>NC_000008.11:133214222-133839222 GCF_000001405.40 Homo sapiens | reverse complement strand
ACTGATACAATCAGATTTTCCTTTCTGGAAAATAAAACAAAACAAACACACAACAACAACATGTATCATGACCTGAAAATTAGAAAGTGTCTAAAGGCAGGACGATGATCAATGATTTTAGGTCAAATTTGGTCCAGGTGCGGGAAGGTAAAGTGCTGGGTGAAGGAAGTGTGGGTTGGAGTCCAAGAAAGGTCACACACTCGCAAGTGGTCCTGGGAAAAACGCACAGATCGACAGGATTAATGGTGTGTGTGGGAGAAAGGATGGAAGGCCTGAGTAAGCCCCGGTTTCCGGGTTGGGTATATACTTGGGTCATTTACAAAGAATAAGGTAATAAGACAAAAAGCAGGTTGGCCAGGCTTTTTGTTTTACAAATCAGCTGTGAGCTGTGATCTTTGCCCACACATTACTTGTGGTAACATGTCCCACGTCCCTTGCCCCACTCAAGCCTCACCTCTTCCTTCTTGATGGAAATCAAGTCCTTATTTCACAACAGCAGAGTGTTTGAAGATAAGGATGGATTCCCGTAATCTTGCACAGTTTTCTGGAAGGAAAATGAATGAATGCGTGGCTCAGGTCCAATTCCAAGTGTGAATTGGAGGTTCTTTCAATGAACAAGACCCCCAGTGGCACCCACAGCTCAGGAATCTGGAATCTGCCTCGCTATCCACTGGTGGCTTCCTACATGGTGGTCTCGCTCTGATGTCCAGAGTTTTTCTCAAATCCATGCAGAACCTCCCCAGAAGAAACCCCAGTATGGAGTGGAGAGACCCCAGCAGGAGTCTCCAGACATCAGCGTCACCCAACCATTAACAGAAAGCCTCAGCTTGGAACTTATCTAACCCAACCCCTAAATGCCCAGGCCCCAAGAGATCAAATGACACCCCCTAGATCTCACAAGGAGGAAATGGCACCTGAGGACCTGGACCTGGCTGACCTAAAAAAGCATCTTCTAAAGTGAAATGGCAGAGAAAACAGAGACATGGAGCAAGAGTATAGACCAGGGTCGGCAGAGCCTAGCCGGTGAGCCAAATCCAGCAGGTCACCTGTTTTTTTGTGCAACCAACCAGCTAATAATCATTTTAACGTCTTTTTTTTTTTTTTTTTTTTTTTTTTTTTTTTGGGACAGAGTCTCACTCTGTCGCCCAGGCTGGAGTGCAATGGCATGGTCTTGGCTCACTGCAGCCTCCGCCTCCCGGTTTCAAGCAATTCTCTTGCCTCAGCCTCCCGAGTATCTGGGACTATAGGCGCATGCCACCACATCTGGCTAATTTTTTTGTATTTTTAGTAGAGATGGGGTTTCACTATATTGGCCAGGCTGGTCTCCAACTCCTGACCTCGTGATCCACCTGCCTCGGCCTCCCAAAGTGCTGGGATTACAGGCGTGAGCCACTGTGCCCGGCCTTAACGTCGTTTAATGGTTGAGAGAAAAAAATTAAAAAATAAATTATGATTCATGAAGATGTGAAATTCAAATGTCAATAAATAAATATTTATTGGAACACAGCCAGACTCATTGGCCGATGCATTGTCTACGGCTGCTTTTGTGCTATGATGGTGTAAGTTGAATAGTTGCAACACAGGCCATAAGGCCCACAAAGCCTGAGATATTTACCATCTGGACCTTTAGAGACTGTTTACCACCTCTTGGTCTAGATCTTGAGGGCCCAGTGTTTCTGCTTCGGGCAGGGGAGAAAATTCTGGGCCAGTGAAGGGGCATTTGCCTCGCACCTGCCTGGCTCTCTCAGTTCCTCTTTATTCCAGCTTCAAATCCAGTCCACATAAAGGCCAGCCCCACACCCTGGAAGATCAGACTCGATGATGCTGCCATCAACCTACAAAGTATCCAGTGTGCCTATCTGACCCCTGGCTGAGGCCGTGACACCCTATCCCCTTTCCCCAGGTATGGACTAGGGTCCAGCTCAGCATGAATTCATCACCCACATTCACAGAGCTGTTGCATATGTGCTACCTGAACACATCTTTCTACTTATTCACTCCTTCAACAAGCACTTATTGAATCCATACTATGTGTTAGGTGGTAGGGATGCAATGATAATAAATAGGAATAAGATAGGCATGCTCTCTGTCCTTGTGGTGTGAAGAGTCTAATGCATGGGAGGCACTAACAAATAAGATCCGAAACGAATGTTCAAGTGCAGCTTTGGCAAGCGATAGGAAGAAGGCTGCACAGCACAACCAGGACCCAGGGTCTGAGAGGGCTTCCCAAGAACATGACACCAAGCTGCAGGCCGGAAGGATGTGTGGATGCTACCCAGGCACACAGAAGAGAAAGGGGTTGAACAGCACTTGCAAAGGCCCTGGAGAGGGATAGAGCACAGAGAATTTAAGGAACAAAGAAAGACAAAAGGAGTACTGTGTTTGGAGCTTAGTGAGGGAGCAAGCTTAGTGAGGGAGATACAGAGGGAAACAAGGGGGGGTCACTGGCAGCGGTCAGCTTCCCAGCCCTGCTTCCCCTTCACCTTCCTTTCCACATCCCCCACCACACCCCTCTTAGAACAGGCAAGATCCAACTCGAGCAGAGGAGCTCAATGAATTGCCACTCATCTATACCATGGTTCTATTATCTAACCATAAACATTCCATTAAGGAAATTAATTGCATGTAAATTGCCTGAGCTATAATTTAGTGCATCTTGAAAAAAGATTGTAAGTGTTTTGGACAGCAGGATCACACCTATGTCAACTAGGAATGCGTGTGTCAGATAATTTGAGTCAAGCATTTAGCAAAGTGCCTGGGACATTGTGAGGGCTCAATATAAGTTAGCTGTTACGATCATCATCATCATCATTACCATAATTCCTATTTCATAGGTAAGAAATTAAATTATTGCTCTGAGAATCATTGAAATTGGGGTACATTTTTTCTTTTCAACATTTTCAAAAATATTGCTGATACATTATCCTCCCGCTTTCAACTTAAAATCTTGAATTCATGAGAGTATTTGAAAAAGATGGGGCCTGGGAGCAGTGGCTCACACCTGTAATCCCAGCACTTTGGGAGGCTGAGGTGGGTGGATTGTCTGAGCCCAGGAGTTTGAGACCAGCTTGGGCAACACACTGAAACCCCGTCTCTACTAAAGTACAAAATATTAGCTGGGCATGGCAGCATGCCCCTGTAATCCCAGCTACTCGGGAGGCTGAGGCAGTAGAATTGCTTGAACCTGGGAGGTGGAGGTTGCAGTGAGCCCAGATTGTGCCGCTGTACTCCAGACTGGGCAACAGAGTGAGACTCTGTCTCAAATAAAAGAAAGAAAAAGAAAAGAAAAGAAAAAAAGAAAAAGATGGCAGTTTACTTCTCCGTGCCAAAAAGAGAAAACACAGAGGAAAAATACTCCCTAGTCAGGGTCAGGCACCTGTCTGATCTCAGGAGAATTTGCTGCAGTCTCATATCAAATGGGGTGGCCCCTGCTGCCTGGAATCTCTACAGGACAGTGGGAAGAGAGGATCTGTTATCCAACCTGGGTTCTGAAGGTGCTGAGTCAGCCTGAAGCTGTGTAATGTGAGTAATCGCTTTGCGGTTGATTAGCTCTGATCCAGACTTTGGAACAGAGAATAAAGAATAAAGCCGTGTGCTTTCAGTCCTGCAGAGGCCTCTCCTTGGTTTAATGAATAGCAAGAGTGTCCTCATTTAAACTCTCTTCTCCTTGCTTTTTTGGGTGCCGACCTCCTAATGTAAGCACCTCACAGGCAGCATCTCCAGGGAGGACTGCGTCCTGCCTCCTGTACCTAGCCTCCCTGGCTTTGGGAATAAGATTCCTGGGCCTGATCTCTGGGCCTGGCTCAGGGAGTCTCTGGGTGCTCCATCCTAGTCAGACCAAGCTCCCTGTTTAAGTTCAGAAGAAGACAATGATGATGATAATGATAATGACAATCATAAGAACGGTATAATATAGCCCAGTGGTTACTAACATGGGTTTATGGGCGAGACTGCCTGGGTCAAATCCAACTCTGCCACTCGCCAGCTGTGTGATCTTGAACAAATGACTCAACCTTTCTGTGCCTCATTCTCCTTACCTGTTAAGTGAGAATAATAGCTATATCCATGCTTAAGCCTATAGCAAGGATTACATAAAACCATGGCAAGCACTTAGCATGGTGCCCAGCACACAGTAGTTGCTCAACAAATATTGTCTCTGCTAGCTAATAATGATGGCCACCCAGGGCTGGCTTTGTGGGCATATAAGCTATAGAGTCACACAGGGCCTGTGTTTAGAAGGGCTCCTGACTCCATTTAATACTTTTCTGTCACTGTACTGAAATTCTTAACAAGTTTTGAACAAGCAACCTCACATTTCTTTCTTGTGCTGGGACACATAAATCAAGCAGCCAGGCCTACAGCTGCCATTTAGAGTCTGATTTGTCCCAGGAACTACCCTAGGTTCTTTCCAGACACAAACCTGCAGCCTTCTCTTTGACCTTATAAGTTGGTGCTTTCCTGGGCTATGGATGAGGATACAAAGCTTGCGTCTTGCTCAAACAAAGAGCTCACTCTACAGGTGAGCTGGAGACTCAGGGGTTCAAAAAGCCATGAGCCCCACCTGACCCTGGTTTCCGTCCAGTCTTCCTCAGTAATTCTCAGGCTGCTTTTGCCTCTGTTTCCCTGACCAGAGCTTAAAGCCGGTCATAGGAGTTCTGGGGTAACTGAGGTAGGTTTGTCAGATTCATCTGCAAAACAAACAAACAAAAATTAACCAAAATACCTCCCTTAAATTGTAGAACAGTTTATAGCAGAGGAGGCAAACTGGCAGCTTGCCAACAAGATCCTACTAACATATGTGTTTTCTTTAGCTAGTATAATAGGAATACACACACACACACACACACACAATTTGAATTAGCTGCTGGGAATTAGCCCTTGGCTAATTTTACCTAAAATCTCCAACGTGTGACTTCCATTAAGATCTTGCAACGCTGGGCCTTCACTCCCAGGGGAACCACAGGCTGGGCAGAGGAGCAGATGCCCCTTTAGGTGGGGGGTGTTCTCCTCCAGCTGGCCAGGCTCCCGCACCTCCTGGAGCTGGCCCCAGTGCCAGTTCACCAACAACGGCAGCTCCCTGGGCCCTGCAGGCTTTGAGCTTGTGTCTTCAGATTTTCACTCAGAGAGGCCCTGGTACTGTACAAAGAACACTGGGCCCAGAGCCTAAAGAGCAAGTGCCTCTCCCAGCTCTGCTGCTGCCCCAAGAGGCCCTGCAGAAGAAAGACCACGGGCTTCCAAGTCAGAGGGGCAAACTTGAGGTTGACTCCAGTATCCCAGTTCTCAGCTGGGTGACATCGGGCAAGTTCACTCACCTCTCTGTTTCTTCAGCTGTGACACAAGGACAGCAATGCCACCCTTCATTCATCACGCCACACGCTATGCTAGCCACCTTGCGTTCTTTGTTTCTATTCTCCCCCTTATCTCTGCAAGATATGACTTCCATTTGCTATTGAAGTGGAGCTAAGGTATCTTTTAGGAAAAGGGCAACACCAGATTTTAATTTAGGGTTCAGACACCTGAGGGCCTATGTGGAGGCCTGTGGCTTGGTGTGGGTATGGAGGGAATTGGGGCAGATGCAGCACAATTAAGGGCACCCTGCAGTGAGAGGTTTCAGAAGGACTCTGAGCGAGGTCATCTTACAAGGGGACTCAACCTCAGGCCTGAGGGTGGAACAGGAAAGTGCATACTGACTAGCCTTACCCTGCCCCTGCCCTGCTTGGGAGGAAATGTCCTTGAAGAACCTGAAGAGCCTGCCTGTTAATTGCTCAGCACCCAAACCGCTTTGTGCTGGGCCTCCTCCAAAGTCAGGAGCAACCGAGTGGGCACTGCTCACGCCAATACCGTGGCCCAAGGTGGGCTGCAGCAGACGAAGTAGTGGGCTGATAGGGTGCTGGGCAGAGGCCAGGAGACCAGGATGCCACAGGTGACCTCTAACAGGGGCATCGGCCTCAGAGGCTCCACGGGTGATGACCTAGATACAGTGAGAAGGCCTGGGAGCCCTTGCTGAACACTGAGAGTATGACCTCTGACATATATCTGGGACTTCCAAGCACACATTGTTCATACGTGTGTACATGCACATGTATGTAGATAATGTAGCCATGGGTGTTTATAACTACATATGTATACACACATTTATATATGAAGCATGTCAATATGTACATGCTTACATGTGTTCTATATATATTTATGCATAGAAACCTATATATGCACATGCATCTATATGTATGTTGTGTGTTCTATGCGTTCATATATATGTACATGAATATATGTATATATAATATGCGTTTATATATATATATATATATATATATATATGAGATATATCTCTTATAATCCTTGAGCCTTGGAATACAAATACACAATAAATGAAGTAAAATAGCCCTGGAGTATCTTACCACTAGTGAGACATCCAAGGAGAAGGTTAGAAATCTTGAAAGTGGGACCGGGTGCAGTGGTTCACGCCTGTAATCCCAGCACTTTGAGAGGCTGAGGTGAGCAGATCACATGAGGTCAGGAGTTCGAGACCAGCCTGGCCAACATGGCAAAACCCCGTTTCTACTAAAAATACAAAAATTAGCCGGGCATGGTGGCCCACACCTGTATTTCCAGCTACCTGGGAGACTGAGGCAGGAGAATCACTTGAACCCAGGAGGTGGAGGTTACAGTGAGCCGAGATCATGCCACTGAGCTCCAGCCTGGGCAACAGAGCAAGACTCCATCTCAAAAAAAAAAAAAAAACAGTGGGCCTCAGGTTATGATAGGAGCAACCCATCAAGCCAATAGAAGAAGAGCTGTGTTCCTGAGACCTCACTTTACACAGCAACTGAAGGCCAAGCAGCATGAACTACACAAACATATTTTCATGTGTTACTTTTATATTTTAGGGGACTACTGAGATGTTTTGCTCTACAAGAAGAAGGAATGACTCACTTCTACCTAAAACTCTGAGCTGGATGTTTACAGCACTGGTGCATAGTCTCAGGGAGTCAGAATCAGAGAGGGTGGGCTCCTTCTGGCAGCTGCCTTACTATGGTACATGGAGCATTGGATTTGAACCCACGGCTCTCTCACTTCCAAACCTTCTCCTCTTATCTGTCTCTCTCTGGAAGCTGTTGTAAAACAACATTCAAATGGGCAGCAAATGAAATCATTCCACCATGCTACGCCAGCCACCTTGCATGATTTGTTTCTGATTCCCCCTAAGCTCTACAAGGTATGATTTCCATGTGCTATTGAAATGGAGCCAAGACATCTCCTAGTTTGAAAACAGCAACACCAGATTTTAAGAAGTGACTTCGCAGTTACTTTTTCAATGTCCAAAAATCAACAAAATAGCTAAAAGGAGGGGGAAAACCAGACCTTGAATCTGAACTTTGGGATTTGTGTGTGAAGACCCTCTCTTCCTGTTCACTTACTGGGTCACTTGATTCCCATCCCGGGAACTGTCCTTTGATTCCAAGCAGGAGAGAGGAGGCAAGGAGAGAGGATGAGCGAAAGGTAGCAATTTACCCTCTCAGCACCCCTTAAGTCTTTAAAGACCTCTGGGAGATGAGAAGGGGGCAAGGATGTTGAGAACCCCTCCCCTACAACTCTCTGATGCTGATTAGGAGATACAAATAATCTTCCAGAACAAAGTTCCCCAGGAACCCTCTGGGAGCTCCTCTTTCCCGGAGCTCCAGGAACCAACCACTGGCATTTAGAAATGTGGCTGCCCCAGAGGGAGTTTTTAGATGCCAGGACGGCCTTCCGCCAGCAGCCTTTAATTAGGAGAGCCATGATTACAGCTACGCGAAGCCAAAACGGCGTGCTTCTTTCCTTAAGTGTTGCCAATTTAAGCACAATAGTGGTTTTATGGGCAACAAGAGACAGAGGCTTTGTCAACCTTTCCCATCCAGTGAGAGACAACCGTGCAGGGACCCTCCCTCTCTAATCTCTTCAACCTTTTATTAAGTCCCCCTTCTTTCTTTTTCCTCTACTCCACAAACTCTCAAGCCAGTCAGCTAGGGAACGAGTGAGCTCCAATTAAACCACAGATCTTTACTGAAAACAAGGTTTTTTTCAAGGGGCAGCCTTTACAACATCACAGGCCCCTCTTTATAAATGCAGACTCCTGGGCCCTGCAGAATGAAGGCAGTCGCATCCTAAAAAGCAGGGCTGAGAACCTGCATTTTAAATTGTGCCTCTCATGATGCAGATGCTGACTGAGGTTTAAGACTTAAAATAATGCAAGGAAAAGTGGCCATTCTGTGATGATTTATTAATTTCTGAGAAGTGACATGGATGAGCAAAGGTATGAAAAGACTCATGTATTAATTATCTTGTCTACACTAAGCTGACATTTTTGCAAGCATGACCTTTTACCATCCCTGTGAACAACTATTAATAAGGTTCATTCTTTTCCATTTTTGCAGATGAGAAAACTTGGGGCTAAGAGAAGTTATGTAATTTACTCAAGGTCACACATTTGATAAGGGGTTGAGGTGGATCTGAATGCTGGTAGGTTCAACACCAACTGATTTGGGGCTTCTAGGATGACTCACACTCTACCAGTTGACAAGTTGAATGATGCAGGAGAAGGGTCTAAGCAGAAGCCTGCAAGATCATGAGACCCATGTTGCACCTGCTGAGATGTCCAGAAGGCGGCTCAAGAGAGAGAGTGGTCTATAGGGAGATCTGTAACTCTAGAGTGCTGTACAATGTAAAGAGCTGTTACTACTCTTCTTACACTTGTTAGAGAATCACCAAATCCAGGCATCCAGAAACAGAGTCAGGGAAGTCGCAGGGAAGTGGCCAGGATCTCCTGGTGATTTAACAACAGCAGCAGGGTGAACATTAGGCACAAGTGGGCAACATGGAGCCCGCAAACTCAAGACACACTGGGGGCTCCACATGGCGTTAATCATACATAAAGGTGCTAGGCAGCTCCAGACAATGAGCCTGCCCTCTCTGACAGCTCCAACCTGTTCCACTCTCTCCTTCAATTCATGTCTGTTGGCAATAATGTGCCTGGAAAGAAAGGAAAACATGAACACATGTTTATACCACCCCCTTCCCTCCCTTCTTTTCTTCTTTCCCTTATCTTTGGCTCAAACTTTCACGGAGCACCTACTATGTGTTAAGCTCTGTGCAAAGAGCTGAGAAGACAGGGGAAAATGAAAAAGAAAAGAAGTAGGCGGGTATCGAGTGTCCGCCATGCAGTGGACATTGCCATTGAGCACATACACACATTCAGAAACTCACTCACTTCACTGTGTTTGAGTCATGTCTTAAAATATTTGGAAACTCTTCACAACACGAAAGCTAACCCCTTTCTAGGAGTTTGACCAGCTGCAGAAAGCTGATAGAAAATACAGAGGGAAGATATGGGGTCAGGGCTATGTGCGTGTGTGCGTGTGTGCGTGTGTGCATGTGTGTGTGTTTGTGTGTGTGTGTGTCCTTTTGTGTGTGGAAGGACCTGGATTTTCTTGATGCTGCACTCATTTATTTTATCGATTGGTCCCTGTAAACTCTTGGGGATTTTTATTACATGATTCACTCAGTTGTTGATCATAAACATTTAATGAGTGTCTACTATGTGCCTGGTATTGACATAGGTAATCTCACCAAATTCTCATTTTTCAAAAACTGAGATAGATGTCTTTATCCTCATATGGATAAATGAAGTCAAAGTTTCAAAACACTGTATTTCTTGCCTAAAGATGTTCAGATGAGATGATCAGAAAAGCTTGGAATAATTCAGTGAGCATTTACCAAGCACCTACTGTGTTGCAGGCACATCAATTCAAATCCAGAAACTCATGTTATTCCAGCTCTGCAAAACTGCCTCTTTGATTCCATCGGGAAAGCTAATTGGGACTCAGTGTTAAGAGATAGAGCTATGACAGCTGTACATGCATTCGTTTGTTTATACAGACACTCATTCATTTGATCATTTATTCAATGAATATTTTTTTCAGCCTTTACCATGTGCCAGGCATGGTGTTTATTACTGGGAGTCAGTGGTGACTACCAAAGAGACATGCTCCTGGTACTTATGGAGCTGACCCTCTCTAAAAGGGGAGGTAGACATTAATCCATGAACCACACATAAGGGGCCCATTGCCAATTGAGATCTACAGCTAGAAGAGAAGGAGGCAGTCTACTAGAGCCTGGGAATCTGACTGGCCTAGCTGGGTCTAGGAAAGTCTTCACTGGAGAAGTGAGGTAGAGCTGGGTCCAAAGCGCAGGAGAGTTAACTGTATGAAAGGGAAGGAAGGGATTCTGGTTTGAAGAGAACAGTGCATGCTAAAGGGACAGTGCAGAGGAGAAAGTTGGCTGCTCAGTGATATGAGAATATGCCCCCATGCATGTTTCAAGGGCATCCCAACCTCACCCTGACCCACCATCTCCCCAAATCTGTTTCCATCACACTCAGTGAGAGTCCCCAAGTCCCCAAGCCAGAAAACTGCAGGCTTCTAACACTCTTTTTTGCCCCCACATCCCACTTTTGTCCATTACCAAAGTCTCCCAACTTTATCCCATTTCTCAAATCCATCCTCTCCTCTCAGTTCACTTTATTAAGAATTTGGTGAAGACTTTACTCTCTTTTCCCAATAGGATTACTGAAATCACATCATTCAATCATTTAACAAATACTTATTTTGGGCCTGTGTCATGGTTTGGCTCTGTATCCCCACCCAAATCTCATCTCAAATTGTAATCCCCATGTGTCTAGGGAAGGACCTGGTGGGAGGTAATTAGATTATAGGGGTGGTTTCCCCCATGCTGTTCTTGTGATAGTGGGTGAATTCTCATGAGCTTTGATGGTTTAAAAGTCTACTTCTCTCTCCTACCACCATGTAAGACATGCCTTGCTTCCCCTGTGCCTTCCGTCATGATTATAAGTTTCCTGAGGCCTCCCTAGCCATGTGAAACTGTGAGTCAATTAAACCTCTTTTCTTTATAAATTACCCAGTCTCATATAGTTCTTTATAGCAGTCTGCAAGCTGACTAATACAGCCTGCTAGGTGGCAGACACTATCCTTAGCTCTAGGGATATACAAATAGGTAAATCAGGTGTAATTTCTTCCCTCATGGAAACAGTAAAATGGGAAACCAGACACTTTTCCACCTACTTTTTGACTATCTCCCTTCCTCCAGCCTGGTTTCCCTCTGTCCACATTCCACACTTCACTGGTTTGGCCATTTGCAATGCCATTCTGATGATATCAATCTACCCCTTCAAACTGTTTGAAGAGAGTGCCCATAAGATAAAGTCCAATTATCTTAGCACACCACTCAAGGGCCCCCATCATCTAGCCCCCATCTCTCATGGCTATCACCTACCATGCCCAGATTGTATCTAAAAACAGATATCAGTATAATAGCTCCTAAAGAGTTCTATGATTTCAGAGAATGGCCTCAAGTCTATAAACCCTTGGGCGTCACTTGGTAACTCTCTCATCTCTACTCGCTTTGTGTTTAGTCATGTGATATGCCGCTGGATAAATCAGACATTGAGAAGGAATACAAAAAAATTTACATCTGATATCAGAATAGACCACCCATGGATGAACTCTTTGCTGAACCCAATGGAGGGTTTTCCTGCTTTTGCAGTTAGAAATAGACCTAGCTCTTTCTCTGCTTTAAGGTACTGTGGCTGTCAAACACCTGGGGCTTATAGCTAAAGTGTCCCAGAAGTGATGTCTCCTGGGAACATTCCTCTCATGCTAGCTCTAATTGCCTTAATGAAAGTATTTTATCCTTATCTGCTTTGGGCTAATCTCTGGAAAGGCCTGAGGTCACCTTTGCAAGCATCTCTATTAGCTCTCACTAGCTGTTCCCTCTCAAGTTTAGGAGATTTTGAAGGACCTAATGACTGCCTCTGCAACTGTTCTATGACTTTAATTTTTCAAATCAGGATTTTTAGTCTTGAGCTGAGAAATCTTTTTTAAAGATTATTTCAACTTTTCATTTGTTGATAGTCTTTTGAAAAAATACATGCATACTTATAAAACTTTAATTCAGCCCTTGCCAGAGAGGAAACATAAGGAGCAGAATGTACCAATGCATGGAAAGAAAACAGACCGGAATTAGACAGATCTGGATTTGAATCCTAGATACATCATGTCCTAGCTGAGTGGCCTTGGGCAAGTTGCCCAACCTCTTTGAGCATTGATTTACTTGTATATAAAATAAGAATCATGATATCTGTCCATGAAATATGGTTTGAGGATGAAAGGAGACCTAGAGCTTACTTCTGGAAAAACTGATTCAAGGCCATTGGGAATAAAGTCATTCTTTCCTCCACAGCTGATGAGCTGATTCTACCACTGGCTAGAGCTGGCTGCTTGTGGCATGCCTGCCACCACCTCCAAATCCTGCCCTCATGGTAGGCAATATGAATCATGTCAAGAATTCTTTCCCTGCTAAGCTCAACGGTAGCCTCAGAATTCTTTCAACATACTGTCTGTGCCACCTCCACCAACCCATCTTAGTTTCCCATGAGATGACACATAGATTCATGTTGGCCTCTGGCCCTCATCAGCTCAGAAACCGCATGGCTGAAGCTCAGGGGTGGACCCAGGAAAGCAGGAAGTGGCCTTCCTGCAGGACTTCTTTTTCCTTTTTTTTTTTTTTTTTTTTTTGGCTTTCCATTTCTTGGACTAAAGACCCATGAGCAATGAGAGCTAAGCCAGGCTGTGTGCCCAGCTTCCTCACTGTACAGGTAAGGAAACTAAGGAAAGCAGAAGCAAGATCCTCCAGCAAGGCTTCTGCTATCATCTACCAACCAACCAAACCCATTAAATTCCCACCCACTAACAGCAACCTCGGTTTTTCATGCTGTTCTTTAGAGCTCTCCAGCAACATGAGGGGGCTCAGGGCCACAAGAGGAAAGATAACCAAGCCCAGGACCAGACCTGACTTATTCTGTGGGGCCAAGTTCAGCAGGACATTGCCATAGATTTCAGGAGCATTTGGCTAAGGCCAAGGATGAGGAAGATAAAATAAACCCCCAACCCAGTAGGAGCACCATCATTAGGGTCACAACTGTCAAGATTTTGGGCTCTGCTACTAAGACTTTGAGCAACCCTGGCCATTTTGCCAAGTCTCTCTGGGCCTCCCGAACCTATTAAAGAGGCTGATGACTACTAACTCACTGGGTGCTCAGACCATCAAAAGTTATCATGATAGGAAAGCTACAGGCATGGACTCTGGTTAAAGTAGGTGTTTCGTTTGTGTGACATTCTGGAATGGGAGTAGGATATAGGTCTACAGGGTTCATCTACCTTTGATAGTTGGGTCTGAGTGAAAGCCCATTAAAATCACCATGCTAAGTGTATTTGAAGGGAAAAGGCATCAAAAGGGAATCAGAGACTGGAGAGGAAGGAAGGTAGAGAGAAGCTAGGGCAATGTAAGGAGAAGTTGAAGTAGGACTTCCATGTAGTTTTAGTTACATATGGGGTTTGGCTGGGTAACAGGGATTGAACACCTGGGTGCCTTAAAGCTACTCAGAGCTCCATATGATCTGCTCCAACTTCTGGCCGTCTCCTTCTATAATACACCACACTCTCAGTCATCTGAATCTACTTGTAGTTCTACAAACATGAATGGTATTCAGCACCCCTGTCGTTTCTCATGAATTCATGACCCATACTGTTGCAATCAGAGAGATGAAGGAAAGAGAGAGAGATAGAGAGAAAGATCTCACCAAGGCCCCTGAACAGAAAGTCCCTGTCCAGGCACTGGTAAAAGGTGGTCCAATCCAAGTCACAAGACCAGATCCATTATATTAGCAACTGTCCTCCTATATAAGGGAGTTGGTTGGATGGTGGGAAGAAGGTGAAAGGGTGGGAAGGAATGGCAGGAGTCCTTCCTCTACATGCATAGAAGATACTATTTGTTCCATGAAGGTAGCCATTCTCTGTGCTCATAGTGAACCTAATTTGTCCTTGACAGTGAAGCCTTCATCTAGTCTCAGAGAATTAACATTTGCACAACATTGCCTTTGTTTCAGCACCCAGCGAGCACCACTGGGTGCAGAAGAGGCACCAATGCCATTTTACATTCCCTTTCTAATCACCTTAAAATCACTCCAAGTTAGTTAGGATTATGAAGGGGTGATATGAAAATCCATGTCATCAAAGGCAGACACACGGTCAGGGTAAAAGTATGGGCTTTGGCATTAGTTCCGTGCCAAAGTTTCAGCTCTGCTTGATAATATCTGTTTGACTTCTTAGGAAAGTTACATATGCTTTCTGAGCCTTACTTCCTTCCTGTAAAGAGATGATAAAGTCTACACCTCAGGACTCTAGAAAGAATTACATGAGATGACAAATACAGGACTGAGTACACAGCCCGGCACAGTGGTTGCAAATGCTCAATACTCTAGACACTGAGCTCTGGGAGAGTTACTGTTCACTACTGGCCCTTGGTTTTCCTCTCTGTAAAATAAAGTGCCCAGATTAATGAGCTGTTGAGATCTTTTCGTTGCTGGCTCTCTGCACAAAGGTGTGGTCTGTGCTGCTCCAAATAGCGTTTTAGGCCAGGCGTGGTGGCTCACGCCTGTAATACCAACACTTTGGGAGGGCAATGGGGGTGGATCACCTGAGGTCAAGTGTTTGAGACTAGCCTGGCCAACATGGCAAAACCCCGTCTCTACTAAAAATACAAAAATTAGCTGGGCATGGTGGCAGGCACCTGTGATCCCAGCTACTCTGGAGGCTGAGGCAAGAGAATCACTTGAACCTGGGAGGCAGAGGTTGCAGTGAGACGAGATCGAGCCACTGCACTCCAGCCTGGGCGACAGAGCAAGACTCTGTCTCAAAAAATTAAAAAAAACTTAGAAAAGCATTTTAGACAGCTCTTAGAAGTGGAGGAATTGTTACAAGCAATTACGTTGATCATGGTTTTAGGCTACAGATTTTAAAAGAAGAATTGATTCAAGCTAATTTAGACAATAAATAATTTATTAAAGACTTAGCTCACAGCATCTCTGGAAGAGTCACGAAATCAGACTTAGATTCTACATGCCCAGGAACAATGTAGGCAGGAAAGATGCTTAACCATAGCTGAGACTCCAGTGGAGAATCCCATACTGGGGATCCACTTAGCTTCTGTGGTGCTTGGGAACCAGATGCTAGAAACTCTACAGGGACTACTCCAGGAAATGCAGACACCACTCCCGCCAGAAAGATCCAGTTATCCCATCGAGGCCATCACCTCCACTTTCTCACTGCTGCTCCAATCTCTGGCAGAAGCTGAGACACACACAGAACTCTGGATGCAGGAGAGAACAGGGAATCTCAGCTTTCTTTAATTTTGTTTTAGTTTGAGCTTTCTAGCCTTTCTTGTAAAGGTGAGTTTGAAGTGGTTTGGAATAGATCTTGAAGAAGTCTGTCTTTAGTAACTGCCAGGGCGTTACTATTACTCACAAATATAATTAATAGCTTGTTAAGCACCTGTTCCATGCTCAGCATTGCCATCTATTATCACAGCTAAGTCTGCATACAACTTGAGGTCAACTTCATTATGTGCATTTTACCAATGGTAAAGCTGAAACACAGAGAAAGGAAATAATCTGCTTAATGTTATAGATATAGTCAGACTCACCACAGATCTGTTTGTCTCCAAAACCACTTTTCTCTGGTCCACTCTGCTCAATGTTAAGGGGAGTTCTCTGGAGCTACTCAGCAAAAGAACCATCTGGGGCTAAAACAGGGGACCTATCCTTGGTAGATTCAAGTTGAAATTGGACCATCCATAGGTCTGTTCTGCCATTTTGAAGATTTCTGCACTTTGTTGGGGTCAGGGGGACCCTTGAGTGCCAAAAATTCTGTAATCTTTTGATCTGTCTCTCCAGATTGCTAGCCCAAAGAAGGGTTAAGGGCTGAACTGTGAGGAAAGTTAATTTAATCTAGTGAAGAGCCAGGAAATAGAGCAGGATGCTGCCAGAAGACCTACAGCAATTAGAAGCCAAGACCAGCTCATTCAGAATCGCCCATGGCAATTCCATTCTTATTAAAGCGGAATGTGAAATCGTAATGTGAACATTGTTGCTATTCATAAAGGATCTTGTAAGAATGATTGTAAGGCAAGTTCACTGTCCCTTTTAAATATAGGAGCCATTAAACTGCCTCAATAATGCTGGGAATATTAAGGAGGACTTACTGGGGACTAATAGAGCTGAGGACAACAGAAAGACATGAGAATGACTCATGAATTTACTCCTTTCTTATTACTTAACCCCAGTAGTTTAACCCCAAAGCCCAGAGCTTAGGGAAATGGGAAGATACTTAGAGTGACAAAAAAGAAATTAACCCTAACTTCCTTCAGCTCACTCAATGGTAGACCCAGGAGCCCTGCCCAAGAAGGATCAGCCATGCCCATTTCATAAGTCAGTTGCTACCACAGACAGGCAGAACCCTAGTGTCTCCATGCCCTCAGCCTGGTGTCTACATAGCAGAAGTGAGCTTAAGGCATGAATACAGCCCCCTCCTTCCCAGCCCAAGCCAAGGCTTCCCAGTTGACATGGCCAGGATTATACTTAAATTCCTAATTGGGATCTGAATCACCTGTCGGGACTGGCACACTAGCCAGACCCGAGTCCCTTTTCCAGTGGCTCATGATGCCACAGCCCCCTCCTGTTGTCCACAAGCTATGACTCAGGAACACTGGTTTTTGTCCAGCGCACTGGAAGCTCATGGAGTGCAGATACTTTCTCCCACGTAACAGTCCTTGGTAATCTGAAGACCGTTTGGGAGGACCCTGGAACATGGTGCTCTCTGGGCTCTCCAAAGCCTATCTTTGGGGTGGGCTCCAGCCTTCCAGTGTCCTCCTGGGCACCGCCTTGTGCTCCAACTCTGCCTTGCTCTCAGCCAAGGTTCAGGCTGAACCTGGGTCAGGAAGGATAACACATAAAACACATACATCCCCTCAAGGCTGCCTATGGGATGCCTGGCCTTGCCAATTGCCCCGTCAATAACCCACCACCAATAGCCCAGCCAATCACCCCATCAACTCCACCCCAGACCCTACATCAAAGGGAAGAGTATCATGAGGATCTCTTTCCTTGAGTCTGGGATGAGAATAAGGATATTCAAGATTTTGAATTCAGATGAGTCAAGCACAAAAGAAGTATAGCTTTGTGGGGGGAGAAGATCCCACAGTCCTACAGCTTGAATGATATGGTTTGGATTTGTGTCCCTACCCAAATCTCATGTTGAATTATAATCCTCAGTGTTGGAGGAGGGGCCTGGTGGTAGGTGATTGGATCATGGGGGTGGACTTCCCCCTTGCTGTTCTTGTGACAGTGAGTTCTCACAAGATCTGCTTGTTTACAAATGTACAGCACCTCCCCCTTTGCCCTCTTCCTCCTGCGCTGGCCATATAAGATGTACCTGCGTCCCCTTCACCTTCCAACATATTTGTAAGTTTATTGAGGCCTCCCTAGCCATGTTTCCTGTACAGTGTGCAGGACTGTGAGTTAATTAAACCTCTTTTCTTTATAAATTACCCAGTCTCAGGTAGCTCTTTATAGCAATGTGAGAATGGACTAATACATTAAACAACCAAAAATCCCCGTTGTTTTCAGAAGAAATGTGCCAAGGACTCGGTAAGGAGGAAAAAGGCAGACTTGGCCAGCCCTTGCCTCTAAAGTAGAAAGAACCACCAGATACTCGCCCTGTCCTCTCCAGCTAACTTGGAGCCCCTGCATATGGGTCATCTCACCATTAAAAATGGATAGACACTAAAACAGGTTGTCATATAGAAACCCAGCCAGTCCTCCCCACAGGACCTCAACTCCTAGTGTCTCTTCTACATGCACACACACACACATGCACACACATGCTCATATGCACACACACGCACACACACACACGCTACCACTTCAAACAATTGGCCCTGGGTCTATAATTCAGCAATAAAAAAGGAACAAAGTACTACTGTGCCCTACAACATGGATAAACCTCAAAAACATGATGCTAAGTGGAAGAAGCCAAGCACAAAATAACACATACTATGTGATTTCTTTGCTATGAAATGTTCAGAAAAGGCAAATCTGCAGAGAGAAAGTAAATTAGTGTTTACCTAGGGTAGAGGTAAGAATGGGGAGTGACAGTTAGTGGGCATGAAGTTTTTCTTCAATTCTACAAAAAATCTACACTAAATTTTTAGTGACAGTCACTATCACTGTCACTGTTTTAGTGAACACAATTCTACACTATAAAATCATTGAGTTGTACATCTTAAATAGCTAAATTTCACTGTAAATAAATTACACCTCAAAAAAAAAAAAGACTATTTTAAAAATACAGCTGGGCCTGGTGGCTCACGTCTGTAATCCCAGCACTTTGTGGGGCCGAGACTGGCTGATTGCTTGAGCTCAGGAGTTTGAGACCAGCCTGGGTAACATAGTTAAACCCTGTCTCCACAAATAATAATAATAATAATAATAATAATAATAACAATACCAAAAAAAATACAAAAATTAGCCAGGCATGGTGGTGCATACCTGTAGTTCCAGCTACTTGGAAGGGTTGAGGTGGGAGGATCACTTGAGTCTGGGACGTCAAGGCTGCAGTGAGCTGTGATTGCACCACTGCACTCCAACCTGGGCAACATAGCAAGACCCTGTCTCAAAAAATATATATACAATTGGCCCTGAACCTGGACACCACATTAAATATCAATGGTTGTGTTGTTGGTGAATTAACTGATCTTTCTCTCTCTGATGAGATAGGCACCAGGCTTCCTGGCTTCATGTCTAAGCCTCCCGCTGACTTAGATGTGTGAGTGGCCGGGCCCCTTCCTTCCCAGAGCCTTGGCCTGTACTTCTCATCTGGAGGTAGCTCCATTCAGGACCCACTAGGTTTCAGGAGATCCAGGCATCCCTGAGGATGTGTCTGATTGCTGGGTGCGTGCGTCCTGCCTTTCCCCAAGGAAAGAAACTGCAGGTCTGATGGTATTCCAAAGGGGAGATCTGGGTACAATAAATATTAAGAAAAGTGGGTTTCACAGAAATACTCTCAAAGGGCTTTGCCAGATTGGAGAGTCTGGGAAGATGATAGGGTCTGAATTGGTTTAGTCTGAAATCTACACTCATTTCCCCTCATCCAGTTACAGGTGTTTTTGATTTTTTCTCTGAGAGGAAATACTTGTAGAGGAATGTTTGGGTGGGAGCTGGGAACAGTGGCTGATCCAGCCCTTGGTGAGCGACTTACTGTTCATATTTGAATGGGTTGTAGGAGCCCCGGAGTGCAGTGCAGTGGGACAGGGCGCCCTCCATTCTGTTCTGCCCTGCCCTGTCCTCTTGCTTTGTGGTGGCCACGTCCTCACCTGTTTCCTCTAAACTGGAGGGTGAGGACTCACTCAGCAAGTCTTGGTTCTAGGCCGTAGGATACAGAGCACAGAATCAGTGTGTGTGTGTTTGTATGCTATGACCTGGATTGTTTTAAAACAATCATTAAATGTTCCATTTAAACGCATCTTAATCTGACTTCCAAAGCAGTATTTCTAAAAGAAAATGCCCCAGGTGCAGAAAAGACCATTTATAGCCAAGATACATCACAGCCCTTAAAAAATATTAAGAAATTGACCCAAATCTGCTCATCTGGAGTTGGGGAGCCCTTGCCCCACACCGCAACTATAACCGTAGTTATATCAGGACCTTGCCTGGTGGCAGGAGCCCCACGTGACAACTGGCCCACCCCACATCCTGTCCTCATGAAGACTCACAAGGTCCAGGGCCCTAGAGACAAGCTCATAAATGGAGAAACTGAGCCACATGGTGAATTACTGAGCTGAAAAGTAAACACTGAGAATCTCCTATCTGCTAGGCACTGGAGTCTAAAGCTCACAAGACAGAGCTCCTGCCCTCCAGGAACCCATGGCCTACTGGGGGAGACAGAGAAGTGAAGAGACCATTGCACTCCATCCTGCTCTGTGCTGGGACAGGGGAAACCACAGATTCCTGGGCCCTCTGAGGAGGAGACCCTCACCAGCTCTCACCTGGGATGGGGTCACCAGATAAGGTGTGAGTGGACCTTAATGAGTATCTTCTTTTAATTTTATTTTTAATTGACAAATAATGATTGTATGTTTTGATATATACTCACACTGTGGGATGATCGGATCATGCTAATTAACAAATCCATCATCTCATATACTTATGTTTTTGTGGTGAACACATTTACAATCCACTCTTTTAGCAATTTTGAAATATACAACGTGCTATTATTTATTATAGTCTTAGTACTCTCTCCCTGCACCCCCCGCCCCCTGCCCCCCGCCCCCCACCCCAAGCTGACCCTGAGACCAGGACTTGGTGCAGGTAGCTTACGTGGGAGGTGATCCCTGGAAGCAAAAGTGAATGAGGGGGAACATAAATCAGAAAGAACAAAAGCCAAGAAAGGGGCCTCAAAGGGTAGGTGACCCTCTAGGCAACAGGTGGCAATTTTGTAGAAGGCATCTTAGCATTGTCCCCTCCGGGGACCAGGAAGCCAGGTCATTTCTACACACATTCTCTTCCTTTGCTGGCTGAGGACTGCCCTGAGGGTGCCAAATCTCTGGCATTTTCCACCTGCCCTATACAGTGCTGAGCTGGTGTATTGGTCTGTTCTCACACTGCTAATTAAGACATACCCGAGACTGGGTAATTTATAAAGAAAAGAGGTTTAATGGACTCACAGTTCCGTGTGGCTGGGGAGGCCCCACAATCATGGCAGAAGGTGAAGGAGAAGCAAAGTCATGTCTTACATGGCAACAGGCAAGACAGCTTGTGCAGGGGAACTCCCCTTTATAAAACCTTCAGATCTCATGAGACTTACTCACTATCACCAGAACAGCAAGGAAAAGACTTGTCCCCGTGATTCAATTACCTCCCACCAGGCCCCTGCCACAGCATGTGGGAATTATGGGAGCCACAATTCGAGATGAGATTTGGTTGGGGACACAGCCAAAGCATATCAGCTGGCTTCTGCCAAATGAAGACCTTAGGCAGAGGAGCAGAGGCATGAGGAGGTGGAAGCTGGACGCTAGGTGGCTGCTGCAGGGGAACCTGGAAGTGGCCAGGGCGAGCTGAGACCAGGCGCCAGCAGCATCTGCTACAGTGTGAAGAGGTACCAGCCAGAAAGAGCCAAGGATATCAGGAGGCCTTTCCAGGAAGAGGAAACAGGGTGAGCAAAGTCTGAGATGGAGAAAGAGTTGGGTGTGAGGGAGAACCACAGCCTCTGGGTAAATCTAGAGTGCAGCACTGAATGCAGGGACTGTCAGGAGCTGAAACTGAAGGAAAACTGAGCTAGCTTCTTCCATGATGGATTCATCCTTCTCCGACTGCATGGAGGGCTCTTTCTGGCTCATTTTCAGGAGGTGTCTGTAGATCCTTTTCCAAGTGTGTACTTCTCTCACCATCCCAGGACCCTTAGCAATCCAAAGACAGCCCTCTCTCAATAGGACCAGGTAGCTACTTGGAAGTCAATGGCCTTGAGGATGAGGCCAAGGGGGAGGGATTCTCTACAAAGAGGGGGCTTTCTCATCACCAGAACACATGTTAAGCAGGAGTGACCTTCATCCCCGAGCCTCAAATTCTTCATCTATGAGAGGAGAGCCATTAGCACCCTCCTTTCAGGCTGATGGTGGGGAAGCACCCAGCATGGTGCTCAGAGAATGGGATTACTTCCCCTGGCTTGTGCCCCACTGCCCAGCGGTGACTGCAGGCTACTGGGAGTGCTGTGCCCACTTCCATAAAAAATAAGGTTGCATGGCCAGGCACACTGGCTCATGCCTGTAATCTCAGCACTTTGGGAGGCCAAGGCAGGAGGATTGCTTGAGGCCAAGAGTTTGAGACCAACGTGGGATGAAAATAGTGAAAATATACCTCTACCAAAAAATTAGAAACTTAACCAGGAATAGTGACACATGCCTGTAGTCCTAGCTACTCGGGATGCTGAGGCAGGAGGATCCCTTGAGCCCAGGAGTTCAAGGCTGCAGTGAGCTATGATTGCGCCACTGCACTCCAGCCTGGGTGCCAGTAACAGTGTAGCATTTACCTGGAGCTTCTGGGCTGTAAAACCTTTCCAGATAAACGGTTAATTTGTTAATTTGAAAATTTGTACACAGCTGATTATACTTCTAAAGGTCAAAATTGTAACTAAGGGTAGGAGGGCACTACCCAGATGAATTCAATTTCATTTCAATGAGAAAAAAAGCAAACAAAAAGTGAACAGAGGACACATTGTGAGTCAGTTACTAACTAGGTCTGCAGGAGAAACAGAAATGAGTACATCAGCCCCTGGCTGTTGAGACTCCTAAACAGCTGGGATTCAGCTCTTAACACAAACAAAGACAACACAGAGCAGGCTGTGGTAAGGACCATGCCAGAAAAAATGCAAAACATCTCGGGGATTTGCATGTCACTGCTCAGGCTAATTGGGGCAGCCGCTCAGGGAAGGCTCAATGCATCCTGGTATCAGAGCACCACTTTTTCAGGCTGAAACCCACAGAACAAAATAGAATTCATTAGATGTACAAAATGAAAGGACTTCGAGAGACCTGCCCAGACGTTGATTCCTAACACAGAGGGTGGCATCCCACTGTCCCCTAAAAATACCCAGAGAGGCTGATTCTTTTAATTCTAAGTGAGCCCAGACTTCCCCAAATTCCCTCTGGTTCCACTGGTGGGCATCCCCAGTGAGAGCCACTAATCTCATCCACCAGTCTCTGTGCAGTCCTTTCATTGATGAGTCCATTGAGAGCTAGATCAGTGGCACGATGAGATGCTCACTCACTAATTCCTTCTAACAATCATTCATTCCCAGTGGTCTGTGGAATGACTGGCCAACCCTGAGCTCTACGCTGGGAGCTACTGATTGAGCAATGAGTGAGGCTCCACCTTTGTGCACAGGTAGCTTCAACAGACGAGTAAACCAAGTAACAAAGAAGCCCACAGGGCAGAAGGATTGACTGTCCAGGCACGTCAGAGGAAGCAAGATAGGTGATAGCCATTGTGCAGGCTGTGGGGAGGATTTGCTACTTAGAGGACACAGGAGACTCTTTGGGCAAAAGGAACTTTATGTGTAACATCTGCTACTGAAGGCCTGGCTGGGTCATGTAGGATAAAGTTTGGACAAGGTAAGATACATGGAAATGCAAATTGACATTAGCTGGAGAAAGGCTTTGACTGACAAATAAAGGCACTGGACAGCCTTGTTGGTAGGAAAACCCCTTCATCCCTTCCACCACACCTCCATTACTGTCCTGCCATCGTGTTATACACCCATCTCCTCCTGACACCGGATCTAAGACCAACCCTGCCACCCATGCACTGAATCACATCCTCTCTGGCTACTCAGGGCCACAGGTTCTGGAATGGAAAACAATGCGGTACTCATTTGTTGGTTAATTATTAAATGTCTTCTTCTCCTTCTCCCTTCTCTTCCTATAGTCAGCCCTCAATATCCGTGAGTTCCGCATCCATTCATTCAAACAACAACAGATCAAAGAACTGCATCTTTACTGACCATGTACAGACTTTTTTATGTCATTATTTCCTAAACAACACAATTCATAACAACTATTTCTATAGCATTTACTTTGTATTCAGAATTTTAAGTAATCTAGAAATGATTTAAAGTATATGGTGTATGTGTATAGGTTCTATGCAAATACCACACCATTTAACATCAGGGACTTGAGCATCTTTGAATTTTGGTATCCTTGGGAGGTCCTGGAACCAATCCTTGATGGATACTGAGGGATGGCTACATAATTCTTCACCTCCTCATCTTGATGAACTTTCACTGTGTTTGCCCTTTACTTAGGGATTTCTTACCACTGGAAGCTCTGGCATGTGCCCACTAAGTAGAATGGCAGATATAGATTACTGGTGACCAATGATGGGGGAAGAAAAAGGAAAAAAACAAAAACTGATGACATTTCCATGCACCACCATGGCCAAATGTTCACTAGCACCCCTTGTTCACTAGTTCATTGTGGCACTGCATCCCACTTTCTTTCAACACCATAGTCTAGTTTCTATATTAGCGGAGGGGCCCTGCCTCTCATCCTGCTTGGCACTGGAAATCATCACCAAAGGAGGAAATTAACAGGACAATGTTGTCACCATATGCTGCTTCAACCAAAAGTTGCCTTAGGCCATACCTACCTGTGCTATCACATTAAGAAGCACTGGTTGTAGTTTCTTTAATATGGGATGTAGGCCTGCACATGGTATTTGGCTCACATCAGAGTGAGCTGTACAAGGAAAGACAGGGTTATCAGTTTTATTGCCAGTTCTATACCAGATGATTTCAGCATTTTACTGACCCTGAGGGGCACTGTAGCTCTGTGGGCTTCTGTCTTCAAGAAATAGTGCTCAGCTATTCCCGTGGAATGTAAGTGGAAGCTTGAACCATTCTTTATCAGCCTTTAAATGATTTATGAATCTCCTGCTGGACCATGCACTTTGGAAATCAGAATCTAGGCTTCATTTCTTGATGTATCCTCAGCAGCCAGCCTAGGGCTGGCACAGAGTAAGAACTTAATAAAAGTTTGTTAAATGAATAAATCAGAGAATGGATGAATGAATCACAGACACTTAGCTCATCTTATATATCGTGTTCCAACTGTTTCCAACCACATGCTGCAATCGATGTCTATCAGCTTGATTTTCTCTGCCTGTAAATTTAGACACTTTGCCAACAGATCAATCATAAAAATATGTATTAAATAGGAAAACACAGCAGTATACAAATGGCTTTCAAGAAAATGGCTTTGAAGACAGACATATCAGAATCTGGACTTGGCAGCATGACCAATTTTCTCTGGGCAAATCAATTGTTCTTCTAATGCTGATATATGGAGACTTCTATGGAGTAAGTACCCAGCATCTACACTCTAGGATCTTCAGCCCCACCAAGAGGGGTGGTGTCTGTAGCAGGCTAAGTTTTCTTGGCAGCAAATGCTGAGATAAAAATCACAATGCACAAAGTTTATTGGGAATTGCTCTTAAGGCCTGTGAAACAGAGGGGAAGAAAGTAGGATTTGGCAAAAAAAAAGAAGCTGAGTTACTCTGCAGTTCCAGCAAAGGCCTCAGTTTGACCCTACGGGGACTCTAGAGATTTGATGAGCCTTTGGAAGTGTCCCAAGTTGGGGTTTGGGGACAACTGATCTCTCCATGCTTCTTGGAGTCAGTGTTTTCTTAGCATCTCCCAGGGTTCTTTCCAAGGAGCTAACTCTTGTATCCCAGGAAAGTGTTCTCAAATCAATAAACTCCTCCTTGATCTCACACCCTAAAATCTCATCTCTTGCATATTCGCATATTCTCCCAGCTACTGCTGACAAAGGCTGACTGGATCTCTTAGTCTTTTAGTATATAGCTCTTTTAGTATATAGCTTTCTTCCTCTTCTCTCAGCATGCCCCAAACATAAAGGGGAATAGTTCCTGGTTCCTAGCCTAGCTACGAGGGGGTTGCGGGACGGTGGGTGTGGATCCTGAGGGCAGCTCATGTTTTCTGGAAGAGGCAAGGCCTCTAAATCATCTTCAAGCAAAGAAGGAGTTTAGTACTTAATAGAGGCAAGTGGCCCAGAAGTCCGGAGGAGCCTGGAGATTGAA
This sequence comes from Homo sapiens, assembly GCF_000001405.40. Taxonomy (NCBI): domain Eukaryota; kingdom Metazoa; phylum Chordata; class Mammalia; order Primates; family Hominidae; genus Homo; species Homo sapiens. Next base: position 133,813,628 of record NC_000008.11, on the reverse strand, counting down.
GATTTGGTGACCTTGGAAAAGCTGGCTGAACTGAGAAATTGGGGAGTTCTACTTTCTTTAGAGCTCAAATATTCTGACAACTAAGTCCACAGCTCGGTCTGGCCTCTTGCTCTAGAAGCTGAGAGCCTCTTTGTATGCTAACCAGGAGGTTCCTGGTTTTCATACTTAGCTCTGACTTACCAATTAATCACTCTCACCTTTTCATTTCCATTTTCCAAAATCTCAGTTGAGCTTAGCAATAACCACCCTATTCCACCCATATTTACTATTTGCCCCATATTTATAAACATCTGATGCTTCACACCAGCTAATGCCTCTCCTTCCCCTGGTATCCATCCCAGATCATCACTCATGAAAAGTCAGCAATTATTCTGTTACCCACTTCTGGGGGCACCTGTGCTCCAACTAACCCCAGGAATAGAGTCTTCATTGCCAGACAATCAGTGGGTTATCCTGTCCCAGAATCTCATCTTAATATCTCCTTTCTCAGACAGTCCTTAGAACCAGCTGTCACAGGCTAGGTTCTTCAAAGGAGATTCAGGTTAGAAATTGAGCACAGGACATTTATTCAAGAGAAATTGTGAGGATAGAAGGGGAAAACATGATTGAAGGGAGGGAGAAATTGAGTTGGATGTAGGCCCAAAATGGTCCCCTGCAAAGTAGCCTTCAGAGATGCCCCACCTGGAGGAAGAACCCCCACCCCTCCATGAAGGTGGCATGACCTCTGGCAAGGTGATGTTGGAAAGAAGCTGATGCTAGCTGAGACGATAAGTTGTCAGTGCCTGGCAGAGCATCGGAGCAGTGCATTACAAGGCCCCCTCCTGAGGGCTCCTAAATTTGGGGTCCTGGCGCTGTTCCCTCTCCACTCCAGTAATGATCCAGGATTGAGTCTCCCAAGGTGGAGCGCTTACCCCACCAACCTAGTCAGATACCCTCTTCTGAGAAATGTGGAAGTGACAGAAAGTGGGAGTTGAGACAGGAAATCAGCTTCTGTGGGTGACTGGGTCTCTGTGCAATATGCCAACCAGGGAGTCGCAGGCAGCCAGGTTCTGCCCCACAGACAGCAGATGACAGAAAGCCTGTCTACAGAGGAAGAAAAGGGCACAATAGACAAGCAGAGAGAAGTGGGAATAAGAATTAGAGGCCTGCGGTTTTTCTGGTCTCCACTTCCAAACCCTGTCTGAAACTCAGTTAAGTCCACAACATCAGGTTCTGTAAGACTTCTGTATTCTTGTAACAAATTAGTTCCAGATGATATCTACCAATGCTCCAAAAAATCCTAACAAAATGTTAGGCACAAAACAAACCCTTTGTTTTTATTTAGGTAAATGCTCTTTTCAAATGTGCTTGTTTGTTTGTTTCTCTTCAATCTTTTTCTTTGATGTAACAATAACCCCTTTTCTAGATATTTGTGTCTTTGATGGAAAATCCAATTATTTGAATAACTAAACAAATTGTGTTCTCTGATTCTCTAATTTGTCCTCATGCTTATTGAGCCTCTCCCTTCAGGAAAAACCATATGAAAGAGTGACAAGCCCATAAAATCTGGTGCAAGCAAAATTGGGTTCGATTCTCTGCTTCACTTCTTTTTTTCTTCTTTCTTTGTTTTTTTTTCTTTTTTTTTTTTTTTTGAGACGGAGTCTCACTCTGCTGCCCAGGCTAGAGTGCAGTGACTTGATCTTGGCTCACTGCAACATCCACTTCCTGAGTTCAAGCGATTCTTCTGCCTCAGCCTCCTAAGTAGCTAGGATTACAGGCACACAACTCCACGCCTGGCTAATTTTTGAATTCTTAGTAGAGACGGGGTTTCACTATGATGGCCAGGCTGGTCTTGAACTCCTGACCTCAGGTAGTCCACCCACCTCGGCCTCCCAGAGTGCTGGGATTACAGGTGTGAACCACTGTGCCTGACCTCTGCTTAACTTCCTACAAGCAATTTGACCTTGGTCCGATCACTCAATGTAACAGACCCTTCATAATTACAACTACATAATGGTGATCATTGTATCTCTTGTAAGTTATTGCAAGAGAAGGAGCCATATGTGAGAAGTGCCTAGCAGGAGCTCAGAGAATAGTCATTATCAATGCAATTACAAATGATCATTACTCAAAGACTATAAGCAATCTGGTTCCCTCTTGCTTTAGTCAAAGCCTTTTCAGTTGCACAATAGAGATCCTTCCCCCATTCCCTTAAAATATTTTCAATCAAAAGGAAAATAAAGTATCTGTTGGACATACAAGGTTCAAGGATGGCAAAATTCAGGATCTTGAACAGGTCCTCAAGACTCAGTTTCTCTACTTGCTCATCTGGCATTCCTTTTTAAATTTTCGTAGGTTTTTGGGGAACAGTTGGTATTTGGTTACATGAGTAAGTTCTTTAGCGGTGATTTGTGAGGTTTTGGTGCACCCATCACCTAAGCAGTATACACTGAACCCAATTTGTAGTCTGTTATCACTCACCCTCTTCCCGCCCTTTCCCCGGAATCCCCAAAGCTCATTGTATCTTCCTTATGCCTGTGCATCCTCATGGCTTAGCTCCCACTTATGAGTAAGAACATACGATGTTTGGTTTTCCTGAGTTAATTCACTTAGAATAATAGTCTCCAATCCCATCCGGGTTGCTGCAAATGGCATTTCTATCTTGCAGCTTCTTCCTCAAGCATCCCCCTCTGAATAGCCCTCGTAGGGACATTTTCTCCCATCAATCGCAAGAAATGTCTTTGAACATTTTCAAACTAATCCTCTGACCAGGGTGACTGGATTTGGACTGGGGTTAATGGACCAGGTTAACCCCACCATAACCACAGAGAATGGCAGAAGGAAAGGGGGAGTTTTCCAGGAAAATCAGAGTGTTCTAGTAGAAGAAGGGAGAAGTCATGGGCAAAACAATTGATGTCTATTTTATTCCCTTGCTGAATCTGTGTAGCTTCTTTATTCCCTGGACAGTGTATTCTCCACTGAGTGGTCTTTGAGTCAACCCTTTATCACAGAGTGCTTTCACTCACACGGTAGAGAGGGCAACTCAGTCATCTGCAATTTCCACTGAACGTTGATTCTAGGTGGAAATCACCATCAGTCAGGTACCCACTATGTTTCACATGGCCTTGTGGAGTAAAGGATTCCTCTTTTTGACTGTGAGACCAGCATTTTCACCCATGTAGTCTTGCCAAGACAGATGAGGGACCACCGCACATAAAGTGTCAGTGACCTAGCTATACTGAGTATAGAATAGACTATTTTATTCCTTAATCACAGTTTGGTCAACAACGTATTAGATCCTAGGCCTTTCTGGGAATGTCAAATGCCTAACACATTCCTCAGTAATGATGAAAGCAAGGACTGTCAGCTTTTTTCTCCTTTACCTTTTTTCTCCCTTTTCATGATTCCTTGACAGAGGCATGAAAGATTAGGGTCCAGAGCAATTTTGGAAATCATCAACTCCAACTTAGAAATGAGAAAACAGAAGCATAAAATGGGCAAGGAGCTTTGCAAAAGCCAAGCAACCAATAACCATTAGAGAATGAATTTAAATAAAGGGTTCTTGGACTTCTAGTTAAGCATATAATTTGGATGAGAAGAAAAACTACAGGAAACAATTAATTTAGGCTGACAGAGCTCAACTGCTAAACAATAAAGCTCAGTTTTAGACATGCCTCTCCTGCTGACTGCTGAGGGAACTTTGTCTTCTATCATATGCCCCCAATTACAGCTCCCTTGCCCTCCTCTTCATTGTACTGGGTGGCTATACTTTTCAAAAAGAATTGGAAATATTGAAGATCCACTCATACACTAGGAATCACAGGGTAATTTTTGCCTGAGCCAATCCAGCAAGTGACAGGACAGGGGAAACAGAATCTTAGTGTCTAATGAATGCCTAGATTAGGCTGAAACTAAAGACTCAAGCCTCATTCTGCCGTTAACATCAGCATCTCATCGTCACTCTCTACCATGCCTACTGGGTCTGGCACAAAACCAAACAGAGGATGAGTCCAGCCTTAAACACACTTGAAGTTTTCTGTTCACATTTCTTAAGAGTGGCAGTTAATTCAGATAGAGGAAGAAACCTAGAGGATTCTGGATTGAGGAAAGTAAACATTGTTGAAATGAATCCACATTTTTCGTTCATGCAGTTGCTGCTTGCATCATGGCAGAATTTGGCTAGATGTTCACCAGATCCTATTTCTTCCCTTGTACATGGTCAAACTGTATTTGTCAGATTATTTAAATATGAGCCACGAGATTGGTTCTGAACAATGGAATATGGGCATTCATATATCTGTATCAGTTCCAGACCTGGCCCCTTAAACTTCCCACACAATTTTCCTTTTGATCATAGGGTGGCTGGATGCAGAAGATGGAGCAGTGAATTCCAAGGCTCTGAGAACATCTAAGCCACTAATTAAAAGGCCCCTGAATTACTGAGTTATATGGGCTTGGAGAAAAGCCATCCACCACAACCACATTTAGTTTTATGTCAGAGAAAACAAAATTTTATTGTGTTAAGCCACTAAAATTTGGGGGTTACTTGTTATAACAATTAACATTAATTCCCCCAACACAGCCACCCAATCTAAGGCTGCGTTTATAAAATGAGTTTCACCCCAATAACAACACCGTTCATTGGCATCAAGAAAAAAAGCCCAAGACAAGGCTACAGCAGACACCTAGAAACAAACCATGGTCTGTGAACTTCTAGGAATCAACTGAATTATTGCTTCTATAGAAGTTTGGACTAGTGACCATAGATCAGAAGCCATGGGTTCGAATCCACCATACCCTCTGAATAGCTCTCAACCCTGTGCAGGGTTCTTCATCCCCACTGCTGCTTCCTTGGGGCAACCTACCGTCATTGCTTGCCTGGATGATGGCAGGAGTGTCTTTCCTGCTTTCTCTGCCTCCAGTCTCCCTCTGCTATACTTTTCCCACACAGCAGTCATTATGATCCACCTAAAATTCACACGTGAATAACTGAAAACATTTCAATGCTTTGCAAAGATAAAAACAATATCTTAATTTAGCTTGATGTGACCTGAGCATCATGTACTTCTCCAGTGACAACACACACATATGCACACATGCACATGAATGCACACATGCATGCACACACATGCACATATGCACACGTGCACATGAATGCACACATGCATGCACACACATGCACATATGCACACACGCACATGAGCGCACACAGGCATGCACACACATGTACACATGCACGTGTGCACATGAACACACACATGCATGCACACACATGCACATATGCACACATGCATACACACACACACACACTCATTATAATCATGCTTAATTTATTTTTGTTATCTGTAGATGCCATAATTTTTTTTTTGTCTCTGGTTATTGCCCATTCTCTGTCCTTTGGTCTTAGACATTATTTCATCTCTTTCCTCTTTTCCTTCTTTTTCCCCTCAACTTCCTTTTTCCGCTGACCTTCCTTAGTTCTCCCATTGGAAGATTTCTCCCCCAGGGAGACTTCCCCTATTCCCCGCTGGGTGAGGTGTTCCTCAGATGTACTTTCCTGGCACTTTGAGGCAGGTTAATGGCCTGTCCCATCTTCAAGTGACTAAGACTCCCATGTGGCATGTAACATTTGAATCAATAGCAAGACACTTTTCTCCTCTGGGCTTCAATTTTCATGGCAGTGAAGACCACTTCAAATCTGCTGGAAGGATTCATTAAAGATAGTACTCACTGGCATTGCATGTATTGAGAGCCAGCTTTGTTCCAAGGGCTCCTGGAACACATGTGGTTTTACCTTGGTCAACCAGCCTTGTAAAGTAGATATTAATACCCCATTTTATAGGTAGAGAAGTTGAAGCTCAATGGAGTTAAGTGACTTGCCCAAGAGTACATAAAATGTTATATAAAAAAACTTGGAATTTTGAATTTGGATCCATTCACTTCAAATCCTGGACTCTTTCAATTCAGAGCCTGAATAAAATAATGGCTAGGGAAGTATTTAAACTGATGAAGATAATAGTTACTATTATGTACATACTTACATTTATGTATTTACACATCTGTTTCCATCTACTAAAGCAGAAGAACAAGGCCCCTCTCTCATTAGTCTTAGCCTACCACCTGCCCCAGATGCTTTCAAAATTTGATTAAATGGAAAAATTGAAGAAAAAGAAAGGAGTGGGAAGGTAAAAATTAACCCTAAGGCTCCTGGTAACACCATTCTGTGTATGAGGTGGGCTTAGAATTGTCATATCTTGTACTTGTATAATCTTGGCACTGCTCAATGCAGTCCACTGCAATAATAACAATAATAATAATAACAATAATAATAATAATAATAATAAGGTATTCAACTAGCTAATAGGGGAACTCTGGGTTTCGTGACCAAAAATCTTTTTTTAGTGTAGTTCAATTTGCATACCTGCTGAGGCTATTACCGGTTAGGGTGTTAAGAAGCAAAGCTGCTATTCTACCTATAGGTCATTTTCAAAACAGTTTCAGCATAAGCCAGATGGGAAGTAGGATATAAAGCCAGGCACCCAGGAGGAAATCATCAGGCTGTCTGTGTCCACGATGGGACAGCTAATATGTTAGCCCTGCCTTAGTGAAGGCCTCCTTGTAGCCTGGAACCTGCCTTCTTAAGAAGGGTACAAACTTGGTGGGGGCAGACATCCCTAGGGACATTCTGACCCAACTCCCCAGCTGATTTACAGTTTCCCTGGCCATTGTACTCATGACCAATGCTGAGATGTCAGTGTTTCTGTGCATCGGGTCACACTGCCTATTTTGCCATCTGAGCCAGGCATGACTGTGAAGCAATGCAAGCAATTGTAAAGCAAACACACTGGGACTTGTTTACCCAAATAGGTTTCATGATCACAAAAACAATTTCCAGGCAGGAGTCACATGAGAGAAGTAACCCCTTCTCAGTGTAGTCAGTCTTCATTCTGAACTTAAGCACTTTATCATTCTTCACAATCTTCCCCCAAATGACAAGACTCCCAGTGAGTTCAGGGTATTTTTCAGAAAATATGGAACCAACTTCAAAAACGATGAGTGTTGCTGAGGACCTTTAAAGGAACGTCCCCAGGCCCAAGAGATGTGCTGTCCAGTAAGTAGTCACTAGCTACATGTGGCTGAGTGCTTGTAAAATAGCTAGTATGAGTGAGAAAGTGAATGTTTAATTTTCTTTAATTTTAAATACTTTAAATTTAAATCTAAAAACTGAAGCACAGTAAAAGAGTCTGCCATGAATACAACTTTACTGAAAAATTTTAAGCCTGTTTGGAGCAATGTGAATGTATGAATCTATTTTTGCAACTGCAAATTCTGAGATTACAATATAAATCCAGTACTTACAGTGAAAATTTAGCATCTGAATTGAGATGTGCTGTCAGTAAAACACTCACTGGATGTTACAGGCTTAATATGAAAGAAAGAATGTAAAATATCCATTAATAGTTTTTATATTGATTACATATTGAAATGATAATATTTTTAACATTGGGGGTTGAATAAAATATATGATTAAAATTAACTTCACCTGCTTTTTAATTTTTTTCAGTGAGGCTACTAGGAAGTATTAAAGTGCACATGTGACTCACATTGTATTTCTAGACAACACTGCTCCAAAGGGCATTTCCAGACAAGACTGATTATGTTTTGAGCAACAGCAGCTTTGTTGGAATAAATATTTAGCCTCCTGGAAGAACTTCTTAAAAAAATGTTCCTTTGGATACATAAGCCAAAAGGTGGTGTCAGAAGTGTTTCCAGAACACAGAAGTTGCTGAACCTTAGAGAACGTCACCTTGGATAGTAGCTTTGAAATAGGGTTGTGATCCTTCCCCTACAGATTCCACTAACATTCAACTCTAACTACTACATGTAAGACACTTTAATGCTTCATTCAAATCATCAAAACAATTTTCGAGAGAGGCATGATGAATCTTATTTTATGGATGAGAAAACTGAGGTTTAATGAGAATGAGCTCTGCTGTGGAACTCATAAGAGACGGAGCTAAGGGTATGAGTCCAAGAACAATCTGCTTTCCACAACATGGCTATTCCTTCAACTATATCAGAGTTCTTCCAAGATTTAGGGAGATCATGTAAGATACAAAAATGCTAAATCTGTGCCCATAATTGCTGTTATTCGGACCAAACTCCCACCCTCCCCATGCTTAACAGGCCCACGGATGTGTAAAGATTTGTTGTTTATGCTCCACTGTAAATGGAGCGCTCTCCCAGCCACGGCTCCTGGCTGTCCCAGCCAGGGCTCCTGACTCTCCCAGGGCACTCTCCATCACACCAGAAGGCTTCCTCCTAATGTAAGAAGAAACAGGCAGGCAAATGAAACAAACCACAAAACCCAACCCCATTTCTTTTTCCTAGCCCCGTGGTACAAATGCACGGAAATGAGATCCCACCTGCAGACAGCAGTAGGCAAGAAGTGAGAATCCTTCTGATTGAGCATTTGCATCGTGTAAATCCAAGTTAAGTTGTGTGGGTGAACTCATCGCATTCTCTTGCAATGGGCTGCCTGGGTAGAGACTCAGAGAAGAGCACTAAACTGGGAGTCATAGCATCATCATCATCATCATCATCATCATCGTCATCAACAACATGGATGCTCTCTTAAGCCCATAAAATATGGCCAGCATTGTGACCTGTAGTTGACTGTAATCCCTTTGCTCTCCTCAATAGAATAGGATCAATTCTATTCATCCTTCACCTTCTTTGACTCCCATTCTCAGGCTGCAAAGTGCAGCTCCCCTTTGCCTTCCAACAGTACTCACTGCATTATAATTGTGATTATGTGGTGAGGCTACAGGTTACTGTAGGTCAGAGTGGGTCTTAATCACCCGTGTATCCTGGCACTGAAGGCAGGGTCTGAAACACAAAGCACCAAGCCCTGTAAGGATATTTATTAGTTGACGTGACCTCAAGGTCAGGTGATGCCATGGGCAGGGTTGACTGGATTCAGTAGCTGGACTTCTTCCTGGGTCTCCTGACATCCAGGCTTGGCTTCTCACCAACTGATGAGGCCTGACCCTCTGCTTCTGGGTGTAGAAGTGTGATTATTTGGGCCCTTGGCAGTGCCAGGCTAGGCCCTTTGCTTCCTTCAGGATGTGAACCTTAGTAGGTTAGCTAGTCACACCTGCACTTCATGTGATGTCAAGCAAATAGCTATGAAAGAACAAGAACAGTTTTCTAGATCATCAGGGATTTATGAAAAGGTGCCTGCCTAATCTTGGTACACTTCCTGATTGTGGTTTCAGCAATGTGGAGAGTTCAATTATTTCTAAGTGACCAAAAAAGCAGAACCACAGACTCTATTGGCCATCCTAACTCACACCTTATCTCTACTATTCTCTACCTTTCTCCCTCCTAGAATCATTATTTACTCTGTGTTTTTGCACCCAAGAGCATAGACGGTGCTTGGGACAGTGAAATTGGGTAAGGCTGTGTACATTCAATTTGCTCCTGATCCTCTTCCACTCCTTTTTCTCCATCTTTCAAAACCCAGTTTAGCACCTCACACCCATTAGGATGGCAAATACATAAATAAAATAAGTGTTGGTGAAGATGTGGAGAAATTGGAATCGTTGTGCATTACTTGTGGGATTGTAAAATGGTACCGTTGCCATAGGAAACAGCATGGCCGTCCCTTAAAAAATTAAACATAGAATTGTATGCTTTGTATGATCCAATAGTTCTGCTTCTTCTGAGCATATACAGTAAAGAATTGAAAGTAGGATCTTAAAGAGACATTTGTATACCCGTATCCATAGCAGCATTACTCGCAGTACCCTAAAGGTGAAAGCAATCTGAATGTTCATCACTAAGTGAATGGATAAGCAAAATGTGGTATATACGAACAATGGCATATTCTTCAGCTTCAGAAGGAATGGAAATTCTGACACTGCCACAACATGGATTAACCTTGAGGGCATTAAACTGAGTGAAATAAGCGCCAGTCACAAAAAATACAAATAGTCTCTGATTCCGCTTACTTGTGATACTTAGCATAGTCAAAATCAGAGAGACAGAAAGTAGAAGAGTGGTTGCCAGGGAAGGAGAAATAGGGAGATGTTACTTACGGTGTATAGAGCTTCATCTTTGCAAGATGGAAAGACTTTCTGGAGAGGGTTGGTGGTGACGTGTACACACCTGCCCCCTTGCCTCAATTGATGACAACCCTGAAGGCTGCCCAGCTCCAGAGCTGCTGGTGGGACAGAGGCCTCTGATGCAAGTGTGTCTCAGTGTAACTTCTCCGTCAGGCCCAAACCTGCCTCCCTCACCACCCTAGTGGTGTTGTTCAGGACAGCACTCTCCAATGAAGCTGCTGCAGGCAATTCTCAGTCTCAGAGTCTCAGCCCCACACATTTTTTTTTTCTTTTTATACTTTGAGCTCTAGGGTACATGTGCACAACATGCAGGCTTGTTACGTATGTATACATGTGCCATGTTGGTGTACTGCACCCATTAACTCACCATTTACATTAGATGCATCTCTTAATGCTATCCCTCCCCACTCCCCCTACCCCACAATGGGCCCCGGTGTGTGATGTTCCCCTTCCTGGGTACAAGTGTTCTCATTGTTCAATTCCCACCTATGAGTGAGAACACGCTGTGTTTGGTTTTTTGTCCTTGCGATAGTTTGCTGAGAATGATGGTTTCCAGCTTCATCCATGTCCCTACAAAGGACATTAACTCATTTTTTATGGCTGCATAGTATTCCATGGTGTATATGTGCCACATTTTCTTAATCCAGTCTATCATTGTTGGACATTTGGCTTGGTTCCAAGTTTTCGCTATTGTGAATAGTGCCGCAATAAACATATGTGTGCATGTGTCTTTATAGCAGCATGACTTATAATCTTTTGGGTATATACCCAGTAATGGGATGGCTGGGCCAAATGATATTTCTAGTTCTAGATCCCTGAGGAATCGCCACACTGTCTTCCACAATGGTTGAACTGGTTTACAGTCCCACCAACAGTGTAAAAGTGTTCCGATTTCTCCACATCCTCTCCAGCACCTGTTGTTTCCTGAATTTTTAATGATCGCCATTCTAACTGGTGTGAGATGGTATCTCATTGTGGTTTTGATTTGCATTTCTCTGATGGCCAGTGATGATGAGCATTTTTTCATGTGTCTGTTGGCTGCATAAATGTCTTCTTTTGAGAAGTGTCTGTTCATATCCTTCGCCCACTTGTTGATGGGGTTGTTTTTTCTTGTAAATTTGTTTGAGTTCATTGTAGATTCTGGATATTAGCCCTTTGTCAGATGAGTAGATTACAAAATTTTTCTCCCATTCTGTAGGTTGCCTGTTCACTCTGATGGTAGTTTCTTTTGCTGTGCAGAAGCTCTTTAGTTTAATTAGATCCCATTTGTCAATTTTGGCTTTTGTTGCCATTGCTTTTGGTGTTTTAGACATGAAGTCCTTGCCCATGCCTATGTCCTGAATGGTATTGCCTAGGTTTTCTTCTAGGGTTTTTATGGTTTTAGGTCTAACATTTAAATCTTTAATCCATCTTAAATAAATTTTTGTATAAGGTGTAAGGAAGGGATCCAGTTTCAGCTTCCTACATATGGCTAGCCAGTTTTCCCAGCACCATTTGTTAAATAGGGAATCCTTTCCCCATTGCTTGTTTTTGTCAGGTTTGTCAAAGATCAGATGGTTGTAGATGTGTGGTATTATTTCTGAGGGCTCTGTTCTGTTCCATTGGTCTATATCTCTGTTTTGGTACCAGTACCATGCTGTTTTGGTTACTGTAGCCTTGCAGTATAGTTTGAAGTCAGGTAGCGTGATGCCTCCAGCTTTGTTCTTTTGGCTTAGGATTGACTTGGCAATGTGGGCTCTTTTTTGGTTCTGTATGAACTTTAAAGTAGTTTTTTCCAATTCTGTGAAGAAAGTCATTGGTAGCTTGATGGGGATGGCATCGAATCTATAAATTACCTTGCAGCCCTACACCTTTTTAAACCTGTTTTTGGTTTTAAGGATTTTTTCCATTTTTGTTTCATGATGATATCAACTTGCCTTGAAATGAATTGCATTGAATCAAATGACATTAGACAGGGCAGGCCTAGAGGGGCTGGGAGTTGGAAACCAGACATATTGAACCCAGCTGGGTAGGGGCAAGTGCAGGGACAGAGCTGGTGAGAATGGCAGGAGCTCTGCAGACTTGCATTTCCCAGCTGACCTGTTGACTTTTGTCACCTTGATGCTCTCTTCAATGAGTACAGGCAGGATTTAGTAACACTGTCTTGTGGAATATTTGCATTAGGTCTGGGCTTTTATTCTTTCTCATTTCCCAGAGGAGAAAGTTAACAGTGTAGTTCACTGTCCCAGGCAAGGGCCCAGGGCTTAGAGGTGGGTCACGCTGGCTCCTCCTCAGAAAGAACCTCAGTCTATCTTGCAGGCAGAGGTCCAGAGATTCCTAAATATGGAGAACACAGGTCCTTCCAGGGGCAGGCAGAATGGGAGGGGAAGCTGCAGAGCAAGCTGCACACACACATTAACCAGCAGACAGGGCCTTTGTACACCATACACAGACACACACCAGAGTGCACTCTCATTGTGTACTCAGATCCACATGAATAAGACACACTCACACCCACATCTAGGCTCATGCAAAGATGTGCATACACAGCTGAGAATGCATGTGTACTTTTAAGTATAATCAAGCCCACATATTCACACTGATACATGGAACACACTCATTTGAATGCAAACTTACATTTGCTTATAAGCATGTGCATACACACACACTCACACACACACGCACATACAAACACACATATGCATGCATGCACACATGCACACACGCATGCACGCACACACATATGCACACGCACACACACATGCACACACGCACACATCCACACCCGCACACACGCATGCATACACACACATGCACACATATGCGCATGCACACAAGCACGCACAAACACACACACACACAAGCACATGCACATCCTTCATAGTAAATGTTCCATCCTGACTTCTCGGTGCAGACCTCATCAACCTTCTTGGCTTCATCCTGTCATTTGCAAAAAGGGAAAGTGTAAAAAGGAATGTAACATGTTCTCTTACCACTAAAATCCTGGAAAAATACATTCCCTGGAATGAAGAAAATGTCCATATTGATGATTTGCATTTGTGATATTGGAGTCTGTGCTGGATTCAGTTTAAGTGCCTCCCTGGATACACTCAGCTGTGTTTTTTTTTGTTGTTGTTGTTTTTTTTTTTTTTTTTGAGGTTACTGATGAACATCCAGGCAGATTTCTGCAATCAATGTAATTTATGTAGGCTGTAGAGAGGAGGTTTTCATTTTTATTGAATAGAGAATCTAGAGTTATGTTGCCATCTTTTGGGAAGGGGCCATTCCCTGAATGGTGTCCCTCCCTCTCAGCTGGCCACGCCAACCTGGACCTACATATGGCCAGTGGGCAAGCTCAGAAGCATCTTGCTTCACAATTCTTGTGCCTCTCCCATCCAGGCCTGCATATTCTTCTCTCTCTGGTGTTCCCTGCTGCTGCTGAGGTGCAGGATTTCACAGACCCACTGCTAGCAGGCCAGGCCACCCTCCAAGCTCTAAGAAGGCAGGTGGTTTGCCCTAAAATGACTCCACAGATTTTTGGGATATAGCTTCTCCAGAGGCTGCCAGAGGGATCGGGTGCGGCAACTGGGAAACGCAAGCGTGCTGATGTCCTGTGCAATTTGACTGATTGGAGACCTGAGCTGAGGAGTGAATTCCCCCTTTCTCCCTTATGATACACTGTCTAGAGATTTGCATGGATTCTCTGAAGATATCTCACTTGTTATGAAGCTAAGGCGAAGTCAATGCCCATTTATATTTTATCTTCCTCCTTCAATGCCTCACAAAAGATTCTGCATCGATAAATCCCCATATAGCTTACCTTCTGTATATATCTCAATCTTTACTTACATACTTCTAGAGACAAGGAGCTCACCACCTCTCAAGGCAGCTCTTGCACTGCTTGAAGAGTTTTGTCAGTTAAAATATCATTCTTTAGAATTGTCGTCTGTCTTCCAGAATGTCTTTCCTTCAGCAGACCTATATCAGTGCTCTGGGGTTCCACAGAACCAATCCAGTTACTCTTTGCATGCAGTCCCTTCTGGTAATCAGGCACAGTTCTAATTGTCTGCCCTGAGGATTCTCTGCCCCAATCTAATACAGTCCAGACAGAGCCCCTGGGCTGCATGCTCTAGTAGGTCAAGCTTGTCCAACCCATGGCCCACAGGCCACATGCAGCCCTGGACGGCTTTGAGTGCAGCCCAACACAAATTCGTAAACTTTCTTAAAACATTATGAGATATTTTTTTTTAGCTCATCAGCTATTGTTAGTATTCAGTGTACTTTAGTGTGGCCCAAGACAATTCTTCTTCCAATGTTGCCCAAAGAAGACAAAAATTGGACACCCCTATAGTAGGTTCTGTAGATACAGATGTGAATACAACTTGACTCCTCTTCTTAGAGAACTTATGATATACAAGTGGAGACAGACACTGTATTAGTTTTCACACTGCTATAAAGAACCACCTGAGACTGGGTAATTTAGAAAGAAAAGAGGTTTAATTGATTCACAGTTCCACGTGACTGGGGAGGCCTCAAGAAACTTAAAATCATGGTGGAAGGGGAAGCAAGCACCTCTTACCATGGCAAAGTGGGGCCAGGGGACAACCACACACCTTTAAAAAAATTACTTCAAGTTCCGGGATACATGTGCAGAATGTACAGCTTTGTTACATAGGTATATGTGTGCCATGGTGGTTTGCTGCACCTATTGACCCATCCTCTAAGTTTCTTACCCTCACCTCCCAACCCCAAAAAGCCCGGGTGTGCGCTGTACCCCTCCCTGTGTCCATGTGTTCTCATTATTCAACTTCCACTTATGAGTGAGAACATACAGTGTTTGGTTTTCTGTTCCTGTGTTACTTCACTAAGGATGATGGCTTCCAGCTTCATCTATGTTTCTGCAAAGGACATGATCTCATTCCTTTTTATGGCAGCATAGTATTTCATGGTGTATACGTACCACATTATCTTTATCCAGTCTATCATTGATGGGCATTTGGGTTGGTTCCATGACTTCGCTATTGTAAATAGTGCTGCAAAACATATGTGTGTATGTGTATTTATGGTAGAATGATTTACATTCCTTTGGGTATATACCCAATAATGGGATTGCTGGGTCAAATGTTATTTCTGGTTCTAGTTCCTTGAGGAATAGCCATACTGTCTTTCACAACGGTTGAACTAATTTACATTCCAGCTGACAGTGTAAAAGTGTTCCTATTTCTCCACAGCCTTGCCAGCATCTATTGTTTCCTGACTTTTTAATAATTGCCATTCTGACTGGCATGAGGTAGTATCTCATTGTAGTTTTGATTTGCATTTCTCTAATAACCAGTGATGATGAGCTTTTTTTCATATGTTTGTTGACCACATAAATGTCTTCCCTGGAGAAGTCTCTGTTCATATTCTTTGCCCACTTTTTGATGGGGTTGTTTTTTTCTTGTAAATTTGTTTAAGTTCCTTGTAAATTTTGGATATTCGACCTCTGTCAGATAGGTAGATTGCAAAATTTTTTTCCAATTCTGTAGGTTGCCTGTTCACTCTGATGATAGTTTCCTTTGCTGTGCAGAAGTGCTTTAGTTTAATTAGATCATATTTGTCAATTTCGGCTTTTGTCGCAATTGCTTTTGGCCTATTTATCATGAAGTCTTTGCCCATGCCCATGTCCTGAATGGTAGTGCTTAGGTTTTCTTCTAGGGTTTTTATGGTTTGGGGTTTTATATTTAAGTCTTTAATCCATTTTGAGTTAATTTTTGTGTAAGGTGTAAGGAAGGTGTCCAGTTTCAATGTTCTGCATATGACTAGACAGTTTTCCCAGCACCATTTATTAAATAGGAAATCTTTTCCCCATTGCTTGTTTTTGTCAGGTTTGTCAAAGATCAGGTGGTTGTAGATGTGTGGTGTTATTTCTGAGGTCTCTGTTCTGTTCCATTGGTCTATATGTCTGTTTTGATAAAAAGTACCACACTGTTTTGGTTACTGTAGCCTTGTAGTATAGTTTGAAATCAGGTAGCATTGTTTCTTCCAGCTTTGTTCTTCTTGCTTAGGATTGTCTTGGCTATATGGGGTCTTCTTTGATTCCATATGAAATTTAAAGTAGTTTTTTCTAATTCTGTGAAGAATGTCAGTGGTAGTTTGATGGGAATAACATTGAATCTGTATTTACTTTGGTCAGTATGGCCATTTTCACAACAATGATTCTTTCTATCCATGAGGATGGAATATTTTTCATTTGTTTATGTCCTCTCTTATTTCCTTTAGCAGTTGTTTGTAGATCTTCTTGAAGAGGTCCTTCACATCCCTTGTTACCTGTATTCCTAGGTATTTTATTCTCTTTGTAGTGATTATGAATGAGAGTTCATTCATGATTTGGCTCTCTGCTTGTCTACTGCTGGTGTAAAGCAATGCTTGTGATTTTTGCAAATTGATTTTGTATCCTGAGACTTTGCTGAAGTTTCTTACCAGTTTAAGGAGTTTTGGGGCTGAGATGATGGGGTTTTCTAAGCAAAAAAAATCGTCATCGCAAACAGAGACAATTTGACTTCCTCTCTTCCTATTTGAGCACGATTTATTTCTTATTCTTGCCTGATTGCCCTGGCCAGGACTTCCAAAACTATGTTGAATAGGAGTGGTGAGAGAGGGCATCCTTGACTTGCACCGGTTTTCAAAGGGAATGCATCCATTTTTTACCCATTCAATATGATATTGGCTGTGGATTTGTCATAAATAACTCTCATTATTATGAGATATCTTCCATCAGTACTTAGTTTTTTCAGAGTTTTTAACATGAAAACACGTTGAATTTTAACAAAGACCTTTTCTCCATCTATTGAGATAATCATGTGGTTTTTGTCTTTGGTTCTGTTATGTGATGGATTACATTTATTGATTTGTGTATGTTGAACCAGCCTTGCATCCCAGTGATGAAGCCAACTTGATCATGGTGGATAAGTTTTTTAATGTGCTGCTGGATTCGGTTTACCAGTATTTTATTGAGGATTTTCACATAGAAGTTCATCAGGGATATTGGCCTAAAGTTTTCATTTTTTGTTGTGTCTCTTCCTGATTTTGGCATCAGGATGATGCTGGCTCCACAAAATAATGTGTTACGGGGGAGTCCCTCCTTTTCAATTGTTTGGAATAGTTTCAGAAGAAATGGTACCAGCTCTTCTTTGTATCTCTGGCAGAATTTGTCTGTGAATCTGTCTGGTCACAGGCTTTTTTTGGTTGGTAGGCTATTAATTACCACCTCAATTTCAGAACTTGTTATTGGTCTATTCAGGGATTTGACTTCTTCCTGGCAGGGTGTATGTGTCCACCCATTTCTTCTAGATTTTCTGGTTTATTTGCATAGATGTGTTTATAGCATTCTCTGATGGTAGTTTGTATTTCTGTGGGGTCAGTGGTGATAGCCCCTTTATCACTTTTTATTGTGTCTATTTGATTCTTCTCTCTTTTCTTATTTATTAGTCTACCTAACAGTCTGTCTATGTTGTTAATTTTTCAAAAAAACAGCTCCTGGATTCATTGATTTTTTTGGAGGGTTTTTTGTGTCTCTTTCTCCTTCATTTATGCTCTGGTGTTAGTTATTTCTTGTCTTCTGCTAGCTTTTGGATTAGTTTGCCCTTGCTTATCCAGGTCTTTTAATTGTGATGTTAGGGTGTTGATTTGACATCTTTCTAGCTTTCTGATGTGGGCAGTTAGTGCTACTAATTTCCCTCTTAACACTGCTTTAGCTGGACCACCATATACTTTTAAACCATCAGATCTCATGAAAACTCACTCACTATCATAAGAAAGCATGGGGAAACCACCCCCATGATCCAATCATCTCCCGCCAGGCCCCTCCCTCCATATGTGGGGATTATAATTTGAGATGAGATTTGAGTGGGGACACATAACCAAACCATATCAAACACTAAAAGAGACTCTTGCAATATTTTAGAGAAGATGTCTTTCCTATCTTAGGGAAATTGGGAACAGAGAAAAATTCAGGGTTCTATAGGAGTACAGAGGAGCAGTAACAACCCAGCCTGGAAGAATGGGAAAGACTTCTTGGAGAAAGAAAAGTCTGAGATTTGAGCTGTCACAGGTGATTTTATTTGTTGTGCCCTGCACGGCTCCAGCCTTCTCTGATGGCCTTCCTGGAGTGGTGCAGTGCACAGCCTGCTCTACCTGATGCAGTATCCTTAGGTCATTCTGGGGAAGTGAGGATAATCAGGCAAAAAGGAGGGAAAGCTGAGTAGGCAGAGTTGAGCAATGACACTTGCTCAGGGAACTGCACATCTTGCTGTGTGCCCAGGGAGTAAATTTGAGGGTGTAAGTAGCCGGAAATGATGCTGAAGGAGTGAGGCAAAGCTGGAAATCACCAAGGAGCATCCAGGCAGTGGTGGGCTGGCACCTGCTTATACAGGCTTGTGAGAAGCAACTATGTACCTCTCTTTCCCAACTCCTTGTTAATGACTAACACTGCTTGTTTGAAGTCAGCCATGGTGGCGGTATTTACAGCATGGAATACTGTAAATCATGCCATTTTTCCTTCCCTAGAGAGCCAATTGTTAAACATTTACCATCACACCACTGGTTGTCCCTCCTCAAAAAGCTTGGTTCCCAAATCCTTGCAGGGCTGAAGATGGATCTCTGGACTCTGGAATCAATCCATTTCAACCTAGCCTGGACTCTATGCTTCCAGCTGGACCTTGTTTGTCTCTGACCACAATTCACTAACCAGAAGGTTGTGCATTTCCCCAGATCCCATACCTTAGCTTGAAGAATTCCAGATGGCCCTCTGCACTGTTTGGTTAGGGATCTAGGATTGTTTATACATGCACTGAGGGAGATGGGAGGATTTCTTTGTAATTGGAGTCTATACTTTCTGCATGGTTAACTGCCTAAGAAGCAGAGATCAGAGCCCTTTGCTGTATAATTGACCACGGACATGCTCTGGGTAATAACCACAAATGCTTAGCTCTTTCTGCATGCCAGACACTGTTCTAAACACATTAATTGTATTAACTCAGTTAGTTCTCATAAGGCATGAGGTAGGTAGTTTGCATCACAGAGAGGGAATGTTACTTGTCCAAGAGCACACAACTGACAAGAGGAAATGATGAGATTGGCGTTCAAGCAGGCAGCTTTTGGGATTTATGCTCTTTCCTAGTGTAATAAACCGAATGAAGCAGGAAGTCATGCTTATTACTGTTAGCATCAGCAACTGCATTCTAAAATACACTAATATTGCGTATTTATTGGGCACATACCACGTGTCAAAGCCCTTATATGTGCCATCTTAATCCATCTTCACACCATCACCAATTAGTAATGTATATTAGACACTTGTTGGCTGTGGGTCAGCAGCCATTTCTTTCTCTGGTAATAGCACCCTGAATTGCTTTTTGGAAAATTACTGATCCGTCCTTGATTGATGTCATTTGGTGTAGCTGACTTCTTCCTCTTCTCAGTGGGCAGGTGAGCAGGGCATAAGCCAATCATGCAGCCCAACCCACTGGCCCCAGGGACTAGGCACAGAAATAGGCACAGGATCAAATTCAGAGCAAGGAAAATTAGACCCAAGATCTGTGCTTGAAATAAGGGAAAGAAAACAGATTTCTATTCTACCAGACTTGAGTCTAGGAAGAAAGATGGAGGCCTTGAGCTATCAGCAGTCATTTGTGCTATGGAAAATTTAACTTAGCCTCAACATTTAAGAACAAGAATGGCTTTGCCATTCCAAGAACTGTATTATAGGAAGGAAGTAGAAAAACCCTCATAGACACACCCAGAAATAATGTTTTATCAGCTACCTGGGCATCTCTCAGCCTAGTGAAGCTGACACATAAAATTAGCCATCACAAAAGTTATCACAAAATTTGTCTGGAGGAGTGCAGTATTGAACACCTGGGAAGAGGTCCCAGTGTTCGCTCCAGGGAATGCAATATTAATAATCTCTGTGTAGCTGGCATTTGAACTTTCAGAATGTGTGATATGAGGTTCCATTTATGACAGATGTTGATTTCCTCACTCACCAGCACGCCACGTCTGAGAGCAAAGCCAACCTGCAGGAAAGGAGGGCTAAGGGACAGAGACAAAGTGAGTCACAGCAACTCATGTGTGCTCCCAGACTAAGCCACACCCAGGCATTTCAGTTTCAAGAGACAATATATCCCTCTTTTGCCTAAGTCATCTCAAGTTGGGTTTTCTGTCCCTTACAAGCAAAGTGGTGCTGACTAACCAGACTGTCATTATTACCCTTGTATTACAGCAGAAGGAACTGAGGCTCTGAGAGGTTTCTTTTTTTTTTTCTTTCTTTTTTTTTTTTTTTTTTTTGAGATCGAATCTCGCTCTGTCTCCCAGGCTGGAGTGCAGTGGCACGATCTCGGCTCACTGCAAGCTCCGCCTCCTGGGTTCACACCATTCTCCTGCCTCAGCCTCCTGAGTAGCTGGGACTATTGGCGCCCACCATCATGCCCGGCTAATTTTTTTTTTTGTGTGTGTATTTTTAGTAGAGACAGGGTTTCACCGTGTTGGCCAGGTTGGTCTCGATCTCCTGACCTGGTGATCCGCCTGCCTCGCCCTCCCAAAGTGCTGGGATTACAGGTGTGAGCCACCACACCCAGCCGAGAGGTTTCTTGAGTTGGCCAGGACCACAGATAGAATGCTTGGCCTGGCCGGGATCCTCTCTAGTTCCTCTGACTCCACAGCATTCTTCATTCAGCAATCCTTGCTGCCTCAGCACTTGCCTTGTCCTCGCTGCTGTTGGAGACTCCCCATGCAGCATTCCCCTCTGTCTCTGATCAGCCCCTTCCCTTCTACGAGACCCTGTACTCAAGCATTGGCACATCATTCATTCATTCATTTATTCATCAAAGATTTAATGTCTTAATATGGATTACATATCATGATGGGGTTTTTAAGAGATAGAGAAGCAATTAGGAAGGGTCAGTTCTCTGAATTCTTAAACAATCTTGTCCAGTCTCCCCTCCCACTTCCCTAGGACTAGCCCTGCCCATATGTGCACCATGACCTTCTCACTCCTCTCAAGCACCACAACCTTTGAAGGCATTCATACACTCCTCCTACTTTCTCAATCCCATTCCTCCACATCTCCACCTGGTCTACTCCTCTTCATCCTCAAGCCCCAGCTCTCTGGCTGCCCCTCCAGCATCCGCCAGAGTGAGCCTGTGTCTCTAAGGTCGCTCTCTGCTGACTTCTCTGTTTCCATCTGTTGTTCCCACTGGATTGGACAACTGGAAAGCAAGAACTACATCTTGTCCTCCTGTGCCTAGCAGAAAGCAGGGTTCCTAGGAGGTTCAACCAAAGTTGGTTGAATACTCCTTCAGAAACTTTAAAGTTACCTTTTCTCCTTATCATTAAATCAGGCCAGTCTAAGTTTCAATGCTTCATTTAGAAGTGGCAAAGCCACATGTCCCTAATGAAATGTTCTTAAATTCTCATGTTGTGCTAATTCAGCCTGGCCCTTCCAGGGCTGGCTGTCACCAGAACAATAAGCTTCTAGTAGAAGTTCCTAGAAGGCAGAACTTGTCCTCTCTTTACCTTTAACTCTCACCATCTATTACTCTTCAGCACTCAGCTCCTGCCTGCCTGACAGTCCTCTCTAGGTGTGTCTGAGGCTCCTCAAGTATTTGCATCCCCTGTCCCTGTCTGTGATGTTCCCCATGCCCCACACCATCATACCTGGATGTGATGGGACACTGAGCCCACCACAGAAAACAAACCAATCCCTCTGGGTAGCAGGTTGCTTGCTAAATGCCATAACCACTCTGATAGTTTACTTGCTCACTTTTACATTACTTTTTTAAGCTCTGAATATCAATTCTATTTCACAACTAGAAGAATAGCTGTTTGATTTGGAAATTGGCAGAAATTCTTTCTCTCTGATGAGAATCTGCTTTGTAATTTTATACCCTGGAAGATATTAGCTCAAATTACCACTTACTAACACCAGAAATTGGAGGGCCCAGCCCTACTCATCTGTGCAACCTCAGGAAGCTGAAGACCTTCTCAGAGTCTCAGTTTTCTCACACATCCAGGGAAGGTGTGGATAAATTAAATATCTCTCTTGCTGTTTACAGGCATTGTGCTCAAGGCTGAGTACCCTCTCATTTCATTCTACAACATCCACATAAAGGAGATATTATGATTTTCCCTATTTTGCAGACAAAGAGGCTGAGGTTTGTGTTGTTGAAGTACTTTGTGGACAGTCACACCTGTTATAAATGGCAGAACTAGGATTTGAAATCAGGCATACCCAACCTTGCATCCTAGTTCTTAACCACCACCAACAGGGAGATCTAAGATCTTTGCACCTCAGCCTTTTCATGATTCCACTGCAGATGAGAATAAATGTCCCTCCAGTGCTCCCTTATTCTCTGGACTTGTTATTACAGCATTCTTTACAATTATTCTTTTAGAAATAATCATCATAATTAAAAGATAACCTCTGTGATGTCTCATTTATCTCTGTTTCTCAGCAGCCATCACAGGATACATGAATGGAGCTCAGTTCCGTTATGGTAGGTTCAAAAGGGTTACAGTCATTAGGAAGGAGAGGAACTAACATGTATCGAGCCCCTTCCATATGCCCAGCACCACAGGAACACCTTCTGGCATTCAGGTTCATGTGATCCTTTCTGAAATCCTGTGAGCCCAATGCTAATAATCCCTAATGCTACAGGTGAGGAAGCCCCAGAGCTACAGCTGTCCAAGGCAGCACCGCCAGGGAAAGGAGAGCTGAGCTCTGCACCTGTATCCTCTAAATCCAACTGCAAAGGTTCATTCAGTAAAACATTAAAATTTAAGGAATAAAAGAGAAAACCTATAAAATCCATACATAAGAACTATGTAAAAACCAAAGGAAAAGGACAGCATTGGCATTAAAACATTCACCAAGATTCCAGGAAACAAGAAAAATCAACAGATGACATAGTTGATCAGGAAAAGTGTCCTTCAACATGCTTTTATTGCAGAGACTGCTGCCTAACACGTGTAGATCGAAACCCTGGGAACTGAAGCTACTGAAAGAGAGCTGTTTAGTATGCAGGAAACTCAGTTTTGTGGAAAGGAAAGGGCTTTTATCTCATCAAATACATTCAAAGAGCAAGCAGAAAGTGGCATTTAACAAGAATTGAAAATATAGGAGTCCTGTGCTACAAAGGGACAGTATCAAATTGTTATTGCTGTGTAACAAACCACCCAAAGGTTGAGTGTCTTAAAATTACATGCATTTACTTAGCTCATGTGGTTGTGGGTCAGTTGAGCAATTCTGTGGGTCTGGGCTGGGTTGGGCTGATCTCAGTTGAGCTCACTCCAAATCTGCACTTGCTGGCAGGTCTGTTAAGACCTAGCTAGTCTAGGATGGACCTTGGCTGAGAATTCCATCTCCACACAGTCTCACGCTGCAGCAGGCTAGCTCAAGCTTGTTCACATGGCAGCTGGGCAAGTTCCCAAGGCAGGGAGCAGAAACACAAGGCCTCAGTAACCTAGGTATGAAACTGTCCCACTAGTTCTGTCATATTTCATTAGCCAAAGCAAGTCACCAGGCCAGCCCCAATTCAAAGTGTAAGATAAAGACTGCACCTTCTGTTGGGAGGAGCTGCAAGTTCTGTGGCAAGGAATATGGGTACAGGAAGGGGGAAAATTGTGGCCATTTTTTTGCTGAGATTTACCATGAAGACATCAGATATATAAATTCACTGATCCTGAAGAAGGTTAGAGATTTATCCAGCATCACAGAACAAGTTATGATCAGAGCCCAGAATACAGCAGGAGAGTTATAGGAAATGAAAATGTATTTAACACCTACTTGGTACCATGTACTGTAGAAGGGCTTTATATACTGTATCTCAGTTAATCTTCCTGATAACCCAGTTAGCAGCTTCTGTTCCCATGTGTGCATGAACATCTGGTGTTTTTGCTGCCCAACAGGCCTCCTCTGCTTTCTTTGATAGTAACAACTCAATTTTCCTTTGAGAAACCACGGTTCTTTCACATTCTCTTTATGAGGTTTAATAGGGTTGACCACTTTCCTGGCCCCAAAGAGATCTGAGAGCTTACAAGCTGGGCCATCAGAGAACTCCATCTCTCTAGACAAGGGTCTACACTTGGGCATATGACCCAAGCCAAATTAGTCAAAATCAGCCAGAAAAATTCTGTGTAACCACTGGAAGATAGTTTTCTCTCTCATTGGGTTGCCATTTTAAGGATGCTAGAACCTAGAGCTGCTGGGACCTTCTTTGCACTTCTCAGGGAGAGACTATCTGAAATAGAAGCCAACTCAGACACACCCAAGGGAGAAGAACAAACTCCCAGTGCAAGTCATCTGTGAACCCCAGGATAGAGACATGCCTCGAGCCAGCTTCACTCTGTGACATTCCCGGTCTTCTAAGGCAGTTCATTAAGCCAGATTGAACTAGGTTTCTGTCATTAGCAACCAAGATCATGAGTAATAAGCCAATTTAAAATGGGCCTTTATGTCTGATCTTGTGGTGCTTGACTCTGTAAGGAGAAAATAATAATAATAAGCAACCATACATTCTATGCTCTTTAAGCACTTTCTATTTTATTGGAGAGAAAACAATAATATGCATGAGTCATTGCAGAGAGAGAGAGAGAGAGAGAGAGAGAGATCTCCATTTTCCAAAACTTCATTTCTTTAGAAGTCTATGCCATCAGATCCCTGTCCTCCAGTGCTCTTTGTGTTGGCATATACTAATACTTCACATGTCACATACTTCCCTCTTCATCTACCTCGGGGACTATGGCTTCTCATTGGAATCACTTCCTCTAAAGCACCTTGAACTCTTTGTCCCCTCCTCTGTCATTCTTACCTGGTCAAGCCCAAAGTTCACTAAGTCATTCTTCACCCAGGCAGTGGCCTACACTTGATCAGTTGAATATTACTGAAGGCAAACACACCAGCTTGCTGACTCTCCATTCGTGTATTCATTCATGGTTAACATTGGGTCTTGGCTCATTGTCTTCCTTTTCTTCAATATTATCATGATTCATGAAGACTTATATATCCATATGTGATCCATCAAATCACCTTTGCCTCACCTCCAATAATCTACCCCTCTATCTTCTCAGCTACACAATTGTATGGTCATATCCTTGACCTTGTTACCATAACTGCACCCATCTGACATTCTATTCCAAGCCACTAACTCTTTATTACCTCCTATTACCTAACTAGTGTACCCATTGCAACAATTTTTGAAGAATTCATTAACCTTACCAATCTATTATTTTAAGTACCTCATGTGCACCCTCACTTTTCTCCGTATCTATCTCAGGGACCATGGTCCATGAATGGAATCACTTCCTTGAAAGTACCCTTAGCTTCTCTGTCTTCCTCTCTCTCTCCATCATTCTTACCTGATCAGAGCCCACAGCTCATTAATTCACTTCTTCATTCATGTAGTGGCCTACACTTCAGAAATGTAAAGAGGGAGAGAGAAAGAGAGAGAGAGAGAGAGCAAGAGAGATTGCAATAAAGGGCTGGAAAATCATTCACTTAAATACAAATACTGAAAGCCAACACTGAGCCAAGCTCAGGGACAACCCCAATTCCAAACTGTAATAGCAATCCCAGATTCTATTTTTGTAATGGTCAACAGATGTAGAATCAGTACTTTGCACAGTCTTGAGAAGTGAGGCAGGTATCCTCTTTGATATCCAATATTGCTGGAGGAAAACACACTACCTTGCTGACTGACCTAACTCTAAATTCAGGGTAACAGATTTCAGGCAGCATGCAAAATGTTCCTGAGTTCCTGCCACTCTTTCTACTTTCCAAAGTGATGATTTTTTAAATCTTCTTCTCTCTTACTGAGCCCCTACATCCTTATGTCCCCTCCTCCACGTCATTCCCAAATTGTGACTTTGCTTGCTACTTTATGTGTGTGTGTGTGTGTGTGTGTGTGTACCTTAAATTCACTGAGAATACAAAAAGAATTATACAAAACCCCATTCATCTTCCCTTCACTCATCCCAACCACCTACTCACATCCTTTCACTATTCCCTCTTCTTATGAAAGAAAAAAAAAGTGTCTCTGATCCTTACAGGTAAAGCCTCCACTTGTTTTTGTAGACATCATTCAACCTCATCTACTCAAGGACTTTGCTCCTGCTCTTATATCCTCTTTCTCCTGTCTGCATGCTAAGCCATGCCCTCTCTACAGAATCATCCCAATTAGCATACCAAATGTTCTAGCATCTCTATAATTTAGAACAAATAAAACAAACAAAAATCTTCTTTGCCTCTATAGTATTTCTAGCTCCATCCCATTTATTCACTTCCCTTCACTGAAGGGTATTTGAAAACTGTGTGTCCATCTTCATTTGCTCACCTTCAGTCCTCTCCTTGGTTCATTTTGATTGGGTTTCTGTCCTCATGACCAAACAAAGATTTTTTTCCTGCATGTTCTCCAATAATCACTTAGCAGAAGTTCACCTGGCTGATCACTTCCTCTTTCAAGAATCATGTCCTTCTGCCCTTCTCTTGACTTCCATCATGCACACTTCTCAAATATCCCCCCTAACTCACTGGCTGATTCTATCCTCCTCCCACCCCTTCAGTCTCATTTCCTTGATCTTTTGTCTCTGCTTGACTTGGCAAAGTTGGAGACTCCTAAGGCCTTTCTCATTCACTAAAATCTCTTATTTGTTCCCAGGGTCATAAATATTATCTAAGTACTCAAGTTCTTGTTTCCAGTCCTTACCTCTCCCTAACTCTATGACTACTTATACACAAAGATGTACTGTCTATGTATGTCCACATAGACATTGTGTCTCAGGAGGAATGATGATCTCAGTAGGAATGTTAGAGTTAATGTGATCCAAATGGAACTATTGATTCTTCTCCAGATCTGTTCTTTCCAAGTCTTCTTCACCATGGTACATGGTATCCAGTTGCTCAAGCTAAAACAGTAGAAATTATCTGAGATTCTCTTTTGCACAGACCCCACTCTCAGTCTTTCAATAAGCAAGTGTAGTTGCCCTAACTCCAAAACCTACTCCAAATCTGTGCATTTTCCTTATTGTCATACCTCCTCCACTGGTGAAGCCACCATCACATCTCCTGTGGATGAATGCAGTAGCTTACAGCTGTTTTTCTTACTACTTCTCTAGTTCCTTTCAACTCTTTATTCACCCCAGCAGAATAATCACTTTCAAATATAAATTAGAACTTGCTTTTGCCTGTTTAGAGTCCATCAATATCTTCTCATCATCCTTGGAACAGAATGCAAACTCCTGGCTTGGGAACACCAATCCAGTGCAGTCTAAGCTGAGCACCATATGCGGGGATGTCTGTATTTAAGTTGGCAGGAATATCATGGCAGTGAGTCAGTAAAAAGTGCTGAAAAAGAAATCAGGCTATGTTTGAAGGCTGAAGAATTGGCTGACTACAAGTCTGGTGCTTAGGACTGGATCCCTGCACAAGAGGTGGACAAAGCAGCTATCCCTGCAGCACTGCTTGACATATCCCTGGGCATGGCTCTCCATACCCCTGATGTGGAAATCATAGGATGAATCATTCTTTTCTAAAGTGTATATACCAATAAAGCCTATGGAAACTGGGGAGAAAAAAGTCCAAACTTCTGGCCAGGTGCAGTGGTTCATGCCTGCAATCCTAGCACATTGGAAGGCTGAGGTAGAAGAATCACTTGAGCCCAAAACTTCAAGACCAGCCTGGGCAACATAGTAAGACACTGTCTTTACAAAAAAATAAAAATAAAAAAAATAGCTAAGTGTGGTGGCACACACCTGTAGTTCCAACTACTTGGGAGACTAAGGCAAGAGGATCACTTGGGACTAGGAGTTCAACACCAGCCTGGGCAACCTAGTGATACCTTGTCTCTACAAAATAATAATAATAAAAATTAGCCAGTTGTGGTGGCATGCACCTGCACTCTCAGCTACTTGGGAGGCTGAGGCAGGAGAATCCCTTGAGCTCAAGAGGCCAAGGCTTCTCTGAACTGTGATTGTACCACTGTACTCTAGCTTAGGTAACAGAGCAAGATCCTGTCTCAAAAACAACAACAAGAAAAACAGTCCAAATTTCTTAAGCTGGTTGACAAAAACATCTATATATAGTCTGTGCCCAGCCAATATCATTAGGCTAATCCCATGTGGCTATCTTCCTCACTTCCTCAGCTCCCCAACACTGGTCGTCTTCCAGTTCCTCATGACCAGCTCATTCACACTCCCGACTTTTATATGAGCTGTTCCTTCTGCCAGGAAGTTTTAGCCCCTAACTGGCATATGGCATTTTCTCATTCAAAGCTTACTGTTACCTCACATCTACAGAGAAATCTTCATTGATCAACAACTAGTCACTCACACTGACCTCTTTATAAATTTAATGTATGGGAGAGAGGGAGAAAATGGTGGGCAGGAGACAGGACTAACCTGCAGCTCCTGCTCAGATGGACAGAACAGTATGTGGAGACTCATACTGTGAACTTTTGCTCCAAGAACCACCACAGGAACATACCAGGAAAACTCAAAGAATTCACAGACCCTTTGAAAGAAACAGCTTACCTCTGCAAACTCCACAGGACAGCCAAAAATCTGTGAGTTTTCAAAGTGTGGGAGAAAAAAAAAATCTGCCTCTGAACACACATTCCTATTGGGGAACCTGAAAATCCAGATCACGGGAGAAGGATTTAACCTTACTTATAGCTGACATGGATTTAGAGAGCCAAATGAAATATAAAAGTAGAAGAAGCAGTGAGAAAAGCCCTATAGGCATTTCTTGTCCCCAGCTTGAGCCCAGGGAAGCCATTTTTGGCCTTATCTCACACTGGTCCTTGGAGAAGGGAAGGCAGCCAGTGGAATTGGAGAGGGGCCACAGGGTGAAGGAAGCTCCTAGCTGAACCTTGTAACAATTTCAACTGAGCACAAATTGTCCTGAGTGGAATCATGGGGGGACAATTGGGAACTGCAGATATGAGTACAGAAGCCACAGCCAAAGGGGCAGGTAGGTGGGGAGGAGTGAGGCCTGACAGCCTTGCTTGCTTTCTCAGCAGGAAGGCTTGTAACCTGGGGCAAGATCTCAGCCTTGTTCAATGGCTGCCTGGAGATAAACTCAGTGCTGTCATTGGGGCACGTCAAGAGTGAGGCTGGCCTTGCTGGCTGCCTGGGAGCTGGGTGAGGCCTGTCAATGCCGGCTTTCCCCCACTATCCTGGTGACCTGTATAATGCAATAGAGGCAGCTATAACCCGCCATGGGAACACTGGCCTGAGAACTACCCCAAATCCCCCACAGTGGTCACAGCAAGCCCTGCCAAAGGAGAGTCTGAGCTCAGATCCAACCCTGCCCCCACCTGATGGCTTTCCTCTATCTGCCCTAGTAGCTCAAGACAAAATACATAAACTGTTAGAAGAAATATGGCCCTGCCCATCACCTGAGAAACCCCAGTACTTATCCTGGCCAATGTAGGGCAGAATTATATGCCCTTTCTACTACTGCAGCTGGTGCTTTTTTGAAGTGCCACCTCCTGGCTGGAGGTCAACCAACTCAAGCCATTCCAGCAACTCATAACAGAATAACCCTGCTCCAAAGAAGGAGAAAACAACAGCTAATTCCACCACCTACAATACTGTGGCTAATTAGAGGTCCTTAGTGTGTCCATGTAACAACTTCACTGCTAGCATAATCAGCATCTGAAAAAACCAATACACTAGACAAAATTACAACCAAGGACTCCTACAGAGTCTACTTCACTCCCCTGCCACCTCCACTGGAGCAGGTGCTATTAAGCACAGCTGGGACATCTGAACACAAATCACATCACAGAACTCTTTGCAGACATTTCCCAGAACCAGCCCAGAGCCTGGAAGCCCTGCTGGGTGGCTAGATCCAGAAGAGCAATGACAATCAATGCAGTCCAGCTCTCAGGAAGCCCCATCACTAGGAGAAGGGGGAGAGCACCATATCAAGGGATCAACTCATAGGACAAAAAAATCTGAACTGCAGCACTTGAGTTTCAGATCTTTCCACTGAAACAGTCTACCCAATTAAGAAGGAACCAGAAAAGTAATTCTGGTAATATGACAAAACAAGGTTCTATAACACCCTCAAAAGATTGCACTATCTTTTGAGCAATGGATCTAAACAAATGAAATCTCTATATTGCTAGATAAAGAATTCAGAAGGTTGATTATTAAGCTACTCAGAGTAGCTTAATACTCCTTCCCTGTTTCACCTTTCTCTGATTCAGAGAAAGGTGAAAACCAACTTAAAAAAAATTTAAAAATAATACAGAATATGAATGAAAAGGTCTCCAGAGTAATAGATATCTTAAAGAAAAGACAATCACCACTTCTGGAAATGAAAGACAGACTTAGAGAAATGCAAAATACACTGGAACTTTCAAAAATAGAATTAAACAACTAGAAGAAAGTACTTCAGAACTCAAAGACAAGGCTTTCAAATTAACCCAATTCAATAAAGACAAATAAAAATGAACACACCTGTAATCCCAGCACTTTGGGAGGCTGAGGCAGGAGGATCACTTGAGTTCAAGAGTTTGAGACCACACTGGCCAACATGGTGAAACCTCATCTCTACCAAAAAATACAAAAATTAGCCAGACAGGGTGGTACACACCTGTAGCCCCAGCTACTTGGGAGGGTGAAGTGGGAGAATCACTTGAACTTGGGAGGAAGAGGTTCAAGTGAGCTGAGATTGTGCCACTGCACACCAACCTGGGTGACAGAGTAAAACATGTCAAAATAAAAAAAAAAAGAACAAAGCCTCCAAGAAACTTGTGATTATGTTAAATGACCAAACAAAAGAATAATTGATATTCCTGAGGAAGAAGAAAAATCTAAAAGTTTAAAAAACTTATTTGAGGGGATATCAAGAAAACTTCCCTGATCTTGCTACAGATCTAGACATCCAAATATAAGAAGCTCAAAGAACACCCTAGAAATTCATTGCAAAACTATAATCACCTAGGCACATAGTCATCAGGTTATCTAAAGTCAAGATGAAGGAAAGAATCTTAGGAGCTATAAGGCAAAAGCATCAGGTAATCTATAAGGGAACACCTATTAAATTAACAGCTGATTTCTCAGCAGAAACCCTGCAAGCCAGAAGGGATTAGGGTCCTATCTTTAGCATCCTTAAACAAAATAATTATCAGTCAAGAATTTTGAATCCAGCAAAACTAAGCTTCATAAATGAAGGAAATAACGTCTTTTTCAGACAAACAAATGCTGAGAGAATTTGTGACTACCAAATGAGCACTACAAGAAATGCTAATAGGAGTTCTAAATCTTGAAACAAAACCTCAAAATACACCAAAATAGAACATCCTTAAAGTATAAATCTTACGGGGCCTATAAAGCAATAACGCAATGAAAAAAACAAAAAGTATTCAGGCAATAACTAGAATGATGAATAGGACAGTATCTCACATCTCCATACTAACATTGAATGTAAATGGCCTAAATGCTCCACTTAAAAGACACAGAATGGCAGAATGGATAAAAATCCACTAACCAAGTATATGCTGTCTTCAAGAGACTCACCTGACACATAAGAACTCACATAAACTTAAGGTAAAGGTTTGGAAAAAGATATTCCATGCAAATGGAAAAGTGAGCAGGAGTAGCTATTCTTGTATCAGACAAAACGAACTTTTTTTTTTTACTATATGCATGTATCATACTTTGTTTATCCATTATCCAGTAGAAGGACATTTGGACAGTTTGGACTGTTTGGTGATTATGAATAAAACCACTATGAACATTCACATATAGGTGTTTGTATGAATATAGGTTGTCATTTCTCCTGAATGAACCTGGGGGTAGGGTTGCTGGATTGTATGGGAAATGTGTATTTAATTGTAAAACAGATTTAAAGCAACAACGTTTTAAAAGAAACAATGGACTTAAACTATACTCCACAAAAAAAAATGGACTTAACAGCTATTTACAGAACATTCTACACAACAACTGCAGAATACACATTCTTTCCATCAGCAAATGGAACATTCTCCAAGATAGACCATATGACAGGCCACAAAACAAGGCTCAATAAACTTAAGAAAATTGAAATTATATCAAGTACTCTCTCAGACTACAATGGAATAAAACTTGAAATTAACTCCAAAGGGAACCCTCAAAACCATACAAATACATGGAAATTAAACAGTCTGCTCCTGAAAGATCTCTGGGTCAACAATGTAATAAAGATGGAAATTAAAAAGTTCTTTGAACTGAACAACAATAGTGGCGCAACCTATCAAAACCTCTGGGATACAGCAAAAGCAGTACTAAGAGGAAAGCTTATAGCATTAAATGTCTACATTAAAAAGTCTGAAAGAGCACAAATAGAAACTCTTAGCTCACACCTCAAGGAACTAGAGAAACAAGAAAAAAACAAATCATTTCTTTTGTTCAACCAAAAAACCCAAACCCAGCAGAAGAAAAGAAATAACAAAGATCAGAGCAGAACCAAATTAAATTGAAGCAAACAACAACAAATAATACAAGAGAGAAATAAAACAAAAAGCTGGTTCTTTTAAAAAATACACAAAATCGATACACCATTAGCAAGATTAACTAAGAAAAGAAGAGAGAAGATCCAACTAAGCTCAATTAGAAATGAAACATGAGATATTACAACCAATAGCACAGAAATAAAAAAGATCATTCAAAACTACTAGGAACATTGTTATGCACACAAACTAGGAAACCTAGAAGCGATAGATAAATTCCGGGAAATATACAACCTTCCTAGATTAAACCAAGAAGAAATAGAAACTCTGAACCGACCAATAACAATAGCAAGATTGCAACAGTAATTTAAAAAATTGCCAATATAAACAGTCCAGGACCAGATGAATTCACAGCTGAATTCTATCAGACATTCAAAGAAGAATGGGTATCAATTCTACTGAAACTATTTCAAAAGATAGAGAAACAGGGAATCCTTCCTAAATTATTCTGTGAAGCCATTATCACCCTAATACCAAAACCAGCAAAGGACATAACAAAAAGAGAAAATTACAGACCAACATCCCTGATGAACATAGATGCAAAAATCCTCAACAAAATACTAGCTAACTGAATTGAAGAACATACCAAAAATATAATCCACCATAATCAAGTAGAATTCATACCAGGGGTGCAGAGTTGGTTTGACATACAGAAGTCAATAAATGCGATTCATCACACAAACAGAATTAAAAACAAAACTCTTATGATCATCTCAATAGATGCACCGGAAGCATTTGACAAAATCCAGTATCGCTTTGTGATTAAAACTCTCAGTAAAATCAGCATAGAAGGGACATACCTTAAGGTAATAAATGACGTCTATGACAAACCCACAACCAACATTACACTGAATGGGGAAAAGTTGAAAGCATTCCCCCTGAGAACTGGAACAAGACAAGGATGCCCATTTTCACCACTTCTATTCAAAATCATACTGGAAGTCCTAGCCAGAACAAGCAGACAAGAGAAAGAAATAAATAGTATCTAAATGGGTAAACAGGAAGTAAAAACTGTCACTGTTTGCCAATGATATGATTGTATACCTCAAAAACCCTAAAAACTCATCCAAAAAGCTCCTAGATCTGATAAATGAATTCAGTAAAGTTTCAGATACAAAATCAATGCACACAAATCAGTAGCACTGCTATACAACAACAGCAACTAAGCTGAGAATCAAATAAAGTACTTAACCTCTTTTACAACAGTTGCAATAAAATAAAATAAAATA
Organism: Homo sapiens; assembly: GCF_000001405.40. Taxonomy (NCBI): domain Eukaryota; kingdom Metazoa; phylum Chordata; class Mammalia; order Primates; family Hominidae; genus Homo; species Homo sapiens. The sequence continues at coordinate 133,779,785 of NC_000008.11, read as the reverse complement.
CTTAGGAATACACCTAACCAAACAGGTGAAAATCTCTATAAGGAAAACTACAAAACACTGCTAAAAGAAGTCATACATGACCCAAACAAATGGAAACACATCCCATGCTCATGGATAGATAAAATCAATGTTGTGAAAATGACCATATTGCCAAAAGCAATCTATAAATTCAAAGCAATTCCTATCAAAATACCATCATCATTATTCACAGAACTAGAAAAAACAATCCTGAAATTCATGTGGAACCAAAAAAGCCTGCGCAGCTAAAAAATGACTAAGCAAAAAGAACAAATCTGGAGGCATCACATTACCCAACCTCAAATTTTACTACGAGGCTATAGTTACCAAAACAGCACGGTACTGGTATAAAAATAGGCATGTTTTTAGACTAATGGAACAGAATAGAGAATCCAGAAATCAAGTCAAATACTTACAGCCAACTGGTATTTGACAAAGCAAACAAAAACATAAAGTGGGGAAAGGACACCCTATTCAACAAACGGTGCTTGGATAATAGGCAAGCCACAGGTAGAAGAATGAAGTTGGATCTTCATCTCTCACCTTACACAAAAATCAACTCAAGATAGATGAAAGACATAAATCTAAGACCTGAAACCATAAAAATTCTAGAAGATAACATCAGAAAAACTCTTGTAGACATTGGCTTAGGCAAAGAGTTCATGACAAAGAACCAAAAAGCAAATGCAACAAAAACAAAGATAAACAGATGGAACCTAATTAAACTAAAAAGCTTCTGCACGGCAAAAGAAATAATCAGCAGAGTAAACAGACAACCCATAGAGTGGTAGAAAATCTTTGCAAACTATGCATTCGACAAAGAACTAATATCCAGAATCTATAAGAAACTCAAACAAATCAGCAAGAAAAAAACAAATAATTTCATCAAAAACTGGGCTAAGGACGTGAATAGAAAATTCTCAAAAGAAGATATGCAAATGGCCAATAAACATATGAAAAAAATGTTCAACATCACTAATTATCAGGGAAATACAAATCAAAACCCCAATGTGATAACATTTTATTCCTGCAAAAATGGCCATATTAAAAAATCAAAAAATAATAGATGTTGGCGTGGATATGGTGAAAAGGAAACACTTATACTGCTGGTGGGACTGTAAACTAGTACAACTACTATGGACAATAGTGTGGAGATTCCCTAAATAACTAAAAGTAGATCCATCATTTGATCTAGGAATCCCACTACTGGCTATCTACCCAGAGGAAAAGAATTCACTATATGAAAAAGATGCTTGCACATGCATGTTTATAGCAACACAATTCACAATTGCAAAAATATGGAGCCAGCCCAAATGCCCATCAATCAACATATGGATAAAGAAAATGTGTGGTATATACATACCATGGAATACTACTCAGTCATTAAAAGGAACAAAATAATGGCATTCACAGCAACCTGGATGGAGTTGGAGACCATTATTTTAAGTGAAGTAACTCAGGAATGGAAAATCAAATATCATATTTTCTCACTTATAAGTGGGATATAAGCTATGAGGATGCAAAGGTGTAAGAATCATATAATGACCTCTGAAATCTTGGGGGGAAGATTGGGAGGGGAGGTGAAGAATAAGAGACTACACATTGGGTACAACGTACACTGCTCAGGTGACGGATGCACCAAAATCTCAGAAATCGCCACTAAAGAACTTACCCGTGTAACCAAACACCCCCTGTTCTCCGAAAATTATTGAAATAATAATAACAACAAATAAATTTAACGTATGTTCTGGAATAATCAGTGCATGCACATTCAAAAGATACCAAAGGTTATACAAGGAGGGAAAAAAGCAAACATTTTTTTCCTTCTCCTTTCTCCAGCCATCCCAATAGTCCCTGGAGGTAACTCTTGTCCCTACTTTCTCAAATAGTCTTTCTTCATGTGGGCTATGTGATTAATAACATACATGTATTCTTTTGTTTGATTTTTCCCATAATTAAATGGCAGCACACTCAATATGCTGTTCTATAAGATGCTTTTTTCACTTCACAAAACATCTTAGATGTTGTGTTGTATCTCTATCCATCTATCTATTTAGAAATTGCCTTACTCTTTTTAATAGTTCCAGAGGGCTCTATTGTAGGGATACACTGTATTCTCTATTGATGGACATTTACATTATTTCCCCTTTTTTTTGCTAGTTCAGTGATGCAGTGAATATCCTTGTACACATATGAGCTGCTTTGCATATGTGCTAACATGTTTGTAGGATAAATTTCCTAGGAGCCAAACTGCCACATCAAAGTCGATGCACATTTTAAATGTTGATAGCTATTGCCCAATTGCTCTTTACAGAGCCTGTCCCAGTTTACACTTCCACCAGCCTCACCTTATTTAAATCCTCTGCAGAGCAATTACCACTTTCCAATATTGTCTGTTCATTGCTTTTCTCCCCCAGGGTGGAAACCATTTCATTGCTGCTGGGCTCCTGGGGCCTAGATCATTGTCTGGTAAGCTCTCAATAAATAGGCTTGGAATAAATGAACAGACAATTGAAAATGGACACAGTAAAAAGAACAAGAAGCTTGGCATTCAAATGACATCAGGTTCAAATCCTGGGTCTGTCATAACTCTTTGGCCTTGGGGCAAATTATTTAACCATTCTGAGCCCCATTTCCTCATCTGGTAAACAGAGATAAAAATAACCGCTACTTTGAAGACTTACTCTCAGGACCAAATAGGATCATAGCTGTGACAAGTGTTTTGTGACCACAGACAGCTCCAGCTCTGTGCCGTTACTAGGATCCTGGGCTGATGAGAAACCATCTCCAGCTAAGAGGTAAATCCTAAATCAATGCACCATTTAAACTTAGTGACCACGCATGTTGAACACCATAAACTTCCAATGAAACCTGTAGAAAGCACAAGGATAATTTGGCAGGGCTTCTACTGGCTAGTTCTTATTGAATAGAAGGTTGATTTGCCAGCAAATACTCCCTACAGAGAAGCAGATGTTTGGAGCCCTAGGCTTAAAGTCTACCAAAGAAATCAGGGCACACTAGTTTTTCTAGAAGATTAAAAATAATGTCCATTTAAAGATACTGCTGATGCCTGGGGTGAGGTGGGACAGGAGTGAAAGAATATGTTCTAGCAAGGGTCAGGGGAGACACCTTTTCTTAGGGGTGTAAGGGTTAGTTCCCAAAGGTGGAGGACTTCCCCAGATAGTGAGCAAATAAAAGATTTAACAGCTCCTACGGGAACTAGCCAGAACCAATTACAATCAGGACTAGCCTGGCTTAGCATAAAAAGTCTGGTAGAAAACTGCATGCTGAGAAATTGAGTGTCTTATTGGGGAGAAGGGCTGGCTGGTTTCCAGAAATCACCGGGCATAAGGCCACCCTGATGTCTCTGTTTTAGATTGTGATTGACCACTGAGTAGCTGCCCAAGTTGAGACGCTCTGCTCAGCCCCCAGCCTGACAGGACAATTGGCCCACACTGCCCCGGAGGCTGCTGGGCAGGAGCTGGTAATTGACAGAGAACTCATTATCGAAGGACAGAGCCTCTGAGCATGCTGGGAATTGGAACTGACAGAGCCCAAGGGCCTGGGAATCGGATCACTGGGAAGAGACAGCCCAAGTGTTGTGTGTCCTGGACGTACAGAGGAAAATAAAGTTTCAGAAATTGCTCGGCACTAAAAGAGAGCTCTGGTATTGAAAGCCATCTCTGATCCGCTCTCCATGTGGCTTTGGGCATGCAATTGACCTCTGTGAGCTTCAGTTTTGTCACCTCCAAAATAGAGATGACAATAAATCTTTTTCGTGGAGTAAGAAATAAGGATGCTGTAACTATGACATTGATGATCATCATTATAACAACTAGCAGCTATTTCACATCCTCCAGATGCCAGAGACCATTTGAAGAGTGCTAAAAATGGGCCAGGCACAGAGGCTCACACCCGTAATCCCAGCGTTTTGGGAGGCCCAGGCAGGAGGGTCGCTTGAGCCCAGGAGTTTGAGAATAGCCTGGGCAACATAGTGATAACCCTCCATCACTACAAAAAATCAGAAGGGTGTGGTGGTGCACACCTGTAGTCCCAGCTACAAGGGAGGCTGAAGTGGGAAGATCGCTTGAGCCCAGGAGTTCAAGGTTGCATGAAGGAGTTCAAGGTTGCCATGATCACACCACTGCACTCCCGCCTGGGCTACAAAGCAAGATCCTCTCTCATATAAAATAAAATAAAAATAATATTAAAATGCATTAACTGTGTGATCCTCACAACAAGGCCTATGCTGTTATTCTCATTTTATAGATGAGGAAAGGAAAGAATAGAGATAAGATGTCGCCCTAGGTTAGATAGCTAGAAGCTGGCAACGTTCGAATTTGAAGCTGAACATTCTGGCTCTGGAGCGCATTCTGTTAACCATGTGCTCGTCAACCTGGATAAGAAGCACAAAAAGAAGAAGGGCCCCTGCAGCACCTGGCAGAAAGAGGTGTTCAATAACAATACTTTCTCCTTTCTCCTACCCCTCACGCCCACCTAGGAGCATTCTAGACTATCTCTAATTTAAAAATCTGATGTGTGCCAACCCCATAGCTGGCGAGGAACAAAGTCTTCCATAATCCTCTATAGGATTTTTAGAAGTTCAAATGCTTTAAATAGTCCAGTTCCCAAAAGACCGAGTCCTATTGTCCAAGAAGTATAAAAACCTCCTGCTGTCCTTAACCTCGAAAGACAAGAATGATTTGAGTAAATTGAACCTGGGGAAAAGCAATCTCCAGGTAGAGGAACCAGCGGGATGAGCTTTGAGGGCTGAGCATTCAAGGCGCAGATGAATAGCATGTCCTCACCAGGGGAAGCCGCAATGCCAGGGGCTGGGGAAAGTTAGCAGGGGGAAGGTGGGGAACATGGCAATTCAGAAAGATTGTAACGGATCACGACTATTACGCCAAAGGCTTTAGAATTTAGGGCATCCCAGAGGCTTACTTGTGCAATGAATCTGTCCTTTACACGTCTGTCTTCCCACCTCAGTGTCACATAGGGAACCCACACTCCATCTACTAGGTAGAATGGAGCCCATTACATATTGTATTACTTTCTTGTTGCTGTTGTAACAGATTTTCACAAACTTTGCAGCTTAAAACAACATAAATTGAATATCTTATAGTTCTGAAGTTCAGAAAGTCCAAAATGGACTTAGGGGGCTATAATCAAAGTATCAGTAAGACGGGGTTCCTTCTGGGGCTCTAGGAGAGGACATGTTCCTTGCTTCTGCAGCTTCCAGAGGCTGCTTGAATTTCCTGGCTTGTGGCTGCATCACTCCTAACACTGTTTCTGTTATCACATCCCCACCGATGCTGCCGCTCCAGCCTTCCTCTTGTAGAGACCACTGTGATTACATTGGGCTCAGTCAAATAATCTAGGATAATTCCTCCGTCTCAAGATTCTTAACTTAATCACGTCGGCAAAGTCCCTTTGCCATGTGAAATAACATATTTAGAGGTTTCCAGAATTAGGACATGGACATCTTTGTGAGGGACATTATTCGGTCTACCACATCTCTATTCAACAATGTTAACCTCAAGAAAGTAATCTAATATCCTCGTGCTTCAGTTTCCTCATCTGTGCAGTGGATTAAATAATACCATTTACTCCACAAAGTGGTTCTGAAAAGTAAGCGGGTGAATATTCATAAAGCACTGCGCCCTGGGCTGGCACTGCCCAGCTGCCGAGCACAATGTGATGGGGGATCCAAGAGGGAGAGTGACCCCACCCTCCCCTTCCTTCTCCCAAACTCAACTGGGTGTAACGAGGATGCCAAGACCCCACACCTGGCCCCATTGTTCCTTGGAGTGCCCCGCTCTTCCTGCTGCCCCAGTGCTTCACACCTGGTGTTGGTGACCCCCTGAGCCTCACCTCCCGCCTCAGCCCCCACCAGGCCTCCAGTGTTGGGTAAGTCACCTATGTATTCCTAATACACTGTGCTGTTTCTCTCTGATGCGGCTCCTCCACGACGTCCCCTGGGAGTCCATCATCCCAGGGCAGCCTTTCACCCCTGGCTGACCCCCAGTTTACTTTCAGAAGGAGCTCAGCTACTTCATCTTTGTAGCGAGCTTCTTCAGCACCCACGGGCTGGTGCAAGAACCCTTCTTGGTTCCCAAGGCTGTCCGCCCTCGCTCATACTATGTCACATTTTGCATGACATTGTAGATAGCTGTCACCTTTGCTGCTCCCTCTAAGGCCTCTGAACTCCCCAGGGGAGGACTTTCCTTTTCCAGCTTCTAGAGGCCACCCACATCAGCCTGCATTAGGCCCCAGAATCAGCCCTCAGCCAGCGACGGACAGAAGAAGTGGAGGATAAATATCCGAGCTTCCTTGCCCCTCAGTGGAGACAACTTTGCATCACATTCTATGTAATCTCTCAGAGCCCCCAGTGGACTGAGATCAGCTGCCCACAGTAGTACCTGGCTTCATAACGCACCCTTAAGTGACCCTCTTTCCCTCGCCACCTCCCCACATCCTTATGATACAGGAGTTAAGAATAAATTACTTAGGCAGATAGTAAGGGCATGGGAGTCCTCAGTAATGCTATTCTTTTTAATGAAAAGCAGCCCCAAATCATTTTCTAACAAAGAGCAGCCTGCAAGCTGGGAGCTTGCACGGGTGAATGCCGGTAGGAACTAAGGACTAGATATTTTCAAGATGGAGGCTCCATCTTCCCTTCTCTGCCAGCCAGGTGTATTGTAAGGAGCAGATAAGATGGCACGGATCAACTGGAAAGCCCATTTGCATAAGAAGATCAGGGTGGGCGACCAGCCTTCCCTGCGCACTATGTAAACGTCATACCTGATCTAGCTAATCTGTGAGCCCCACGTAAATCTGACACCACGTCCTCAAAGTGAACTATAAAACTCAGCGCATTTGCCACCAGCCGGTCCTTTACGTTGAGAGACCCCTTCCTCTATAGAGTAAGCTATTTCTCTTTCTCTTCTCTTCCACCTATTAAACCTCCGCTCCTAAACTGCTCATGCGTGTCCATGTCCTAAATTTTCCTGGCGCATGACAATGAACCCCAGCTTATATACTCCAGACAACGTAGCCCCTTCAATTACAGGACTAGTGTTTCCTGGGATGATTTTTCAAACAGAAAACTTGCACCGAGTTATCATCTCAGGGTGTTAGGGGACCCAAACCAAGACAAAGAAAGAAAATGTATTTGGGATGACTAATTTAATGTTAAAGCATAGAACTGGTACAAGAGAAACTGAGGAAATGAGGAAGTCTCTGAGAATCCTTGAAACTTTCGAAGTAAGGGAGAAGTCTGGGTTTTTACCTCTACATGGGATAATTGTTTAAATACTAAATGATGGCCAGGTGTGGTGGCCAAAGTGCTCCCAGCATTTTGGGAGGCTGAGGCAGGAGAATCGGTTGAGCCCAGGAGACCAGCCTGGGCAACATTGTGAGACCTCATCTCTACAAAACATTTTAAAACATTACCCAGGAATGGTAGTGTGCGCCTGTAGTCCCAGCTACTCAGGAGGCTAAGGTGGGAAGACTGCTTGAGCCCAGGAGGCAGAGGCTGCAGTGAGCTGTGATCACACCACTGCATTCCAGCCTGGGCAACAGAGTGAGACCCTGTCTCAAAGAAAAAACAAATAAATAAATAAATATTAAATGATGACTCCACGCAGCCAGAAGGTTCGGATCCACACCAACAGAGGGCACAAAAGATGTACTCATTTCTTGTATCCCCCCAACAAGGCCCAGCCAGGAGCTGAGCTCACACAGTCATCCCCTTAGAGACCCTCTCTTCTCTGGGCTTGTTTTGATCCTTTGTTGCAGAGCATATTTTTGTGCAGTCAACTGTGCACCCAGAAGAGGGGGCCAGGCAGGGGGCCTCATTTACCCCCATGCCTGGCACAATGTCCGGTGCAAAAATCACTCACCTCAGCTGGATGATTTACAATTTGGTGACACCCCTCCCACCCTCAACATGTCCAGAGAGCTAAAAGAAGTTAATCATTAAACAGATTGCAGTAGAAGGGCAGTGCGTCTCCAGGGCCTCCCACAGCACATTGCATGTACTTGAGAAAGGAGGGAAGATTGGTTCTAAGGCCACCCAGGGAACTTCTCTTGGTGCTTCCCTGTGGAGCCCCACGGGCTGCCCTGGGCTCCCCCAGCCCTGAGAGATAGTTATTGTCTAAGCAGAAGCTATAAAGCTATCTGTGTTCCCCAGAGCTCCCCTACCCCACTCTGTGGCTCAGAGGTCCTGCGGTAAAGATCCTGGATGCGATAGGTGGTTTCAATGAGGCCTCTTCTCACCATCCGCCAGCTGGGCATAGCAAGCCATTGTCACCTGGGACCTCAGTCAATGTTCTCACAGACCCAGGATAGCCAGCAGAGCACGTGGTCTCACTTAAGCCCCTGTTATGAGTCTCGCATGTGACAATCCTAGGATCCCGCCTGGTGTTAGTTGGCATTACTGGGGTCTCTCAGGCCACAATTCTGGGGCTAAGAAAGGCTCTGTTCCTCTCCCCTGGCTCCTCGCCCTGCAGTGGGGCTCTTCCCACCACATCTAAGGGAAAGGAAAGCGGCAACAGCCACCAAGAGGCAGCCCCTTGGTTGCACATAATGAGAACATTCTAGAACTTGAATTCACATCTCACTGAACCCCCAGTGCTCCTTTGGGGCACCCACCCAGCTGGCCATAGGTTTGGAAAAAGACACCACTCTCTGTCTGGGCAGCTGAGGTCCTGCTCTTTTCAAGGTTTAGCAACTTGAGGGAGGCGACCTGCAATTTGCAGAGGCTGCTGACAAGCCTGCAGAGTGGAGCGCAACTGTGAAACTGTGAAAATGCTCTGGCCACAAATGCAGGAGTCAGTACCCAACAATGACAACAAATCACCCCTGGGGGCCCTCCACCTCCAAACATCAAATAGCATAATGGCCTTGCTGCTAAGTCCATCAGTGTCCAGAGAGGCTCAGTGCAATCCATTCTACCCATGCCGTTCATTGGAAATGTGGATGCAGCCATATACAAGGAATGTGGAGGTTTTGTGAAAGCTGCCCCACCAAGCTATGCATGGTAAAGGCTCTTTCAAACAGCCTTCCTCCACAGCAGGGATGTCCTGGCCCATCTAAGCTGTATTTTGTTTGTTTGTTTGTTTCAATAGTATCAGGCTTAATTTTAAAAACAGAAATATCAATTAATCTATTTGTAATTAATTGAATTAATTTTTAAAACAAATACATATTTTAAACAGATATACATGGTGCATGGTTGAAGTCCCAGCATTCAGGCATTTCAACATGTCTATGAAAAGAGTCAAACTGTGAAATATTTGAAGATATTTCTTCTGAGCCAAATATGAGTGACTATGGCCCATGACACAGCCCCAGGAGATCCTGAGAACGTGGGCCCAAGGTGGTCAGGCGACAGCTTGGTTTTATACATGCTGGGGAGACATCAATCAATACATGTAAGATGCACACTGGTTTGGTCTGGAAAGGCAGGACAACTTGAAGAGGGTGGGTCAATTGGCTGAAAGGGTTAAGTTATTATCTAAAGACCTGGAATCCATAGAAAGGAGAGTCTAGGTTAAGTAAGGGATTGTGGAGTCCAAGGTTCTTATTTTGCAGATAAAACCTCCAGGTAGCAGGGTACAGAGAGAATGGATGGTAAATATTCTCATCAGATTTTAAAAGGTGCCAGACTCAGTTAATTCTCTCCTGGATAAGCGAAAAGACCTGGAAACAGAAGGAGATTCTCCATAGAAAGTACATTTTCTCCTCAAGGGACAGTTTCACAGACCATTTCAAAATATGTGAAAGAGGCCAAGCGCGGTGGCTTATACCTGTAATCCCAGCACTTTGGGAGGCTGAGGCTGAAGTATCTCATGAACACAGGAGTTCGAGACCAGCCTGGCCAACATGGCAAAACCTCTTCTTTATTAAAAATACAAAAATTAGCCAGGTGTGGTGGTGCAAGCCTCTGATCCCCGCTACCTGGGAGACTGAGGCAGGAGAATCACTTGAACCTGGGAGGCAGAGGTTACAGTGAGACAAGATCCTGCCACTGCACTACAGCCTGCGCAAAGCAAGAATCTTAAAAAAAAAAAACAGCCAAAGACATCTGTTTTGTGGTAAAATACTTTTGTGGTAAAATTTCTTTCAGGGCCTGCTATTTTTCATGTGATACTATATTAGAATTAGGTTGGAATTTGGTATCTTATTGCTACCAAATATTCTGTTTTGTCATTCTAAAGATCTTTGTTTTCATGCTAATGCTGGTCAGTTGTGCCTGAATTCCAAAGGGATGAGGGTATCATGAGGTATGTCTGACCTTCCCTTCCCATCATGGCTTGAACTAGATTTTCGGGTTTATTTTGGAATGCTTTTGGCCAAGATGAAGGTCCAACAGTTGGTTGGGAGGCTTAGAATTTTATTTTTGGTTTACAGGTGGTTGGAAGAGCTCTGGGAGGAGCCCAAAGGTCAAAGGTCAGGACCTGTCCTGGGAGGAGGTGTGCGTGGGTTGGTGGTGATCTCATCCACACAGGTGTAGAGTCCTGGCTTGTTAGGAGTGTCACGCAGGGGTAAAGATGGTGGCATACCTGCCCAAGGCTACATCTGGGTCAACCGATGACTCAAGCAGCCCGGGAGAGTAGACAGACTTGATTTCTCAAAGAAGTCTTCACCTGTTTCCACAGGTTCTGAAGCTCTGGCCCTTGCCAACCTCTGCTTCCAAGGAGTCCTTGCACACCCCCGCACCAGCCTTACGGGATTAGTAACATTCCTTTCTCATAGCTACTAAGCTCCACTGTGTGCCAGACTGGCTATACACATGTTTCCAGCCCCACAACCACTCTTGGAGACGGATTTAAATAACCTCTTTGTGCATATAAGCTAACTGCAGTCAGGGACATAAAGTGACTTGCCCAGGGTCACACAGATGAAAAATTTCTGGGCCAGAATTGGGATGCAAGTTTATTTGACATCAACCCAGCCTCATGCAGTGCATTACAGAGTCCAGAAGGCTGCAGATTTGCTTGGAGGTGGCTCAGGCAGAAGCCTGACGGCTGCACATGTAACCTGAGGACATCTGTCCTGGAGAGCCAGCTCCTTACCTCTGCCATCAATGGGCTCGGCCAAGGTCAGCTGCTCCCAGCATCTGCTGGCTGGGGCTTCAATCAGCTATTGAGTGATGGCATTGAGGCACCTCTTTGGGTCTGTCATTCTAAAGAAGCCCAGGTCTCACTTTGGCAGGTAGACTATGAAAGATACGAAGAGGGATCTCTGAGCACACCAGGGTTTTTCACCCTTTGTGATGCTGCACATGTTTCTCTGTGTGCATGTGTCCCGGTGAAGCCACAGTGTCTTCAAGTATCTGCTCCGACATGACCTCTGCTGGTCCAGTACCTCCTTCTTCCAGCCCTGCCACCTCCTCTATGCAAGGGCAATGCCTTGTCCTCATGCTTCATCTTTGCTGCATCACATTGTGTTGTGATTTTGTTGGTTGTGCTTCCATCTTCCTCGCCAGTCACAAGCTGTTGAGGACATGGGGAATTGTTTCTTCTGGCTCATGCATCTCTCCACCTGCTGGGACTCACTGGCACTTGGCACATAGTAAGAGCTCAGGACATGGAATTAGCTCAATCTGGTGTGACTTGATTGGAAAGGGATGTGGGCAGAAGCCCTGGATCCTGACTCGACAAAAACGTCAGACTTCATGTGCTCCTGCACAGATATCAGCTGTTCCTGTACAGGAGGAAGAGATGGAGGAAGGGAAAGAGAGGGAGAGGTGATCAGGAGAAAAACCTTTCTCTCTTTCACTGAACAAAAGCCCCTGCTTTAATCTGATTGGAACAACTTGAGCCAATCATTGTGGTCAGTGGTGAGTCAGTGAATTGACTGGCTTGAGCCTAGGGTACTAAACAGATCTGTCTTGGTGGGTAGGCCTATGCACACCTGTTCCAAAATCTGAGGAAGCTGAGAGGCCGGGGAAAGAGGCTGACATATTGTTTTTCAGAAAGCAACATTTAGCAGAGACTTACAAACAAGCTCCAGTCTCCAGAGACATGGTCTCCCTGGGCCATTACCTTCAGACCCAGGGAAGAGATGTGTAGGACAATTGAAGTGGACCTCTCAGGGAAAGGGAAAGACAAGAATGAATGTGAATCTGCCTAAGGGCAGGATTTATGTTCAAGATAGTTTAACCTAATGGCAGGATTTACTAGGTAAGTAGATGCTCTTACGCAAGGAAGAGTAGATAAAAGCCAAATCTTAGAGGCATCCCGGAACTGGGGTTAATCAGAGGTCAACGTGGCAGATCAGCATCCGAGATGGAGCTGCTTCTGCCTCCACGCAATCACAGCCTGGCTTTCCCCAACAGAATCACTCCTTTGAGGAGGTGGAGTCCCACATGGAAAAAGTGCAGTGACCGCAGGGAGGAAATCACCATCCTAATTATAGCTTCAGTCCAGGCCAGGCGCCAGCTCCCACTGCCTGAGGACCAAATTCGGCCACTGCCTGTTTTTGTAAATATGTAATAGAGTTTCATCGGATCACAGCCACACTCATGCATGCAGCCTATGGCTCCTTTCACAGGATAAGCATAACTGAGTATGGCCCCAGAGCGGAAACTATTTACTACCTGGCACCTTACAGAAAATTGTTGCCCACCCGTGATCTCCAGAGAACCGAAAACACTTGCTGCCATTTCCCCAAGCCACCCACTTCTTGCACTGTGGGCGTCTTCATTGTTCAACTCTTCTTCAGTCCCTGAGCAGGCCAGGGATCTTCCAGTTAATGAACCTTTATCCTTAATTAAACAAACTGGAGTCTGTTTATAGTGCATACAATCCCCAAAACTTCAAAACACACAGTTCCACCCCCCACTACAACCACGATCACCACACACACACACGCACACACACACACCCTCTCCTAGGTGTATTTCACAGCATCTTCCCACGAGAGGCCCCCTCAGATTCCCAGCATGGGACTCCACATGGGTTATAGAAAGTAAACCCATCTTTGAGGCCTTTTTCCCATAGGAAAACTGCACACAAAGGGCTTCATGTCAACATGTTACTGGTGGAAGGTGTCCAGGTTCTTGGCATCTTGGACAAAGAATAGGACAAAACACACAAACAAAGTGAGGAAAGAATGAGGGATTTATGGAAAATGAAAGTACACTCCACAGGGTGGGAGTGGGCCCAAGCATAGGGGCTCAAGGGCCCTGTTACAGAATTTGCATGGGTTTAAATACCCTCTAAGGGTTTCCACTGGCTACTTGGTGTACGCCGTATATAAATGAAGAGGCTGAAGTAAAGTTACAAAGTCATTTACTCTGTGTCTGCTCTAAGGAGAGGATATTTCCTGTCACAGCTGAAGTGTGAATTGGCCTTATATTTCCTGCCTCCAGACCCTATTTTCCTGCTTCAAACATGCCTTGGGTCAAGTATTTGAAAACAGGGTCAGCCCTGAGCACAGAACTAATTGGAATTCCCGACACTCCCCCAGCATTCTCTTTCTCATCTGCCCTAACACCAACCTCTCCCCAGCTGCGAAGTCAGAAATGATCTGTGGCCACTAGTACTTCACATCTCCCTGAAATATTTTATCAACAACACAGACTCAGTTTACATGGTTAGTTGCAGCTTCACAGGAATCCCTTGCACCTCACAGAGAAGTGTTTGTTACCCAGGCCCCGTGCCCATCCCTGGGTGCTCCTGAGAGGCCCAGCACACGAGGCTGGCACAGCAGTCAGGGCCTTGAGGTCCCACAGCTCCCATGGAGAGCATTCACCCAAAAAACAGTGTCCCTTGGGTCCCATTTGTGGAGACGCCAATGTGCATGAGTCCTGGTACCCCCTGGAGATGTCTAATGTGGTGGTGCTGGCCCAAAGGGAGGACTCCTCAGATAGTGCTCTTGGGAAGTCCAGCTGTCCTTGAGCTGGACATGGTGCTGTGGAGCTGAGTGACAGGTGACAGCAGCCTCTTCCTTCAGTAATTTCTGTGGATGACTTAAGCTTTTGTTGTGATCCGGGCTCTGCCAGGATCTGGGGTGGGAATGGGGCAGGAAGGCACTGCTGCAGATGGGGGACTGGACAGATGAAGATAGGCAATGCAAAGATGCCCTAATTAGGACTCACTGGGACATACAGGGTGTTAGAAGGGCACATACAAATAATAATCATTGCTAACATTTATATAATGCTTCATATGTTACATGTGGCAGGTGTTGTTCTAAAAGCTTTGCATATATCAACTAATGGAATTCCAAAGGTGAATTCTATTATTTTCTTCGAAGTCACTCAGCTATAAATGACAGAGTTGGGAGTCCATGAACGGGATTCTGTCCCAAAGGCAGTACTGGGTGTTTTCACATACACAGAAAACCACGAGGGAGGTATGGGTCTCCTCACTGAGGAAGGAGGAAGGTGACTCAGAGAGGTTGTGCAGCTCCCATGTCGTCACACAGTTAATGAGCAAAGATTCAAACTTAACATATTTTGGACCATGGCAATGGCTTTATGAAACACAGCTTCTCCATTCAAGATGCTAAAACATTAATTGAAAAACATGAAAGGTAGATTAAGGGAAAGTGACATTGCAAGAAACTTTGCGTTAGAATGGGCATCAGAGCTCACCTCTCCCAGCCTGTGACCTACATGATAGATGGCTGTGCAGCAGCTCAGCCAGGTCCACAGCCAGCCCCTAGGAAGTTCCTTATACCCATGGAGCAGAGTACCCCAACTCACAGAGCAGCCTTCCTCTGGCTGAGGGGAGTCTTTCTCAGGAGGCTTACATCTCTTCCCCTAAGGCACCTATGACTATTGCTTCTCGCAGAGGTCTTTAGGAATATGAAGACAGATTGTGTTGTTTGGAATGACATCTGGGCAAGGAACGCACCCTCAGGACATCCTGAGTTTTGGACGCCACCTCTGCCATCACCCTGCTTGATTGATGGAGGACGATGTCCAGAACCAGCATATCAACACCGGGGGTTTTGTGACCACAGGAGATTGAAAGATGGTGAAAAAATAAATAAATTAAGGAATGAATGAGAAAATGAAGAAGTGCATAAGTGAGTGTGCCAAGTCCCAAAGCCCTCAATAGAAAAAGGTCTCTCTCCCAGTTACTTACAGTAGATGTAGCAAGAATGAAGAATAGTGTGGTCCTAGAGCAGTTTCTTAGGAGCACAGATTTGTTCTGAGAAATTTTTCATATCTTACCCTTTAAGAAAGTTCTGATTCTACCTCTGCATAAGGCCAGTGTGTGTCACAGGCAGACATGAGGACAGGATGATGCCTAAGGCAGGTGTGGCTCTTGCTGTCATGGAGACTATAATCTGGTGAATTTGGATATTATTTTAACATATCCGTTCATTCAACATACACCAACTGAATATCCTCTATAAGCCAGACACTAGGAGCACAAAGAAAAGAAAGGCCAGGGCCCCTCCATTATTAAAGTATACGGAGACAGAGAAGTCAGGCGACAACGTTAGTGGAGAGCTTAGAGGTGACTGCAGGATGCTGTGGGCACCCAAAGGAGGGAGCTTGGAAAAAGAGAGTGAAAGGAGGCTGGAGACAAATTGTCAAGTACCATGGGGACTTAGGACACCCAAGGTGAACAGAGTATTAAGGCACAGAGGTCTGAAGAAAGCACAGCATCTAACCATCTATCCACTATCTAAGCATCCGCCCATCCAAGCATCCAGACAGCAAATACTTATGAAGCTCCTCCAGCCACCCTGCTCTCACGCCAGGAACCCATATCCCTCCTGGGCACCTAAACGCTCTCTAGTCTGCCTGCTTGGCTCCGTGGACACGGACCCTGCTTGGCAGGCCACCATGAGATTGCACCAGCCTCCTGTGTGTCTCCATCCATGCTCCATGCAGCAGCCCCAGGGAGCTGTCAGAAAGGGTAATTTGAATGTGTCATTCCCCTTCTGGAAGCTTTCATTGTCATCGTAGTGCCCTTGAGAGAGATGACTCACAGGCCCTGCTGATCCTGCAGCTTCTCCTCTTGCCAACCTCATCCTTCCCGGACCCCGGGACCCTACACCTTGCACACTCCTCCCACCACATTCTGCTCTCACATGTATCCTGGCCTCTGCTTTGCATGCTCTTCCCACCACATTCTGCTCTCACATGTGTCCTGGGCTCCGCTACCTCCAGCTTCCTGCTTAAAAGAGAAGTTGAGGAAGTGCATGATAAGAGGGGTCTGAATTGCGGGGTGATAACTGAAAGAGAAAGAGTGCGATAGAGCAAATAACATTGTGTGAGTAGGAACTTAAGATCCGCCAAGTGTGATTAGAATCATGGCATAAGGGGCTCTCAAACAAGCTGCCTCCATGGCCGGAGTTCATGGGCCATCCTAGATTGCTCCCTGTGGATCCCTAGTGACTAAGGGACCCTTTTGATTATGATCATGTGGCCTAGCCAACCCCTTTAAACTTGGAGAGAAAACCACCATCATGACTTTTGAGAATCATGTCCTTTCACAAGCGGATGGGGTTGTAGTTGTGTCATTCCCTTATTCACACACTCATTCATTTGACAAATATTCGGTGGGTATAATAAATATAAATATTTATTATACACTAGAAACTGTGCTAATTACTAAGATAAAGTGGCGAGAAAAAAAAGAATAAAAACAAAAAAATTACAATGCCTATTTAAAGTTAATCTGGTTTTCAGCACTGTCCAATAGAGACATAATACAAGCCATATATGTAATTTTTGATTTGGGGGGAGTTATATTAAAATGTAAAAAGAAATAGTTGAAATTAAATTTAATTACAAATTTTATTTGATCCATTAATCCAATGTTATCATTTCAATGCGTAATTACTACAAAAGCTATTAATTTTGCATTTTGTGTTCTTTTTCTCCCACATCAAGTCTTCAAAAATCAGTGCGCATTTGATACTTGCAGCCTATCTGAATTTGAACTAGCCATATTTCAAACTCTCAACAGCCACATGTTGGTGGTTATGGTATTAGACAATGTAGGTCTAATTGGAAAGACAGAGTGTGGAAACAAGTGACGTTAGTTGTAACCTCTTTTGAGAGAATGGATGAAATCAATGAAACAGCATTGAGTTAAGAATCCACAGAAATGGGTTTTCCTCGTAGATGTTCCAGTAACTCACTGGGTGAGTCCATGAAAATTAATTTGCCTCTCTGTGTCTCAATGGTCTTACGTGCAACATCAACTATCAGTAGAAATAGATACCTAGATATTTATTTATTTATTTATTACATTTAATACCTGAAGATGACTTAGAATAATGTGTGTGTGTGTGTGTGTGTGTGTGTGTGTGTAGATGGCAAAGATAAACCAATAGGTAGAAATTGAAAGACTGCTTTTAATTTTTAATTTGGGGAAGGAAAAGGTAGCTTCAAGTCTTCATAATTCACTTTATAGCTAGCATCAAAATAGCCTCCAGGTAGATTAAAACAGTAAATTATGACACATTAAAACATAAAAACCTATACTAAACTAGATTTTCTTCTTATCAAGTATCTTTAACACGAATGGCTTTCTAAACTTTAAAGTTGTTTGAGGAGTCTGAAATGAAAAAAATCAAGAAATATGACTTAAAAGGCTAAACTCTCATGAAAATAAGCACTTAACTACAAATTGATTTCAAAAAAAGTGTCTGGAGAAAAATTGTCACAACTATGACTGTGCCCATGTAAATTGATAAAAAAATAATATATTGAGACCTCAAGATGTGAATGAGTGAAGAACAGAAATGAACACTTTCCAAAAATGTTCAAACTTGCTAAAAATCAATTAATGGAAAGAAATACCAATTTACTCCCATTATATTAATATTTAAAAATAAGAATTCACAATGCTGTTGAGGGTGTCACCAGAAATGTATAGGATCCAGAAGAAAAGTGAATGCAAGAAGTAAAAAATCATTCTAATTGTGAAACCAAATCATTATCATCTAAACTCAGCCTACCTTACAAGACAGTGGATGTGAGCAAAGCCCTCTGTAATCTGTATAATGTCACAAAAGCATAAGAAATCTTTAATATACGGTAGCCAGGCTGGGCGCGGTGGCTCACGCCTGTAATCCCAGCACTTTGGGAGGCCGAGGTGGGTGGATCATGATGTCAGGAGATCGAGACCATCCTGGCTAATGTGATGAAACCCCGTCTCTACTAAAAAAAAAAAAAAAAAAAAAAAAAATTGGCCAGGCGTGGTGGTGGGCACCTGTAGTCCTAGCTACTTGAGAGGCTGAGGCAGGAGAATGGCGTGAACCTGGGAGGCGGAGCTTGCAGTGAGCTGAGATCCACTGCACTCCAGCCTGAGCGACAGAGCAAGACTCCGTCTCGATAAATAAACAAACAAACAAACAAACAAACAGTAGCCAACAGGCTCTAGCCTGGCAGGCAGCTATTGCCTGAGATTCCACCATTCATCTCTCTTCATTGGCTTGATTCAACTGGCATAATTTTTATTGAATTCCCTTGTTAGATACAAGAGTTTGGATTGAAGAAAACAAAAGTCCCTGCCCAAGAGGCTCAGAGGCTAAGGAAGGAAGCAGACAGTGGAAGAGCTGTTGTCATAGAAGTGTGCACAGAGAGGACATTTCTGGAGAAGGAATCCTTCTCCAGGGTTCCTCCAAATACTCAAGTCCCCAGTGGTGGAAGGCCTTGGGACCCCAAAGGCACAGGGAGAGTCATCTGTTTATTCCTCTGGGTGGTGGAAGAAGCAGGAGAGGGGGCCACGGTGAAGGGTGAGCAGACAGAGGCCCTTGACATTCAGTCCCCGCCCCAGGCAGAACAGAGACCCTGCTAAGACAGGTCCTGCATTCAGGTTCTGACATTGCCATTTTTTTCTTGGCCTCTGGAAATACTCAGTCCCTGACCTACAAAAGGGAGCCCCGCATTCAAACAGCAAGGGCACACTGGGAAGAGGCTGTGGAGATGCTTTGTGAACCATAACAAGTGCGTCCTCAGTGACATTCCCATTTTCTTTTGTGGCCACTGGGCTAGACACAGAAGTAGCCCCATCACTGCACCACAAACCCATGTCAGTAACATGGAAACAGACGCATCATGGAAATGAACCAAATATGAGATGGGCAACCACCACTTGGTGTCTAAATAAGGCTGTGGTTCAACACAGGCCTTGAAACAATGTGGTATAGCTATGACAATTTACATTCACACACACACACACACACACACACACGATGCTCATTACATATAGCTAAAATAAAAGACAGCTCACAAATGTCCCACTAAGATGTATGTTTTCTATATGTGCGTATTTCTTTACATAGCTGCATATATGCAATACTAGAAGGGTAGTTAGGAGGTTTTATTTCTGGATGGTAACATTACGGGCGATTAATGCTTGCTCTTGCCTTATCTACATGTTCTGACTGTCTCATAATGAACATATATGACTTCTGTAATAAGAAACATAATGAAGGCTATTTTTACTTTTTAAAATTTTTATTATTATTATTATTTGAGATGGAGTCTCGCTGTGTCACCGAGGCTGGAGTGCAGTGGCGCAATCTCGGTTCACTGCAACCTCCACCTCCTGGGTTCAAGCGATTCTCCTGCCTCAGCCTCCCGAGTGGCTGGGATTACAGGCATGCACCACCATGCCTGGCTAATTTTTATATTTTTTAGTAGAGACGAGGTTTCACCATGTTGGCCAGGCTGGTCTCGAACTTCTGACCTCATGTGATCCGCCTGTCTTGGCCTCCCAAAGTGCTGGGATTACAGGTGTGAGCCATCGCCCCCGGCCTGAAGGCTATTTTTAAAACTAACAAGTGAACATGTCAAATCAGCAAAACTAGATTTAAATGTAAACTAATAACAGCTGCCATTTGCGAATTGCTGTGTTCTTCCTCTTGAGCTGAGAATCCCCTGCAGATTTGCGTTGGCCTCACAATAGCCCTGTGAGATAGGTATGGTTTGTCCCAAGTCACAGCTGAGGGAAGGGGCCTCAGAGAGTCTGAGGGACTCACCCAAGGCCACACAGCTGGTGACTAAAGCTGGGAGTTGTCCTCAGCCCTGGCTGGCATGGAAGTCTCTTCTCTTGATCGCTTACTGATACTATCTCCTAAAAAGGGAACACCTCCAAGAAATTTCTCCAGTAGCTCCAATGTGTGCCCGCTCTGCCATCCTGGGGCGAGGGCTCTGAGCAACTTTTAACTGAGACACAACTTCCTCAGTGGACCGATGGAGATGATTGTAAAACTGCCTCATGGTCACAGCAAACCCTGCCCTGGAAGTTGCAATGCACTAGTCACGGTTCTCAGCCATAGATACACATCTTTATCCTCATGTAATCATTTGCACTAACCTTGTAAGACAGACACTAGTCTCTGCATCCAACATATGAGAAACGTGAGCTGCAGGGGGGTTACACCCTCTACTGGATTGAATAGTGATCCCCAAAAAGTCATGTCCAGCTGGAGCCTCAGAATGAGGCCATACTGGCTTAGGGCAGTCCCTATATCCAATGACTGATGTCTTTATATAAAAGCCATGTGAAGACAGAGGCAGAAGAGAGGTGTGGTGCATCTACAAGCCAAGGAAGACCAAGCATTACCAGCAACACCAGAAGCTAAGAAAAGACAAGGAAGCATTCTCCTGCAGAGTCTTCAGAGGTGGATGGCTGAGCCAACACCCTAATTCCAGATTCTGGCCCCCGGAACAGTGAGAGAATAAATGCGTGTTGTTTTTTTGTTTGTTTGTTTTTGTTTTTATTTATTTATTTTTATTGATCATTCTTGGGTGTTTCTCGCAGAGGGGGATTTGGCAGGGTCATAGGACAATAGTGGAGGGAAGGTCAGCAGATAAACAAGTGAACAAAGGTCTCTGGTTTTCCTAGGCAGAGTGTGTGTGTCCCTGGGTACTTGAGATTAGGGAGTGGTGATGACTCTTAACGAGCATGCTGCCTTCAAGCATCTGTTTAACAAAGCACATCTTGCACTGCCCTTAATCCATTTAACCCTGAGTGGACACAGCACATGTTTCAGAGAGCACAGGGTTGGGGGTAAGGTCATAGATCAACAGGATCCCAAGGCAGAAGAATTTTTCTTAGTACAGAACGAAATGAAAAGTCTCCCATGTCTACTTCTTTCTACACAGACACAGCAACCATCCGATTTCTCAATCTTTTCCCCACCTTTCCCCCTTTTCTATTCCACAAAACCGCCATTGTCATCATGGCCCGTTCTCAATGAGCTGTTGGGTACACCTCCCAGACGGGGTGGTGGCCGGGCAGAGTGGCTCCTCACTTCCCAGTAGGGGCAGCTGGGCAGAGGCGCCCCTCACCTCCCGGACGGGGCGGCTGGCCGGGCAGGGGGCTGACCCCCCACCTCCCTCCCGGACGAGGCGTCTCGCCTGGCGGGGGGCTGACCCCCCCACCTCCCTCCTGGACGGGGCGGCTGGCCGGGCGGGGGGCTGACCCCCCCACCTCCCTCCTGGACGGGGCGGCTGGCCGGGCAGAGGGGCTCCTCACTTCCCAGTAGGGGCGGCCGGGCAGAGGCGCCCCTCACCTCCCAGACAGGGCGGCTGGCTGGGCGGGGGGCTGACCCCCTCACCTCCCTCCCGGATGGGGCGGCTGGCCGGGCAGAGGGGCTCCTCACTTCCCAGTAGGGGCGGCCGGGCAGAGGCGCCCCTCACCTCCCAGACAGGGCGGCTGGCTGGGCGGGGGGCTGACCCCCCCACCTCCCTCCCAGACGGGGCGGCTGGCCAGGCAGGGGGCTGACCCCCCCACCTCCCTCCCGGACAGGGCGGCTGGCCGGGCGGGGGGCTGACCCCCCCACCTCCCTCCCGGACGGGGCGGCTGGCCGGGCAGAGGGGCTCCTCACTTCCAGTAGGGGTGGCCGGGCAGAGGCGCCCCTCACCTCCCGGACGGGGTGGCTGGCCGGGCGGGGGGCTGACCCCCCCACCTCCCTCCCGGACGGGGCGGCTGGCCGGGTGGGGGGCTGACCCCCCACCTCCCTCCCGGACGGGGCGGCTGGCCTGGCGGGGGTTGACCCCCACCTCCCTTCCGGACGGGGTGGCTGCCGGGCGGAGACGCTCCTCACTTCCCAGACGGGGTGGCAGCCGGGCGGAGGGGCTCCTCACTTCTCAGATGGGGCAGTTGCCAGGTGGAGGGTCTCCTCACTTCTCAGACGGGGCGGCCGGGCAGAGACGCTCCTCACCTCCCAGACGGGGTCGCGGCCGGGCCGAGGCGCTCCTCACATCCCAGACGGGGCGGCGGGGCAGAGGCGCTCCCCACATCTCAGACGATGGGCGGCCGGGCAGAGACGCTCCCCACTTCCTAGATGGGATGGTGGCCGGGAAGAGGCGCTCCTCACCTCCTAGGTGGGATGGCGGTGGGGCAGAGACGCTCCTCACTCTCCAGACTGGGCAGCCAGGCAGAGGGGCTCCTCACATCCCAGACGATGCGCGGCCAGGCAGAGACGCACCTCACTTCACAGATGGGGTAGCGGCCGGGCAGAGGCTGCAATCTCGGCACTCTGGGGGGGCCAAGGCAGGCGGCTGGGAGGTGGAGGTTGTAGCCGAGATCACGCCACTGCACTCCAGCCTGGGCACCATTGAGCACTGAGTTAACGAGACTCCGTCTGCAATCCCGGCACCTCGGGAGGCCGAGGCTGGCGGATCACTTGCGGTCAGGAGCTGGAGACCAGCCCGGCCAACACAGCGAAACCCCATCTCCACCAAAAAAATACGAAAACCCGTCAGGCGTGGCGGCGCGTGCCTGCAATCGCAGGCACTCGGCAGGCTGAGGCAGGAGAATCAGGCAGGGAGGTTGCAGTGAGCCGAGATGGCAGCAGCACAGTCCAGCTTCGGCTCGGCATGAGAGGGAGACCGTGGAAAGAGAGGCAGAGGGAGAGGGAGACCGTGGAAAGAGAGGGAGAGGGAGGGGAGGGAGAGGGAGAGGGAGAGGGAGAGGGAGAGGGAGAGGGGCTCCTATCATCTCTTAAAGGTCTCACCTTTCTCGTTTTTTTTGTTTTTTTTTTTTTTTTTGAGATGGAGTTTGGCTCTTGTCACCCAGGCTGGAGTGCTATAGCATGGTCTAAATGCGTGTTGTTTTAAGCCACACAGCATCTGGTAATTTGTTCCAGTTGCCGCAGGAAACTAACACAGCCAAAAAGGAACCCAGATGGTTCCTTTTTTCCAGGATAATACTTTACGATGTGGGAGATTACCCGAAGCCTGGTAGGATTAGGATATAGACTTCAGGGTGACCAAAGAATCAGAATAAATGTTGGTACAAGATGGGGTCACCCCTGCCAGCAGGGTCAAAAAAAGTAGCGTTGACGTTACAGTCGCTAATAGTATAGTAATGCCGGCGGCTAGGACTGGGAGGGAAAGGAGTAGAAGGACTGCTGTAATGAGGACTGGTCAGACGAAAAGCGGTGTTTGATACCGGGATATAACTGGGGGTTTTATGATAACAGTTGTGGTAATAAAGTTAAGGGCCCCTAAAATGGAAGAGAAACCTGCCAAGTGGAGCAAGAAGATGCTCAGATCCACAGAGGCTCCTGCAGGTGCTAGGTTTCCTGCTAAAGGGGGATAAACTGTCCAGCCGGTTCCAGCGCCAGCTTCTACTATTGAAGATGCAAGTAGAAGTAGAAAAGATGGGGGGAGAAGTCAGAAGCTCATATAATTTATCCGGGGGAATGCCATATCGGGTGCACCAATTATTAGAGGGACTAGCTAGTTGCCGAAACCCCCAATTATGATTGGTATTACCATAAAGAAGATTATGACATATGCGTGGGTGGTAACAAAAATATTGTAGATCTGATCATCTTCTAGCAGAGTTCCTGATTGGCCTAATTCTGCTCGAATTAGAAGGCTTAACGCAGTGCCTACTCTCCCTGTTAATGCGCCGAATAGCAGGTATAGTGTTCCGATATCTTTGTGGTTAGTTGAAAACAATCAGCAATTGATGAACATAAGTGGGAAAAAGGTAAAATGACTGAATAAGCCTTAGACTGTAAATCTGAAGACAGAGGTCAAGGCCTCTTTTTACCAGCCCCAAGGTGATTTTTCATGTTGAATTGCAAATTCAAAGGGGCAGCTTCAATCCTACTGGGGCTTCTCCCGCCAGTAGAGAAGCCAATCAAGTAGATTGAAGCCAGTTGATTAGGGTGTTTAGCTGTTAACTAAATTTTCATGGGTTTGAATTCTGCGAATCTAGCAAGGGCTTAGCTTAATTAAAGTGGCGGATTTGTGTTCAATTGATGCAGAATAGAGTCTTGCACTCCTTAGGTCTGTTACAGAAATTAAGTGTAATTTACTTACTAAGGGCTTAGAAGGCCCTTGGTCTTATTTAACCTAAATTTCTAAGTTATAGTTAGTATTAATGGAGAGATGGGTAAGAGGAGTGTAGAAGAGATGATAAGTGGGGGGAAGACTAATCTGGGTTTAGTGTTTTTGAATTTTCATTTTATTTTCATATTATTAGATGTGGGGAATATTGTCCCTGGGATGGAGTAAATTAGGTGTATGTAAAAGTACAGGTTGAGTAGGGTTATGAGAGCTATAATGGTCGGGGTAAAAAGGCTATTGATTTTTGTAAATTCTTGGATGATGATTCATTTAGGCAGGAACCCTGTTAATGGAGGTAAACCTTCTAGGGATAGTAGAATTCGTGGAATTATAGGTGTCAACCATGCTAATTTGTTTCAGGTGTGAGACAGCAACAGCGTTGTGGTGCTTATAGTCAGGTTGAATGCTAGAAATGCGGTTGTTGTTAAGATAAAGTAAATAGTCAGGTTTAGAATGGTAATGTTTGGGTTATAGATTAGTACTGCTATTGTTCAACCTGTGTGAGTGACTGAGGAGTAGGCTAGGATTTTATGCAGTTGTATTTGGTTAAGTCCTCCTCAACCGCCCACTATAATGGATAGGATTGTGATAGATAGGAGGATACTCGTGTTTGTTGATGGGAAAATTTGAAACATAATCGAGATAGGGCTAGTTTTTGTCATGATGGAGAGCACAGCCATCATACCAAAAGTCACACAGCTCAGGGGCGACAGAGCCAGAACTGGCACCCAAGTTGCCCGGCTCCAAGGCCCACCACTTCTTGCCATACTGCATGCAGCAGTTGTGAAAATTAAGAGTCAATTGGACAGAGTGCTTGGCCCAGTGCCTCCCACCCTGTAAGCACGGCACAAGTGGTAACTGTTATTAGTCGTTAATGACATGGAAAATGCTCATCGCCTAATTTTCAGGGGAAAAGAGCATGATTTAAAACTGAGTGTGGGGTATGATCTCAACCACAATTCATACTGCACAGAAAACTGATTGATAACAAGCCAGAGACGGTTGCCTGTGGGTTGTGGGATTACAAAGATTTTTCTTCAGATTTTACTGTTCGGTTTTTGTCTTTTCTTTTCAGTGAATATACAGTACCTTTTCATTTCATTTTATTAGCCTTTTTAAACTCTAAAAAGTAATGCAAAAACAATTAACAAATCCTATAATACAACAAAAATCCATTAATAATCTCTCAACCACCCAATCAATTCCACCTACACTTCACCTCCTTAATCAGAGAAAACTCACATAGAGACAGTAATCCATTTTACAAACTGTTGTGCAGCCTGAGTGTGGCCAGGCTGGCTGCAGGGTCTCAGTTGCTCTCCAGGGATGTTGGCCACCCAAAGAGACGGGACTCCAGCTCAGGGGACTGAGGGAACCCTCAGCCTCATGGGGTGCTGCTAGCACAGTGGACCCCTGGCAAGGCAGAAGCAGCCCCTGAGGGGCACCGACATCCAGTCCTCCAGCCCACACATGGTTACAGAGCCCCTCTTATGTGCCAAACCCTGCTGCGGAGCCACAGCAGTGACAGATTTGGTGTCTGTGGTGCTGGAGCTCATGTTCTTATAGTGAGACTCAGCAATTAAACAACTAAATTGGGATTCTATCAGATGGTCATTGGTCATAAGTGCAAGAAGTTAAAAAAGAGAGAGCTATGGTGAGTTAAATAGTGTCCCCTAAGCTCATGTCCACCCAGAACTTCAGAATGTGACCTTATTTGGAAATACAGTCTTGACCAATATAATTAAGGTAAGAATGGAGATGAGGCCATACTGGATTAGGGTGGGCCCTGCCTCTAACAAGACCGTCCCTATAGGAGACAGAAAAAGACACACAGTGACATGGAGAAGAAGGCCATGTGAACACAGAGGCAGAGATTGGAGTGACGCAGCCACAGCCAAGGGATGCCTGGAGTCACCAGGAACTGGAAGAGGCAAGGAAGGGGATAGGGTTAGGCTCTGTCTGTATCCCCTCCCAAATCTCATCTTGAATTGTAATCCCCACATGTTGAGGGAGAGACCTGGTGAGAGATGATTGGATTGTGGGGGCAGTTTCCCCTATGCTCTTCTCCTGATAGTGAGTAAGTTCTCACAAGGTCTGATGGTTTAAAAGTGTTTGGCTGATCTCTGGCTC
Organism: Homo sapiens; assembly: GCF_000001405.40. NCBI lineage: Eukaryota > Metazoa > Chordata > Mammalia > Primates > Hominidae > Homo > Homo sapiens. The sequence goes on along the minus strand of NC_000008.11, from coordinate 133,753,339 downwards.
TCTCTCCTGCCGCTATGTAAGATGTGCCTTGCTTCCCCTTTGCCTTCTGTCATGACTGTAAGTTTCCTGGGGCCTCCCCAGTCATGTGGCACTGTGAGTCAGTTAAACTCTTTTCTTTATAAACACCCAGTCTCAGGCAGTTCTTTATAGCAGTGTGAAAACAGATTAATACAGAAGGGCTCTCCCCTAGAGCTTGTATGGAAACACAGCTCTATTGACATCTTGATTTCCAACTTATGGCCCCTAGAACTTTGAGAGAATAAATTTCTGTTGTTTTAAGACCCTGTGTTTGTGGTAATTTGTTAGGGAAGCTCCAGGAAAGTAACCCAAAGGGTGAGATGACTGTGCAGCCCAGGGCAGGGTGGTGCTGTTGTATAAAGGGAAGTTGGGGAAGTCCTCACCAACAAGACACATTTGAGCAGAGTTGCTGGAGAAGAGAGCCATCCCAGGAAAAGGACATTCCTATAGAGGAACAGCCACTGCATAGGCCATGGAGGAATGTGAGAGTGCAAGGGAGAGTTAGAAGGTGAGTTAGCAAAGTCACCAGGCCTGGAAGGAGATCCTATAATCCTGTAGGTGGTGGTGGGGACTTCCTTTGGATTTGACCTTGGTGAGGGCATCAGCTCTGGAGGCTCTGAGCAGGTGAACACTCTAAGCTGCCCCAGGTTTTGAGAGGATCCTTATGGCCTCAATGGGACCTTGGTGAGAAATAAAGGTGGTGTGGACCAGGCTGGTCAGGGGAGGAGGTGAAAAGTGATAGTATTCTGGATAGACATCAATGGTAGAGCTGACAAGAGTTGTTGATGAAGTGGGGTTGAATGTGAGAGAAATAGACAAGTCATGTGACTCTAAGACTTTTGACCTGATCTGCCAGATAAGTGAAGGCCCTGCTTACCCTAATGAGAAGGCTTCAGAAAAAGGAGGCTTTGGGGAGGGATCACGGTTGCCATGCAGTAGTGAGAGCCAATAGAGGCAGGTACTTATCTGGCCTTTGAAACCTGCATGAAGAGATTTTAGTATCTCAGTTTTCACATATGGCTCTGGGCTCCAATCATCCCAGTGGCCTGGACAGGCCACCAAAGTGTCTGACAGCCTCCTGGTGTGGTCTCCATGCTCCATTGCTTGCCAAGCAGCCAGAGTTTTTTGAGCAGCTACTTTGTCCTCACATGGGTAGACTCTGAGCTGGTTTTAAAAAGAGGCCTGTGCACAAGTGTTGGCAAGGATGTAGAGAATTGGGAACTCTGTTGGTGGGAATGTAAAATTATAGCTTCTGTGGAAAACAGTGCGGTGGGTCCTCAAAAAATTAAACATAGAATGACCATGTGATTCAGCAATGCTACTTTTGAGTATATATGCAAAATAATTAAAAGCAAGGACTCAGGTAGATATTTGTATACTCATGTCCATAACTGCATCATTCATAATAGCTGAAAGGTGGAAACAACCCAAGTGTCTATCAACGTATGAATGGATAAACAAAATGGTGGTGATCTATACAATGGAATATTATGCAGCCTTGAAAAGGAAGGAAATTATGACATCTGCCACAAATGGATGAGCCTTGAGGACATTCTGCTTAGTGAAATTAGCCAGTTACAAAAGAAAAAATACTGTGTGATTCCACTTATATGAAGCTCCTAGAGTAATAACATTTATAGAGTCAGAAAGTAGAATGATGTTTTCCGGGGGTTGGGCAAGGAGGAAACAGGGAGTTTTTTAATGGGTATAGTTTCAGTTTGTGATGATGACAATATTCTGGAGATGGATGGTAGTGATAGTTTCACAACAATGCAAATATACATAGTGCCATTGAACTATACTCTTAAAAATGGTTAAAATGGTAACTTTTATGTTACATATATTTTGCCATGATTAGAAATAAGAGTCCCTGAGAGTGGAGTCCCAGGTCCTCAGGTTCAATCCTGACCAGTTTTGACATTAACATGCTGGGTGGGTTTGCATCTCTCTGAGGCTGAGCACAACATCGTTCTCTGTAAAATGGGACAACTGTGTCCTCACAGACTTCTTCTGAAGACTGTGTTCTTCAGAGTACACAGACAGCACTTCAAGAAAGAGCAGGCACATTTTAATGCTACAGGCCACGTTCTGTTCCAATACAGTGATGTATTGATTAAGTCAACCCTCCCAACAGCCCCAGGAGGCCAGGGAATGTGTTATGCCCATCACACAGATGAGGACACAGGAATGTCACTGCTAGAGAAATGTCAATTTAGAATTGTTTTAGTCCATTTAGGCCATTGTTATGAGTACCATAGAATGAAAGGCCTATACACAAACAGAGCTTTACTTCTCATAGTTCTGGAGGCTGAGAAATCCACGGTCAGTCAGTGGCAGATTCAGTGTCTGATGATACATTCTGGCTCATGGGATGGCTGTCTTTTCACTGCATCCTCATGTGGCAGAAGGAACGAGGAGCTCTCTGGGGTGTCTTTCAGAAGGGCACTTACTACCATTCATGAAGGCTCTACTTTCTTGACCTAATCACCTGGGAAAGCCTCCAACTCCAAAGACCGTCATCTTGGGGGTTAGAGTTTCAACACAAGAATTTTAGAGTAGGCCGGGCGCGGTGGCTCACGCCTGTAATCCCAGCACTTTGGGAGGCCGAGGTGGGTGGATCACGAGGTCAGGAGATCGAGACCATCCCGGCTAAAACGGTGAAACCCCGTCTCTACTAAAAAAAATACAAAAAATTAGCCGGGCGTAGTGGCGGGCGCCTGTAGTCCCAGCTACTTGGGAGGCTGAGGCAGGAGAATGGCGTGAACCCGGGAAGCGGAGCTTGCAGTGAGCCGAGATCGCGCCACTGCACTCCAGCCTGGGCGACAGAGCGAGACTCCGTCTCAAAAAAAAAAAAAAAAAAAAAAAAAAGAATTTTAGAAGGAAACAAACATTTAGGCCCTAGCCAGGATCATGTAAATCAGTGGGTTTTAAGGTTATGCTTTATAGATCATCCAAGTGTGACTCAGAGGGGAAGTGACTTCTTAAGGTCACTCGGCAAGTTGGCCATTGTAAACGGACCCAGACCCTATCCTCTTGCCCTCAGCCCGTCTCTTACTCTCTCCCCCATTCTCTTTCAGACCTGGGGTGGGGGAGAAGGAGGGGCCTGGCCAAACGACAGATAGCTTCTCAGTAGTTGGCAAATGCTAGAAGGTCTCAGAGCACACGCAAAAGATATGCTCTCCAAAGGGAAGTCTTCCGTTAACCTTTGCAGGAGCTTTATTAAGGTCAATATCCCTATATTTGTCAAGACTCGATAGGTTGAAAGTAAATTTTCTGTGCCCATTATAGAATTCTCACAAAACCACAAAATTAGAAAAGCCAGAATTTTTCCACCTGTAAAATATGGAATCTTTGCTTGTATACCTTCTATGAGAATTTTGAACAATATGTACCACTGTGACATTATAAATAGAAATGTAAAACTTTGCCATACATTTAAATAATTCCAAGGAATCTGTTCTCTGAAGCAGCACTGTCCAATAGAAATATAATGAGAACATCATATGCAATTTTAAATTTTCTATTAAACACAATTTAAAGAGTAAAAGAGGAACAGATGAAATTAATTTTAATAATATATGTTATTTAACTCAATATATTCAAAATATTATCATTTCAACCTATAGTCAATATGATAAATAGTAATAAGCTACTTTACATTCTTTTTTCACATTAAATCTTTGAACTCCGTTGTGTTTTATACTATGGTACATCTCAATTTTGACAGCCACATTTCGAGTGCTTAGTAGCCACATGTGGCTGGTGGCTATCATTTGGATGGTGCAGGTCTGGAATTTTTTTTTTTTTTTTTGAGATGGAGTCTTGCTTCTGTCGCCCAGGCTGGAGTGCAGTGGTGCAATCTCGGCTCACTGCAAGCTCCACCTCCCGGGTTCACGCCATTCTCCTGCCTCAGCCTCCCGAGTAGCTGGGACTACAGGCGCCCACCACCACGCCCGGCTAATTTTTTGTATTTTTAGTAGAGATGGGGTTTCACCGTGTTAGGCAGGATGGTCTCAATTTCCTGACCTCGTGATGCACCCGCCTCGGCCTCCCAAAGTGCTGGGATTACAGGCGTGAGCCACCCCTCCTGTCCCAGGTCTGGAATATTGTATAATGCTTTAACTCGATTTGGTCAAAACTGTGGAATTCAGGTTTAACTTTTTTTAATTAATTAATTAATTAACTTTAGGGACAGAGTCTTGCTCTGTTTCCCAGGCTGGAGTGCAGTGGCACAATCATAGCTCACTACAGCCTCAAACTCCTGGGCTCATGCGATCCTCTCACCTCAGACTCCCAACTACCTAGGACTATAGACACGTGCCACCACGACCAAATAATTTAAAAAATTTTTTTGTAGAAAAAGGGCCAGAACTCTTAGCCTCAAGCAATTTTTTCCACCTGGGCCTCACAAAGCGCTGGGGTTACAAGTGTGAGCCCCTGTGCCTGACCTAATTTATTTAATTCATGAAAAATATCTGCCATGTAGCTTAGTTGGCAAAGCCAGTTCTTATTGTCAAACCCATCAGCCAAATCCAATTTACTGACAGGAGAGCCTGACTTTATTCTAAAATTGAAGGAGATGTGTTAATATACAAGCTCTGTTAACCTTCTCATTCCTGAAATCAAATTTTAAGAGAGATAGCTGATTGGCTATATGGATATACGGATCGATGGGAAGATGGATGAATGAATAGAAGGATAAGTAGAGAGAAGATGATAGCCAGATTAATGTGAGTGGATGAATGGATAGATACATAGGAGATAAATAGACAACAAGAGAAAGAGAGAGAGAACTAGATCTGACACTTGCTTTTGCCTGTGTTTGATGCCTGGTTGAAATAAGGCCCCACCACCTTCAGTATTTCTCACAGAAGCTCCTTCACTTGGCACTCACAGAATTTCTACCTTGGTTTGATGCTCCAGAGGCTACATTCAGGATGAAGAATGGCTTTCCTTTACAAAAAGGGAACAGAAGTTCTGCAAAGGCATGGGGAGAGAGGAAAGCTGGCAGAGCCCAGATGCATCTTTAGTTGGATCACTTTTCAAAGAGCACTTACAGATGTTGAGCAGGTAGAAGGAGTTTCCTTCAAGCCATCCACACCCTCAAAAGTCTTTGTGAAATTCAAAGGAGTTCACACTCAGCTTGCAGACTGCTGGGTTCAATCAGCCCTCGAGGTCCTGTGTGTCATAGCAGCTTCCCAGAGGAGGACTGAAGGACCATGGTCCAGTCCAACTTCTATCGACAACTTAGGGTGGTCCATGAAAGCCTGGGATCTTAAGACAGGATCTCACCTTTGTCACTTCCTGGAGATGTGAGTATGTACAAGACACTTTACCTCTCCACATCTCACTCTCCTTATCTGTAAAATGGGATAATCAAAACCCTAACTTGTCTCACCTTTATGGGAATAAGTAAGGTAGTGCACTGAGCACATGAGGCCTGGATTCTAGGAAGTGATTTCTTTGCTCTTCTAAATTTATTATTCAACCTCACCATTAGACAAATCAGGGAAACTGAGGCTCAGAGAACTGAGCATCTTTCAAGTGCTGGAGAGTGTGCTTGGAGATGTGTGTGCCTTATCCAATTTGATTCTCACAGCACTTTTGGCAATAGATGTTCCTGCCCTCATGTTGAAGATGGATAAACTGAGACACATAACTTTTTCATTGTGGTTATCTTCCCCAAGATGGATTTAAGTGGCTGTGATAGGACAAAGGGAGCTTTGCTCCTTTATTAATCTGTTTGGGCTGCTGTAACAGAACATAGACTGAGGAATGTTTGAAGAACAGAAGTTTATTCCTCACAGTTCTGGAGGCTGGGAAGTCAAAGATCAAAGTGATAGCAGGTCTGTTTTCTGGTGAGGGCTGCTCTCTGCTTCCAAGATGGTGCCCTGAATGCTGCATCCTCCAGAGGGAAAGAATGCTGTGTTTTCATATGGCAGAAGGCAGAAGGGCAAAAGGGTCAAACTCCCTGCATCAAGCCCTTTAATAAGGGCACCTAATCCCATTCCTGAGGACAGAGTCCTCGTGACTGAATCATCCCCCAAACTCCACACTTTCCAATGCTGTCACATTGGGAATTAATTTTCAACATGAATGTTAGAGAGAACAAAAGCATTGAAGCCATATCTATTCTCCTTCACCACCCACCCTCTTTGCTTTTGACTTTGGAGTTTACAGAACTGCACGCACAGGCATCATTTGTGAGCATGGTCATCATAACCACCTTGGCAGAAGCTGTGTTTTGTAGAGGAAAATATCGTGACTCAGAGAAGAAAAGAAATACACCCTGGTTTATATTGAGGTAGCAGCACATTCATTTCCAGTAAATTGTATGTTGGAAAAGCCCACAGGTTTTCAGCATTTCTTGCCCCAGTTCACAGTGTCAGTTTTCTTTCTGCAGATGCTTCCTGGGTTGGCAGTGTCCCCCAAACTCCCCTCCTTTCCCAACCCATCTTCCTCTGGCCCCAGAACAAAGATACTCCAATCCCTGATCAGAGCCAGTGCCCAGAAGAAGCTCCTGGGTGCAGCATGGTGGCTAATGAAGTAGAAAATGCAATTTGCCATGTAAATAAACAAGCTGACAGGTCAGACTGGTCCTGCCTTAAGCTTCCCACTTAAGGTGGAAACACCCTTTCCCACTGGTAACACCAGCTGTCACAGAATCTTGGAGCTGAGCCCTCGTGGTTGCCTGGGGACCATCCACAGAGTCCTGTTAGAAGCTGGCACTGCCCAGGCATGAAGGTGGTGAAGATGCCAAAACTTGCCTGGATATGAACACAGAAACGGTAAAATCAGAAGGAAACCAAAAATAATAACAACAACAATGACAACAGCACCTCCCATGGATTATCTCATTACTTGTGAAAAACATACAAGTACTTGTATTTTTCCAGTTTAGCAAATAAAAACACCAAAATTCAGACAGGTGCAGTTACACAATCAGTGCTGGGGTAGCTTAGACTTGGACCAGGTCTGTCCAGCTGAAAAGCCCATGCTCCTAACACCCTGCCAGGCTCACTCTCAGCACTGGCATTATCCTGAGAAATCAGGGCTGGCTTCCCACATGATTGGTGCAAAGCACAAAAGGCCTTGGCTGGCCCAGTTGGGCACAGTGGGTTGATCATAGCACTTGGCATTGTGCTGGCTGTCGTGGACCCTGAAGGAGCCTGAAGCTGGCTCATTTCTGTATAAAGAGGATCCCAACACTCCCTAAAGACTCAGCTCAGGTGCTGCCGCTTCTGAGAAGCACCCCTGACCTTCTACATCAATGGCTCAGCTGCCCCACCAATGTTGTGCCCACCCCCAGGGTCCTCTCTGTTCACCCCTTCATCTCCCTCACCAGTTCCTAGGCTCTGGCCAACAAACACCCCTCACTGTGTTGAATAAATGTGAAAGGATTTCTCAACAGGCAGAAGAGATGATAAAGATGGCACCATCTGCCTGGGCCAGCCGCTGCATCTGGGGCCCTGCCATCTTCAGTGCCACCTGCAGCCCCCACAGAGAGGACACATCAGACCCAGGCAAGCTTCTGTGTCCTTGTCTCATCTCCATGCTGCCCTTCCTTACTCACACATCCCCACTCTTCCTAATCTTTCCTTTCCTGCAGGCCTGCAGTATGCCTCAGAGTGTTTTATTCATGCATGTATTTGTGCACTCATTTGTAGCTTTTATACAGAAATCCATCAAGCCCCCAGTCTGTGCCAGGCACCATGCTGAGGCTGGGATACAGCAAACATCAATAGGCATGGATCCCGCCCCTGTAGAGCTTGTACCCAGATAGGAGAGAAAAGCATTAAATAGAGAAATGTTGGGTTCCTGAGAGAGGTGGCTGGATCCTTTTGAACTGTGTGGAAAGGGGCACAGAGGCAGGTAGGGACATTGAGCAGTAGTGGCAGGGAGGGGTGGAGACACATGGACTGACCGAGCTGGAGATGAGGTCCCATCCAGACTCAAACACTAACACGCATTGGGAACGGAACATGAGAGAGTTCGCCCCTCCCTAAATTTAGTTCTCTCATCTGCTGTTCAACACCCTAGACTTGGTTCTCCAGCATCCTATTGAATGATCATAATTGCTACCATTGGAAGAATGCTTCCTTGGAGAGGAACTATTCTTAGTTCTGGATCTTTGCAGACATCTTGCTAGGAACTTCACTCACTTTATCTGGTTAAGCTATGGCTACTTTGTGAGGTAAGCACTGTTTTCTCCCATTTCACAAATGAGAGAGATTAGGCTCAGAAAGGCCAAATAAGTTGTTTGAGTTTCCTTAAGGTACAGGGACTGAGCCAGGACTGCCTTCCAGATCTGTAAAACCCAAAGCCCATGCAGCTGCCACTGCCTTCTCCAACCTGTCTTTGGCTGTGAAAGTCAGGGCTCTTCCAAAGTCTACCCTCACCTCCTAAAGTTGCATAAAGCTTTGGAGGGCTTCCAGTTTAGGGCACACATTATGGGCTCTAGAGCCAGGCAGACCTCTGTCAAACACAAGCCCTGCCTTTCCCTATCCTCAGAATTTGGGGCAAGACCTTTGTTTCTCCCATTTTCAGTTTCCTTACCCATGGGATCAGACCGTGACATTCAACTCCAGGAAATTGTGCTTCCAAACCTCCTCACTCTAGTCAGCTGTGTTTCCAAACTCTTAAAGTGCCTGTCGTATGATCTGACACATGGCAATTATTCATAATCTGGATTTGTAGTTGTCAAGAACTGTGAAGGGGCTGAGGTTTTACTTTATTTGCAGGCCAAGTTAGCCTGGCACAGTTTCCTGGATGCTGCAGAAGTTATGCAGCTCCTTGATCAGGGGCACGGGGTAATTTATGACTCAGGCAATAGGCATTTAATCCAAGCATCATCATTGTCACACCAATTCTACAAGCCACAGTTCCTACATGGCGAGGTGAAGAGGGCCAGGTAGCACCTTCACCCATAGCAGGGTGTATTCCAGGAGAGGGACTCCAAATATAGGGACCCTAAACCTTTTATAATAGTCACTAATCCTGTCTGTCTTTTACTCTGGAGAGAGACACCATCTCCCTCCCAGGCTGTTTGCTACACCGACGTCCTCATAAAGATAATCTGAAGCAAAGGAGAGCCAGTCTATGTGCTTGTGAACTTTGTGGAAACAGAAGAGACTCTGGGAGGCCAGGGACTGTGATCTTAACAGCAGTCATTTCCTAACACTTTCTATCTCTCCTTTTCCCACAGTGCTAAGTCCTGGGTGGTTCCAACCATCTTTGATACAATTTTAGCCCCACTGAGCTCTAACTTTGGAGCTACTCTGGACTTCCCTATTCTGGAAGTCTATAATTTTTCCTTTACCGCTGTATTGCTCTTCTTTCTACTTTTAGGTCCCATTCTACGTGGTGCAGAAAATTTAGTAAATTCTGGACTCTCCCAGCCATGTTGGATCTGCTCAGTTATATTCAGGAATTCCCTCCTGCCCCATGTTGTGCTCGTGTGGCCAGTAAAAGATGACCATTAATCTTTTAGGAGTTGTGCAAGCTGGAATTGACACTGACATCATGGAAATTGGCAAACCCTATGCCCATGATAAGGTGCCTACTCCCAATCGTACTCCCAATTCCACTTTTCCTTAGAGCAGATGTTAAGATCTCTGGGCTTACATGGTGAAACCTGGGCAACTGTGGGAAGGTTACATTCATATCCCAACTTTGGACCCTTTTATTGCCCTCTGTGGCCCCTAAGTCTTATTCTGTTGGTTTTAGGTAAGCCCTTCCTCCTCCTTTCTCCTGGACATCTGCTGAGAGCCATGTCTTCAACTGATGCCCAACAGGACAGTGATTCAAGTTCTGCTGTTTTTCTCACCTTCCCATGCCTTAGCTAGACCATAGGAGATTCAGGAACCCTCTCCTGCCCTGCTTTGCACAGTCATGCCACAGAGTCTTGGTTGCTCACTGGCTGCTACGTGTGATGGAACCAAAGGCATCTCAACAAGACCCCTGGGCCTTACTCATTTCCTCTCTACACTCAGATCCTCAGACTTAGGAAGGGATTTCCACCCTCACCTTACCAAAGAGCTCAGTCTGAGGGACCCTAACCCACACTCATATCTTGCTTTCCACATCCCCAAACTAGAATATTTTTCATTAAAGGCTTTTTATTGACTTTCCCCACAGAAGGATAAGGGCCAGCTGGGAGACCTGTGGGTTCAGCATCAGAACATCCTTTGACAAAAAGTCTTATATTCCGTGTCAACTTTTGTCAGCTTCAAAAGATGCTTAAGGGCAAATCTTGCTATCATTGTACCAATCACATTCTGAGATCACTTCTATACCTGAGATGAAAGTGAGGTGATTTGCCTTATCTATTTTGATAACTTTTGTGTCCCAGAGTCAGTTCCAAAGTGTCAGCATTCTGAGATGGGAGGTGACCTGACCAAAGTCACATAGCTAATGAGTGATGGAGCTGGGAACAGAATCCCAGCCTCTGCACTAGTTCGAGTTCGTAAGACAATAGGCAATACTGCCTCTAAACCTGGGGCTCTCAGGTATTGCCCTGCCTCAACAACCTGAGGTTCCTCCCTCCTTTCTTCCTTGAACCTTCTGTCACTTTCTTCCTTCCTTTCTTTCTCCCCTCCTTCCCTCCTCCCCTCCTTCCCTTTCTCTTTTCATTCCTCCTTCCCTTCTTTCCCTCCTTCCTTCTCTCCTACCTTCCTCCCCTCTTTCACTCTCTTTCTTCTGTCTTTCCTCCCTTCCTCCCTTCTTTTCTCCTTTCTTTCTTCCTTCTTTGTCTTCCTTCCTCCTTTCCTTCCTTCCTTCTTTTCTTTCTCCCTCTCTCCCTCCCTTCCTTTCTTTCCTTCTTCCCCATCTCCTTTCTTTTCTTTCTTCCTTCTTTCTCTCCCTCCCTTCCTTTCTTCTTTCCTTCCTCCCCATCTCCTTTCTTTTCTTTCTTCCTTCATTCTCTCCCTCCCTCTTTCTCTTCCTCTCTTCCTTCCTCCCTCTCTTCCTTCCTTCTTTCCATTCTTCTATCCCTATACCCCCTTCTTTCCTCCTTCCTTTATCCCTTTCTTCCACAAATATGTACTGAGCATCTACTACATGTCAGACAGTGCACTGAGAATGCAGATGTGGTTTCTGCCCTCATGATGTTGATGGCCAAAGTCCCACTAATAGCAGTGGCCTCTCAAATCAGGAATCGGGTGACAGGTGTCTATTTAAAAAACATCCCTCTTCAACCCATTCAATACTGATAAGAAAATATCCCCTTGTCCGTCCAGATTTTTTGAGAATCAGAATTCTCTGCATATCCCTGGAGAAAAGAAGACCCTCCCAGGTTCATAACAGACTCAAATACAGTGTGAAGAGCTTGAGGGTGTAGTGTCCATGGGGCAAAGGCAGACAATGTCTGGGTCTGGCTTTACAGAGAGGAAAATTTTCCAAGTCAAATGCTCCTTACCTGTAACACCTGTTCATGCTATGGATGAAAAGCTTCCCATATTAGATCTAATTGTTCTTCAAATAACTTTCTCTTCTTGTTTGAGGGCTTCCCATAACTATACTCTTAACCACTAATATTGATTTCTGAGTGGTCCAGCACTCTTCTAGGTTTGCTTGCTTGCTTGTTTGTTTACACTCAGTTTAAGTAGTTCACACATAAAAAAACAACTTAGAAGGTTAAATTAGCATCATCATCATTGTGATTGTAGTTATTTCTACCCCATGACTATTATTATTCTATAAAAAGCATGGAAAGATAGCCCAGATAGTAAGAGACAGAGCTGTCTTAAAGACTGGGACTTTTTCCACCAAGCAGCATTGTCTTTCTATAGTAATTCTTTTCCTACAACCAATTATTCCACTGCACTAGCCTGGATTCCTTTGTAATGTGAATAATCAAACTTATTGATCTGTTTCCTCAAATGACATTTCCTTGGAGTGTGACACATCCCATCTACATTTGCACTGGACCAAGAATCAATAACACTGGTGATGTCCAGGAACTCCAAAGGCTAGGCAAGGGAGAAAGGGAATTGATGTTACATTTGTATAAAGTGTCTTGGGATGTGTTCGATTACGTTGCGGTTACCTGGAGAAAAAGAAAGGTGACTTCCCAATCAAGCAACACTTCTTTTATTTCTGCTAGGATTATTTAACAAAGGAATACAGTGAATACCTTCTGTATGCCCAGCACCTTGCAACATGCTTACAAAAGAGACATTGTATAACAAGGTAAAGAATGCATATCGATTTTGCCAATGCTCAATTGTGTGTTCTTCTGCAAGCCATCATCCTCGCTGAGCCTCTGTATGTCCAGGGACACCATGAATAGCAGCCCTTGATCTGCAGCATTGGGCCAAATTCAATGCTGATGCTCTCCAATGCCCTTTATGCACCCCACCCGTTGATGCGGGGTCCCTCATTCATTCATGCAAGTATCAGGGGATCTGCTACACATAACAGACATCTGACCACAGTGGAGAAAGAAAATAGGGTTTATGTGGCTGCCAACATAGGAAGCCCAGTGGTAGGCAGTTGAGGACCAATATGATCTCAGTGATGTCAGTAGGGACCCAGGTTCCATCCCTCCTTATGTTCTCCATTTGAGTATGTTGGCTTTCCCCCTTGTACTGAGTGCCTCACGGATGCAAGATGGCTACAGCATGTACACAGTTGAATGTCAGCATTACAGGCAAGAAGAAATGGGCAGGGCAGGAAGGCAAATGATTTTCTCAAGATTTTGCTCTTTTATTTGGGAGTGGAATCATCTCCTTGACTTCTGCAAACATGAGGTATTTGGCCAGTCCTGGCTAAAAAAATAAGCTGAGAAATAAAACATGATTGCTTTCCAGTCTCTACAAGAGAAAACCAGGAAGAAGGTAGTTAGGATGGGTGGTGTACGAGCCAGCCCATAGGATCTGCCATGCATGCATTTAGCAAATGGACAAATGACTTCTCATGGCCCAGTTCCTGGGCTGGGCAGCAGTGAGGAACAAGGTGTGTCTCTTCCTCAGGAGGTTGCAGGTGAGAGAGGTACAGGCAAACAAACAACTAACACAAGGCACAGAGGGAGACTAGAAATGGAAAGGGCAGTGCAAATGTGAACATGTGGGGAGTGTCAGGTGGGGACTGGGAATGCAACTGGCAGAGCCCAAATTTCTAAATTGGACCCGGAGGGAGACAGCACCTGCCTTGGTCTGTTTGGGCTGCCATAAAAAAAATGCCATAGACTAGGGGGGCAAAAAATCCCAGAAATTTATTTATCACTGTTTTTAAGGCTGTGAAGTCCAAGATCAAGGCACCAGCAGACACAGTATCTGGGGAGGGCCTGCTTCCTGGTTCACTGGCGGCTGGCCATCTCCTGAAGTGGTGAAGGACTCTCTGGAGTCCCCTTTGTAAAGGCTCTAATTCCATTCGTGAAGGCTGTACCCTCATGACCTAATCACACACCAAATGCCTCACCTCCAAATAGCATCACCTTGGCGATCAGGTTTCAACATAGGAATTTAAGGAGGTCAGAAACATTCAGTTGTTAGCAGCATCATACTGAAATCTATAGCTCAGGGCAGCACCCAGATGGAGGTGGGAAAGCCTTAAATTCTTAGCCTACAATCCCAACCATACAAAGGAAGGGAATGTATCCAAGGCAGATATCACAACACAACCCTTTAAAACATTTACACTTTAATTTTTTCTTAGCATAAAAGTAAAAACAATCTTTATAAAACACTTGTAAAAACACAGAAAAAAAGAATATGAAAATAAATACTTTCCTCTGTACTAATATTTGGATCATTCCTTTCAGATTTCATTTACATAGAAAATAGGCTTTTTCAGGACAGTCATCAGGAGCCAAAAACAAAATGTATTGGCTCAAGTAACTGAGATATCCTGGGGTGGAGGACAGGTTAAGCCATGGTGACTCCATATGGTCAAGGTCCCATAGGCTCTTTCCCTCACTCAGATCTGTCTTGCTTCCTTCTCAGACATGAGCTTTACAAGTTGCATTCCATCCACACATCTGTGATCCTGAACTAAAAGACGGCTCCCCTAAGGGTCTTTCCAAAAGTCTCTGGCCTCATTTGGGACAATACCCCTGGTGGAAAATCTTAGAATCACTATGGAATGGAGAAGCTGCAGGTGCAGCTCAGGAGAAAGGGTGCAAGGCAGAGAACAATATCCCTCTGTCTCTCTATTTAAAATTAGGATTAAACTAAATACATGGCAATGCGTGTGAATGGATGAGTGAGTTGGTGAGGAAGTTTGGTTCACCTACATAATGTTACTGTACCCTCCATATCACCCCTCTAATAAACTCAATACAAAGGATGGCATCATGTTCTTTTTATGGATTAAAGAACTGTGCCCAGGCCAGGCATGGTGGTTCATGCCTGTAATCCCAGCACTTTGGGAGGCTGAGGCACGAGGATCACTTAAGCCCAGAAGTTCGAGGTTAGCCTGGGCAACATAGTGAGATCCTATCTCTAAAAAAAATTTTAAAAATTAGCCGGGCATGGTGATGTGCACCTGTTGTCCCAGCTACTCAGAAGGTTGAGGTGGGAGGATCACTTGAGCCCAGGTGGTCAAGGCTGCAGTGAGCCATGATTGCATCACTGCACTCCAGCCTGGGTGACAGAATGAGACCCTGTCTCAAAATAAATACAAAAAATAAATAAAAGAAATAAAGAACTATGCCCAGAGAATTGGAATGACAAGACCCAAATGTTTCTAAATCCTTTCTCTTTGCTCCCTCACCTAATCATCATTAATAAAATAATCTAACATATGAAGAATGGAGACTAGAGCTTGGCAGGGAGAGAGCACTGGGTTGAAATAAGCACTTGCCATTGTTGTTGTTCTTATCATTATCAACTGTGACAGCCAGTATCAACTTACATCTGACTGGACTCTTTGTCAAAGTACTTTTAAAGTCCCCATCCATGAAGTCTTACATTGCTAGTATACTTGTAGACACTATAGCGGGATTCCTGGCAGGAAAGCTGGTATTTCAGCAACCTCAGCTTACCTTGCATAGGTGAAATCATCTACACCTACTTCGGAGGCTTACTCATTAAGTTAGTTCAAACCTGTTTAATTTTTATTTTTACAAAGAAGAGAGCTTCACCCTAGTCAATTCCAAATCCCCTCCAGGAAAGCACAAGTTGGATGGTGGAAAGACTAGGTTGGATGGTGGAAAGCACAGGTCAGATAGTAGAAAGAGCAGGTCAGATGGTGGAAGACACAGGCTGGATGGTGAAAACAGCAGGTCAGATAGTGAAAAGAGCAGTCTGGATGGCAGAAAAAGCAGGTCAGATAGTGAAAAGAGCAGGCCGGATGGTGGAAACAGCAGGTTGGATGGTGGAAAGAGCAGGTTGGATGGTGGAAAGAGCAGGTCGGACAGTGGAAAGAGTAGGCCGGATGGTGGAAAGAGCAGGTCAGATAGTGGAAAGAGCAGGCTGAGTGGTGGAAAGAGCAGGATGGATGGTAGAAAACGAAGGTCAGATGGTGGAAAGAGCAGGTCAGATGGTGGAAAGCAGACTGGATGGTGGAAAGAGCAGGTTGGATGGTGGAAAATGCAGGTCAGATGGTGGAAAGAGCGGGTTGGATGGTAGAAAGTGCAGGTCGGATGGTGGAAAGAGCAGGCCGGATGGTGGAAAGAGCAGGTCAGATGGTGGAAAGAGCAGGTCAGATGGTGGAAAGCGCAGGTCCGATGGTGGAAAGCACAGGTTGGATGGTGGAAAACACAGGTCAGATGGTAGAAAGAGCAGGTCAGATGGTGGAAAGAGCAGGTCAGATGTTGGAAAGCGCAGGTCGGATGGTGGGAAAAGCAGGTCGGATGGTGGGAAAAGCAGGTCGGATGGTGGAAAGCGCAGGTCCGTTGGTGGAAAGCACAGGTCGGATGGTGGAAAGCACAGGTCAGATGGTAGAAAGCACAGGTCAGATGGTAGAAAGCACAGGTCAGATGGTGGAAAGCGCAGGTGGGATGGTGGAAAGCGCAGGTGGGATGGTGGAAAAAGCAGGTCAGATGGTGGAAAGAGCAGGTCAGGTGGCGGAAAGCGCAGGTCGGCCGATGAAAAGCCCACCAACAAAATACAATCTTCAAGATACCAAGAAGTTTATTTTTTTAAGTAATATTTATTTTCTAAAAATATAAGTAACACATCCTCACTGCAGAATTTTGGGAAGACACATAAAAATATGGAAAGGGAAATAAATATTACATATAATTCTGATTCTCAGAAGTAACCACTATTAACATTTCATTTGAATTCCTTTATGTTTATCTTTTTCCTATGCATATGTCAATACTTTTTAATTTTCTTTTCCTCAAACTCTTTTATGACTGAATCAAACTTTTACTATCTCATATAAATATTTATCACCCTCTTGAAATTATTTATTATTCAATCTCATAAGACATTAAGAGCATCCAAGATGTATGTTTTGATACATTGATATAGAGAACTCCATAACGTGAGATGAAATTTTTTGTGCAGAGTCTATTATTATTTCACAGACTATTAAGCCTTAAAATATAAATTTTTCAGTTTTTCCCCTTATTTAATAAGGAATTCTAGAAAGCAGACAATGGAGAACATGCATGCTTCATCCAAGTGCTAACACAGAGTAAAAGACCCAGAGCGGCTTGTTCTGCCTTTTCGTTTTTAAAGCATGGTGCATACGGGAGTGAGGAGTGGGGATCAACATAGCCATAAGTCATCTGTTTTACAATGTGGGGGAATTAGGTTGTTTCTAGCATAGCTCATTTCTAACACTTAACTCAGCAAACTGTAATTTGTGGTTCGTACATCTGTTTCTTGCATTAGATTAAGATTTTGAGGTGGAAACCATAGCTTAACCATCACAGGATTCCTCAGCGATTATAAGATGCCAAGCACATAGAAGTTGTCAAGAAAGATTTTCTGAATGCAACTCAGTTGTTAGAGGATCCCATCAGGTAGCTAATGACTCTAGGGCACTAAGGTGGAGGATCATATTTTTCAATGAATATGATGGATGAATAAATTTTAAAAATTAAAGGAAGGAAGGGAAAAGGAGGAAGGGAGAGATGGAGGGAGGAAGGAAGGAAGGGAGGGAGGGAAAGAAAAAAGAGAGAGGAAAGAAGAAAGAAAGAAGGAAAGAAAGAAAGAGAAAGAAAGAAAGAAGAAAGAGAAAGAGAGAGAAATTATGAGATAATGTATGTCTCTGAAAAGCACATGAAATTTCAAAGTCAACAGACCTGATTCATGCCATAGCTCTTTATTTCCTCCATGTGACCTCTGAGCCTAAGTTTCCTTTTCTCAGCATGGAGTCATGAAGCCAGTTCTCAGTGTTGTTGTGAAAATTACCTGAAAGAATCCATATGGATGCTCCTGGCACAGAGCCAGGCCCACATTACAAATGTGATTGGAGAATAATTGGCAAAACAGCACCCCAGGAAGAGAGGCTGACGCCAACCTCTTCTGAAAAGCTAGGGCAGAGAAGGGTCTTGCCAGTTTCACTTATTAGATTAACAACCCTAGGGAATCAGAGGCCCCCATCAGGGTACATTAAGCTCTGTGACCCCAAGGCAATGAGGGAATTTCTTTCTCACTGGTCTTGCTCCACTCCATCCTCCGTGTGGTCATCCGCCTGCTGGTGTAAGTGTGGATTGCTTCATGTTTCTCGTATGCCTAGCAGCCTTTACTGAGACATGTGAGGCCCCTTATGAACCAGCATGAACCCACTCCTAAGCCTTATCACCACCATCCTCTTATCACTCACTCCTGCACTCCAAGAAAATTCAACTCTCCAAAGGTGTAACTTTCTCCACCTACAATGGCCCTGTGGACTTTGCAGCCCACCAAACTGCTAAGATGAGAGGATTACTCTCTTTCAAAGGCTCCCAAGTGGCCCCTGCTGGGCTCTCTGTCATATGGCCAGAATTCCTTCTAGACTCTATTCACATGGCCCCACATCTATGAAGACTTTCTGAATCATCATCATCCCCAAATCTTCACCCAAAGTATATTCCATCAGGCTTCCATTGAGGGTTTTTCTACTCTTTAAACAAAGCTTCCCATGACATTAACCTCATTGGGCAAATACTGGTGTACATGTCTGCCTTGGCCACAAGACAATAACTTCATTGAGGGCAATGACTGAGATTTATCCCTCTTTCCATCTTCCATGCTCTTGAGCCCTACATATAGTAGGTGCTCAAACACAGTGAAGACCATTGGTATGGTGGAGCAAACCCACTTCCCCAAATGAGCCTTGCTTGGGCACCTTTCTGTAGCATGAACTTATTATCTGGTTCTCCCAATACAGGTACTAGAATTTTTAAGAGATTAGTCAGTGTTGGGCTAACCAATTCAGACTATACACAACCTAGGAGCTCCCTTTTCTTAGGGCTCTATAAAAACATTAAAGGTTATTTGAGAGTCAATTAACAATACTAAAAATAACTATATAAAGTTAACTTGAGCTTAATAACAAATTAAGCATGCAATACCTTTTGCAGTTTTACTTTTCTTTGCTCAGATTTCTTCTTATTAGAGAGCAGGTGACACCCTTAGCCAAGTGTAACTGTAGAAATAGTTTCATCTTTTTCTCTGACTTCTCCTCCTCTTATCTTTGAAATTCTGTATCATTTTTGTTCTTCTTTTATGCCTCATGCAGAGCGATAGTTAATTTCTTTTTACCCGAGGTGATATATATGCTGCAGAGAAAGCCAATTTCATCTGTTCACAATTGCTCCACATTTAAAATCTAAGTGCAGCATCTCCAACAATGGAGCCATTAAACCTTTGGCTGCCACTACTGTTCCTAATTGGCCATTGCATTAACCTGTGCAATGTTACTACCCGAAGAACATTCTCCTCTAACATCTGCAAGTTTAAGGAAGACGGTAATAAGATGGAATCCAGACATGGTGAGTGTGGAAAGATTCTGAGGGTTCTAAAGGGAAATTTCTATACGTAATTGAAAATGCAGTTGAGGATTCACTCATTAATTTCTTCATTCACTTAGTAAACATGTCTTAAGCACCAATGAGGTTTCAAAAACAAACAGGCATCAGATATTTGAGGGAACAAATTGGCATTCAGTGTTACAGCTGGTGGCACAGATTGGAGAGTTTTGATAAAAGTTGCAAACAGTGTGAGCTTTCCCATGAAATTCCCCTGCAACCTTACCCCCTTGGCTCCAAGTCTAACACTTGGGCCATGCCTTCTAGAGGGTGTGGCAGACACTCTTCTAGCATCTGCAGAGAAAGTGTGGCCTTGCAGCCATCCAGTTCTAAGCAGGACAAGGACTAGGGTGAGCAAGGGAGGCACTTGCCTCAGGTACAAAATTTAACGGGGCTCCAAGAAACTCAAAAAGCAAGATAAATAATACTAAATTCAATATTTAAAATCAAAATTAATGCAAAATCTTCATGATAAACAAAATATCAATTTTAAAAATAAAGACAGGCTTTAAGGGATTAGAAGGGAAGGGATTAAGATGAGGAGAGCGAGGCAGAGGCTCTGCAACTGCAGAAGTGGACTCTGTTGTTGTTAAACATTTGGATTGTTTGCATTCATTTTGATTTTTAAAAATTTTTTGCAACAAATTATTTATCTTGATAACTGAGTTTTTTGGTGCCTCCTTAAATTTTGCACCAGTGGTGAGTACCCAGGGACCCTGTTACTGAGAGCAGAGCAGAGGAGCAAGCCTGTAAGCAGATGACCCTAAGCAAAGGATGACTGGAACTCTGGCTTCTTCCCCAAGGGTGCAGATGGTAGAAGGACATCTAACGCCCCTGCCAGCCACCAGCAGGACCAAGGGGGAACTGGAGAAAATGGTTCCTCTGGGTCTGGTCGGGAGCAGGGTGAAGGCAGGAAATTCCAGGCAGACAACTGCAGCATATGTGTAACTATTACGGGAGGGAAACGTAGGAGAATCTGGAGTGAGTTCACAGGGCCTTTGCAGACACATTTCATGATACCCCACAAGTCCTTCATGTAAAAAGACACACTCCCAGCCTCCCGCAGAAGAGTCTATTTCCTGGGGAGGCTGCATCTGCAGTAAAGACCTGCCAGTTGGGTAGTGGAGTCGCACCTGGGGAGCGGGGTCCAGGACCTAGCAAGAGTGGGAGTGGTGGAGGGAAGAGGGCTGTTACCAAATCCAGGTCTGCACCTGCAGGGGGAGTTGCAAAGTATCTCGGTGCCTGGTGTTCCTAGACCCACAGAGAGAAAGAACAGAGAATGGGGTTTCAAAACTTCTAGCACAGGACTAAATTCTGTGCTGTGATGCAGCAGCACCAGGAAAGGAGTTTCAGTGTGAGCCTGGGTGCTGCTTGCAGCCAGCTTCGCCTCCTCGGGCAGGGCCCGCCAACTTCCAGCCTCCCGCTGACCCCAGCTCCTTCCCAAGCATATCTACCCCCAAGATAAGGGGGCTGGTGCCTGCACAGCTGCACAGGCTGGAGCCTCAACCTTCCCTTCTTACTTCTCCTTCACCCCTACATGCAGCTCATCTTCTCACCTGATCCAGTCAATTCTGTGCCATAAACATCATCTCTCTCCATCAACTTTTCTCTTTTTTTTTCCCCCTCTGAACCAATGCAACAACCTCCTAATTGCTCACTGTCTTCAGCATCTCCTGCTGAAAAATATTCAACAGAGCTGACAAGAGGAAACTTCTAGAACTGTCACCTGGACTGTAAAACCCTTTGGAGCTCCCTTTGCAGCAGTTAAAAGTGAGGTCACTGGAGTCACACCCCTCAACTTTGAACCCAGGCTCCCCCTCTTCCTCTGTGACCTGGGACACCTGTGCCTGAATTTCCTCCTCCTGCGGTGAGGGATGAGAAAATGCTATTGCTTAGAGACCTCTTGCACATAGAAAGTGCTCAGTAACTCCTGGATGCTATGATCATGCTAAACACGGTTAAACTCCACAGCAGCCTCATCTCAGTCCTGCTCCTGCCCACATCTTGTTTTCTAACTGCTCTGGCCTCTGTACTGTTTTCCAGAGGCAGCTTACATGTGTGCACTTCCCTAATCTTCTATAATTCTGTTCCTCCTCTCTGAGTACAACTCAGATGCTTACCTTTCCAGAGAGCTCTTCCTTATCCTGCATGTCTAGCTTTTATTGCCTCTCAGCTATGCGGTTTTCTTGTTAGTCTCTTCATCAAATAGTACTTTGCACTTCTCTCCAGCTGGGGGTGAATGGGTGGACATTATCAGGTGGTGCAAGGAGATTTACATATCTGCTTCCTCACTAGACTGGGAACTCTTTGAGGGCAGAGATTTAGGCTTTCATTTATTTGACGACCTTCAACCTCCAGAAAGGTGCCTGGCAGGGAGCTGAGTAGAGCTGGGATCCCATAGACTGATGGGGCTTCCATAAAACATTCTGTAGACTTCCAAGGGTATGAAGCATGTCTTGTCATTCTCATGTTTTGGCAATGAGAGCCTTGCTTGTATTGAAGAGACCACCCTCCCAGAGCTGGCCAATTCCTAGAGACAGTAAATGTGTAGCTGAGCAGCTGAGCCTCAAACCATGTTTTAAAACTTTTTTTTTTCATTTCCCCTTTCCTCCTCTGCACACCCTCAAGTCTCAAGATATAACTTTGACACAAACTGCATATGGGTCACCTTTCATCTTGAAATACAGCCTTGAAATGTGCTGTGAACCTCCACTCCCTTTCTTTTCCCATTCTACGCTTCCACACCTTATGCACATTTATTTACCTAGATGCTTGTTAGGGTCACACCATGCTCATATTTATGGTCATTTATTTCCTTAGAAGCTTCAGAAGTTGGATCCTGATAAGGACCAGATCAGAATTCTCTCTCTAGCAAAAAAATATTTTAAGGTCGGAACCCACTTCTGGCTGAAGACTGACTACAATATTGACTGTGATTAATTTATAACTTGAGAGGATCCACAACGGTGCCAGCCCCTCCACCAAGTGGAACAATAAATCAAGATGCAACTTTGGAGCAAGTCACGCCACCTGGCACCTCCTAGCACCCTCCTGCCTCGTCTATATTCCAAACTCTTTCTTTAAAAACCCCTGCACTCCCTTCACAAATTAAAAGAGTGGAATTTCTTTCTACTCTTCCTCTTGCTGGCATGGGTAATAAAGAAAGCTTACAATGTCTTTTCATAACTTGTGATTATTTGGACTTCTTTCCGCAGGCGATGGGCAGCTGGACCCTTTTGCCGATTACAAATGGGTACATAAACCAGCCAACCCAGAGCTCACAACTTTACCTGCTCTATTGCTCTCATACTCTTGGCCATGATTTCCCTGACCTACTCACCCCAGGGACAGGTGCTGGACAATTAGGGTCGAACTCTATGACCCCAGAGTCATGGAAAGTATTCAAACTCGACAATCCTAAGCCTGCTTGACCATTCCTTCCCCTGGAAGCCACAGTGAAGGCTCTTTTCCCACTCCCTGTGTCTTCTGACTGGCAGACACAGTGCTTCCCCCATAGACCCCATGGCCTGGTGTGCCCCTCCTCTTGGGAACTGTCTTTTCAAAGGCATCACACTCTGATCTGTAGCCTCATCATACCTGAATAGTAATAAAATCTACATTGTAAAACATGAAGCATTACTGAGTTCCCTCAAGTGTAAAATGGGACAATAGGACCTACCCCATGAGATAATCGTGGGGATTAAATGACTAATAAATGTAAAGTGGTTAAAATATGCACAGCACATTGTCAGGGCTTCATAAGCATTTGTTCTTCCCATCATGATTATTTTTATTGTGGTGCAACAGTGAGACGTAACAAACATGGGGAGGGAGGGGAACGGTGCTGTGCAGCTCAGAGTGAGAGGCAGTGCAGGAGAGAAGTCCCCAGTACACAGGAGAGGCCAGGGTCCACGCGGACCCATGAAGAAGGCCACGTGATGGGAAATGAACATCAATGAATTTCTGTGTCTGATAGTCACTTTGAGATTGTGTCCCATTCTTGGCTGTAATTACATTTCACTCAGCCCCCACACCCCTAAGCTTCAGGAAGTTTGTTACAGAGGCAGGGAAAGGAAGCCAAAGAGAACTATATGAATGTTCATGACTATACTATTATTAGTCACGTTCCCCTCAACCTCCTTCCTCCACCCTCCTCCGCAGGAATGGATCCCAGTTCCAACTTCCTGTTTGTTTTGCATCGCTCTTTAAATGATGTCATTTTCCACTTCACCAGGAAATACATTGGGAGTGTTTGGTGAGGCTCCAAGCCTCACCAGCCGCCCCTGCCCAGGCTCCAGTGTGGGCTTTTCCCCGTGGGGAGTGCTGAGAACACCACTCTGATGGAGCAGGCATATGAGAAGGTGCTTCCAGGGTATAAATCCACAAACCATGTCCTCTTTCATTTTATAGCTGTTCTGACCCATTGGCTGGGAATGAAGAGGCCTGCCCAGCCTGCAAGAAGGAAATCTGGAAACATTCCAATGGCTCATGCAGACTGGGGAAAGAACCCATGACTCCTCAACAGGGTCAGCCCCAGCGTGGGTGCACAGGGAAAGTCTGGTAGTGAGCTGAGCCCACCCTCTGGGCTGCTAAGCACTTTGCAAATCTCACGCTTCAATGCCCACAGTATTCTCTAAACACAAGGGCTAGCACAGCAGTTGACTGGTGAGTGTCCAGGACCAGCCAGGCCTCAACTCATCAGATGGAAAACCTGGAGCTCACAGAGCCAGCGACTTGCCCAAGATCATCCAACTGATGGGAAACTGAACCAGATCCCAGTGCCACAGAGTGCAAACTTTTAAAACAAAGCCCTACACACCAATCAGAGTTAGGCATTTCCCTGTCGGTGAAGAAACACGTTTTTGTTTTTTTTTTATTATACTCTAAGTTTTAGGGTACATGTGCACATTGTGCAGGTTAGTTACATATGTATACATGTGTCATGCTGGTGCACTGCACCCACTAACTCATCATCTAGCATTAGGTATATCTCCCAATGCTATCCCTCCCCCCTCCCCCGACCCCACCACAGTCCCCAGAGTGTGATATTCCCCTTCCTGTGTCCATGTGATCTCATTGTTCAATTCCCACCTATGAGTGAGAATATGCGGTGTTTGGTTTTTTGTTCTTGCGATAGTTTACTGAGAATGATGGTTTCCAATTTCATCCATGTCCCTACAAAGGACATGAACTCATCATTTTTTATGGCTGCATAGTATTCCATGGTGTATATGTGCCACATTTTCTTAATCCAGTCTATCATTGTTGGACATTTGGGTTGGTTCCAAGTCTTTGCTATTGTGAATAGTGCCGCAATAAACATACGTGTGCAAGTGTCTTTATAGCAGCATGATTTATAGTCCTTTGGGTATATACCCAGTAATGGGATGGCTGGGTCAAATGGTATTTCTAGTTCTAGATCCCTGAGGAATCGCCACACTGACTTCCACAATGGTTGAACTAGTTTACAGTCCCACCAACAGTGTAAAAGTGAGAAACACGTTTTAAACCCAAGTTTAAATGGACCCATGGATAGGCCCCTGGGATGGCAGTTCCCAAGGTGTGTTTCTCATAATCTGCTTCCACAGGATTTAAAGCAGAAAAGGCACCTCTTTTATTTTAAAGTCCCTCCTTAAAAAAATGCCCATGAGAATGCAGCCTGAAGCCATTCAGCCAAAAAAGACCAGGCTTTTCTTATCCCTCTGATAATTAGGACCACGAAAGCACCATCAACTTGGGAGTCATGGATGTGTCCTGTGTGTCCAATGCAGTATCCCAAATATTGCAAGCTTGGCTGCCAGCAATAAGAGAATTCCCAGGTGAGCCTGATGGGTCTTCTACACCGAAGCTTCATGAAAAGAGATGGATGGTACTGGTTGTTCTGTTCTGGGGCCTTTACTGAGTAGGCATCAGACACTTGGAGTGGGATGAAGGGTGGGCTTAGTAGTAAACGAGAATCAGCCACTTGTCTAGACCTCAAGTGGCTCATACATAGGTATCCATACCCTATTAGAGATAATGAACTATGCTATAGATAAATACCTTTGGCTCTAAGAAAAGCGGAGTTAGAGGGCTGTGAGATGTCAAAGGAAGAATAAAGAGTTTGCAGCTGGGGAACTCAAAGAAGGCTTCCCAGAGGAGGAGGATTTATGATCACTTGAATCATTGTTCAGCAAATATTTACTATCTTTTACCTCATCCTGGGAGCAGAGTGTATTTCCTTGTTTCATTGATTTTAGGCTGAGCCACATGAAACATTTACTGTACTTTACCTCCTTCTAGAAGCAAGGTATATTTCCCTGTTCCATTGATGTTAGGCTGGACCACGTGACTTGCTCTGGCCAGTAGGTTGTTAGTGACCGTAATAGAGACCAGAGACGAGTGTGCTTGCACAGTGGGGTTCTTTCTTCTCATGCTACTGTCGTCACCATGACAAAAATCAGCTCTGGTCCATGGAGGATGAAATATGCATAGAGCAGACCTGACCCCAGCCAAGCTGCAGAAACATAAATGAGAATGAACGTGGGTTTAAGCCACTGAGTTTCAGGGCAGTTATGTTATGCAGTATCTTTATGGTCACTGCTGTCTACTACAGATGTAAAGTTGGATCTTGAAGAAAGGATAAGATGTGGGTTTGGAGAAGGTAGGGGACTTCCCAGGGAGGAACAAGAAGATAAAGGCAAGAAAGTAGGAAGCTGAGGCCTACAGGAAGATAGCAAATGTTCTGGAGATGGATTCAGTAGGACTGAAGGCTGGAAGAACTGGAGGGACTCCAAATTTTAGAGGCTGTGACACTACTCTCAGAAATCTGGGATTTATCCTGAAGAGGATTGCGTAGGCAAAATAATGGCTTTTAAATAGATCTGCTTCCTAACTCTCAAAAGGTATGAATACATCACCTTACATGGCAAAAATGATTTTGTGGGTTTGACTAAGGTAGGGATCTTGAGATTATGAGGTTATCCTGGATATTCAGGAAGGCTCAATATAACCACAGGTGTCCTTATAGGAGGGAGACGAGAGGGTCAGAGTCAGAGAAGAAGTAACAACAGAAGGGAGGTCAGAGTGATGCAGCCAAGTACCAAAGAATGCAGGCAGCCTCTAAAAGCAGGAAAAGCTGAGACACAGACTTTCCCCTGAGCCTCTAGAAAGGGAGGCAGCCCCACCCATACCTTGACTTTAGGCCCATAAAACCTTTTTGGCGTTCTGACCACCTCCAAAACTATACGATAATAAATTTGTGTTGCAGGAAGCCACTAAGTGTGTGGCAATTTGTTACAACAGAAAATGGCAACACAGGGATGGAGTCCCATGGAAGATTTTTGTGCAAGTCACTCATGATCCTAAAACCTGGTTTAACTGCTGGTTACATTTTAGTGTTTTCTTCCAGTCTTTTTTCCCTAATCGTGTATATATTTATAATACATTTAGGAAGATATATTAGACACAGTTATGACATGGCCATATTTTTTTTTTTTTTTTTTTTTTGAGACGGAGTCTCACTCTGTGGCCCAGGCGGGAGTGCAGTGGCGCAATCTCGGCTCACTGCAAGCTCCGCCTCCCGGGTTCACGTCATTCTCCTGCCTCAGCCTCCCGAGTAGCTGGGACTACAGGCGCCCACCATCACGCCCGGCTAATTTTTTTTGTATTTTTAGTAGAGACGGGGTTTCACCGTGTTAGCCAGGATGGTCTCGATCTCCTGACCTCGTGATCCGCCCGCCTCGGCCTCCCAAAGTGCTGGGATTACAAGCGTGAGCCACCGCGCCCGGCCGACATGGCCATATTTTTATGGCAATAAATGTAATAGTATTTTAAATGGCTGCACAATAGCCTGCCATCAAAATATATTATAACATATTTTATATCTCTATTATTAGATATTATTTACTATTTTAAAAATAACTGTGATGTATGTCTCTGTATCTTTATTTTCTTTGTTTAGAATTACATTTACCATGAAAACATTTAAAACTCTTGCCAAATTATTACATTCCCACCAGAAGAATTAAATATTTTAATTTATTTACTCTTGGTTAAAATGCCAATTTCATGGGTGTAAAATGATTTTTCATTCCTACTTTAATTTGCTTCTCTTTCTTTCTGATGTGGTTAACACATTTTTGTAAACATGCTTTTTTAAAATAAATGCCTCTGCTCTACTCATTTTTCTTTGTGATTTTTTCTTATTAATTTATATAAATTATTTCTACATGAAGACTAATAGCTCTTTCTCTAAATATATGTATTCACATATATGTGTATAAATTTATGAGTAAAAGACCTTGTTTTATTTGTTTTCATATACCCAGAAATTAGCATAGTTTTTGACAAATGGTCAGATTTTAATTAGTTTTTTTTTTTTTTTTTTT
This sequence comes from Homo sapiens, assembly GCF_000001405.40. NCBI lineage: Eukaryota > Metazoa > Chordata > Mammalia > Primates > Hominidae > Homo > Homo sapiens. The sequence continues at coordinate 133,726,045 of NC_000008.11, read as the reverse complement.
TGAAACAGGGTCTCACTGTGTCACCCAGGCTGGAGTGCAGTGGCAGCAGGATCTCTGCTCACTGCAACCTCCACCTTGTAGTCTCAAGTGATCCTCTCACCCCAGCCTCCTGAGTAGCTGGGACTACAGGCGCACGCCACCCTGCCTGCCTAATTTTTTTGTATTTTTGGTAGAGACTGGGTTTCACCATGTTGCCCAGGCTGGTCTCAAACTCTTGAGCTCAAGTTATCTACCTGTCTCTGCCACCCAAATTGCTGGGATTACAGACTCAATGAGTCTTTGAAAGGCAATATAGTATAGAGGTTAAAAAGACAAATTTTAGAATCAGACTGCTTGGATTTAAATCTCAGCTTCACCACTGACTAGCTGGGAGAGTTATTTGCCTTCTCCGTATCTGCAAAATGGAGATAATATATCTGCCTCTGGGCTGTTGGGAGGATTAAATGCATAATTATATTTGGCAATCCCTTCAGCCTTTGTATCAGTTAGTTTCTACTGTGTGCTAAATCATCTCAAACTTAGTAGATTAAAACAAGTATTTCTGTAGCACATGATTCTGTAGCCTGGCAATTTAGAACTGGACTTAGTTGGGGAGTTCTTTTGCTGGGCAGCAGGCTCAGCTGATCTGGCTGGACTCGTTTAGCAGCAGCGATCAGCCGGTCTCCTGGCTGGGGGTTGCCTGGTCAAGAACAGCCTTAGTGTGGATGAGTCATCTCTGCCCCATCTGGCCTCTCATCCCCCAGCAAACTCGCATAGGCTCATTCACATGGTGGTGTCAGCACATGCTTGATGGGTGTTTGCCACTGCCCTATAGCACGTCTATGGGGCAAGCCCAGGGTCAGTGTGGGAAGGCATGAGCAAGGGAGGGGCATCCCCAGTAGGTGAGATAACAGGGAGGCCTGGACAAAGTTGGTCATGACTACAATTAATCCTTCACTCTCTACTAGGCTCCAAACTTTCATTGACAACAAGTCTAACCTCATATTTTGCAGAGGATGTAAGTGAAGTGATATCAGTGATTCTCTTTCTGCCTAGACAGGTAAGATAGCACAATGGTTGAAGGCCTGGGATCTACAACTGTACTGCCTGGCTTCAAATCCTGACCCTGCCACATATTAGCCATATAATCTTATTTATGTGATCACTTAGTTCCTTGGGGGTTAGTTTTACCATCTGTAAAATGAAGGAAATAATAGTATCTGCTTCACTGAGCTGCTGAGAGAATAAATGAGATCACTTGTGTCAACAAATTTGAGATACGGCCTGGCATATAGAAAGCTCGCACCGTGTGCTGATTTTCATGGCTTGAGCCAAGCCATGCTTTTCTGTTCTCCCCATTTGGCCATTACTGCTTTCAACCTAATGCGGGGAAAGGGTGTCGGCTTTATAGTCAGATGGATTGCTACAAGAATCCCAATTCCAACCCTTTAATTTATTAAACCTAAAATAGTACTAAACACCCAGTATATGGTAAGTGCTGGGTGCCAGGAAAATAATGGAGAAAGAGCAGACAGAGCTCATGGGGCTAACATTCTCACAGGAGAGAGACAGTAACACAGAGATAAGGTGGCTTCAAACAGATGCTAAATAGAGAAACCTAATGTGGAAGTGATTTGCAGAGTCACGGAGGCTATCTTAGACTGGATAGTCAGGAAACTCCTCTTTGAAAAATGGACATTTGAAACAAAACTTGACTGGCAAGAGGGGAGAAAAACATCCTAGGCAGAGGAAAGAGCTAGTGCAAAAACTCTGAGGCAGGACAAGCTCAAACAACTAGACAACAGCCAAGCAGCTGGTATGACCCAGCACCATGAGTGGGCCTGTCCCAACAAGCAGCAGGTGCCAGATCAGGTGGGCTCCTGTAGGTCAAAGGCCTTTGAGCCCCCAGACAGATTATTTTAAAATCCAGTCTAGGGCATGGTGTGGTGGCTCATGCCTGTAATTCTAGCACTTTGGGAGGCCAAGAAAAGAGGATCACTTGAGCCCAAGAGGTCGAGATGAGCCTTAGCAACATGACGAAACCCCGTCTCTACTAAAAATAAAAAATTAGTTGAGTGTGGTGGCACACACCTGTAGTCCCAGCTACTTGGGAGGCTGAGGTGGGAGGATCACCTGAGCCCAGGAAGTTAATGCTGCAGTGAACTGAGCCCAAGCCACTGCACTCTGGCCTGGGTAACAGAGTGAGACTTTGTCTGAGAAAATAATAATAATAAATAAAAATAAAGTCCAGGCTCTATTCCTTAAGTGCTGTGTGATCTCAAGCAGCAAATTCATCCATGATCCTGCAACCTGGTTTAACTATTTTCTTCCAGTCTTTTTTTTCTCTAACTGAATATACAATTATATGAATATGCATTTATATTTGTAATATGATATATACATTTATAGCATATGGGAAGATATACTTCCCTATATACTAGCTATGTATTGGGATGCTATTTGGGAAGATATACTCAACCTCTCTGCTGTTCAGTGTCCTCTTTATAAAAAGCTGGTGGGACATGGCAGCATCTAGAGGTCTTGCAGCTGTGCAGCCAGCAGGGCTTCTTCATGCAGCCCATGCAGCAGTGCAGGTCGTGAACGGCACAACTCCACTGGTACCACTGACAGCAATACAGGGGGAATGATGTCCCTGGAGTATGTGACTAAGAGGCCTGGTTGTCTGGTCCCAATACTTTCCAGCTCTACTTCTATGAGACCCTACTCATTCCCTCTGCAGCCCCAGAAGAGAAAGCCTGGGTTGATATCACTCTGGAAATAGTTTCTGAATCTGAGATTGACCAGGACCAGCATCTCACTTAGAGACACCAGGAAGGGTCATGAGGGAGAAGTCCATGACTCACGCTCTGGGATATTGCTCCAGGACATTCCAGGGCCTTTGGGACAGGCTGACAAGATCATGAATGTCATCTAGGGAGAAATTGAGTTAAAGGCTAGAGGATAATTGGCTTGGGATAAAATCTGACTGCAGAAGTCACCCCTGCAGATGCCATTGCCCCTTGGTGGAGATAAGCCTGGGAAACAGGAAATGCCTCTCAGACTGGAGTCACAGCCGCACCATGAGATTATAATAGCACCATTTGCTGAGTACCAATTGGGTGCTCTGTGCTATTCTAGGTGCTCACGAAAGCACCACTGGATCAACAGAGCCACAGTCCCTGTTTTCATAAGGATATGTCAGTCAGGAATATGCTCCCAGGCTGATATCAGAAAACTGGCTGAAATTAAACAAACAGGGGTTTAATGTTTGCACATGGGGAGAGGCCTAGAGGTGTGGAACTGCTAGTGTGGGTTTGGCTGTTCGACCATGACATCATAGATCCAAGTGCCTTCTAGTTGTTTTCTCTGCCATCCTTACATATTGACACATGCTTGTTGCCTCATGGTTGCAAGATGGCTGCTGCCAGCCCAGCAATTACATCCATTACCATGGCATTTCCAGCTGCAACGGAAGTTGGAAGAATTTCATCCTTAGGTCAGGAAATCCAAGCAGAGGCAACTGCACTGACAAAATAAAGGTCTATAATGACAGAAGTATAACTTCATGTTAGATTTTCTCTTTCTCTGTCTCATCCTCTCTGTTCTTTCACCCTTGCTTCCTGGTGCTACCTCAAAGATAGACTATCTATACCCAAGACCTTCTCTCAGGCACTATGACTGGGGAACCTAAACTTTCATAGGGACCAAAGAGCATGGAACTGAGGGATGGAGAGTATCTATAGAATTTTAGAGGGAGGAAAATGGGAAAGGAAGAAACTAATGTTTTGAGAACCTCTGCTATGTCGAGAACAATTACACATGTGAGCTCATTTAATTCTCAAACAGCCTATAGGCTATACATAATGTTCCCAGTTTACACGGGAGGAAACTGAGGCCCAGAGGGCTTGAAGATCTCATTAATGTTACTCAGAGAGCTAACGACTGAGATAGACTTTGCCTGACTCTACACCCGAGTTATTTCCTCCACAAAACATTTCCATCTGCCCATTCCTCTCACACCTCTAATTAACACTCACTCCATTCTGCTTTGTAATGATGATGGTTTTCTCCCCAGTAAGAATTGTGAGGCTGTAGAAGGCAGGAATGGGTATTTATTTATCTCTCTCCCTTCCACAGTCTGAGTGTAGTGCCAATATTTGAATAGTTTAGAGTAAACATCACAAAATAGTTATGATCTTTGACTTCTCCTACTTATAAATGAAGATGGGTTGTTTATCAAACCTTGTTACAACTTACTTGATTTTTGCTGACTTTTTAAAAAGTGCCTTTTAAAGACTCATGGAATGCTTCCCTTTGTTTACTGTTCTGGTTCTTTGTAAAAACCCAAGGTAGGGTCAGTGAGGTGAGTCTGAGAGCAAGCGTGCCCTTGTGGTGCTAGTGCCCGAGGGGTCTGATGGCACTTTCCCCTGCACACATTCCACTGCCTGGCCGGCAAGTGTATTAGTCTGCTCTCATGCTGCTCATAAAGACATACCTGAGACTGGGTAATTTATAAAGGAAAGAGATTTAATGGACTCACAGTTCAACATGGCTAGGGAGGCCTCACAATCATGGCAGAAGATGAGGGAAGAGCAAAGTCACATCTTACATGGTGGCAGGCAAGAGAGCTTGTGCAAGGGAACTCCCCTTTATAAAACCATCAGATCTCATCAGACTTATTCACTATCATGAGAACAGCAGGGGAAAGACCTGCTCCCATAATTCAATTACCTCCCACTGGGCTCCTCCCATGACACATGGGAATTGTGGGAGCTACAATTCAAGATGAGATTTGGGTGGGGATGCAGCCAAACCACATCAGCAAGCAACTGCACAGTGCTGAAGGGAAAGAAAACAATGAAAACAGGAAAAAGAGAGGGGAAAATAAACAGGGTGGGGGGTAGTTTAAGTTATGGCCGCCCACCTCTTCCTTTCCCATAAAACTCCAAGATTGTCAAAATTAAGGTTATAATAAACTTTGGTTTCATGCGAAATGGCCTGGGAACAGAATAAATCTATCTTTCCTGCCCCTGCACCCATCGCTCCTCCTCAGTGAGAATCCCTGAATGCCCCCAAAAAAGAGACTCATATATGATATCAAGCCCAGTAGTTAACAGTCACAATTCTGGGATCAGGTATGATTCAGGTCAGGAGACAGAAGCCTGGGTTTCAGGGCCAGCTCTGCTCTGATTAACCTTGTGACCTCGAATGAGACCCTTGGACTCACTGAGAATCAGTTGTTCCATGTAAAAGGGGCTCAATTGAGGCAGTGAACATGTACTTCTTACTCTATTTCACTGATTCTCTGACAGGCTTTTACTGTTTTGAACACTTTAACATCTCCAAAAATAGGATGAGTCGTACAATCCCCAGAGTCTCAGAATAATTAAAATTCAGTATTAAAGAAACAATTCATGCTCAGGACACATGGGTGATGCAGAGCCCCCAGCTCTAGAGCTTATGAGCTGGTTGATAACTGCCTTAGAAATCCCAGAAGGTGTTTTATATCACACCTAATAAAATCTCTGTAAAAGTCTGTTGGGAAAAAAATGTAAAACAGAATAAAGATTTGGCAAAGAATCATGCTGTGAGAACACAGGCTATGGGGTGACTCCTGAAGTCAGAGATCTGGGCTGTAGTCAGGGCCAGGACTGGGGTGAGGCTTAAGTGCTGCGGCCACAATTTAAATCCCAGTGTCTCATCGCCAAAGGTAAAAAGTTAAGGAGGCATTGTTCTCAGAGTTGCACAAGTGCATGGGCAGCACCTGCAGCGGGGGGAGCCTCCTTTTCTTCAGCCCCCTAAACTCCTCTCTTGACTCAGTCTTGTCCCATCCTCAGATGTAGCTTGGCCCTTTAGGGACCCACCAACTGTGGGTCTTGGGCAGCTTGGCTCCTCCTTCTTGGCTGCAGGTACCTGACCTACAAAATGAGGAGGTGTTTTGATTATGCTTTTACGTTGTCTGTCTTTGCCACTAGACAGAAAAATTCCTGGGAACACTAACCACTGCTGATTCACCTGAGGTGAGTGGCTCTCAATAAATGCTAATGGCCCTATTTGTTGAGTGGTTGTACTGATGACTGGCATCAGCTTGGTTACCTATGGCATAACCAACAGTGTCTCCGAGCTGGCTTTGGAATTAAAGACACCTAAGTTCACATCTCAGCTTCCTAACTTACCGGCTGAAAAACTTTAAGTTACTGAAACTCTCCATATGCTTCAATTTCCTCATCTCTAAAGTGGGAACAATACAAATCCCTACTTCAAAGCATTGTTGTAAGGATTCTATAAGGTCATGGAAGGAAAGTTCTTAGAGAGGCACTTACTGTGGAGTAAACGCACAATCAAGTTTAGTTGTGGCTTTAATTATTAGTGTCACTGTCACCTCTCTCAGCCTCAGTGTCCTACTCCGTGAAGAACACAGAACATTTTGGATAATGCAGTCTGAACAGTGCTATATCCTCAGTTCCAAAGTATTTTCCAAGAAAAATGTTTTGTTTTGTTTTTCTATCTGGGATTCTGGACCAGTTTTCATAAAGCCTCCCCTTAAAGCCTCCTTAATTCCTTGCTAAACACTCTCCTCTAATCCTGAAGAAACAAAAGCCTTGGAGAGACATCTTCCAAGAGCCGCAGGGACCAGATCCACTTCAGCCCACTTCTCTGTACTAGAAAGCACTATCATATTCAAAGGGTAACCCAGTATATCCTGATATCCTATGTGACTCTGGATTGAGGCGATGACATTCAAAAAAACAGTCAAAAAACTGATAGTAATTTGGTATTATGATTTTGTTCTTTCATCTCTTAAATAGCATTAAAGTGGATCCAATAGGCAAGGGAGACCAATGTTCTCAAATTCCACTTTAATCACTGTTGAGATTCAAGAGTGACAACTCATGACTCCTGTACCCCTCCTCCAAGTTTAGGACCAATTAAGAAATATGCACAGCGGCCAGAAAGGTGGAGATTAGATCAACAATAACTCTACTAAAACAAAACCAGAAGACATAGCTGGGATCTGTAGGCATAATCAGGTGATCTAAGATCTTCTGTCTTCCCAAGGACTTAGGAAAGCCTGCAAAGCAGATATTTATACTCACTTGCAGTGGGGAGAGAGAATCCCTACTTTATGTGTGTTAAGAGGCAATAAGAAGACAGAGGGAAAGAGAGAGAGAAAGAAAGAGGAAGAGAGAGGGGCCCAGTACAATAAATGTCACCCAGATCAACAGCCTGGACTAAAGTATAAACAGATGTCAGCTTTTAGCCACTCTCCCAATCAAATGTATTTTTCTACCATCTCTCTTTGACAGCCAGGAAGGAAAGGGGACTGGGGAAAAGAGGGGCAGGGCAGAGAGGGGCTGGAAACGTTCCTTTAGGTGAAGTCCCTCTGTGATGTCATGAGAACAGGGTATGGGGCACGTATAGCAATGCACTCCCATTTTATCACGCTCAACCCTGCTTGATGCCTGTCATTCCTGGCAGCCCCTCTGGCTCACCCCTCCGTCACACACTCACTCCTTCCCATTTTAGCTGATGTTTTGTATTCATCAGCTTCCCCATTCCTGTCACTCCACAGTTGTCCTTCAGTAGCAAAAAAAACCCAAAAACCAGTGAACTTGCCTCCACTCAACAAAGAGCAGTATTTCAGTCCAGCAATGCTCTCCCATGGAATCTTCTACGATGATGGGAATGTTCTGTATCTGCGTGCTCCAGTGCATAAGGCAGCAGCCGCACGTGGCTATCAAACCCTTGAAATTCAGCTGGTGCAAATGAGGGACTGAATTTTCAATTTTATAATCGTAATTAATTTAAACTTAAATGGCCACATATGCTGAGTGGCTAGTATATTAGACAGCCCAGTCCTACAGAGTCAAGCACTTTGAGGAGATAAACATAAACTTTTTGGTCCATTTTCCTTCCAGCCTCTTAAAATCCTTCATGGCCCTGATTCTGCCATCAGGGAGCCCTGGTGTGGTGAAAAGAAGGGTGGGCCAGGAGCCGAAGGGCATGGATTGGAGTTGTGGTCCTCACTCATTGTCTATATGACTTTAAACAAATGGCTTGATTTTGGTTTCTTCATCTTAATAATAGAATGTAATTTTTTTAAGATTAAGTAAGACAATGTCAATGAAATTGTCTTGTACCATTGAAAGTTTTCATTTCATTTTTCTAGCCTCTTTTGAGGATTATGTAGCAAATCAGCCCTCACTTTCAGCTTTCAGTAGTAACATCTTCAGATGTTCCCAGTCTGCCTTCTGCATAATTATCCAGGAAACATCATAGATCATTGCTGAATAGGATAGGACTAAGGACCAAGCCACCTTTCTCTTTGGCATGAATTTGCCTGCATTTTGAGATAAATTGTTCTACAATGCCATTGCTAAGTGTGTACTCTTATTCATCCCATATTTTATAATCATATCTGCAAAAATATCAAGAGGAATTTTGTCAAAACTCTAGATGACACTGAGATATGCTTTATAGCCTTAGCCATTATAGTGTTTCAAAGGCCTCTGTGTTTGTTTTCAATTGCTGTATAACAAATTATCTAATACTTAGATATGTAAGGCAACACTTACTATCTCATCGTTTCTGTGGGTCAGGAATCCAACTGTGGCTGAGCTGAGTGGTTCTGGTATCTCTTAAGGCTGTCCTCAATAAGTCACCTGGGGCTACAGTCAACTGTCAGCTCAAGGCTTGACTGGGGATGACCTGTTTCCAGGCCATGAACAGGCCTCAGTTCCTCATCACATGGGCCTCTTTATGAGCTGCTTAAATATCCTCACACCTTGCTGTCTGGCTTCCCTGTCTCTTGGGCTATCTCATGATATAGCAGCTGACTGAGTGACTCAAGAGAGAAGGCAAGATTGCACCCAGGGTGCAATCATTTTATAACCTAATCCCATAGCCATAGCCTAGTCATATAGCCATGCGACCTAGCCACAGTCATTTTACGACCTTGTTTCATACTTAACATCCTGTCACTCCTCCCATATTCAAGTCACTAGAAACTAAGTCCATCCACAATGAAGGGGAGGGATACTATCCTCTACCTCTTAATGGGAGAAATATCAATGCATTTTGGATACACCTTGAAAATCAACACAACACCTCAAACTCAAATGGCCAAAACTTAACTAATGAGCTTCTTGTGCAAACTTAGTGTTTCCTATTTTGGCTGATGACACTTTTGTCCACCCATCTTGCATTGGAACCACCGAGCCATGGGTAATATCTCTTTCTCTTACACCAACTCCGTATATCCAATCCACTGCTATGCCCCACATATCTTAACTCTTAGTTGGCTTTCAACAGTTTTTACCTATTTCCAACTCTACCAAGATTACTATGGTCCAAGCAACACTCCTGTCTCACCTAGAATCATGGTATAGCCTCATGGCTGGTCTATCCATATTACTGTACTTCACTTTAATCGACTTTCCATGATGCAGCCACAGAGGACTTTTTGAAATGCAAATAATATCCTGTCACTGCTATCACCTCTTTCTTAGTATATTCAAAGAGATCTTAGATTGATGACCAAAATACTTAACTACATTTAGGAGTCCTGTATGTTCACTGACTTCCAACCTCACCTGCACCATCTAACACCTGGCCACTCTTTATTGTCTTTGGCTGAGCCTTTGCCCTTTGGGTTTCCTCTGACTGAAACACTCTAAGTCCCCTTGCCTTGTTAATGTCTTACCTTTCAATTCTCATCTCAGCCTCTGTTGCTTTAAAACAGAGTTGCTCGACCTTAGCACTATCCACGTTTTGAGACAGATAATTGTTTGTCATAGGAGGCTATGCTGTGTATTGTAGGATATTTAGCAGAATCCCTAGTCTCTGCTCCCTAGATGCCAGTGGCATCACCTCTCTCCAAATATGACAACCAAAAATAACTCCACACACTGCCAAGTATCCTCTGGGAGAGCAAAATCACCCCGGCTGAGTACCTTGCCTTAGAGAGACCCACCTGACTGAGTCAAAGCCCCTGGTAAATGACCCTCTGACATCTCTCCTCCTAAGCACCAGACACAGCTGTGATTGTGTGTGTATCCTGCATATCATCTCTATTCCTTATCAGACCAAGGCCCCAGAGGGTAGTGGACATCTCTATTTAGCCATCATCATGTCCCCAGGGTCCAGCACAATCACTGGTACACAGATAGTCTGTCAAATGAGAATATATTTATGTTATTCTGCTCATATGCATCCATACCAGTGAAAGTAAGAAAGGAAAGAGACTTTGGGAGGCCAAGGCACGTGGATCAAAAGGTCAGGAGATCGAGACCATCCAGGTTAACATGGTGAAACCCGGTCTCTACTAAAAACACAAAAAATTAGCCAGGTGTGGTGGCAGGCACCTGTAGTCCCAGCTACTCGGGAGGCTGAGGCAGGAGAATGGCGTGAACCCGGGAGGCAGAGCTTGCAGTGAGCCAAGATCGCACCACTGCACCCCAGCCTGGGCGACAGAGCGAGACTCTGTCTCAAAAAAAAAAAAGAGGGATGGAAGCAAGGAAGAAAGGGAGAAAAGGATGGAATGGAGGGAGGGAGGGAGAGGGGAAGAAAGGAAGGAAGGAAGGAGAAAAGGGAGGAGGAAAGGAGAAAAGGGAGAGGGGGAGAGAGGGAGGGAGGGAGGGAGGGAGAAAGGAAGGAGAAAAGGGAGGAGGAAAGGAGAAAAGGGAGAGAGGTAGAGAGGGAGGGAGGGAAGGAGGAAGGAAGAGAGGGAGGAAAAGAGAAAAGGGAGGAAGGAAGGAAATGAAGGAAGGAAGGAAAGGGAAGAGGTAAGAAAGGAAGGAAGGAGGGAGGGAAAGGAGAGAAGACGGAAGGAAGGAAAGAAGGGGAAGAGGGAAGAAAGGAAGGAAGGAGAGAGGGAGGGAGGGAGGAAGGAGACAGAGAGAGGGAGAAAGAAAGGGAGGGAGGGAAGAAAGAAGGAAGGAAGGAAGGGAGGAAGGAAGGGAGGGAGGAAGGAAGGAAGGAAGGAAGGGAGGAAGGAAGAGAGGAAAGAAGGAAGGAAGGAAGGAAGGAAAAGAAAGTAAGTCAGTCTCACTGGCTCACCCCAGATCTCAAGCACTGTTTCCCAGACTCAGTCTCATTTTCCCCATGTTGCTTCTGCCTTCTATGTTTGTTCCATTCTCAGGTTTTCACCTTATGGTAGCAAGATGGCTGCTCACAACTCTAAGCCTACTCCCTATGTTTCCAACAAACTCCACAGTGGTGGGTCCTATTTTCTCTGATTGGCCTGAGTCAGGCCATGTGCCCATAGTCAAAGCATCACTTACAACCAGAAGGATATGATGCCCTGACGGGCCAGGCTCAGGTCACAAGCTCAGCCTCAAAAGCCAGGAGTGTTTATTCACTCCATCCACAAAACATGTTCTGAGAGTAGGGGAAGAAGGTTTCAGGAGTGAACCGCCAGTGAACTATTGCCAGAAAAAGAGGAAATGGATGCAGGAAAGGCAAAAACTAGGATGCATGGCCATGGCTGGCATGTGGCAGGAGTTCAGTGATACTGCAATTGAGTCCACATGGCTGCTTATAAGCCTTCTCTTAATTGGAGTTCACAATCAGGCTAGGGAAGGATGCCAAATGGGCAATAACCGTAATAGCATATGTGTGTTGCCAGCATGAAGAGATGATGAAGGAATGAAGGAATGAATGAATGAACACACTGTGGCATCTTCTCCAGGCTTGGTACAATGGAAAGAGCATGACAATAAGAATACAAAGCTGTCATCCTGCCCAGGCCCTGGTACATCCATAATCACAATGGCCCAGACTTCTGGTCTCACTAACTTGATAGGGGATGACAGGAAAGAAAATAGCTTTCAGTACAAAGCATGCCAAGGAAAAAATAAATGCACTAAAGGCTCATGGAACATAGCTGAAAGATGCCCAGGATTCCATTTTCAGGGAGAGAACGGAGGTTGTAAGGATGAGTAAGAATGCAATTCACATAGTGTTTGCTGAGCATATACTAAGTATCAGGCCATCTACCCAATCCTGGGGAAATACAGATGGCACAATGCCTGAGAAAATGCAAAGCCAGGCATTCTGGGGTCCCAGTTCTTCAGAGATTTGTCTGGGACCCAAGGCTCAGAAAAGACAACTTCTTCACCCAGTCCAATCTACAGGGAAGAATGGAGTGAGGCTCTTTCTGTGAAAGACCAACTGGCCGGTCTTCTGAGCAGATGGATTCCTATAGGACCAGTGGGGAGAGGATTACACAGTACCTCTGAACCCTCAACACAAAATAATATCTCTTCTATTGTTGGTTAGTTTCACTATCTGCTTCATTCTTTTAAAATGTCAAGTGTTTTCTCTTGAGGGAACCTTCTGAATTACTTTGCCTGCACTATACCTAATTCTTATTACAATGCTGTGAACTTTGAATTATTACCCTTGTTCACCCCAAATGGAAAATCAAAGCTCAAAGAGGTGAGTGACTGCCCAGCTCATGCAGCTGATAGAATCAAGATTTCATTTCAGGTGTGTCTGGATCCTGCACTTACTTGCTCTTTTCTCAACATGGCCTCCTAAGGATCCAGAAGGAAGCCCGCCATCAGCAACCAGCAGCCCACTCACCCCCCACCTCAGTCTCACCTTGCCATTCAAACAGGCTCCAGTTTCAAATGTCAGTTCTGCCATTCACGTGATGCTGGACAAGTCAGTTAGCCTCTCTGAGATTCAATTTTCTCATATGCCTAATGGAAAAAGAGCATCTACCTTATAAATTGCATATTTACTCTTCCTTCCCACTGACTCAATAGAACTATATTTCCCCACTCCCATAGATGCTGGCCTTAGACTTGTGACTTGCATTGGCCAACGAGATGAGACATACACCAATCAAAAGAGAGGCATTAAATGTGCATGACTGGTTTAGCTTGGCCTCTTATGCTCCTGCCATGCGTGATTAGATCATGCCTGAGTAGCCACTGCTCATTCAGCCTGAGTTCTGGAGTGAGAAACAGGTGGAGCAGTCCTGGACTCCATCCACAGCCCAGAGCAGAGCACCATGGCCCACCCGTAGGGCTGTAAGTGAGAAAGAAATGTCTATTGTTATAAACCAGTGGTTTTCAAGGCATGGTCCCTCAGTATCAACGTCACTTAGAAATTTGGAGAAATGCACATTCTCAGTCCTCATCCAAACCTGCTTAATCAGAAACTCTGGGGGTTGGGCCCAGCAATCTGTGTTTTAAAAAGGCCTCTAGGTAATTCTGATGCAGGCTCAGGCTTGGAATCCACTGTTATAAATCACTGACATTTGGGGATTATTTGTTGCTGTGTGAAAGCTGACTAATACATCTACCCTTTGAGGTTGCTATGAGGACACAGTAAGATAAGATGTGAGAAGCTCCTGGAATGAGGTTCTTCCTGATAGTCCTAAGCCTGGCATCCAAAATTCTTCATAATCTGATCCTCGAGACCCCTTCAGCCTCATCCACCTGCACTGCCCTATAAAGATCCATTCTCTTTGCATTCCAGAGCCAGAAAGAAATTCAGAGGACGGGCGCGGTGGCTCATGCCTGTAATCCCAGCACTTTGGGAAGCGGAGACAGGCAGATAACCTGAGGTTAGGAGTTCAAGACTAGCCTGGCCAACATAGCGAAACACTGTCTCTACTAAAAATACAAACAATTAGCCGGGCCAACATAGCGAAACACTGTCTCTACTAAAAATACAAACAATTAGCCGGGCATATTGGCAGGTGCTTGTAATTCCAGCTACTCGGGAGGCTGAGGCATGAGAATTGCTTGAACCTGGGAGGCAGACATTGCAGTGAGCCAAGATCGCACCACTATACTCCAGACTAGGGATAGAGAGAGACTCTGTCTCCAAAAAAAAAAAAAAAAAAAGTTCAGAGATGAGTATATACAGCCCCCAATATCCAAAATGAGCCCTGGAAAGGCCACAGAGATTAAGTCCTCATTTCCTAACTCCAGGCCCCTACACAGCACCTGGGGCATCCTGGAGGTAAAGAATGAACACAGGTGTATTTACAGACAGCATCAGCCACTTCATGCTGTCCAAGGCAGAGATCCCTGTATTGCCATTCCTAACACTAATCCCCCAACTTCTGAACCAGCTGTCCTAGAAGGGCTGCTGGGTCAAGAAGTGTGTGCTGCCCAACATTTCAGCTCTTCCATCAACAAATATCTCAGGATACAGATGTGCAGATGCAGCCCTCTCTGCCTCAGTGCTTCCCTCCAGGGCTGCCCTCAGCCCAGATGCCCTGGAGACAGATAGGGATGGTCATTCCTTCCAGCTTTTACACGAGGACCTTGTGTGGCCACAGAGATACTTGGTCTCGGTGTTTATGAGAAAATTGGAAGTGCTTTAGCAGAAACAAAGTGTGCAATCTACCTCATCTTATAGTGAAGATGAAGTTGTCACCCCCTTTGTAAGACAGTTGGTGGGAAGTTAATGAGATCCTGTGTGTAAAGGGCTGAACAAGGACCCTGATGCACAGCAGGTGCCAACAATGGCTGCCTGTCGTTCTCATCATTTCTCACATGGTTCTGGAGGTTTCAATGAGATAACTTACAAAAGAGGATGATCTTTACCTGGCACGATGCTGGCCTTCAACACATGGTAGGTATTATTACCATTAGTTTTGTGGGTTGGCAGCATTACATGTCTGATGGAAATAGCCGTGCCATCCTGTGTCAATGTCTAAGTTAAAAGTTGTGGATGGCCGGGCACAGTGGCTCACACCTGTAATCCCAACACTTTGGGAGGCCAAGATGGGCACATCTCAAGGTCAGGAGTTCGAGACCAGCCTGACCAACACAGTGAAACTCTGTCTTTACCAAAAATACAAAAAAAAAATTGGCAGGGCATGGTGGTGGGCGCCTGTAATCTTAGCTACTCGGGAGGCTGAGGAGAATCGCTTGAACCTGGGAGGTGGAGGTTGCAGTGAGCCGAGATCGCACCACTGCACTACAGCCCAAGTGACAGACAGTGCGAGACTCCAACTCAAAAAAAAAAAAAGAAAGAAAGAAAAAGAAAAAATGTTGTGATGTCTCTATGGAATAATTGTTATCTAAGATGATGGCTAACCTTCAGCACATGTGTGCCAGTGCCCTCTTTCTATGGCTAGGAATGGATGACATTCTCAAACTGGCTTAAGCACAAAAGGAAATGTATCGATATAGGTGAAAAGTCTAGGCTTGGACTCACTCAGGCCGCATGGATTGGTCACTGGAATATGATGACTCTTGTTCTTTCCCTAAACTCTGCTTCCCTCCACTGGCATCACCCCGATGCTGGCTCACTTTCTGCACATCATGACTCCTGGCAACTCCTACACTGGCAGGGACCTCATGGAAGATAGCAGTCCTTGCAAAAAGAATAAGTGCCCCTTTCCAAGCAGGTCCAGCAGGGGTCCTAGGGAAAAATCCCACTGGCCTGCCTGGGGCTATAGAAAATAGGACATGCAACATGACCAGAGCCCATGCCGACTCATCCCACACCTCACCTAAACTATATGAACTGAGAGTGGTAAGTTTCCTCAGAGAAATTGGCGATGCATTTTACCAAAGAGGGGAGAGTCTGTGGCAGGAAGAAAGCATCCTACTCTGTGGAACATGCATTCTGCTCTGGCTGAAGCATTTCCAGTGGGACATCGGCAGGCTGTGCAATGTTTGGCAAAGGGGCTGCATGAGGGAACTGGAAGCCACTCCTTGGTGAGGGAGAGCTGAAGGCACTGAGGATGCTGGAACTGAGTTTAGGAGATCAAGTGCTGTTTCGTCTGTCATCTGGGATTCTGTTGTCTCTAGTGTTCACTTAATGCTTTGCATCTCTAATTGTTTCCCATAAGGTCACTTAGCCTAATAGAAGGTTATTTTATTTATTTATATTTTTCTAGAAACGAGGTCTTGCTCTGTCACCCAGGCTGGAGTGCAGTGGCACAATCAGAGATTACTGCAGCCTTGAACTACTGGGCTTAAATGATCTTCCTGACTCAGGCTGTGGAGTAGCTAGGACTACAGGCGTACACTACCACACCTGGCTGCATTTTATTTTTTGTACAGGTGAGGTCTTGCTATGTTGCTCAGGCTTCTCTCAAACTCCTGGGTTCAAACAATCCTCACTTCAGCTTGCCAAAGAGCTGGGATTACAGGTGTGAGCCACTATGCCCATCCTAGAAGGATATTTTAAATAATAACTATTAGGATGATGATAACAAGAATAAAATAAATAAAAACCATAACTGTATTAGTTATCTATTGCTGTGTAACAACTTTACTGCAAACTTAGTAGCTTAAAACAACACACACTTACCATCTCACAGTTTTTCAGGGTCAGGAGGTCAAGCCCAGCTGCAAGGCTGCAATCAAAGTATTGTTCAGGGCTGAGTTTCCATCTGGAAACTCAACCCGGGAAGAGCCACTTCAAGGCTCGCTTGGATGTCAGCAGCATTCAGTTCCCTGCAGCTATATGACTGTGAGTCTCCATCCCTTGTGGCAGCTATCAACTGGGGGCCACACTCGGCTCCCAAAAGTTATCTTCAGCTCCTTGCCATGTGGACCTCCGATATAACCGCTTGCTTCACCAAGCCTGCAAGAGAGAGAAAGACTCCAACAAGATAAGCTTGACAGTCATATACGGTGTGCATTCTTTGCCGTATTCTCTTGGTTAAAAGCAAGTCATAGGTCCTGCCTATACTGAACACCAGGAGTGCCTAGTTCACTAGGCACTGAACACCAGGAGGCAGTTATTATGGAAAGCCACATTAGAATCTGTCCACCACTTTAACAGATCACTGCATCAGACTAACTGCATAAATAGTTATGGTGGAATTAAATTTTCAGCTCAGTTTTTAGACCAGGTCTGTATGAAATATGATAAAACTTCCAGTGTTCCTATTTATCACTTATGAACTTTTTGACCTTGAGTCAGTTGTTCAGTCTCTCTGAGATTGAGTTTCTTCACCAGTAAATTGAAGGAAAATAAAAGCACCTTCTTCAGCTGGGCATGGTGGCTCAAGCCTGTAATCCCAGCATTTTGGGACGCTGAGGTGGGAGGATCATCTGAGGTCAGAAATTTGAGACCAGCCTGGCCAACATGGTGAAACCCCATCTCTACCAAAAATACATAAATTAGATGGGCATCGTGGTGGGAACCTGTAATCCCAGCTACTAGGGAGGCTGAGGCAGGAGAATCGCTTGAACCCAGGAGGCAGAGGTTGCAGTGAGCCGAGATCGCGTCACTGCACTCCAGCCTGGGTGACAAGAGCTAAACTCTGTATAAAAGAAATTTTTTTAAAAACCACCTTCTTCATAGAGTTGTCAGAATTAAATGTGTAGAGCGCTTTAAGTAGTCCCAGCATGTATTTAAAGCTGAATAAATGTCAGCATTTACAGCATTTACACACACACTAAACACATGTAGCTTCTGAACAATGTGCTGGCTTTTTCATTTATCAGAACCCTCCAAATACAATATGAAAGCCCCACTTTACAGATGAGAAAAACAGACGTTTGACACAGCTATAGGACCTACTTGAGCTCTCAGAGTTTCTGAGTGGCTGAAGTAGGTTAGAGACTCAAATCTTCTGTGATTCCCCAAGCTAGAGGGTATCAGACTGTCTAACCCTAAGAATTCCACTTGTTCCCCACAGCGTGATTTCCCAAGGGCTTCTAAGGGAGTAATGGGCTGACCAGGAGGATAGAACTCAAAGCCCAGACCTGCCACAGGCTTGTCCATCTCCCAACTTTACAGAAAAAGAGAGTAAGTCTCAGGAAAGAGAGGTGCTGGCCCAGGCTCAGGGTTGTTTGAAGTCAAGGAGTACATGAGAAACCAGGTCTGCTAGCTGCCGTCTCTCCAGGTCCTCTCAGTCCATGCAGTTCCACAGAGTGTTTTACCCTGAGTTTGACTGGGGGAAACTGGGCCACTTCAAATTATACAACTGACTCTACTCACTGTGTCTTTGTTTAAAACAACCATGAAGACAACTGGAAGTACCAAGCTAATGACATCTCAGACTGGCACAATTCTATGAGTGGATACCTGCCATTTTAAACATGGACTGCATTACTAAGCAGTGGAATGCTAATAAAATGTGGGCAATAAATTGCATTTTAAAAGCATGCTGGGAGACTGAGATTGCTCTTTTAAGAAACCCTATGAGGAATACTTTGATAGAGTAAGAAGGGAGAAAAAAAAAGCCTTGAACAGTGGAATAACAATCACTCATTTGAGTCTTATAAATCCAGACTTTGGTATATGAGGCTTCCTTTGAACACACTGCTTTTTATGTGTGTAACGTATGCCTGAATACTCATAAATAAGTCAGCTAGGTAACTACGGCTGAAAAGCGACAGCCCTGCTCACTACCAGTCCTCTCACCTTGCTGCTACCGCCCCCTCAAAATCTACGTCCACCCCTAAAATATCTAAGTGACTGAGGTCAGAAATTTAGAGAAAGAACAGATTGGCTGTTTGGACACTTGAGAAATTTGATTTTAAAGTAACCCATTCTGTCACCTCTCTGAGACTCAGTTTCTTCATCTGTAAAGTCAAAATAAATTAGCTCAAACTAAATTAGAAGACAATTTTGAGGATTAAATTAGGTGATAATGCAAAAGTCTTTATCCAAAGAAAACTAGCTAAGTGAGTGGAAAGAACACAGGCTTTGGAGTGAGACCACTCTCTTTCTTCTCCCGCATTCTTACATACAGTCAGCCACCAAGTCCTGCAGATTCCATCCTGTTGAGTTCTCTGTCTGCGTGTCCCCCACTCCTCCATCCCTATGCTATGGACCTCACACAGGTTCCCTTCTCCTTGCACCCGTAGGGTTAAAACAGGCTCCTCCTGAGTTTCCTTGCATTGAAGTTTATTCTCCCAGATCCATTCTCCACATCGCAGCTAGGGTGATTTTTTTTTTTTTTCAAAATGCAACTCTTAATGTCTCCCCATTGCTCACAGGAAAATAAGAACAGCACAGCTCCTCTGTAAAGCATAACAGAACCTCCAGATTCTGCCCTGTTATGTCTCCATTTTCCTGTGTCATACTTTATACAATAGCCATACTAAGCTTTTAGAGTTTTCCATATCCAAAAGGCTATTTCTCACCTCCAGATATTTTCTTGTGCTCTTTTTTATTTTTATTATTTTATATATATATATATATATATTTTTTTTTGAGATGGAGTCTCGCTCTGTCACCCAGACTGGAGTGCAGTGGTATGATCTCAGCTCACTGCAAACTCTGCCTCCCAGGTTCAAGCAATTCTGCTGCTCAGCCTCCCAAGTAGCTGGGATTATAGGCACCCGCCACCACAGCCAGCTAATTTTTGTATTTTTAGTAGAGAGGGTTTTCAACTTGTTGGCCAGGCTGGTCTCGAACTCCCAAACTCAGGTGATCCACCCACCTTGGCCTCCCAAAGTGCTGGGATTACAGGTGTGAGCCACTGTGCCCAGTCTTCTTGTGCTATTTCTACCGCCCTTGGTGATGCCTTCATGTTTTAGTCAGGGTGAGCTAAGTTATGCTGCAGAAACAAACATCCCCTAAATTTTATTCTACATGCCCAAAGTTGCAACTGGGAGCAGGAGTTGTGGGGGCAATATCTGCTCATTGTAGTCACTCTATGACTCAAACTGATAAAGCTTTCTTCTGTCGTCACAGCAAGAAGAAAAGACCATGGCAAATCATTTTCTATCTCTTAATCTTTTCATTCAACTTTCCACTGACCAAAGCATGTTGGGAGAGGCATAGGAATGCAATCATACCTTAGCTTAGAGAGTAGGGAGAGACAGCAATATTTGGATCAAGAGATCTAATGATTTTTACATTTTAATGATTTTTTTCATACACTCTTTCTGCCTGGTAAATAAATCTATACTTTTTGGCATATCCCAAGTGCCTTCTCCAGGAAGACTTCTTTACACGTGCTTCCCTCATGGACCACACTGTATCTGCACTGGTTTAATCAGGCTCTTTCTCCTTTGCTACATAGAATACTTCTCTGGGGCAGACACCACATTTCACTCATGTCTGTATTTCTTGGGTCTAGCATAGTGTCTGGAGAGAGGTAGAAACCAAGTATCTCTACATCGAAGGAATGAGTGTTTTGGTGTGTGGCTCCACATATGGCTTGCCAAGTCCATGTACCCAAAAGTTTCCTGGATGCTGGTGGGGATGGAAGGAGAGGTGAGAGTGCTCCTGGGGTTCCGGAGTCTGCTGAGCTGCCCCTCAGATGTCGGCAACTCCAAAGACAACTCAGATGTGAGGCTGTAGACGCAAGGCAGTCAACTGCATTTTCCCCTCCTCACCAGCCTTTCCAATCTGAGTATCTTTTATTTATTTTTGTTTTTATTTAATTTTTCTTCTTTCGGCCTCATTACCCTGGCCAGAACATCTAACATATTAGAGGTTAAATAGAAGTGGTGAGAGCAAATATCCTTCTTCCTGATCTTAAGGGAGAAGCTTTCAGTTTTCAATACCATTAAGTAGGGTATTATCTGTGGGGCTTTCATAGACAAACTTGATCAAGTTGAGAAAGTGCTATTTCTAATTTGTTGACCTTTTTCATAATGAAGAGGTTACAGATTTTGTCAAATGCTTTTTCTGCATTTATTGAGATCATCATGTGGTTTTTGTTAATCAGCGTGTCTCTAGATATCGAAAAGTGTCCTCTGAGGGGGTAAAATCACACCCAGTTGAGAGCCACTGCCTTTGAGGACTGAATTAAATGGCACATGCAGAGTGCCCATTTCAGTGTCTGGGACTTAATGGACACATGAGAAAAAGTGGGCTATTTTGATTCTTAGCCTCTCCTTGGATACTGGTCAGGGCCTGAAGAAAAGTGTGAGTTTGGGAAAGGGTGGAGCTGCCCATATTCCTTGGAGGTCTCCTCCATGACCTCAGCTTCAGAAATTTCAGTGCTGGACAGGGCCCAATGAAGTCAAGCAAGCGGATTCAACCACCTAATGCATGTTCCATTAGGGCTGAATTCTGCCAGCCCCTCCCCAAGGCCTATTCAGAAAAAAATCAGGCTGAACATTATGGCTTCTCTAGGATGTTGCCAGGTCAAGAGCCCATGGCTCAGGTCTGTCCTTGTCTTGGCTCAAAGGGCCCCTGGCCAGGTCTAGCTCATAGGTTCAAACCTGAAGCTGTCAATGCCCTTCATTGGCATGGGATGAACCCCTGAGCACTGTAACAGGTGAGTTGAGAAGTGGAATTAATCAAAACCTTAGATGTCAGGTGCTTTAAATGCAGTATATCTAATCCTCATAACAGTCTTTCCAAGGGGACGCTTGTGCTCATTTTACTGATAAGGAAACTGAGGATCCAAGAGGTCAAGTGATGACATAGCAATAAATGACCATGTAGGTGATTAGAACTTACAGCCTGAATCCAAAGGTAGGAATATAACTTCCACTAAACCATGTTGAGTCACAAACACATGCATATATCACACACCACATGCACACACACTCACACCACATATACACACACCCCACACCTGCTGCTTCATGGAGCACTCTAAGTACACATTTTCTTGGAAGGCAGATGGACAGGGAGTGCAGGCATCTAATATTCAAAGAGTGGTATTTGCAGAATTTTGTGTCTACCTGCAGGTGCTGCCACTGAATTCTCTGTATCTAACTCAGAAGAGGTGTATCTTGGGCCAAGCTAGAAGAAATGAGAGATTCAATGCATTTCTGAGCAGGAAAGGCAACAACAACAGTGAGAGGTGGGGCAGCAGGAGGAGTCTTCACACAAATGATGAAGAGATAGAAAAGAGACTATTCCCTTCTTTATTTAGTCTCCCACTGACAGTAATATTTTTTGAGTGTCCACTAAGCACTGAGGATGTAGAATAAGAGAAGACAGGGCCTCTGGCCTCAGGAAACTCTGGGGACAGAGCAGAAAACAGATGCTCACAAATAAGCAAGTGACCATCATTCAAGTGACAGCATGTTCAAGTGCTGTAGGAGCCAACCCAGAGGCAGGTTCCCCATATCCATTTGTCCTAGTGCTGGTTGTTCCCCCTCTCCCTGGTATGCCCTGCAGAGCCTGGTCAACTTCTCCTACTCATCAGCATTTAGCTCACATGGCAACTCCCAAGGCATGTTGTTATTTATCCCAACTAGACAGACTAGGTAAGCCTTCCCTATGTCCACACTCAAAGTGCCCCAATGTGTGAATGGCGGAAATGGTCACAGCTGTGGACAATGAGCACAGACTAGCCACCAGCTCCATGAGGGCACAGGCTGCATCTGTTTGCTCAATGCTTTCAGGTAGAAGCCAGTAGATAGATGCCATCGAAGCATGACAAACGGGGAATTGAGATGATCATATCTGGAAAGATTGCTCTGGCCACAGGATGGAAAATGGATTACAAGAGTCCATACCAAAGGCAGTGCTGGAAGGCAGGAAGAGAGGCCTGCTGCAGGAAACCAGTGGCCAGGTGGCAAGGGTGTGCACACGTGAGGAAAGGGGCATACTAGAGAGATATTTGAGAGGTCAAGTTGAAAAAAGCCACTGAGAACAGGAATGGAGAAGAGTGAGTTTTAGGATGTGTAACCTGGCTTCTCCCTGAGACAAAGGATGGAGTGTGTTCTATGCCCACATGACTAAAGGTTCTCCATTTTCAGAGAGATGAAGGAAGAAAGGAGTAATTAAATGTTCAGCTTTGCCTCTCTTGAGGAAATAAACAGAAATGGATGCTCCCAACCGTGGATGATTGAATGAATGTAGAGGTGAATTACAGATGCCTTCGATGTCAGAGCTAAAAGAAATATGAAAGGGCTCATGATCCCAGGTTTCTGCACTCCAACCCCTCCCTTCTCATACCAAGCTGCTTGGCATTTATCTGTCCCACTGGAGCCTGTTATGTGAGTGACTTGCTCAGGAAGGACTTAGTTAATGCACAGGTCCTATGAATGTCTATGCCACAAAGAGGTAACAGTATCCAAAGCATCCCAGGCTATATTCAGATCAACCTATTTCAATTAAGCACCTCCACCTGGACTCTGTGCTGAGCACCAAGCTCTGAGATGCAAGAAGACAATGGTGAACAAGACATCAGCCCCCGCAAAAGATCTGCAGCATGAGCACTCACAGCTGTGGCTCAGGTAGAGGTTTTAAATAAAACCAACCCGGCAAGAGGTTTTAAATAAAAACCAATGCTCAGAATGCATTTAAAATGTTCCAGGCTCTGTTCTAATATTTTCCCTCTGCTAGCTTGATAAATCCTCTCAAAAACCTTCAGACGTAGAATTTTCATGTTGTTTTTCTTTTGCTAATGAGGACAATGGAACTCTTGTCCAAGATTTTGTACATCTTAGCAATGGAGCTGGGGTAGAACCCAGGTAACCCAGTCCCAGAACTTGTTTATGTGACCATCACATTATCTCACTGACATAATAAGTTGACGTTTGTGGACTGCTGCTTATGTGCTAGCCACACTTTTGCATGCAATTGACATCTGTTGAATCCTCATAGCACCTCTAGGAGGAGAAATAGCGGTACTGGACTGTGAGTTCTGCAACACAATTTTATGGGATCGGCTTCCAATTCCAGCATTCACTAGCCATGTGACATGGCCAAGTCTTTAACTTCCCTGTACTTCAATTTCCTCATCTGTAATAGGAGGTAATTATATGTCGACTTTGAAGGCTATTGAGAAGATTTAATGAGTTCACACATTTAAAATGATGAAAGTGTAGCTGTCACAAAAGAAATGCTTTTGTTAGAGAAGGGAAAGTGAGACTTACTAAGGTTACTTGCACTGCCCACCATTTCACAGCTGGTAGGTGATGGAGAATGACTCCTACCAGAGTGTTCAAGTTCACTACCAGGCTGTTCACATGCTGCATCTTGCAGACCCAGAAGCTGATATAAGGGATGAGTGAAGAGTGAATAAATGAATGAACTAAACATAGGATTTTGGTACCGATTATATTGTACCTGGACAATTTCACATTTGTTATTTCCTTTGACAATAAATTACCTGGAGTTTAAGGACTATTATCCCTTTTAGAGAATAAAAAACAACTAAGACTCAGGAGAAAAAAAAATCAATCTACGCTATGAGACCTTCCCCCCTCCCCACCATCACCTCAGAAGACAGACCAGGATTCAATCCCAGGTTCTTGACATCAAGGTTAATGTTGTTTCTTCTTTACCACCAGAACAAGCCGAGAACTGGTGCAAATCTAAAACAGATGCTTCCCTTTGCAAAACTCCTCTTAGAGAAGTGTAACCAGGGAGAATTGCAGAGGTGATATCCTACCTCTGCTGATTTCCAATCAGAATGTGGGCCTTTGGGCGCATTAATGATCTGAACCTTGGGTTCTTTCTTGTAAAATATGCATAGCAAAACTCATCTTCTTGGGTTGTTGGGAGGATCAATGAGAAAATGCAGCACAACATGTAGCATCAGACCAGACACACAGGGGGCATTTAGTAGACTGTAGTTAATTAATGTCACCATATGTTAATAACTATAAGTGTATTAATTAATAATGATCTCATCTTGGAAGCTGAGCAAAGTAATGAGGAAATTGGGGCCTGATGGAAACACAGGTAGGTCTGCCCTTCACAGGGCAAACCATCTCGAAATACTGTGAGAGCTCCAGGGGGTCAAAGTCAGCTTGGACAATGGTGTCTTTCTCCATTACTCTCCATGCAGCCTGTTAAGATAGTACAATGCCACTGGGATGAGGGCGAACTCACTATCCTGATCACAGCTGTAAACTCAGAAGTAAAGGGGAATATCCTTAGAGAGGCAGAACCGCTATGACGACACCCATGCACTAAGGTTTCTCCACATAGACTATCAAAATATACTGCCACAGTCTGCTCATGACTCTTGCAGACCTTTCATGTCAGTGAGAATGCTTGGGGCTGCAAGCAAAAGAACCTTCAACTAAAAATGGCATAAACAATCAGTGGTATAACCTCATAGGACAAGGAACTTGGGGAAAGAAGGCTCCTGTGTTAATTCGCCAGTTCACAATCTTGTCTGAGCCCTGAGACTTCACCTTTCCACTGTGACATCTTCAGCAGGTGGGCCATGCCGCCTTCATAGTTTTGACACGGCTGTCAGAGCCGTCCTTGCACAACCTGTCCAAAAGCAAAGAGAGGAGAATTACTATCTTATTTTTTGGAAAACCAGGAATACCTTCACAGAAGCATCCAAGCAGAATTCCCTTCATGTCTCCTCCTCTGGGGCTGTGTCACATGGTCCTACCTAACTCAAGACCCAGCAAGGGAAAATAAATTACCATGAGTACCACGGAAGGAGAGTCACCCCTTCCAAAGGTGGGGTTAACACTTGAGCACAATCAAGCCCCGTCCACAAGGAATAAGCAGGACGATGGACCACTACAGTGGAAGCTATAATGATTCACTCTCTCATTCCAGCCCTCCAGGACCCTGTAAGGTAGGAAGAATCAGGGATTTGTTTGTCCACTTCACCTATAATGGAGCTGAGACTGATATTTTAGTGGTGTCCTTGGCAGCTGATGCACCTCACTTCAAGTCCAATGTAAATTCTTTTCCCAGGTGGTTTCCAACAGGCAGATGCCTACACAACACAAGTTCAAGTTGGATTCATGTGCAAACACAAGGGCAACAGGTATGATACTCTTATTTGAAATCATGTTATCCAGTTCCTCTTTAAAGCTTAACATCTGGGCCAGGTGCAGTGGCTCCCACCTGTAATCCCAACACTTCGGGAGGCCAAGGAGGCAGGATCACTTGAGTCCAGGAGTTTGAGAACAGCCTAGGCAACATAGTGAGACCCTCCTCTCTGCAAAAACAAAAATAAATTAGCCCGGTATGGTGTTGTGAACCTGTAGTCCTAGCTACAAGGGAGGGTGAAGTGGGAGGATCACTTGAGCCTGGGAGGTTGAGGCTGCAGTGAGCTTTGAATGCACCTCTGCACTCCAGCCTGGGTGGCAGAGTGAGATCTTGTCTCAAAAAATAAAATAAAATACAAAGCTTAGCATCTGTGTCATCAAAATACGTCAGGCTGAGCAATAATCTCTGGGTAGATAGACATAGGTCTTGAGAGTCATCTAATCTGTTTTGCAGGCAAGATAGCAATGCTGACCTGGTATAGGTCTGGCTTTAACATAATTCTCACAGTTAATGGAGAGACAAGTCCATGAGAGCTGCAGACAGCTAGGAAGTGAGCAGAAGCCAGTGGTGCCCTCTAGCCCAGGGTATGAAATATTTATCACCCACTTTAATGGGCCATGGCTGCCTGACCCACCGTGCCCTGGAGTGGCTCACAGTTATGAGGCTTTAACAAGAACAATTCTGTGCTCTGCAAAGCTGGTTCAGCCTTGACTTGCCCCTGGACTATGGGAAGCAGCTTTTCAGGGAACAAGCTGCAGGTGTTCTCTGTGGGTTCTTTCCTTGAATAGGAGCGATGTCTTGCTGGCCCATTACACACACCGTCTTTCATGTGTGTCTTCATTTGGTGACTGTTCACCAGCCAGCTATGGATGCGGGGGCTTCAAAGTGGAATTGCTTCTCTTCTTTGTGGATCCCAAAGTGCTTTCCATATGATCTGCCACCCTGTGCTCTGTCAACATCATGGGATAACAGGAAACATCTTTGAGAGATGCAAAGAATCATAGCATTGAACATTTCCTCTCTCAAAGTCCAGCCCTCTGCTCTTGGGTCTCAGTACTGACCGCAGAGAGAGAGCTCATTGTCTTGCCTCTGATAGTGTTACTACTGATCAAAAACAAACAAACAAAAAAATCAATAGTAAACTATATGATCAAAAAAAAAAAATGCCTAACCTGTGAAGGTTAAAAAAACAAACTCAAAACACCTCTGAGACCCTCCATCCAGATGCTCTTAGCCTCCTCTGGCTTTCCCAAAACACCTGTGGTTCCCTTCGCAGAATAATGTTTGCCAATGCATAAAACAAAATACACAGGACTAGAGAGCTACCAATTAAGTTGCAATATGGTCATCAAAATAGTTTATTTATTTTTAGTTTATTTTATTTTTCCTTTTTTTGAGACAGGGTCTCACTCTGTGGCCCAGGCTGGAGTGCAGTGGCATGATCCTAGTTCACTGCAGCCTCAAACTCCTGGCCTCAAGTGATCCTCCCACCTCAGCCTCCCAAGTAGCTGGGACTACAGGCACACACCACCAAGTTCAGCTAACTTTCTTTTCTTTTTGAGACAGCTTTTTAAAATTTTTTGTAGGACAGGGTCTTGCTATGTTGCTCAGGCTAGACTCAAACTCCCGGCCTCTAGTGATCCACCTACTTTGGCTTCCCAAAGTGCTCAGATTACAGGCAGGAGCCACCATGCCCAACCTTTCAAACTAGTTTAAAAACAAATTGGTAAAAGAACAACATACGGGCTCTCTAGTATCAGATTCTATAACAAGAACTAATGGGGAGTGTGATAAGGGCTGTGTTTATGAAAATGATGAGCATCTTTTTCTCCTATGGCAAAAATCTCTGTGATATCAACTAATGACAAATTGATAGACACCGCTGAGGGGACTGCGCTCCGTGCCTGTATTCATGATTGAAGCAAATCCTAAATATTGGTTAAAAGTTAGGCAAAATGAAGATGGATTTTTATTCCTGCCTCTAATAGGTTGAACAGTGGCTCCACAAACAGTATGTCCATGTCCTAATCTCTGGAATCGATGAATGTAAACTTCTTAGGGGAAAAAATGTGGTCTTTGCAGACAAGTAAGTTCAGGATTTGGAGATGAGAGCATCCTGGATTACCCAGGTGGGCCCTAAATCCAATGACAAGTGCTGTTATGAGAGATGAAAGGGAAGGCATAGAGAACAGGAAAAGGCCATGGGAAGATAGAGACAATGTGACCAGCAAGACAGAAATTGGAATGATGTGTCTGGGCACAGTGGCTCACGCCTGTAATCCCAGCACTTTGAGAGGCCGAAGGGGGTGGATCACGAGGTCAGGAGTTTGAGACCAGCCTGGCCAACATGGTGAAACCCCATCTCTACTAAAAATACAACAACAACAAAAAAATTAGCCGGGCGTGGTGGCGGGAGTCTGTAATCCCAGCTACTCAGGAGGCTGAGGCAGAATTGCTTGAACCCGGGAGGGGGAGGTTGCAGTGAGCTGAGATCGCGCCACTGCACTCCAGCCTGGGCAGCAGAGCAAGACTCCCTCTCAAAAAAAAAAAAAAAGGAATGATGTGTCCAAGGAAGCCAAGGAACCCCTGCAGCCACCAGACACTGGGCAAAGCAAAGAGGTATTCTTCCTGCAAGCCTTCGGGGAGAGCACAGCCCTGCCAACGCCTTCATTTGGGACTCCGGCCGCCAGAACAGTGCCAGGATAAGTCCCTGTTGCTTTAAGCCACACAACTTGCAGCTATCTGTTACACTTAATGCACCACCCAAGTGAGTGGATGTCCCAAATCCTAGGATAAGGACCCTGTCTGGTATCACCTTGTCTCCCATTCACTCTACACATATTTGTCAAGGGCTTACCTTGTTCCAGGTTCACTTGTTAGCACTGCGGATGGGGCAGCAGCCAAGCTGCAGATCCTATGCTCAGGGAACTTTCATTTCAAAGGAGTGGGTGACAGAAAATAAACAACTGCATAATTAACAAACCTAATATCAGGGAGTGATAAAGGCCTTGAAAAAAAATAAAACAGTGATGTTTTCAGATTAATTGAGGGAGGAACCCTAGATGGGGTCAGGGAAGGCCTTGCTGAGGACATGACCATTTCGCTGAGATTTAAATAGTAGGAAGCCACCTACAAAGGTGGGGGGAAGAGTTTTCTACAGAAGGAAGGTGCAAAGGCCCTGAGGCTTGAGTGTGCTTTGATGAAGAGAAGGGCTGCACAGCCCTCAGCAGAGTGAGGGACAGTGGAGGAGGGGCCATCACCGAGGCACAGACCACTGGGGTGTTGGTCTGGGATCTCCTGAGATGGAAGTCTGCAGGCAGGGGAGTCATCGGGACGTGCTCTTGGGACTGTCCATTTGAAAAGGAGTGAAAGGGAAGCAGAAGTCTAGCAGAGAAGCCGGGCTGCCTTGTATTCACAAGAAAGGTCTCTGCTGGCCCCGCAGGGAGCATAGAGCTGGGAGGGCCTGCAGAGGTATCAGGCCGGAGGCTGGGCCTGACACCTGCATGGGTGTGTCCCCGGCTAGCTGCTCCCTAGGGATGGGAGTGTGACCTTGGATGAAGGACTCTTCGTTTCTGAGGAGCACAAGCTGCCCACACTCCGGCAGCTGGGAGACAGGGGGCTCAGTCCTGAAGGAGAGTCATGCACCGCAGCGCCCACTACAGGCCTGGAACACCTTGGCAAGGAGTTTGGGTTTTACAGCTTCGCATGTGGGGAAAACGAGGCTCAGGAGGTTAATGAGTCTCCTGAAGTCGCCTAGTAGGCTGGGAGCAGAGACAGGGCTTAGCCCCTTGCTTTCTAAATCGGTATTCCTTCCATTACTCCGCATCCTTTCCTGGAGTCATTATGTAAAATTCTGCTTCACAATCTGATGCTCTGAGCTTCCCAGGGCCAGGCCACTTCCATAAATGCCTTGCTAGTAGTTGTTTCTAAGGAACTGTCTTGATCTGCCCCTCTGTGAGACCTCAGTAGGGCTGGAGATGCACATGTGTGTACATCAATGCACTTGTGCACACACAAATGCACTCATGTGTGCACACAGGGGCATGCAAAGCATGTAAACTCACATATGCGTGCACACACACTTCAATATCTGTGCATTCCCTCCACTTCTGTATCTCTGGTAAAGCAAATTCTCCAGCCTTCTCCCGCAAGTGGGTGATTCATTACACCCCCCAGCAGTCATCAAGGGAGGTGCGGCCACACTTCGAAGAAATCACCTAAAGACGGGTAACCTGGCATGTGTGATTTCTTCTTAGCAGATAACATCTTCCAGGGGCCTGAGGCACTCAGATGAGATGTCACCTTCTCCAAAGAAAAAACGCATTTTGCACACGTTTCGGATTTTAGTTTACCAGCACTGGCCAATGAATGACTTTGGATTCTAATAACACTCTCATCTTCATACACTCTGAGGGCAGCCAGTCAAAGCAAGCCTGGTGCCTTGCAGGGCCTGGAAACAGACCAGACAAGATTTAAATGACCTCTCAGAATATCAGAAAAGGCCCTGCTAGACCTCACCCCCACTTTCCAGTGCATTGTGAATCTTTACACTTACCCTTTAAGTTATGTTTCAAAGAAAGCACACACATGCTTAGGGTCAATTTCACAGTCTTGCCAATGCTCTTAATGAGGTGAGTGGATAATGAAGGCAGTTCATGCAGTCAATGCCCCCTCGACTTCAAAGCCAAGAACTAGACCTAGCTGCTCCATCTACCAGCTGCGTCTCCTTGGCTTTATCGCTTAACCCCCAAACCACATCCACAAAATGGAAATCACAATCCAGTTTTCACATTTGGCCTGAAGACAAAGTGACACTTTATATAAATGTGGCTTTCAAACTCTAACTCCAATGTCCCTTTCAGGAACTATTGTGATGAGGCGCAGGTAGGCTAGAGCATGAGCTGCTCAAATACCCCACAGGCAGAAGCAACAGGTATGTCCTGGGACTCCAGCTTTGTGTCTGGGGCTGCACCTTCCCTCCAGGTCCACAACTGAGAGCCAGTGAATCCTTGGAATCTGGTTCTGCCACAAGTTTGCTGAGTGACTCTAGGCGAGTGACCCACCGTTGACCTCAGTTTCTTCATCTTCTGTAAAATGCTATCTGTCCTACCTACCTGTCCTTCCAAGTTCTGTGGTTGGAATTAAAGACTCCAGCCTGGAAAAGTGTCAGCCTACTGGATAAGGTCTCTCATGGCTCACACTTGCCTCCATCCCAGCTGCCACTGCACTGGTTTGGGGCCTCTGCCTGGGCTTCGTGTCCGGACTACCCCCCTCAGCCTCCCACCCTCACCCCATCATCCCTCAGGAATGGTGAAGCAGTCCATCAGAGGTCTAAATTCTCGCGCGTCATTTCCGAACTCAGAAAACACTACAGGCCCTCAAAAATGTGAAGGAAAACCTCATCAGCATCAGAACCACATCGTATAGTGGGGAAAAGTGCAGAATCTTGAGGCTGCCTGGGTTCAAATCCCATTTTCATCACTTACCAGCTGTGTGACTTTGGGCAAGTTCATTATCATCTCTGTACCTTACTTTCTTTACCTATAAAGTGAAGATGATGCTGATGAAGGCAAGAGTACCTACTTAATGGGAGATTTTGTGCAGATTATATGAAGTGCTGATCAGTGGCCCATTGCGAATCCTCAGTAAGTAGTATTCTCATCGTGACAGAATCTTTCATGTCACGCTTTCTAGTGGCAAAGACAACACTGCATCCAAGATCAAATAAACAAACGACATTTATCCATAAAATTGCAGCAAGGGAGGTAGCCTGCTGTCGCCTTCATTTCAGCAGGGCTTCAAAGGTGTTAGAAAGGAGAGTCAGTTTTATAGAATAAAAACAGGAAATGCTGAGACAATCTTGGATTGACAAGTATACTATTAAGGCGGGATTTTTAGCTGCGAGGAAACATCCTAATAGGTCCTCAGGTAGATTCAGCTGCCCTTAGCTGCAAAGGCAGGCAAGCAGCTCCTCAGTTTCAAAAGAGGAAGGATTGTTCAATATTAGGGCTAAGGGTTTCTGTGGCTAACCGTTTCCTGAAACAGGTCGGGGGTAGATGGGGTGCTTTTTTTGTGGTCAAACTGTCATAATGCATAATCACTGGTGTGGGGGTCACCAAGACAGGCACTTTTCACCCTCCCCCAGGCCCTCTGTCCCAAAAGAGTATCTGCAATGTGGCCACAGGGCCCCCAGTAGCTGCCCTCCACTCTCCAGCTCTCCCTGTCACCTGTATCTCCCCACCACTGCCCATTCTGCTCTTCCACCTACCTGGATTCCCAGGCTTCCCTGAAACCCCATGAGCCATCCCACACTGAGGGCTTCCACAGCACCAGCCCCACTCCACCCTGACCCAGTTATCCCTTGGGGATGCCTTTCCTGACATTCTGCCCCAGGGAGACCTCCTCTAAGGATGCCTCTGCCCTTGGTCTGGGATTGGCCAATCTATACTCCTAGCACTGGTTCTGCTTCTCACCTTGCCCCCATGATACCATGTGTGTGCATCTTTACCTATCACGTCTTATCTTCTGCACTTCAGCTTCTGGGGGAAAGACCTTCTCACACCTCTGCAAGGTTCAGTGTCTAGCATGGTATATTTTTAAGAGATGTTGACGGAATATAGGAATGTGTTCATGCATGAATGACTGATGTGGTTTCCATGGTGGGTCTCAAAGGTGAGTAGAACTTTACCAAGGAGAGGTGGACAGTAGAAAATAAGCCCCAGTGCATAGGGATTTAGTCTGCTTTGCTCACCTCCTATTCCAGGGCCTAGAATGGCTTCAGCATATTTGACTCTCGACAAGTATGTATTGGATTGGACAAATGACAGGAAGCCACTCTTCTCCTCCTTTCTCAGATACTAAGTAAATGAAGAGGCTTAGCCCACAGAGAGATTTCAGCAGTGATGCTTGTCACAGGGTAGTGTTTCTTCTCTGCATCCGTGAAAGCCTCCCAATCACCAAAGCTTGGAGCCCCAGGCAACTCTAAGAACATGCCAAGACTTCATCCAGACTAGAACCTGTGTTCTCAAAGCATCAACCATGTTTATAACATTCCCAGATTCTTTCTGAAATTCCCAAGGAAATGGCCCTTGGATTCCCTTCAACCTGATGCGCCTCCCACTTTATCTGAGTTTCATGAATTCGGGCTGAGTCCTCTCACTTCCCAAGGCATGAGTCCTGGGAGCCCTGGGTACTAGGGAGCATGTGTGTCTGTGTGAGAGAGATGGGGTTGGTATGGAGAGAGAACAAAATGAGTCACTACTGAGGAATGAAACACTGTGGTTATTAGTGTAAAATATTCAAATCTCACACTCTTAATTTGTCACAAACCTTTCTCCTTGAGGTCTGACATTTTGAAATATACATATTTTTTCCATTTGTTAAATTGGCCCTTTGGCATAGTAGCCTTTAAGTTTTACTTCAATGGTATCACCCCAAAATCTGCTTCTACAACTGTGGCCACTTCCCCTCTTACATCTTCCCAGTATGCTCACCTAATGTCCATTTAAGTATTCACATTTGTCAGACCACGGCCTTTTGATGTTTTGCTTTTGGTTCAGAAATGTGATTCCTGTCACTGCAACCAGTTTCTCAGTCTTGCCAACTGGCCACCTTACCAAGTAAATTGTCCTCTCGTCATTCCTTTAGAACCACTTCTGCTAGATTTCATCGTATTTTGTAAAATTACCTTTTATAGTCATGTGATATGCAAACTACGCATGGTTCTGGGTAATCCAACTGCTTTGTAATGATGATAATGAAGATGAAGATAGTAATGATGTGTGTGTTAGGCAGAATGACTCTCAAAGATGTCCACTTTCTAATCATTTGACCCTGTGAATATGTTACGGACCTGACAAAAGTAACTTTGCAGATCTTATTAAGGTTAAGGGCCATGAGATTGGAGGATTAGCCTAGATTATCCAGGTGGACCCACTCTAACCTCATGAATCCTTAAAAGCAGAGAACTTTTCCCAGCTGTGGTCAGAGAAAGAGGCATGACAACAGAAGCCAAGTCAGAGAGGTGCAACATTGCTGACTTTAAGAGGGAAAAGGGGAACCTAAGCCAGGGAACATGGGTAGCCTCCAGAAGGTGGAAAATACAAGAAATTCGATTTTTCCCTAGAGCCTCCAGGAGGAACCCAGCCCTGCTGATACCTTATTTTTAGCCCAGTGGGACCCATTAGGACTTCTCAACAACAGAACTATAAGACAATGCATTTGTGTTGTCTTAAGCCACTGCCTTGTTATTCATTTGTTACAGCAGCAAGAGGAAACTAATACAATGATGATGGTAATAGCATGCCTGATGGATTAAGAATTGTTTCCGGCCGGGCGGGGTGGCTCATGCCTGTAATCCCAGCACTTTGGGAGGCCAAGGTGGGTGGATCACGAGGTCAGGAGATCGAGACCATCCTGGCTAACACAGTGAAACCCTGTCTCTACTAAAAATACAAAAAATTAGCCGGGCGTGGTGGCGGGCGCCTGTAGTCCCAGCTACTCGGGAGGCTGAGGCAGGAGAATGGCGTGAACCTGGGAGTTGGAGCTTGTAGTGAGCCGAGATGGCGCCACTGCACTCCAGCCTGGGAGACAGAGTAAGACTCCGTCTCAAAAAAAAAAAAAAAAAATTGTTTCCATGGGTTATGCAATGTGCCAAGCACTTCACACATTGTTTCTCATTTAATCCTCACAATCACCCTGGCAAGGTAAGGACTCTTATCGTCCACACTTTACAGAGGGGGAAATTTAACCTTGGGGAGATTAAGGGACCTACCTAAAGTCTCATGGCTTGAGTTTGAGAAAGTCAGGATTCATACTAATTTCTTTTAGACTCCACGACTTAGATTCTGTCTATCAGAGAGCTCTGGCTGGGATGGGTTTCCGGTGTGTATCTTCTCTTATTTTAACTGAAAGCCATGGGAGGGTGCCTGTTGGTGCCAAGGTATTTTAACCCCATGCTAACACCAGTCAGGAAACTGTTGAGTAAGGTTGCTTCCCAAATGAGCCAAGATTTTAGAGATGCACTTGTTATGGGATGGCAATTATTTCCGTGACACAGGATCAAATCTCCACCCAAGCTGACATAGCTCAAGTTTCAGTTATTATTAGAGTTCTTTGAGTACAAGCAAAAGAAACTGATCTTAGCTAATATACAAAAATATTGGAATTGGAATTGGAATATATTGGAAAGTACGATCTACTATGACTAACTTAAAAGGAGAAAGAATATATTGGAAAGTACAATGAGCTTTTTTTTTTTTCTGAGACAGAGTTTCACTCCGTCGCCCAGGCTGGAGTGCAGTGGCGCAAGCTTGGCTCACTGAAACCTCCGCCTCCCAGGCTCAAGCGATTCTTGTGCCTCAGCCACCCAAGTAGCTAGGATTACAGGCATGTGCCACCATGCTTGGCTAATTTTTATATTTTTAGTAGAGACAGGGTTTTGCCATGTTGGCCAGGCTGGTCTCGAACTCCTGGTCTCAAGCCATCCTCCTGCTTCAGCCTCCCAAAGTGCTGGGATTGTAGATGAGCCACCTGCCCAGGCTACAATGGACTTTTGTTGATTTTTTTGGCTACCTGTTGTCATTCTCTCACACTAATGATTCCAGCACCCCTCAACTCTCACTTGTGGATCCATCCACCCACTATTCTCCATCCACATGATTCTGGTGGTGCTGACTTTACCCCCATGCCTGGGCTGGAACATAAGCCCTCTGTCTAAAAATATTGGTACATTCCTTCTTCCTGGTTTCAGTGATGGGTTCAGGGAAGAGTGGCTGACTCAAGACAGAGGGCAGGCAATTTAACCTCAGTCCAGCAAACCCTGCATTTGCCCTTTTCCACCAGGTCTGACCCTGGAGGGATGCACGAAGGAGCTACTGCAACCATTTTGCCACCATGAACACAATACCTGTGTAGATAATGGAGCCAATGTCACAGGCGGTGGAGCAAGTGTCACAGGAGGCCCAGCCAAGAGATGATGGAAGGAAAAAACCAAACCCCAAGTCAACATCTATGTCTGGACTTTTTAGTTATTTGAGCCAATACATTTATGTTTCAAGCCAGATAAGAGCTGCATTTTCTGTTCACTGCAGTGCTTTAAGAGCTCTCAGGTAGCAGAGGATTGCTTCTAAGATGCATGCAACCAGCTGTGGTTGATTGTCTTCTTCTCGTTCTTTCTGATTTTGTCTTATTTTGTCAAGATGCAAAGCCGCAGGAGATTCCCTACAATGTCTAATTTCAAGTCTGAGCCTGCCCTTTACATGTGGAGGATAAGCACCTTCACTCATTATCCCCCAATGCGAAACCATTTTCCAAAAAGAAATTAAGTTTGCTGTTGATTCCATAAAAGGTGGCAGCTGAAAATACAATTTTTAAAATAGTTAGAAGAAACATTGCTACAACTCCTGCCCCTTCCAAATTGCCCTCTCTTGGAGATAGTTTGGCCAATCTTTGCCTCCCATCCCAACTAGGATACTGGAGAGCCTTGTCCACATATCTCTGTGTGTAGGGTCTGTTTTATATCTGGGCTCCCTGTCAACTCCCTCGACCTCATCCTGCCAGGCCAAGCACATTCTTTCTTCCCAGAAATGTGCCTCTTATCGCTACCCCTGTCCATCACTCGAGGCTGCCAGGAGCCGCTGTATGCAATCGCCAGAGTCTTGCACAATCCAGAAGAAAAGATTGATGGAGAGGAGTTATGGGCCTTGAGTCCATTTGTTCCTGTGCTCAGGGCTCTTTGTCCCTGTAAATCCAGGGTTTCTATGACAAATGTTTATGGCTCACACAGCCCGGCCTGCAAAAGGGAATTCCAACCCCCTACTGCCTAACAATTGTCCACCCCCCACTTTACAAATCTGAGGCCTTGGTCTGGGCGAGGAAACACTAGGTAGAATATGCAAAGCTGTTAATTCAAGTGGTGACTCAGGCCAAGAGTGACCTGCATGTCACTTTCCTCCACGTTCATGATGCCTCTAAGACTCTGCAGACAGAGATCTGGTCCTGCCCTCAATGCACCATGGACCCTCTGGACAGTTCCTTCCTCTCTCTGGGCTTCACTTTACCTGCTCAGCTACCTCCTATCCAGGGCAGGAGTCTCCTTTACAATTTCCTTGATAAGCATGCATCCTTGCATACCTCCAGTGCCAGGGACTCACTTGCTCACAGACAGCCTGTTCCAACGTCAGAGACCTCTCAAGCTTTGCATGCATAGGTAGGGACTGGACCGAGGTCAGCCCAATGCCACTTCTAGTCTCTTGGTGGCCACCCACTCACCAACTGCTCTTAGTGTGGCTTTGAGGATCTGGGTCACACCATCATGTGGTCAAATAAAGCCTCAGTTACTGGACACATGATCTGTCTCTAAGCCACTTCTCTTCCATCTATTTTAAAGCCAATGGGTTTTGCAAGACTGAATCTGGGGTTTTACACTGATGCCTGTGAAATCCCAGAAACATTTTTGCTCACAGAGTTTGTTTCTTTGATTGTTTGTTTTCCAGAGTGAAATCTCTGGAGTCAGGTAGACCTGGTTTGCATTTTGATTCCAGCTTACTTGCTGTGTGACTTAGAGAAGGTTTCAGAAACTATCTGACCCTCCTCTTCCTCAGCTAAGGGATAGGGATGATCAAATCCACTTGTTTTGTGAATGCTGGAAGGAAGATTCAGCACATGAAAACAGAATATAAAAGACTTTCTCATTACCTGGCGCAGGGTGAGTGTCCAGTGAAAGGCTGTTATTATCCCATGCGTACCTGCCCAGGGAGGATTCCAGGTGTATGAATGTACTTTGTGAGCTCTGGGGGCACCTCCTAAGAAGCCCTGCACATCTGGGTGCCATTTCTCTGGTTACCATCCTGCCATGGCCCCCCTCTGAGGAAGCTGAGCAGGAAGAAGGAGAGAAGCGTGAACCTTAGACCCTGGATGAGTCACTTCATAACTGTGATTCCATGGTACTGCTTGAGGATAAGAGGGCACTGTGTTTGGGGAAGGAAGGGTCTAGTTTTTGGGGTGCAGTCATTCCTGAAGGTGGAGAGATTTTGAATGTTAAGTGTTAGATGTCCTGGCTCTATCTTGCCCTGAGAAGGACCCTCACCCCCAAACCAGTATGGCCTTTAGCCCAGAAGGCTGTGTGGTCAAGAGGAGAGGGCTTGGGCTTTAGGCCCAGGCTACAGGAGTTGAAATCCCACTCTACCATCACACACAAGTTCTTTTCCCACTGAGACTGGCTCCCTCTCCCTCCTCTTTCCTGACTCTTTTTTGACAAGCTCTATTCTCTTTTCTCCTTCAAATTTAGTTCAAGCAGCACCTTTCCCAGAAACTCTTGGAAGCCCCCGAAAAGACTCAGGGATTTTTCTCCCTGTTGCCCCCAGCCTACCCTGTGTTCTGACACCAGCCACACAGAATTGAAAAAGCCTGTTCAGTATCAGTCTCCCTAACCACCTGGGAGCAATTTGAGAGGAGCGACAGAGTCCTGTTCATCTGCGTCTCCAGTGCCCAGAATGATGCCTGGCACCATGAAATGCACCACAAATATTGGTTGAGCTAATTAATTTCAAATAAAAACAGAACCGAAACCAACTGGCTGGATGCTAGAAACCGTCACAGGCTGGAGAAGAAGGAGGAAAGGGAACAGGAATGGGCTGTTTCTTGAACCCAGAAGAAACCTGGACCAGGTGTGACCCAGATTCTAGTCCAGGCTCAGCCACAAACTGCTTTGACCTTGAAAAAAGGCAACTCTAGTCACTGGATCCAGCCTCTCTCCCTACAAATTCAATCCTCTCTAAGTTCCCTTTCATTTCTAAAGCACTTTGTAGAAGGAGGCCATTGACTAAGGTCAGGGTTCTAGTCCTCCCATCTTCCTTTCAGCTCAGGACCAAGCCTTTCTAGGAAAAAACACACCTCCAGGAGAGGGCATATTGTTATCTCCCCAGACAAGCCTCTAATGGGCTGCACAGCTTGAGGCAAAGAAGAGAACAATTGTTTTAGGCATGCATGCCTCATGATCCAGCCTTATTACCAGCAGGTTTTCCATCCTATTTGTTTCCTTCTGAGTGATTTGAGACATTCATTCAGCATCAGCAACACTTACAAGAAATATGAGAGGAAATAAATTTGCCACAGACACTATACACCATGCTGCAGTAATTACAAACTGCTGTCCTGAAAGCAGCCTGGGGTAGTTGAAGCATATGAATGCATAATGCTGGGGAGGAGGAAAGATAAAAAAAGAGAGAAAGAAGGAAGAGGAGGAGAAGGAGGGAAGATGGGAGGGAAGGAAAATAGACCCCACCGATTATCAGTGATCTATATGGCAAGCACAATGCCAGGCTTCTCACCGGTGCAACCTCATGTAATTCTTTCAGGATTCATATGAAATAAGATGATTGTTGACTTCAGGTTATGGAAGAGAAAGAGAGATGAAAAGTAGAAAAACAGATACAGCAACAGTAGAATAGAACAATGAGAAATGAGTCAAATCACCCTGCAGAAGCTCCGAAAGGCCCTCATGCAGAGCGCCGGGTACTTAGGAAGGTAGGAGCAAGGCTGAGGGTGGAATTGTCCGGAAATGCATATGCAAAGCAGGTAGACACCTATCCACCCAATTTCTACTGATCCTGTCCAGCCAGGAAGCCAGCTACACCGGTGCGTGCGCATGGGCATACAGAGATCAGAGGCTTATCTTCCACACAAATTGAACTGAAGGGTTCTCAGACTTAACACACCAGGACATTGGAAACGAGTGATAAGGGATCAAACAGAATTAGGAGGATCTGATGAGACCACTCCTGCCTTGTTCTCAGAATACCAGCAACCAAGTTTATACCACCCAGT
This sequence comes from Homo sapiens, assembly GCF_000001405.40. Classification (NCBI taxonomy): domain Eukaryota; kingdom Metazoa; phylum Chordata; class Mammalia; order Primates; family Hominidae; genus Homo; species Homo sapiens. The sequence goes on along the minus strand of NC_000008.11, from coordinate 133,686,640 downwards.
AGCGTACTGAAGGATTTTTTAAATAAGAAACAACACTGCAGCAAGAATGATGATGATGACGATGATGATGAAAAATATTTATATGCAATAATCCCCCTTTGTTTATGGGGGTTACATTCCAAGCCCCGCAGGGGATGCCTGAAACTACAGTTGCTACCAAACCCTAACCAAGGAATACCAGGGTTACATTTTTACTTAAAAATCACTTTACTGGCTGACACAGTGAAACCCCGTCTCTACTAAAAATGCAAAAAAATTAGCCGGACATGGTGGCGGGTGCCTGTAATCCCAGCTACTCAGGAGGCTGAGGCAGGAGAATGGCGTGAACCCAGGAGGCGGAGCTTGCAGTGAGCCAAGATCTTGCCACTGCACTCCAGCCTGGGAGACAGAGTGAGACTCTGTCTCAAAAAAAAAAAAAAAATCATTTTACAATTTCTCTTCGGCATATCTGAATTGCCAGCATCACTACTCTTGCAATCTGAGGCAATTCTTAAGTAATGTAATGGTGACTTGAACACAAGCACTGGCGATACTACGACAGTTAATCCGGTAACTGAGACAGCTCCAAAGTGACTCAATGACGGGCAGCGTCTACAGTGTGGAGACACAGGGCAGAATGATTCATGTCCAAGGTGGGATGGAGACAGGCAGTGGGAGATTTCCTCACTGTCCTCAGCATGGCACACAGTTTAAAACAGCAATTGTTTATTTCTGGAATTTTCCATTTAATATTTTCTGACCACAGTTGACCAAGGGTAACTGAGACCACAGAAAGTGAAGCCTCAGAGAAGGGGCAACTACTATAATGCTTGACTCTGTGCCAAGCATTTTTCTAAGCATTTTACATTCATTTATTCATTTTATCCTCATCTTAAAAGGTAAGTACTATGATTATTACCATTGTTTCTATGAGCAAACTGAGGCATTGAAAAGTTAATAATCCTAATACTAAGTTCTGTTACTAAGAAACTAGTAATTGTCAGATACTGGTGTTTCAGTTTCAATCAGTAAAAAAGTCAACTCACACATAGTCCTCCTGAAATGAAACCAATAATCCATAAGTTCTGACTACCCGTAAAGAGCTCACAATAATCTTTTTTATGATTCACTCACTTCGTACTTGGGACATGGAAACTAGTAATCATAAATCATTAAAGAAAGCTTCCAAACTGGAAAAGACAGACAAAAACAAGCAGTGGAAGGAGAGAGTCAGAAGAAATGAAGCTAATGCAGGAGATGGAAGAAAACTTTTCTAAAATTCATTTTTATCTCCAAAAGAGTAAGAGAAGATATGATATCTGTCCAAAAAGAATAGTTAGCAACAAAAAAGAAACAAATGAGAAACAAAATAAAAAAAAAAGTCTTCAGCAATTAAACAAGAAAAGAAGAAAAAATAAAATCTAGGGAAAAACATAGACAGCCTGAAAGTTTAAACAATAAAAAACTCTCAGAAAGTATAACAAGAAAAAAGAGAAAAAAGACTAAAATAAATAAAAATTAAAAGATTAAACCAAGAGGTTCGACATATGGTCTTCCAAAATGAGCTAAAAGAAGAATAAGGTGAAATTGTCAAAGATACAAGACAGGGAAATTTCTGTACCTGAAAGGCATGCACATCCAGTAACAAGTATAATAAATGAAGGGGCCCACTGAGCACTCACATAATGAATGAGAAGTTGCCTTATCAGGAAATTTCAAAACTACAAGTAATAATGACATGATTCTAAAAGTTTTTATAGGGGGTAACATATAAAGAACCTGGAGAAAAAAACAACAGTGGTCTTTTCAACAGCAACATTAGTACCTAGAAAAGAAGAGGAAAAATTCTTAAATACGTATATGAGAAAAAAAAATAGATTTCTACCTGCATTTTGGCTAAGGTTCCATTGAAGACAACAGAAACCATGCAAGCTGCTAGAGCAGAGATTTACTTCTAGGGTATTGTGTAGATTTTAAAAATATGATATAACATCTGGAAAACAAGCTGTAGGCTGAGCTTCCAGAACAACTCTTGGCCCTCAGAAAGACACTGGTCTTGCTAAGATAGAAAAGTTGCTGCCATCACTATAGGGGATTGTCAAATAGGGGAGCTTTTGACCAAAATAGCCTCCCTATCTCTGCCATCCATCCTATTAAAAATGAATTATCATACAGTTAACTTCCGTCCTGTTCCAAGGTTCACACGAGTAATTCTAATCAATAAAACCCGAATTACTCAGGAACCCCAGCTACAAGGAAGTGCTTCTTCTTGTTGTATTATGACTTTTAACTTTTTATTATTGTGAAAATTTCAAACCATACTAAAGTTGAAAGAGTGAGATAATGCACATCTATATAGTCCTCAATTAGAGTCACTGATAATGCCAGTTGAAAGGACACTAATGATGAGACTGAGTTAGGATGCCAGAGGAGAGTTTATGAGACATCAAGGGAATTGAAGCAGCACTGGCAGGGAGTGTCTCAGACTATGATAAGGATCTGACAAGGTCTCAGCCGACCTAACACAGAGCTCCAGAGCAAAGATTTCCCACTGCACAGCTGGTATCACGCACTGATCAGTCACTGGCTGGGCACTGCTGGGGAAGAGTGTTGCCTCAGCTCAAAAGCAGAATCGGATCCTGAAGGACCTAATGACTAGAAACTTCCAGCTGACTACACTCTGCAACTGACTGGTAAGTGCTTTCTTAAAGGGAAATTGGAGCAGGGAGCTTCTATGGCTGTGACAGCAGTTTCTGATATTTTACTTTTTTTTCCTCTAAACCATTTGAAGGCAAGTTGTAATCACCAATCATGGCATTTTGACCACTAATTACACAGCAATATGAATCTCTTAACAACTCAACATTTTCCTACATAACCACAATACAATGATCACACTGGATAATTATTTGAAACAATAATATTATCTGACATGTTGTCCATATTCAAATCAAATTCCATTAATCATCCCAATTAAGTCTTGTTTTTTCCGGGTGTGCATGCACATGTGCACATGTGTGTATCTGTGTGTTTGAGCCATAATCCAATTAAGGGTTATGAATTGCATTTGATTCTCCTGTCTTTTTAGTCTCCTTTAATGAAAAATAGTTCTCTTACTTTTATGCATTTTCAAGACTTTGGTCTTTCTGAAAATTCCACGTCATTTGTCTTTTAGGATGAACATCAGAATTTGTCTTCTTATTACTTCATGACTAAATTCAGGATATAATTGTAATACCTCACTTTTTAGTGTTTTCGTTTGTGCTTTAAATAGTTGTGTTTTGTGTGAGTTACAAGAAACAAGAAAAGTCTTTTATATTTACCTACTTATTTACTATCTCCAGTGCTTTTTATTTTCCCTTGTAGATTTGAACGTCTATAGAATATTACATCTCTTTGACCTGAAGGACTTGCTTTAGCATTTCTTGTACTACAAGTCTGATGGAGGTAAAATCACTAAATTTTAATTTAACTGAAAATGCCTTTATTGCGCCCTCATTCAAAGGATATTTTTGTTGAATACAGAATTCTGTACTGACAGTTTGGTTTGGTTATTGCTTTTCTCATTCAGCACTTCAAAGATGTTATTCCATTATCTTCTGGCCTCCATTGTTTCTGATAACAATTCAGCAATAATTCTTATGCTTGTCCCCTACGTATAATGTGTCTGTTTGCTCTGGCTTCTTTCATGATGTTCTCCTTATCTCTGTTTCTCAATCATTTGACTATCATACTACTGGAGAGGAAACTTCTTGTATTTATCAGGTTTTGGTATTTGTTTAACTGCTTGGACCTGTAAGTCATCAAATTTGGAGAATTAGAGACTATAGTTTCTTCAATTTTTTTTTTTTTTTTTTTTTTTTGAGACAGAATCTCACTCTGTCACCCAGGCTGGAATGCAGTGGTGCAATCTCAGCTCACTGCTACCTCCGCCTCCCAAGTTCAAGTGATTCTCCTGCCTCAGACTCTCGAGTAGCTGGCCACCACGCCTGGCTAAGTTTTTTGTATTTTTAGTAGAGATGGGGTTTCACTAGGTTGGTCAGGCTGGTCTTGAACTCAAATGATCCGCCTGCCTTGGCCTCCCAAAGTACTGGGATTACAGGTGTGAACCACTGCGCCAGGCCAAATATTTTCTTTGCATTTTGTTCACTAGTTTCTCTCTTAGTGCTGATGTGTTAGACTATTTGCTATTTTCACACAGAGCCCTGGGGTTCTTTTAAACTTTATTCAATCTTTTATCCTTCTTTCCTTCAAATGGGGCAATTTTTATTATCTATGTTCAAGTTCACTGACTTTTTCTTCTGCCATTTCCAATCTTCCATTAGACCTGTTCAGTAAACTTTTTATTTCTGTTCATTTGTTTCAGTTCTAGAAATTCTATTTAATTTTTTTCCTTTTTTTAAGATGGAGTTCTGCTCTTATTGCCCAGACTGGAGTATAATGGTGCAATCTCAGCTCACTACAACGTCTGCCTCCCAGGTTCAAGCAATTCTCCTGCCTCAGCCTCCTGAGTAGCTGGGATTACAAGCACCCACCACTATGCCCGGCTAATTTTTGTATTTTTAGTAGAGGTGGGGTTTCACCATGTTGGCTAGGATGGTCTTGATCTCCTGACCTCATGATCCACCTGCCTCAGCCTCCCAAAGTGCTGGGATTACAGGCATGAGCCACCGCAACTGGCCACTATTTAATTTTATAGTTTACATTTTTTTCTATTGAATTTTTTTTATCTGCTTACTAATTAAAATCAAATTTTTCTTTATGTAAACATCTTTACAGGAGTAATTTTCAAGTCTTTTCTTAGTACAACATGTGCATTATCTTAGATTTGGTCCCTGTTGACAGTTTTGTTTTGTTTTGTTTTGTTTTTTACTATGAATCATATGTTTCTCTTTCTTTGTATATCTACTGAAATTTGCATTGAATACTGAATGTTGTAGAAAAGACATTGAAGAGACTCTGGCTTCAGTATTGTCCTCTCAAATTCACAAGTCGTTCAATTACTGGTTAATCACCTGCACTTTTAAATGCTTGGTTTAACACTTTGTTCATTCAAGTCTGTGAAAAGCTCAAGGTGTTTTCCAAACCTCTCTAACCTCGAGGGACCAAACACTAAACTCAGTATTTTCTAGAGATCTTTTCTGTGACCTTGGTTAGGCCAGGTCCATGCTATGATCCCTATTGTTAAGACACAAGCTTTCTGGAGTCTCGGCTAGATGCTAGGGTATTAATGATGGATTAAGAAGATGTCTCCACTCTGACAGGGAAAGAACTCCAACTTCCCTTGCACTTCTCCTTCCAAGAACTGCTTGACTTCTCATATTTGTGTTCTGCTCTTAACAGCATAGTATGTGCTATATGGTAAAGCTGGATGGCTTATCCTGTACATGTACAATGAAAATTCAGCCACAGAATCTCAGGGATTCTCCATCAATTTATGGAATCCCCTGTCCACAGAGGTTCTTCTACTCAAGGCCCACCTTGAGGATTCCATCTGCCTCAAGCCCATAACTCTTAATTGTGATCTCTGTTTGGTCAGCTCACTGGGGCCATGCTTTCTGTTTGGACTCCAGCTTATTGTGCTGCAACCAGGAAATTGTTCTAAGCACAGAGCTGGATACTCACAAGAGTCATCTCAGAAGTTTCCCTTCTCTCAAGAATTGCAGATTTGCATTACCTACGGCCCACTGCCTGAAAATAGTTATCTCATATTTTTATCCAGTTTTATATTTGTTTACAGGAGGAGGGATAATCCAGTCCCAGCTACTGCACCATGACCAGAAGCCTGTGAAATATATTTTTAATTTCTCAGACTCTAAATTATAGGAAAGCACAGAAAAGGCAAGATGAAATGGCTGTTGGGTAAGCCAATCCATGGTATGATTTACCAACCTGGAAATATATTATCAGTCAACTCCAAGGAAATGAGAGCAGTTTCAGACTTGCCAACACTATAATAATGATAATGATAATAATAATAATAATAAATGTAAAATGGCCTTCTATATTTCCTTTCTTAGGAAGTACTGAAGGAGGCACTTACTGAGATGAAGGAATAGAAAAGGGAGACCCAAGATCCAAGAGACAGAGGATCCAACTGAGGAGACCAATATTAGCAAAAGAATGGCCATTATGTATCAGATTGAAAAAGTGATCTATGCAGACTGAAATAAAAACATGATCCAGGAGGCAGGTTTTAAATACCATAAAAATAAAACTGAGCCGGGCGTAGTGACTCATGCCTGTAATCCCAGCAACTTGAGAGGCCAAGGCGGGTGGATCACCTGAGGTCAGGAGTTTGAGACCAGCTTGGTCAACATGGCGAAACCCCATCTCTACTAAAAATACAAAAATTAGCCAGGCGTGGTGGCAAATGCCTGTAATCCCAGCTACTCGGGAGGCTGAGGCAGGAGAATCACTTGAACCTGGGAGGTGGAGTTTGCAGTGAGCCAATATCATGCCACTGCACTCCAGCCTGGGCAATAGAGCAAGACTGTGCCTTAAAATAAATTAAATAAAATACATAAATACAACTGAAAGCTTATAACTGTGGTTAAATATTTGAAGAGCTATATATAGGCATATGATGGAAGGTGGAAACACTAAAAATGATAATAATAGGCAAGTAGAAAATAAACAATGGAAAATCAAGGCAATTATTAACTCCAAGTAAAACAAAAATTTGAAGGAGAAAGTTGATCTAACTGTGCACTACTTAGCTTAGCAGGGACCTATATTTACATAGTCATAATTCCATAAACGTTGTTACTGGTTTAACCAAAAATTGTGTACATATCTCATTCAGGGATACAGGTGAAAAGACACAGGCAAGGAAGTGATTGTGTAAAAAAAAGTGGAAGTTCTCTCATTCAGATAGCCCTGTCTAAAATCCCGGCTCTACTTACTACCACTTACCTGGGTCTACTTGGGCAGCTTCTTTTAACTTTCTGAGCCTCAATTTCCCCTTCTACAAAATGTATAATCTCTCATAAGACTGTTGTATTAAGTAAAATAATATATACAAAGACTGCCACACAAGTTGACACTAAATATATATTTCTTTCCATGGTTTTCTTACTTATGCACCCAGACAACTCTTTTGCAAAAGAAAGTGGTAAAATTGGATCTAACCCAACCCCAGCTCCCACAGCTTCCTCACCCAACTCCAGCCCCAGGCATCGGAGAAGTCTATGCTGTGATTGCACAGAACTGCTCACCAGTCCTCACAATACATTGCACTGCAAGTTATACTTCTGTGCCATGATGTTTTGTCTGCCAACAGTTCCCTCTTTAACCATCATGTCCATTTGTTAAGAACATCAATATTCTATTATACTTCCAAAGCTTCCAATTATAATGAATTATTCTTTTAGTGTTTGGCACATTCTTAGTTGTATTGTGGCCTATTTATGTATCTATGTCTTTCACCAGATTGTATAAGCAAGGACTTTGCTTTAAATTAGTCTAACCGATACTTATTTTTTGAGTAACTATTGTGTGCCAAGTACTGTGCACATTACAAATTGAGGATCTAGGATAATTTAGACACATGTATTCATTCAAAAATGAACCTACTAAGTGCCAAGAATTCTAATAGGCATTGAGATCCATGTGACCATGAGAAATAAGATCTCCTCCCTCATCGTATTTGCAGTGTGGAGAGAAGGGGCAGGCACACAGAGAGGGAATTACAAAGCTAAGTAATGTCTATATCAGGGGAAGTATCTGGGTCAATGAGAGACAAAGAAGGGACATCTGCACAGACATGAGAATTCAGGGAAGGCTTTTTGGAAAAAGGAACTTCTAAACTAAAAATAAAATGAGTAGTAGCTCACTAAGGGATTGGAGAAGAGAGTTCAAGATGAGGAAAAACATAAAAATATGTACACAATACAACAGAAGCAAGAGTAATAGGTATTCATCTCTACCTAGAGGAATCAGGGAAAGCTGTGGGGGCATTTGAGCAGAACCTTCAAGGATAAGTAGTTAATTATTGGTAATACTCTCATTCTTTTTGTTGAACAACTATATTAATGCATTAATTGTCATCCTTAGTCCAGAAAGAATAATCTAATTGCTACTATAATAATTTTAATTCAGTTGTGTTATGTTTGCTACCTAAATGGTAGGAATTTTTATTATCATAAAAGCATGGACTTACTTCATTTTGAAATATATACTACAAACTGAAAATTAACTTAGATTTTTGAATCTTGCTTATTTTGACTCCATTCTAGTATCCAATTTAATTAACATTTTTAAATAAATTCAGGTTGCTTTGTAGAGGAAAATACAGAAAACTAGAAGAAAAGATTGGCAAGTATATCTCATGACGTTTACTATAGAGCAAGACTTCAAAACAAACCATTGCATTTCAAAATTGATAATTTCGGTTGTATTATCATTATTTATAAATATAGGGCCAACATGAATTCAAGAAGAAGCAAGTATCTAGTTAAACTGAGTGGTACAGGCTAGGTGCAGTGGCTCATGCCTGTAATCCCAGCACTTTGGGAGGCCGAGACGGGTGGATCACCTGAGGTCCGGAGTTCGAGACCAGCCTGAGCAACATGGAAAAACCCCATCTCTACTAAAAACACAAAATTAGACAGGCATGGTGGCACATGCCTGTAATCCCAGCTACTCAGGAAGGCTGAGACAGGAGAATCGCTTGAACCCGGGAGGTGGAGGTTGCGGTGAGCCGAGATTGCACCCTTGCACCCCAGCTTGGGCAACAAGAGCAAAACTCTGTCTCAAAAACAAACAAACAAACAAAACTGAGAGGTATAGACAAGAGTCAGCACAAAGAAAGGCGACTAGAATTGAAATGATATTTTCTAAGAGCCACCAGTGTGCTTATTCTATGTCCTGAGGAATCAGAGATGAAGAAGTCACAACTTCTGCTATTGAAAATGTGCATTGAAGGAAGAGTAATATTTCCTAGGCAAACAACAGTCTACATCTCTCCAACTCATCTCTTTCTTTATTCCTACAATAACTGTCTTAACTTAGGCTCTCATCATCTGATATCGAGATCACTAAAATAGTCTCTTCCCTTCAGTCTTTCTTACCCATCTATTCATTACCCTGTGAACAGTGACCCTTCTAAAATGTATATCTAAACACATATCTCCTCTTATTTACCTGCATTTGGCCTTCATTTTTGAAAGATACTTTTGCTGAGTATAGAATTCTAAGTATTTTGTCTTTTTGTTAAGTATTTTAAAGATGTTGCCCCATTGTCTTCTGGTTTGTGTTGCTGCCAACAAAGTTTGTTGTCATTCTCATTGTTGTTTCCCTGCACATAATGCATTTACTTTTCCTGGATACTTTTATGATATTCTCTTTATATCAGTTTTAAGAAAATTGATTACAATGTGCACTGGTGTCATTTTCTTCAAGCTTCTTCAGCTTGGAGAGTTCTCTGGGCTTCTTGGATTTAGGGGTTTATAGTTTTTGTCAAATTTGTAAAAATTTTGAACAGACTTCTTTGAATATCCTTGTCTTCCCCTTTTTCTCTGGGACTCCAATTACACATATCTTAGACCTTGTGAAACTACACCATGGCACACTGATGGGATAATGCACATCAATGTTCACTTTATTTTCCGTATTTTTTTGTTTTATTTTAAATGTTTTCTACTGCTTTTTTTTCAAGTTCACTAATCTTGTCCTCTGCAGCCTCTAATTAGCTATTAATGGCATCTCATGTATTTTACATCTCAGGTATTTTTTATCTCTAGAAGTCTGATTTGGATCTTTGTCATATCTTTTACATGTCCATTTAACATGCTCATGTTTTCTCTATCTTCTTAAATATACAGAATGTATTTATAATAGCTTTTTTAATTTCCACATGTACTAATTATATTATCTGTGTTATTTAATTAATGTCTGTTTCTATGGATTGATTTTTAAATCTTTATTATGGGTCATATTTTTCTTTGAGTATCTAGTGCTGTTTGGTAGGATGCTAGATATTGGTGACTTTTAATTTTGGGGTATTACATTTTTTCTGTATCCCTATAAGTATTATTCGGATTTGTTCTTGGGTCCAGTTAAGGTAGTTGGGAACAAACTGATCCTCTCAAGACCTGTTTCTATGCTTTGCTAGGCAGAGACACAAACTAATCTGTCCCCATCAATGAGACAATCCCCTTTTGAATACTCAACCTGATGCCCTGCGCCATATGAGGTATCTTATAATGGCTGTCAGGAACATGAATTATTCCCAGTCCTGTATGGCTCCAGAAATTTTTCTATCTACTCCTTCCGGGTGTTTTGTTTGTTTGTTTGTTTGTTTGTTTGTTTGTTTTTTCCTCCCTGGCCTCAGGTAGTTTTCTTTAGCGCAGGTGCTGATTAGTACTCAGCTAAAGACTCAAAAAGGACTCTTCCACAAAACTCCAAAGCTCTTTTTCTGTGAAGCTCGCTCCTTTCAGGAACACTACTGAAAGAATCCCAGCCACACTGGCCTCCCTAAATTCTCAGTCCTGCCTCCTAAACTTAGGGAGACCACTGGACTCAGTTTGAGCTGCTGCTTCTTGCACTGCAGCCTGGAAACTCTCTCCAGGCCAAATAGAGAAATATTCCTAGAACTTGCCCCATTGGTTCTTTTTTCTCAAGTATTACTGTCCTGTACTGCCTGTTTTCTAGTGTATGAATACTGTTATTTCATATATTTTGTCCATGTGATTAGCTATCTAAAGTGGGAGGATAAGTTCAGTCCCTGTTACTTCATTATGGCTGGAAGTGAAAGCTGACCATTATTTAAACAGTTGGTAGCTTCTAAATGCTTTCAGAAAAACATGCCAACTGAAAGGCTACAACCTTAAGTCCAGGCCTGGAGCCTCGCATTCTCTTTCATATCCTGCTCCCATGCTTGCCCCATGGGGTCTTGTTTGACCTTCATCCACTTCAATGGTGGTGTTGAGGGTCTCGAGATCCCTCTTGGGACCTGGCCAAGAGCACGTGGGCTCCAGGGTTAGGTACCAGGGGAAGTCAAAGAATCTCCATAGGACCCAACCCTCCATCTCACTCTCCAGCTCCATTTTCCCAGAAATCTCAGCAGTAAACAATACACATTGCTTTCCCAGTGATTCTATGAATGAAATGTGTTTGCTTCCCATATGGCTATCTATCTTTTTTTTGTTTTTGTTTTTGTTTTTGTTTTTGAGACAGAGTCTCACACCGTCGCCCGGGGTGGAGTGCAGTGGCATGATCTTGGCTCACTGCAACCTCTGCCTCCCAGGTTCAGGTGATTCTCCTGCCTCAGCCTCCTGAGTAGCTGGGATTACAGGCGCCTGCCACCACGCCCAGCTAATTTTTTGCATTTTTAGTAGAGACAGGGTTTTACTATGTTGGTCAGGCTTGTCTCGAACTCCTGACCCTGTGATCTACCTGCCTCGGCCTCCCAAGTACTAGGATTCCAGGCATGAGTCACCGCGCCCAGCCTTGGCTTTCATTCTTGTACGTACAGTTCTTTTGGTCTGGATCTCCAGAGAGCAGAAGTGAGTTTTGGGATCAGCATGCTGCGTCCCCACCCTAAATTCCTAATAAGACAAAGAAGCTCACTGTATAGTCCAGAAGAAAGACATTTAAACAAACATAACAGAATGCTTCATGTAAATCCCTCATGAATGCTTGTCACATTAAATAAAATATAAGCACAAAGATACGCACTCAGTTCTTAAAGAACCCAGGAGAGAAGCCTGTCACTTGGCCTGGGGCTATCTAGGAAGGCTTTCACAATGAAGTGACTAGCCCTTTCCCTGACATTTACCCAGAACATGTATTTCCATAACGACATTCCAATGACAGTGACTCAATAGAACAACTCTGGCACTTTAGAAACATTTTGACAAGATCCTAGTTTGGAGAGCTCAGCGGTTATTAAGATAGAAGAAGCCAGCCAGAGGCTCTGTCAAGCAGCCAGGAAGGTTCCTGCTGAGGCCATTATAAAAGGAAGCAGTGGGGGAAGGCATTAGGAGAGTTGAGGATTGAGTAAGGACCCCAGATTGGGTCTCCCCGAGCCTTTGATTAAGACGGGCCAAGTTTGTCCTCACCACTCTCAAAAACGTGCTTTCCGTGAATCCAGGGCGCAGAGTTCTAAACAAGGAGGCTGTTAAAAGATAGATTAAAAGGCATAAAAATAGTATTAGATTTCACGGCACAGTGAGGCCTGTCAAGTCCAGGCTCACAGAGTGAATTGCTTAAAGGCGATGATCAAAATGAGTCACCAGTGTCTGCTCCGATTGTGCTGATGCCTCTTGGAAAAGCAAAAGCCGGGACTATTGTTTGTGTCAAAAATACTTCTGAAGAGGCTACAGAAATCAAAAGGCGCTGATGTGCCAAAGTCTGAAGGGAGACGAAGGGGAGAGAAGAGAGGAGAGTCAGGGGCTCGAAAATGCAGGGGAAGCAGATGAGCAAGGGACAGCATCTCAGGGCAGGGTAGAAGGGAGGGGCTGATGGTGGAAAGGGGCTGAGTTGTGCAAGCAGAGTGGAGTTGAGTCCTTGGAGACCCTCGCTTTATCAAGCTCCTACTGTGTGCTAGAACTTGTGCTGGGCACCTTAGGTGTGATAACTCAGAAAACAACAAACAGTTACTTGAGTGAGCGGTGTGGCCTTGAAGGTGTCTCTGAGCCTCTCTGAACCTCCGTGTCTTCTTCTGGAAAGTGAAGTTAAACAGCCATACCTCTCAAGGTGGTTGCGGATTTTATGTAAGATAACAGGGGCAAAAATGTCAAGCATCCAAAAAGGGCTCAATATACCAAGTTGAATCTGAAGACAAATCACTGGGCAATCCTAATCACAAGAACGTTCACTGAGAAAAGGTTATACTCTAGGCACTAACATGAGCAGTCTATATTCAGGCATTATCTAATTTAAACTCTCCAGACCTATGAGTTAGGTAATATTTCCATCCCCATTTGGCTTATAAAGAGACAGAGTCTTTATGTAAAGACTGGGACAGTAAGTTGCCCAATGTCACACAAGAGAGAAGCCACAATCTAAAAATCCATCTGTCTAGTTCCAAAAACCTGTAATGCTTATCATTTTGCTGGCTGGTTGTCTAGAATGATAGAAGGCTAACATTGGCGCCATCTTCAAGGTGACTCAGTATCAAGCCCTCCACCTCTCTGCAGGCCTCCTTTTCATGTGTGAACCCCTCTGAAACATCCTGCCAATTAGCCAGCCTGCTCTTGTTTGCACTCTTCCCATGACGGGATGCTCACTTCCTGCTGAGGCAGCCTGACCAATTTCCCAACAATTCGACTGGTTTGAAAGTACTTCTTTCTCCAGTCCATCGGATTGATTACAGATTCAAGATCAGCACCAAGTAGACGCATTCTCAATTGTCACTTCCAGGGAGGAAATCTTTGACAAGTTCCCACTGCTTTTTAGAAGTAAAATAGTCATAACTTGTTCTTCTTAAAAACTGCCAACAGCATGAAGAGAATCAAGACTGAAGACCAAAATTGCTTTTCTCTCCTCTCGATAACACTGTCAGCGTGGAGCAGGCCGACTGTGGAGGAACTTCAATCGGGGCTAAATTTACATTCATTCAGGTGTCACCGGACTCTGCTTTCTTGCCTCTCTTTTCTGATCAATGCACTCATTAAAGGGCTCAAGCTTGGCAATAGATTCACCTTAATGCTCGTCACCCTGGGGTTTCAATAACACAGGCTCTGAGACTCTAACAAGCTGCTGAAGAATGAAAAGAAAAAAAGCAAAAAAGCTTTATCTTTCCCTTCTTGTATAGAGTCCTGAAATTGTTTCTCTTTGTCTTTTACAAACAGTTCTATTGACTGTAGTAATTTTATGGAGGAGCTTTGAGGGGCATATATGGGAAGAGAGAAATTTGGAAAATATGTGGAGCAGGTGTACAGAACGAATATACATCTATTTATTCCAAAAGAGTGAGAAATTTGGATCACATTTATTTCTGTTTTTCCTAACTTGGAAGATTTGTTTGGAAACTTAAAATAAAAGGTTTGTTTAACTTTTACCAAATTACATTTTATTTGTCTTAACAGAAGGATGCTTTCACTTCTACACATTCCATTGTAGAATCTGTCTACATGCTCATGTATTTTCACAGTCCCAAGCATGGTATGCAGGTTGATATGTGGTTTGGATCTGTGTCCCCAACCAAATCTCATGTCAAATTGTAATCCTCAGAGGGGCATGGTGGCTCACACCTGTATCCCAGCACTTTGGGAGGCCGAGGCAGGCAGATCACTTGAGGTCAGGAGGTTGAGACCAGCCTGGCCAACATGGTGAAACCCCATCTCCACTAAAAATACAAAAATTAGCTGGGCATGGTGGTGCGTGCCTGTAATCTCAGCTGCTTTCACACTGCTGTTTTCACACTGCTGATAAAGACATACCCATGACTGGGCAATTTACAGAAGAAAGAGGTTTAATGGACTTACAGTTCCACGTGGCTAGAGAGGCCTCACAATCATGGAGGAAGGCGAAAGGCACTTCTTATATGGTGGTGGCAAGAGAGAGAATGAGAGCTAAGCGAAATCGGTTTCCCCTTATCAAACCATCAGTTCTCATGAGACTCATTCCCTACCACAAGAACAATATAGGAGAAACTGCCCCCATAATTCAATTATCTCCCACTGGGTCCCTCTCACAACACATAGGAATTATGGGAGTACAATTCAAAATGAGATTTGGGTGGGGAAACAGACCCAAACCATATCAGATGTTAAGTGAAAATCAAATATAAACTGCATAATATTTGTGGGTAGTTGTGGTTTTCCTGCTGAGCTCACTACCACTGGGCCGTGAGGTTATCTTTTCCCACCACTGCCACTAGATGTTTTCTGTACACAAGGTAGTTCTCCTGCCCAGCCCACCACCACTGGACTCCGTCTCCCTGTACGTAAGCCCCTAATTAAACCCCTTGTCTCATTTGCTGGCTCTGGGTGCTTTCTTTGGCCTCTTGAACTTGGTGCTTTTCCAACTGAGGCTAACAGGGGCTCAGCACAACACTGCCTTCTGAGAGTTAATGGCTGTGTGCCCATCTAGTGTTTTGCATTAAGCAGTTTATGATGGGTGGGCCAGCTATTGAGCTCAGGAATGAATCTTCACCAGGTGGTAAGGCTACAGCTAACACCACTGCGCTGGGAGCTACAATAGTCATGCTTATTTAACAGATGAAGAAACTGAGGCACAGACGAAAATGTTCTGCTGCTCAGTGGTTGGGCTGACCCAAAGCCATGTTTTCCACCTGACATTCAGGATGGGCTCTTTTGACTTTGCCAAAACTGTAATTGTGTAAAAGTCAGAAGTTAAGCTAAGGTTGGTGTTGTGATGCTACTACTATAGACACCACGTTTCAGCAAGGCTGGAAAAAGTCCTAAAATACTTCTCAATATCATAAGAAGAGAAATAATTCTATACAGTCATCGGATACCATTAAACACTGCTTTTGACTAGTGTATAACTGAGCTGCTATTCGATCAAAATAACAGCTGGAACTTGTGCGTCCCTACCCACAAAGTTCTGTGCTAAATGCCTTACAGGTGATATCTCAGTATCAGTTTCACTGCATTTTATAGACAAGGCACCTGAATGTTATAGAGTTTAAGAAACTTATCTAAAGGCATGTGTGCAAGTGGTAGACCTGAAACCTAAAGCTTCATCTTTCTAATTTCAGAATCTGTCACCCTAACAACAGGTTAAGCACTGGGCATTCAAGCTGGCCACACCATGGGATGCATCTTTGTGCAACTTCTCTTTTTTTAGAAGAAAAATCTTAGTTAGACTAAGAGAGGTTGAGTTATGGGCCCAAAATCACATACTGACAGATCCATCTTTAAGGCCAGGCTCCCCAAATCTTCCTTTAGAAGAATTCCAAATAATGTATCAGATACATATCCATGAGGCAGAGCTCAATTCCTTTCCTCTTGATTCTGGGCTAGACTTAGTAACTTGTTTCCAAAGAAAGAGGTATAGAAGTGAAAATATAGAAACCAGGTGGACACTACATTGATCAAGGTTACCACTACCAGTGATAAGTTATCTTGCTTGCTATCACATACCCCTCAGCACGCAACCGGAAGAACACTTCACCTCCATGATATTTTTCTCAAAAATCTATAACCCCAATCTAATCAGACAAGCTCAAACAGGGGGACATTCTACAAACTACTTGACTAATAGTCTTCAAAATTCTTTAGAGAATCAAAGAAAAAGATTAAGAAGCCCTTGGATCAGAAGAGACTACATACATATGACAACTAAATGCAATATGCAATTCTGCATTGAATTGGATCCCGTTGAGGAAGAGGACATCAGTGAAATAATAGGTACCAACAAAATGAAGTCTGTTAGCTCAGGGTACTAGACCAGTATTAATTTCTTAGTTGTCATAGTTGCACCATGGTTACGTAAAATGTTAGCATCAGGGTAAGCTAGGTAAAGGGTATGTTTGCAACTTTGCTATAAATCTAAAAATACTACAAGATACAGTTTCAGGTAACATAAAAATAAAAATAAACAGGTCACCAAAACTTTAGCTGCCATTTCATGGCCATTTCCTTATAGCTTGTAATTCACTCACTCCTTTTATGTTTTGTTTTGTTTTGAGATGGAGTCTCACTCTGTTGCCCAGGCTGGGGTGCAGTTGCACGATCTCTGCTCACTGCAACCTCCGCCTCCTAGGTGTAAGGAATTCTCCTGCCTCAGCCTCCTGAGTAGCTGGGATTACAGGCACCCGCCACCACACCTGGCTAATTTTTGTACTTTTAGTAGAGACGGGGTTTCGCCATGTTGGCCAGGCTGGTCTCAAACTCCTGACCTCAGGTGATCTGCCCACCTTGGCCTTCTAAAGTGCTGGGATTACAGGCATGAGCCACTGTGCCCAGCCTCCCTCACTCGTTACAAAAATTTAAAAAAAAAATGAAAAACAGGGGTCCAAGAAGATATGTGTGAAGACCACTATTCACTGAAAACAACCTAGAGCAGTTATTCTTGGAATGTGTGTGGCCTCACAAACACCATGCCCTACACATACACACTGCACACTGCTAAGACTGGTTCCAAACACACGGCTACATTATTTTCCCTTCAGAAAAGACAGCCTGGGGTTTCACTTGGCCACTGGCTAGGGCAGGATTGTTCCGGGTTGTTTTTTTTTTCTTTCTTTTCCTTTACTGGGGCAACAATGCTGCAGCTGAGCCTCTGTAGAAAGAGAATGACTGTTTTTCCATTTTTTTTTAAGAGGAGCAGTTAAAAATACACATTGGTACATACTGTAATTATCATTCAGAATAAATGCAGGAATGGTGACATTAACTAATGGGAGTGCAGCAGCTGCTGGCTTGTTGAAAGCCATCCTCAGCGTTGTGCGGAGGTGTCCAATGCTAATTGCTCCTTTAGTCTATCTGATGTCACGAGGGAATCCACTGGGTAAACCCAAGGCTGCTTTGTACCTCAGCATGGCCCAGAGTTGGCTTGTCTTCAATAAGGTGTTTGTTGGCAAGCAGGTAAAAAGCTACAATATGATCATGGTTTCATTAACTTAACCTTTAGCAGTGCCTTTGATTAGCTGGAATTGCCCAACAGAAGGCTCAAGGAAAACCCATAACAGACTAATTATTAAAGAGGCACTAATGTTAACTGAAAACCAACCAAATGCCAGATAGCACCAGGCGCTTGACCAGGTCTTTAATCCTCTGACCAATCTGCTGAGAAGCAGTGCCATGCAACTTGTAGAAATGGGGCTTGGAGCTGGGAAATGACCACCAGGTTGACACTTCGGCAAGCGGCAGGCATGGGCTTCTCTCCAGCTCAGCCCAGAGTGTCAGCGTCATGCCTTGCACTCTGGGTGCCTAAATGACTGTTTTACTCATTTATTGATTCTATCATACCCCCTTTTCTGAAAAGGAATGAGAATGTCTTACAGAAACTCCACAAAACTGGAGAGAAAATTATATGAATTCCCAGCTGGGCGTGGTGGCTCACGCCTGTAATCCCAACAGTTTGGGATGCCGAGGTAGGCAGATTGCTTGAGCTCAGGAGTTCGAGAGTAGCCTGGGTAACATGGTGAACCCTTGTGTCTACCAAAACTACAAAATCTTAGCTGGGCATGGGGATGTACATCTGTGGTCCCAGCTACTTAGGATGCTGAGGAGAGAGGATCGCTTGAGCTCAGGGCAGAGGTTGCAGTAAGCCAAGATTGCACCACTGCACTTTAGCCTGAGCAACAGAGTGAGGCCCTATCTCATTAAAAAAAAAAAAAAAAAGCATTCCCAAAAGTATCTCGTGTAGAAGTTGGGGCTGGAGGTTTCTGATGAGAATCTAGCAGTCAAAGCTGCAAGATCCATGATGTGAGTGAGGAAAAAGCAAACAGCAGAGAAGGTGGTGGGGGCACAGCAGGGTACATGCTTAAGGCATGCCCCCCTTCTTAGAATCTGCCTTAGACTGTGGGGGGCTTTTGTAGCCCTCTGTTGGGCTATGTGTCCTTTAAGAGCAGTAGACCATGTATTAAATCATTTTTTTCCATTCTCTACAGTGTCTTGCACCTACTGAATCACAAGTGATGCAATTTGCTCATCTATAAATAATAATATCCACTTCAAAGGAATACTGTGAATGTGATTAGGCAACACAGGTCAGCATGTCAATGGGTCAGCACACGCCTGTATATGGAAGGGTTCAACATAAACGTAATACAAGGTTATTAACTTGGATTAAAATTGTTCAAAGCAGACAAAACTGCTAAAGGTTACATAGTAGTGGGGTGACATGTTTCAGCACTGCCCACCTGTGGGAGAGGTAGAAGAGGAAAGGGAGACTAGACTAGGGAAAGGAAGAGGGGAAGAAGGCAAGAAATAAGAAGAGAGGTGAAAAACAAAGGGAAGGGAATGGGAAATGGGAAAAGCAGAGGAGGACAGGGAGAAGGGAGAGGTGGAGTGGAGAGAAAGAAGGGGAAATGAGAAGTGGGGAAGAAGAGAAGATGAAGGGGAGGGAAGAGGAGGGGAGGAGACCAAAGAGATTATCAATATGACCAGAAAGAGGAGCCTCTGCTCCTGAAGATTCCAGAGTGGGAGGAGGAGGAAGAGGGAGTTCCCGCATCTTACTGGGCCTCTCCCCAGGCACAGAAGCCACATCTCTGTCTATTTCCCTATCGTCCTGTCACCTTGTCCCGTGGAGAACGACTGAGCTCCTCTGTGCTTTGGTGACATGGAAATGGTCCTTCCCTCTGCCTCTGAGAAGCTGGGCTGGACCAACCCCCATCCGTTCACCCTTTCGTTTACTCAAAAAATGCCTGTGGGTACCACAGCAAGCAAACAGATGAACCCCGCCCTGGTGGAGATGGTGGACTATTGGAGGACACAGGCAGAGAACTGGAAGTTACAACGTGGGGTATAAAATCTTTGACAAGAAAAGCCCAAGGCAGGAGCCAAGTCTAGAGGAACATGGGAAGTTCCCCAGAGAAAGAAAGCAATGTCCCCAGAGGGACTGAGGTTCCCTTGGAGTCTCCCCACAAAGTGAGAGCTGAGAGCAGAACAGAGGGAGGAAGTAGGATGTGCAAATCTCAGAGTTCAGCAGGAACATGGCAGATCCTGGAAATGAAGAGACAATGACCAAAGCTGGAACACAGGGCTGTGCTGGACAGGGTTGGGGGGAATCCCTAGGAAGGAGGAGAGACCAGGCAGGGATGGCCTCGGAGAGAACAATGAGAAGCTAGACTTCTAAACTGTGTCTCATCGAAGTATCTTGTAATGAGACAAGAAGATCCTCTTGGTTGTTTTGTTTTGTTTTGTTTTGTTTTGTTTTGTTTCCAGGAAGAGCCTCTGATGGCAGTACGAGAGGGGACCAGGCTGGAGAAGGAGCCAGAAGATATTGTGAAGGCTGTCACAGGCAGCTAGAGAGGACCCAGGGAGAGTGCCAGGGTGCTGGGGAAGATATCCAAGGGCTACTCAGGAGACTGGATTTGTTGGACTGGATGTAGTATTGGGTGTTGGGTTGTGGGGAGATGCAGAGAAAGTCAAAGACAACTCTAGGGCTTCAGGTTTGGACAAATGGTGGAGGGAGATGCTGTCCCTGAGACACAGAAAGAAAAAGAAGGTAGTTGGTCTTATACAGAAGAAGGTCTGTGGTCTCATGGGAAGGCCATGTAAATTGCACAGAGAAGTTGCATATTTGGGTCTAGAGCAGAAGTCAGCAAACTCTGAAAATGGCCAAGGAGAGGATGTTTTTTGTCTTGCGGGTTGTACAATCCTTGCTACAACTACTCACCTCCACTGTTGCAGCTGGAAAGCAGTCACAGATGATGTGTAAATCATTGGATGTGGCTGTATTCCAGTAAAACTGATTTACCAAGGTAATGACAGGCTGAATTTGGCTAGAGAGCCACAGCGTGCTGACCCCTGATTGAGAGCATCAGATAGATGTCTGGGCTGGAAATAAATATTCAGGGGAAGTGATTTGAAGTAATGAGTGTGGATTACATAGAGAGACATAGATTTAGATATATCTATTGAGACATATACTCTATTTTTCTATGTATAGATATATAGATGTTGAGAGATTTATTTTAAGGAATTGGCTCACATGACTGTGGGCCTGGCAAATCTGAAGTCTACAGGGCCTGGTAGCAGGCTAGAACTCAGGCAGAAGTTGATGCTGCAGTCTTGAGGCAGAATTTCTTTCTTTCTGGGAAACCTCAGTGTTTGCTCTTACAGCCTACAATGAATTCGATGAGGCCCACCCTCATTACCGAGGCTAATCTGTATTCCTTAAAGTCAACCGCATCTGCAAAATACCTGCCCAGTGCACCTGGATTAGGTTTCAATTAAATGACTGGGTACTATTGCCTAGCTGAGCGGACACATGAAAGTCACCATCACAGAGATCATCTTAGAATTCTGCTACTCCACTTTTGTAAGCAGCCACATCATGCTAATAACCCATTTTGTGGTTACGGTCAATGAAGACCCCAATATGTTAGGGTATCATTTCTGTTTTGATTCCAGATGCCCCAAGTGCCCATATCAATATATATATATTTTTTGAGACAGAGTTTCACTCCTGTTGCTGAGGCTGGAGTGCAGTGGCATGATCTCGGCTCACTGCAAACTCTGCCTCCCAGGTTCAAGAGATTCTCCTGCCTCAGCCTCCCGAGTAGCTGGGATTACAGGCATGTGGCACCACGCCAGGCTAATTTTTGTATTTTTAGTAGAGATGAGGTTTCACCATGTTGGTCAGGCTGGTCTCAAACCCCTGACCGCAAGGGATCCTCCTGGCTCAGCCTCCCAAGCTGCTGGGATTACAGGCATGAGCCACTGTGCCCGGCCCAGTGCCCATATCAATATCGATGTTTCAGGTTATGTCTGCCTTTGCCCAAGAGCAGAACAGCGTTTACTGCTCTTTTTCTGCCTTGGAAAAGCCCCATTAAATACCTCTCAGGTAAGATGGTCACCCAGGGCCCTCCCTTCTCTGAGGCTCATGGGTTCAGAAGGTTGTGAAAGGAGTCACAAACTTCCTGCCTCCTTCCTCATGCAAACCCCAGTCATGAGTGCCTGCGTATCATCAGCGGAGGAGCCCCATGCGCTGGCAATTCTTCAGTGGGAGAAAGGCATTTGCAAAGCCATTATGGCACCATACATATGTATACATTTTACACAAAGCCCGTTTATTTTAAAAAATCAATTTCTTTCCTACAGATGGCACATTGCATAAAGAAACGCGAACCCAGCAGCACTCCTGCCAGCGGCAATTCTGAGTGCTCATTTCCACTTTGCCAAGACATTACATGGGAAGGCATGTGCGTTTAAGGGCATCCAATTGTTTCTGTATCAGAACAGCAGCAACATCCCGGGCAGGCCTTTCCTCTGGAGTTCACGTGTAGGTCGTACTGACACACAACATGGCCTAAATGGACCATGGAGGAGGAAGGGACCCCAAATCCAGGCCAAATGGGAGCAGGGTTGTCCTCAGGTAAGTGCCAAGAACATAGTGCCAGGAAAGTTTATTGCATTCCCTCAGTTTCCCCAGTCATAAACATTCAGGATCTGATGACTTCCTTATGAAAGGTAAGGTAGATTTGCTACCTTCTAGAGAGCATGCGCTACCCTACCCACATCCCACATCACCTCACCCACATCCACGCACATTGGCAACAGAACTGAGAACCAGCTTGCCTTTCCAGGAACACAAGCATGTTCAATACTACTGGGCACACACGTTTCATTGCAAATCACATCATAATATGGAAGCAGACATGACTGTCACTGTCACTGTGACTGTCATTCTCTTCCTCACCTTTGACGATGGCTGCCACTGGTGTGGATGTTTCCAGGGGACTTCTGTTCCCCTGGTGCTAGCAGCACCTTGCCTCAAACACGCACAGCATGGCCTTGCTTTCTGTGCCTTTGGAAGGGCAGTGCTCCTACAATGATGTTCCTCCAGGCTATATGTACAAGCATAGATCAGACATAAAGGGGTGTGAGCAGCCCTGGGGGTGCCCTCAATTAAGAAGGCAAGGTGGGAACCAAAAGCCTCCTTCCCTCCCTGCTGTCACTTCCCAGCAGCATCCTGAGTGTTTCACAGACAGCCCTGGAGAGACCGCACTCCACAGTCCACAGCAGCATCCTTGGTAACACACCTGGCACTGGTGTTCCCTTCTTACCTGCTTCCTTACCCCTTGATAACCTGCCAAATAAACCATCTAGTAGAAGTCTTCATCCAAGCTCCTTCTGATTTCAGGAGGACCCCAGCTAGAAGACTTTCTCTGGAACCCACGGTGCCTCTCACTAAAGTGCCCCAACGTTGGCACAACACCTACCGAATTGTTGTTGCTGACTCTCTATGCCCATGATTCAACCAGAACAACATTGATTCGTTAAAAGGTGCATGAATAAACTTGACTCTGGAAACAACAACAGGTCCCCGAAAAATTTATGTCTCTAGGAAATTAAGACGCCACGGGAATCCTGGGAGACCGAGGTGGGTGGATCACGAGGTCAGGAGATTGAGACCATCCTGGCTAACACGGTGAAACCCTGCCTCTACTGAAAATACAAAAAATTAGCCAGGCGTGGTGGCTGGCACCTGTAGTCCCAGCTACGCAGGAGGCTGAGGCAGGAGAATGGTGTGAACCCGGGAGGCAGAGCTTGCAGTGAGCTGAGATCGTGCCACTGCACTCCAGCCTGGGTGCCAGAGAGAGACTCCGCCTCAAAAAAAAAAAAGAAAAAAAAGAAACTACGGTAATCCCTTTACAACCTCAAACTCCCTTCCAGGGAAATTATAATCCATTCACCTTTACTTCTCCATAGTTACTTTCAACAATGCTGTGGGTCAAGTGTGTAGAGGGGAGGGCACTCACAAAACATACTGACACGATAGCAGTGAGGGGATTGGGGTCAGAGCCAGAGTAGAGATTTTTTGCAGTGAGATCTTGGGATGGAAAGGAAGCAAAACACACTCTCATCCTGGGGTCTACTTTCCCTGAAATGCTGCAGAAAGAAGGAAAATTTGTGTTGAGGGCCTTCAGACCATGAACGGGCATTGCTTTCTAGAAGGCAGAGTGGTGGGAAATCAAAAACGTAACAAATATATGGTCAAGAGCCAGACACACAAAATAAGAGTTATGTGTCTATGCAAACATCATAGTATTTTGTATCAGTCCGAATAAATGAGGTTGTGTTATGTAAGAAATAATGCAACATCTCAGTGACCTAAAGCCACCGACTTTTACTTCCCTCTTAGGTTGGCTGCCCATCAAGGGCTGTGCTCCGTGTTGTCTTCCCTCCAGGGCCAGGCCGATAGGGCAGCCCCTGTCAGATTCATGACCATGATTGCAGGGGAAAGAGTTGGCAAGTTGCTCACCGGCCCTCAAAGTTCCCACCCAGGTGTAACACACGTCACTGTTGCTTACTTGTCATTGGCAAACACCCATCACATGGCCACACCTAAAGGTTAGAAAATACAATCTGTCCTGGCATGGTGGCTCATGCCTGTAATCCCAGCACTTTGGGAGGCCAAGACAGGCAGATCACTTCCCCATACTTACTTTCAACAAGCAGAGCCCAGGAGGTGGAGACCAGCCTGGGCAACATGGAGAAACCCCGTGTCTACAAAATATACAAAAATTAGCCGGGTGTGGTGGCATGCACCTATAGTCCCAGCTACTTGGGGGACTGAGACAGTAGGATCACTTGAACCTGGAGGTCAAGGCTGCAGTGAGCCAAGATGACACCACTGCCCTCCAGCCTGGGCAACAAAGTGAGTCCCTATTTCAAAAAAAGAAAAGAAAATACAATCTTACCAGAGGGCTGAGAGCTAGAAATACTTGGTAAAAAACAATGTTAATTACTACAAACCGCATTTGTGAACGTCTCCTTCAGGCTTCAGAAGAGGAAGCTCTTGGACTTTCAGGGCACAAAGGATGCTAAATGGGTATTCCATGTGTAATTGGTTTTTATTTTTCTTGCAATTTTCAGGTACAGCAAATCCTATTCACACTTTGTTACCTGTAGTCTATCTTTATTGTCTTAATAATTTTTATTAATATATATACATGAATTTTAAAATAGTCACATTTTAGTTATATAGAAATGTATATATTTTAAGATTATTTTTAATGTAATTTAATTTATATATGAAGGCATTTATCTTTGCACTCAAGGACTTCAGCCACCCTCGTTCTTTTTTCCCATAAAGCCCTACATTCTAGAATCACACATTTGCCTCTTCTTAGTAACTTTATGATCTCTTTTTTGGTACTTGGGGAACCCCATCACAGAAACCAATTCCACGGTCCTGATATAGAGGAGCACTCCATATTAAGGGCAAAAATAGGCATGAAAAGGAGAGGGAGAGAAACAAAAATTAAATAACCAAGAAGGTCAAAATGAAGACAGAGAGGGACAGGGGCTGATGATACGGCGTAGAGGGCCTACCTGTCCCACGCCCCTGCCGCGTGAGGTGGCTGATCACGGGGGCAGCCTTGCAGGGGATTGCAGCTGCAGAAGGGCCATTCAGAAATGGAGAGCTGTGCTTCCAGGCAGCCCTAGTCCTTCCCACACAGATTGAGTCTTAATTAGGAATGTGGTCCTCAGGCCTCAGGGGGACCACCTCTGCACACGGTGGTGCCAGGGCCCCAAAGCCTGTGGGGCTGGTGGTGAAGGAGGAATCTGAGGTTTGGCCTGGGGACCAGGAGGGTCATGTCAGCCCCAGGATCCATCCTGCAACATGGCCCAGAGACTTGTCCTCCTCACCTGGCCAAGCAGGATCACCCACAACACGCACACTCCAAACCATGTGTCTCCCTCCAACCTGATCACGGCAATGCCCCGTCTCAGAACCCATCCACTGAGAATTCACGACCAAATTTGAGAATTAAAGCAGATAGGGCCTTCGTGGAAGAAGAAAGTCTTTCTGTTTGTCTGTCTCTTGCTCAGTAACCAAATGCATCTAGATAATAAAATAACCCAGAGGGAAGGAGCGTCAGGAAAATGGGTTTATTTATGGTTTCTAGCCAGGACTGCACTTAAGTTTTTCTGATATTCATAATTAGTTGGGGAGGGAAAGATCACTGACTTTTCAAGCACCATGTCTTCATTAGGCATGTGGTCCTTAGGCCCTGTGGGAACTGCCTCTGCACCCTGTGGTGTGGGTGCCCTAAAGCCCGTGGGGTTGGTAAAAGAGGAGGAAAAATCCGAGGTTCAGCTCAAGAATCATGTGCTCTGGGAGACGAGGTACCCAGGGCCCACGTGCTACCTGTGACAACCCACAGGCTTTGTGTCTCTGCACAAGTCCCTTAGCACCTCTGAGTCTATCTCCTCAGCTCTAAAATAGAAAACAAGAAGAGGCTGGATTAAAGGCTGGCAAAGGTCCCTTCCCACTCTAAATAACATACTGTTATGAATGCCAGGATTTGGGCCCCATTTTATACCAGTCTAGAGTATGATAAAAAACTTCAACACCTCATCCTCTCCACCTGGGCTACACTTGACCCTTCCTCTCATGCAGGCAAAGTCCATGGAGGCAGACTCCCTGTCCCCCCTTGATATGGTTTGGCTGTGTCCCCACCTAAAATCTCATCTTGAATTATAATCCCCATAACCTCCATAATTCTCATAATTCCCGTGTGTTAAGGGAAAGACCAGGTGGAGGTAATAGAATCATGGGGGCGGTTTCCCCCATGCTTTTCTCATGATAGTGAGTGAGTTATCATGAGATCTGATGTTTGTATAAGGGGCCCTTCCCCACTTTGCTTGGCACTTCTTCATGCTGCCTTATGAAGAAGGTGCCTTGCTTCCCCTTCCCCTTAGAACATGATTGTAAGTTTCCTGAGGCCTCCCCAGCCATGCTGAACTGTGAGTCAATTAAACCTCTCTTTTCTTTATAAATTACCCAGCCATGGTCAGTTCTTTACAGCATTATGGAAATAGAATAATACACCCCCTCCTACATCTTCCCTCTGACTGTCCAGAAGTGGAGATGCATCATAGATATTCTTTCAGGAGACATGTTGAGACTACACAAATGACAAACCCTTCTAGGCCTCAGTGTTCTTAGCTCTTGTCAGCTTTACTTAGATATGTTAATTCACTTGTAATAAGAGTTCACATTTTCTTAACACTTGCTATATGCCAGGCATTGCTCTTAACAGGTTCCTTTTTCTAAACTTTCTCATATTCAGTCCTAAGTAATGTGATGAGTCAGGTGCTATTATCATTACCCCCATTTCACAGATGAGTTCACTGAGACACAGAAAGGTAAGTACCTTTCCCAAGGTCATACCTCTAGGGAGGTGAGGAGCAGGACCAAAACCTGCAAGTCCAGCTTGAGAGCCTATGTCCTTCAATTTCTATTGATCTATCCACCCATCCACTTCTAGAGGCTTCTCTCTGCTCATGCCTCTTCCCTTCTTCTAAAGGTCAGCCACAATTTCTCTGCTCAGGATTATACAGTGTCTCTGTTTCAAGACAGTTGCTACCTTTGTACAACTATGGCCTCCTATCATCTCTCAAAACAAAAGCCTGAGAAGAGAAGAGATGAAAATACAACCTTCGTAAGATTGTGTGTGTGTTTGTGTGTGTGTGTGTGGCAGGGAGGCCAAGGACGCTGTGCCAATGCCAGTTGTGAATGGAGTTGGGGGTCTCCACCATGCCTCTTCCTCATCCACATCCACTAAACCCCAGCATTGCCCAAGCAGCAGGCCAGCTCTACTGCAAGAAACTCCACTCTAGCCCAGAAGATATTTTCTAATTTCACCTCCTTGGAGTTTTCATTTCAGCAATGACTCTTATCAAATAGCTATTGCTCCAGAAGCATTTTCAAAGAAGAAATGAAAACCATGCTCACCAGGGTGAGGAAACAGATGCATTTTATTCAGTTGTAGAAGTGAGGAGACCAAAATCACTCTCCCACCTGGAAAATGCACTCTTGTTGGCTGCTGATCCAGGCTTCTCTGTGTTTCTGACATCAGACAAAGAGCAGCAAAGGACTTTACCCAGCGATGCCTGTCTGCAGTTTCCCCAGGCCCTGTCTCTGCCCTCACTCATCTCTGGAAGACCAGGCCTGGTGGAATGAGCATCTGTCCATGGCTCCATTTCCTCCCCTGTCAGATGATGAGACTAACACCTGACCCACCAGCGGTCACCAGCATTAAATCCACGTGGCATGAAAAGTCTACCAAACAGCCCCAAGCACCGGAGGGTGTCTGTGAATGATAGCTGAATTCAAATGGAAAAGGATCTTGAGAATGAATGTGTTTGATGAGCTCAAATTGGGCAAATTCTGGCTACCAGGTGGTTGTTTAGATGCTATCTGAGAAAAAAATCCGTCTCTTCACTCAGAGTTTGCAGAAATTTAAAATGGCAAATATGCATATAACCAGTGCTAACTCAGATACAGGGAGATTGTCTTATTATTTCAGGCACAACTAGAGTAGTTTCTGCTGTGGCCATTGAACACTTTGCTTGTAGAGGCTCAGATGAATGGCAAAATACAGAACATCCGTGAGACCAACAAACATAATTATGCAATCATAACTTTCATCTATGGAGCACCTTCCATGTGTCACACATTGTGCTCATATTAGCTCCATTCATCCCAAGAGCCCTTTCACACTTCCCATTGCAGAGATGAGGAAATTGACCTCATTTCCTCAAAAACAGAAAACGTGGTTGGATCCAGTGTCCCTAAGGTTCATTAGAGATGGGGATCACTATCCCTTCTTCCTAGATGAAGAAGTTGAAGTGGTTTGTCCATCTCAGCCAGTCAGGAGTGGAATCTGGTCTACATTTTAGGTCCTGCTGACTCCAGACCCCACGGCATCAAGTACTACTCACCAGCAAACTCAGCCCCTGATGAAGTCCGTGATGCAGCAAACCAGGACTCTAACACGGGGATCAGGTGAACCTCCCACAGGCCAGCAGCTTTGTAGGAGAAACCTGCCAGAGGATGTGAATACAGATGTTGAGGACAGTCCTGGAGCGCTCTTTCTGTATCAGCAGTTCAGAATCCCGGTGTTGCTGAAGGGAGAGGTGCCATAGCAGAGATAAGATATGAGGTACCATGGGGATGCAGAAAAATGAGTCAGAAGTGGGGGCATCAGGAGGGAAGCAGAGGTTAAGCCACGGCGACCTTGACTTCGCCCAAGACTGCAGACTCTGTGCTGCCCACGATGGGGAGCCTTTGAAGCAAGGATCTGGCAGGGTCAGGTTTGTGGGTTAGAATGAGCTCTCTGCAGGAAGAGCTGAGGGTGCAGGAAGCTGGGTCTGCATGGAAGAGGATTGGCGGCCCCAGTTGCAAGGAGACCTTGGGAAACAAAGAACTGTTTGGCTTTTTTCTCTTTATTTTTTCTTTCTTTTCTTTTTTCTTTTCTTTTCTTTTTCTTTTTCTTTTTCCTTTTTTTTTTTGTGCCTTTTTTGTCGGCCTCCATTTCTTCGTGATGAGAGGAACTAAGAACTTCTAAGTAGGGGCTGTCACTGATACGTGTGCTTATTGCACAGACATTAATTATTTGCCTGGTTTGTTCACTGATGTATCTCTAGCCCCTAGAAGAGTGCCTAGTACAGAGTAGGCACCCAATGATATACATCAAAGAAATATATGAATAAGTGAATGATGGAAAGATGGCAAGAGCTGGGTGGGGGTGGAGTATGAGAGTACCCAGCCCCCAAGTTTTAAATTGGAGCCCTCAGAGGATTCAACTCATGGCCTGTGCCTGACTCCAACCTGGTGGGAGTCTGAGCACCTGGTATGTGCCAGGTGCAGTTTTGGTCCTGGGGTTGGAGAGGACACAGAGATGAAGACCGTGTGGCTCCCTGCCCTGCACAGACTGAACATCTCCCAGGCATGTGGGTTTCCACCTCAGTGAGCAGAAGAACGAACAAGGACTTCTTTGTCTCTGAGACTCATTCCAGAGACATAGAGGCCAGGGATGGAAGCAAGATGTGAGGAAGTGAGATCCCCGTTAGGCGGATCAGCCTGAGACCTTCCACTTTAATGCTGAGAGAAGCTTCTCTGGGCCAGGCTACCTGCCCAAGCCTACCTCGCCCTGGGGCTGTCTGGAAACAATGCCCGGTGGGAGGCTGAATAAAGGCCACCTGAAGATGTATATGTCCTAATCCCTCATCAGAACCTGTGACTATGTGGCCTTCCATGGTGTCTTAGTCTGCTCAGGCTGCCTTAACAACCTACCATGGACGGGTGGCTTAAAAACAAATTTGTTTTTTCTTAGTTCTGGAGCCTGGAAAGTCCAAGGTCAAGGGGCCAGCTGACTCAGTTTCTGGCAGCAACAGTTCAAGGTCGATGTTATTAAGATGCCCACTTTAGAGATGGGAACAGTGAGGCTCTTCCAAGATTACACAAGGGGTTAGTGACTTGGATTAGACTAGATCGGTTGGCTCCATTTAACGCAATGCTCTCTGGGCACCTGGTATGTGCCAGGCACAGTTCTGGTCCCACGTAGGGAGACAGATATAAAGACCATGTGGCTCTCTGCTCTGCACAGACTGCGTGTGTATCTCCCAGCCCTATGGGGTCCTGCTTCTTTGTTGCTCTGAGCAGAGTGAACTGTCCATCTCTCAGCAGCTCCAAGAGAGCAGGTTTCCCTGTAACTGACCACTCACCAGAGCCCTCTGTTCCTGACTTGCAGATGGCTGGCTCTCCTCTTGTTGCATCCTTACATGGCCTTCTTTCTGTGATCACTGTCACAAGGCCACTAATCCCATTGTGAGGGCCCACTCTCATGATCCAGTGTAAACCCTAACCCTCCCAAAGGCCCCATCTCCAAAGACCATCACATCGAGGGTTAGGGCTTCAACATATGGATATTGAGGGAGCACAAGCGTTCAGTACATAACACAAAGGGACTTTGCAAATAGGATATTACCCTGGATTATCTGGGTAGGCCCAATGTCATCACAAAGGACCTTATAAGAAGGAAGCAGGAGGGCCGAAGTCAAAGAAGCAGAAACAAGGTCAGAGTGATGTGGCCATGAGCCAAGGAAGACAGGCTGCCTCTAGAGGCTGGAAAAGGGAAGGAAGCAGATTTGCCCCTAGAGCATCCAGGAGGAATGTAGCTCTGCCCACAGCTTGATTTTAGACTTTTCCCCTGCAGAACTGTAAAAAGATGAATTTGTGTCTTTCAAACTACTAAGTTCATTGTCATTTGTTACAGCAGCAAGAGGAAGCTGCAATATACCCTCTGACCCCCTCCTTAGCCACCTGCATTTCAGCCTCAGGAGAGCCTAAAACTAGAGCCCTGTTTCCGTCAAGTATTGCTGGGACATACTGGAGATCTGAAAATGTTGTTAGCCAATAACTAAGGAGAATACCAGGGAACTAAACAGTCTGACTTGCAAAGAACAAATTCTGCTCCCTCCCCACCAGCTTGTTCCCTTTCCATATGTTGTCTCCAGATACTGACATTCTAACACATTCAGAACAACCTATATTAACACAAAAGCTACTTCAGGAAAAATTAAAATACTTACAAGCTCTAACTTTTTTCATTCAAAATGAAAATAGCTTTACCGGGCCCTAGGCAGATAATGTATGTTTGTACAGCATAGAGAACTATTAGAATTGAGCAATTCCCATGGGGAAACTGGCATGTTCAGACTCTAAATTAACATTTGGAAGAGTTGCACAGTAGTAACTGAGAGGCAGCTTTCTAATCTTTTGTTAAAGTTCATAAAGAGTGTCTATGCCCATTTCTCATTTAAACTTTAAAACAGTCCAAAGTTAATGTTATTGAGATGCCTGCTTTACAGCTGGGAACAACGAGGCTCTTCCAAGATTACAGAAGGGGTTAGTGACTTGGATTAGACTAGATCAGTTTGGTCTGTTTAGTGCAATGTTGTCATGTCGTCTGAGCACCTGCTATGTGCCAGGAACAGTTTTGGTCCCAGGTAGGCAGACAGATATGGGGGCCATATTGCCCTCTGCCCTGCACAGACTGTGTGGGTATCTCCCAGGCCTATGGGGTCCCCCACTTTGTTACTCTGAGCAGAGTAAACTGTGCAGCTCTCAGCAGTTCCAAGGGGGCAGTTTCCCTGGAACCGACCTCCCACTAGAACCCTCATGGAGCCCCCGGCACGGACCTTAGACCTACCTCACCCACCCACAGGAGCACTGGGACTTTGGGATAAGGAAGGGGACTTTTCCTCTAAGCCTGTGGGATCTCCTTGAGGAATCCACCTGCACTCATCCTAACCCATCTATGAAATAAAAATCAAAAGCAGCGTTCAAGTAAATGGGGCCCATTCACAACTGGGGGCCATGAGGAGGACTCATGCATTACCTTCTTTTTATAACCACAGACATCTTCATGTTAAAAAGAGAAAAATCGAAACAGAGTAAACCCAGTCCCTTCTGCCTGCTGGGCTCCTTCCAGGGACCTGCCTTTCCCCCCCAGTGACAGGTGATACCTGCCCCGGCCCCCAGTTGATGTGACCTCTGCCCTAGTTGGTGTGACCTTCACGGGCTGAGATCAAACCACCCTGGTGTGATGTCATTGCCAGAGCATTTAGAAAACAGGAACAACTCTCAGGAAGCAATGGGGAAGGGTCGCCCTGCAGCCTTCTGGGTGGAAACAGATGGGAGGCAGACAGAGAACCTAAAATAGCAACTTTGTGGCCCCAAGCAGAGGATGAATACACAGCAGGCTTGATGGCAACTCTCCAGCCCTCCATCATGAGGCAACCTTATCTCACAGTTCACACAAGGAAGTGGAAATCTTCACCAGCATCCAGACTGGAGATTTGGAATCTGCTCAGCCCCACGGTATTGGTTTGTTCTCAATTGCTATACCTGCAACTGGGTAATTTATAAAGAAAAGAAGTTTAATTGGTTCATGGCTCTGCAGGCTGTACAGGAAGCATGGTGCTGGCATCTATTCAGTTTCTGGTGAAGCGTCATGGAGTTTTCAATCATGGTGGAAGACAAAGGGGGAACCGGGCATGTCACAAGGCAAAAGCAGGAGCAAGCAAGACAGAGTGCAGGGGAAGGTGACACAGACTTAAACAACCAGATCTTGTCTGAACTCAGAGCAAGAGCTCACTTATCACCAAAGGGATGGCCCAAGCCATTCATGAGGGATCCACCCCCATGACCCCAACGCCTCCCACCAGAATCCACCTCTACCACTGGAGATTACAATTCAACAAGAAATTTGGGCAGGGACAAATATCCAAACTATATCACCCTCCTCTGGCTTAATGGTCACCTACTAAGAGCCACGTGCTTTCCACTCATCAGTGGAGGCCATGCAGGTATCGTGCGTGACACCACTGTCAGATGATGGCCAAAATCATACCTATCCATCCCCTTGGAGCTCACTTGAAGTCCATCTCAGAAGGACAGCGGGGTTCCCTTCCCTCTCTGGTTTTCCTTCTCCTACGATTGCAGTAATGTGAATTCATTCCCTTCTTCTCCCTGTGCCCTGCACCCACACCCCACCCCAGACCCCACCCTGGATGAGAGCACCTGATATTTGAGTTTCCATGACACGGGCCCTACCCTGCACCAAGCGAGCAACTGAGCTCTGTCTTTACTCAGGCCCAGCGCTGTTCCATCCCATCTTGTCCTGTCCGCCATCTACAGAGCAGCCCTGTGTCTGGAGCTTGGCTTGCCAATTGGCTATAGTCACCTGTGATGATATTATCTTCCTTTTCAACCTTCCTATGCTTTCTTACCCCCTCTCCTCTTAGCTCCCAAGCATCGGTGAAGATCTCCTTTAAATTTGACTCCCTTTACCTTATCAAAATTACCTGCTTCAACATTTTTTATAACTGCTTCATAACTGGGGGTGATTTTGCCCCCTAGATGACATTTGGGATCTCTAACGGGCATTTCTGATAGTCACAACTGCAGGGTAGGGGGTTGTTTTCCTACTTGTGTTGAGTGGGTAGAGAGTTGGAATGCTGGTAAGCATCCTGTAGTGCCCAAAACAAACCTCCGTCCCTAACAAAGGATTCACTGATCCAAAATGTCAATTGTGCTAAGTGGAGAAACCCTGCTCTTGACTAGCTGTTGGTTGAGGGTAGAAATCTCAAGTTACTCATTTTTAAATCCCCAACACCTAAACATAAAACCCGATACAGAGTAGTCATCCAATATACTTTTGCTGCTGGTAAATAAATGTATGAGTGAATGAATTCTCACCTTCCTGAACCCCTTGTGCTTGCAGAATCACCTACACGTAAGCCAGTCCTCAGGCCTCCAAGTATCTATGTAAGCATACCTGCACACACATGCATGGACACACAGAGATGTGCACACATCCAAAGACAGACCATGCACACACACTCCCACCTAATGCTGAAGTCCAGGGACCTGCCTGACTCTGAGACTTAATCACTCAATTCCTGTTCACCTGAGAATCAGGAGCTTCTTTTCTCTGCTACACTCGGAACGATCTCTGCCCAAACACCTCGGCAGAGGCACTAAATGTTCTCCATAATTAATTTCACTGACTAGACGCATTTTCTTATTGTGACTCTAGGATTAAATAAGCAGTGAACCCAAAAGGAGGAAGATCTTTTTTTGCAATTACACATGCAGAAGGCAACTCAACAACTGGAAAAGTGAGATGTCAATTTTGACAATGGCATAACAGCCCAGGAGTGTGGCAGGCAGGTCTGACTCATGACATCTAGCAATATTGGTGGGCATTGAAAATGGGGTGGCGGGGTTGCGGGGAGGCGGGCTGGAGGAAACAGCGGGATTGATGCCAACCCCGTGGGCAGCACGAGCTGGAGCAGGCCCAGGAGAGCAGGGGGTGACAGTGACTATGAAGCAAAGGTGCTCCTCTTTCTTCCATGCCACTTCCTTTACTGGGGACTGAGGACACTGTAGAAATGGACAGCAAAGAGGAAGGCCAGTCCACAGGGGAGTTGGCACGGAAGTCTTGGTGCCAGTTTTGTGGAAACATTGGAACAGCAAAAGACAGTGATATATATACTAGCTATTGGCTCTGTGAGGCAGCTACAATTACACCTTCCTCACTTCCTCATTGAAAACCCCTGCAAGTTCTTCAAGGGTTTGCATGGCTGCAAGCACCCTGGGCTTCCCTCTATCCTGGTATTTGTCACCTTGTAGATATTTCCTGATTACTCATTTTCCTTCCCTGTTAGGCTGTGAGCGTCTCAAGCAAAAAGAAGTCTTACTCCTTTCTGTATCTGCATTGCCTAACTTAATAAATGTGTGATGAATGAATAAGTAAGTAAACAAATCAGTGAGCACACTTCAGTCAGATGAATCTGCCTAGAGTTTCAGAATGAAGCAGGGCATAAGGGCAAGGTGACAAAAGACCATGTTTGCTGCGTCGAGGAGTTAGGATTTTAGCTGAGAGCAACAAAGAATCGGCCAGGGGAAGAGCGTGTTAAGTTCAGTGTGTTAAAGTGATCCCTTGGCATAAGCACATGCACTGAGACTTTAAACTTATCACTGATGTACTGAGTTTTTACTTTGTGCTTTTTGTCTAGTTTTTCATTGGAAAAACAGATGAACCCCTTGGTGCTGAATAGCCTCTGACAGTGAAACCCTCTTCATGTCATCTTCAGCCTAAGACCTAGAATTTGTCTCTGCTAACTACACTTTAACTTAGTGTATGCCGTATAGTTTCAACGATGTAGTACAACTCTGTACTCCAAAAATATAATAGTCCAGGAACAGTGGCTCATGCCTGTAGTCCCAGCACTTTGGGAGGCTGAGGCAGGTGGATCATGAGGTCAGGAGTTTGAGATCAGCCTGACCAACATGGTGAAACCCCATCTCTACTAAAAATATAAAAATTAGCTAAGGCATGGTGGCAGGCACCTGTAATCTCAGCTACTCAAGAGGCTGAGGCAGGATCGCTTGAACCTGGGAGGCAGAGGTTGCAGTGAGCCGAGATTGTGCCACTGCACTCCAGCCTGGGCGACAGAGCAAGACTCAGCCTCAAATAATAATATTAATAATAATAATAATAATAAAGAAACATACTAGGATATTCCAGTTTGTTGCCTCTGGAAGATAGGATTCTTTGTGTTTGGTTCAAATTATTTTGTTTGGTCCAGATATTCTCTGGTGCACATGTCAATTGAACCTTTATGGAGTTGCCCGCCCCATCCTCAGCTGTTCATTTGGAACCTTCCACTTCACGAGTTCAGTAACATAAACGTTGCCACGTGTGCAACATGACCACACGCCAGGCTACTGTCCACCACTTAGATATGGACCCATGAATCAGATTGCACCATATCGAAGTCTTTTCCACAGGGTTTCTGGAAAAGAAACTGAGACGACCCTTTCCAGGTGGTTGAAATATGAGGTATGAGAGCTTGAGAGTTGATGGCAGCTGGGTGAGGCTGAAACAGAAAAGAAAGAAGCTATTTTCCAAAGAGGTAGCTCTAAGAGTAGGTTAGAAAGAATCCCGTTGTTTTTCAGGCTCTGGCTTCTGAAGTTCGTGTTCCCAAGAACTGCCATATTCCCGTCCCTGGTTCTGGGAACTGCCTCAGTAGCTTCCCAGCAACTCTCTCTCTCTTGCAAAAACAACCTCCAGTTGGATTCCTTCCACTCATGCTCCAACTGATTATAATTCATAGGTTTGATTTCCTTTTACAATCTCAAAAATATCTTGAGAACATGAGTGGATGTCATTTAAATTTCTGGAGCCTCTTGCCTTTCCTGTAGTTCAGATCTAGGCCTCGGCAACTGCGACAAACCCACCAAACTTTGCTTTGAGGGATTTCTCTCAGAACGAAAGATGGACAACCCGTGCTTTCTGGGTACTCCAGTAGAGCAATTTGCTCTAACAAACCTTGCTCGCTGAGACCTCCCTCCCCACAAGGTCCTGGCCAGGAGCTACCATTTAATGGGCAGCCCTGCAGGTAAGCTGGCCAGGAATCCACCCATTATGAGTAGGTAGAAGCTGGCATCAGAGAGACCTGGACACGAATTACTGCTCCACTGTGTATGAGCTACATGAGTGTGTCAGTTACTAACTTCCCTAAGCTCCAATTTCCTGAGCTTTAAAATGCTGCTAATCATGGATATCCCCCTTCTAGAACTTGGGGAAGGATCAAATGATATAATGCCTATAATCTCACTTTGCAGGGCTGTTGGCACACAGGAAGCACCATATAAATGGTGGCTCACATTGTTAATGGTGTATCTCATCTTCTTGGTCCTCTTTAGAGTAACCACCACTTTAACGAGAGCAGCTCTCTCCCAGAATGTCATACTCCTGTATCACCACCGCCACCACTATGTCTGCTTGAACTGTATAATACTAATGTTTTATTTTTGATGCTCCTAGTCCTCGGCTTTTAGATCTTCTGAGGGTAACCACCTTGCATGACTGGCTCAGCCATCAACAGTGGTGTATCAGTTAGCTTAGGCTTATGCTGAAGGAACAAATGACCCCCAGAATCTTGGTGGATTGCAGCAACTAAGATTTATTTCTTGCTTGCAATCACATTCATCTCAAGATGCACATGGGCAACATCTCTGCTCCACACCTCTTTATTCCAGGACTAAGGAGCAGCTCCTATCCAGCACAAACCTGCCTCATGACAGTGAGAAGAAAAAGAGAAAACCTTAAAACAGCCACCAGAGATGATATACATTAATTGCACTTAAATATGATTGGCCAAAGCAAATCACATGGTCAAACGTTATATCAGTGGGAAGTACAGTCTTCTTGCATGGATGGATTCAAGAAAATATTTTGAACAAATAATAGTCTTCCACTGAGAGTTCCTCCTCCTGGTTTTAGGGACACTCTGGCTGTACATAGAAAAAAACATTTAACTATAATGCCCCACATCTTGGTTCCTTGTGGGTGGGGGAGGTGGGAAGGATGACTCGGTTTCTCTTTTGCCTTCCTCCTCTGAGCTCCTATCTCCCTGGGCTCCAGTGGCCTCCTGCCTTAGTAGCAACTGATAACTTAATTCTAGCTATCACAATGATGTTCCTGTCATAATAATTGGAAGGAAATTATCCAAAATCTGATTTTGTTTTTTCCTCTGAAATGATTTTTGGGGTACCTTC
Organism: Homo sapiens; assembly: GCF_000001405.40. Taxonomy (NCBI): domain Eukaryota; kingdom Metazoa; phylum Chordata; class Mammalia; order Primates; family Hominidae; genus Homo; species Homo sapiens. Next base: position 133,649,146 of record NC_000008.11, on the reverse strand, counting down.
CAGATTTTCTAGAATGAATGTGTATTTATTGACTATAAGACTAAAAACACTCTATTAAAAAGGATGAGTCTGGCAGCATGGGGAAGATAAATTAGTGTGTCAGAGGCTCAAGGAGGAAAATGAACCTGAAAAAGGGCAGTGACGGGGTGGGGCAAGGGGCAAGAGCAGGCTGGATCCAGTCCTCTCGACTTGGACTTGGTAGGACTGGCCACCCCAGGAGGTGGGGAGTCAGGAAAAGGGAGGCTTCTTGTTGACCATGGACCTTGGGCCAGCACTGAGGGATGTGAAGGCCCTTCTGACCTGCAGAAGAGGGTATCCCTCTATGAGAAGGCTGTAAGAGTATCTTTGAGTGCAGAAAAGTTACAAGAAGTTGCTTCCTTGGATCCTCACTCCCAACACCAGTATCCCACTCAGGTTCTGCTCTGGTAAGTCAGGTCCATGTCTGATCTTTAGACATAATTTTATGATTTGGAAACTGTCATTGGACTGCCACCATCTTACTTTTAGAGAACAAAGACTTAATGGACAACTTATGGGTTATTTCATTCATCTTCCTGCCATCATGGGAGGAAAGTTCATATCCAGTTTCTCTTGACATTGCAAAAGACATAAGCTCCCAGAATAGAGAGTTGTATTCAAATGGTGTGGCCCTAGCCAAGTCAGTTGGCATCTCTGAGATTCAGGTTCCTTATTATCTAGATGAAACTATAATACCTGTTTCAAAGAGTTTGTTACAATAGAAAGAGACCATCTTTGCCAGATTAAAAATCTTTGTAATTGTTAATATTACAATGTCTAGCACATTATTAATTATTATAAGGATAGAGATATACCAGTAAAACAACACAATGGTACAAAACTTTTAGCAAGGAAATAGCTGTGGCAAACACCTATAGTCATAATCAAAATAATAAGCAAAGGCCATTGTCTTAGTTCATTTTGCACTCCTATAAAGGAATACTTGAGGCTGGATAATTGATAAAGAAAAGAGGTTTATTTGGCTCACAGTTCTGCAGGTTATACAAGAAGCATGGCACTGTCATCTGCTTCTGGTGAGAGCCTCCAGCTGCTTCCACTGATGGTGGAAGGGGAAGGGGAGCTCGCTGTGCAAAAATCACATGGTGAGAGAGGAAGCAAGGGTTAAGGAATGGGGAGGTACCAGGCTCTTTTTAACCACCAGCTCTTGCAGGAATTAATAGAGCAATAAATTATCACCAAGAGGACAGCACCAAGACATTCATGAGGGATCCACCGTCACAACCCAAACACCTCCTTTAGGCCCCACCTTCAACGTTGGGGATCAAATTTCAACATGAGGCTTGGCAGAGGAATGTCTAAATGATAGCAACCATCTATAACTTATCTATCCATTCTACCATTTAATGCTCAGCAGGTCCTTCCTTAAATCCTACCTAAATTTCTCCACTGCTGCTGAACGTATAAACCAGCAACCTACCATGTGACAGTGGCCCCAATCGGAAATGTGTAGAGTCTCATGAGTAGAACATTTGCTCTGAGCTCACATTGGTCTACTTTATAACAGCTTGACTCTGAGTATGTCACTCAAATCTCTTGAGCCTCAATTTTGTCCTTTTAAAACGGGAATAATATTGTCTCTCTTAGAATCCTGTTTTGAGAATCATTTCCAGAGCAATATATGCAATACATCTGGCTCATAGAAGTTGTGTATTAAATGACAGCTCCTTTCCATGTATTCTAATGGATTTTACCATTTAAGGAAAAGCATATTTTTTAAACTAAAGTTTTTTTCAGCTTATTATTTTGTATCCAGGACCATGATAGCTATTAAGTGTTTTGGGCTTCTCTGTCTCCAGAGACATTTTATGATGCCAATTAGAAGTGTAAGTATATTGAGATTAAAAGGTAATGACTAGCAAAATGAATCACGGCTTCCCTACTTACACCCAACTTGCTACTCCTGAAGCTCATCTCCAAATACCTTACTATCTAGGGAAAAAAAAAAAAAAATTCTAGGGTCAACGGAATATCAGAATTTTATAATTCATAATCATTTGAAGACCTCTGGGGAGAGGGGCGTTCTGTTTCTACAAGGAAACTCATTTATGTTAAACTTTTGTACAGGCCGGGTGTGGTGGCTCACATTTGTAATCCCAGCACTTTGGGAGGCCGAGGCGGGTGGATCACCTGAGATCAGGTGTTCTAGATCAGCCTGACCAACAAGGTGAAATTCTGTCTCTACTGTAAGTACAAAAATTAGCCAGGCGTGGTGGCAGCCTCGTGTAGTCCCAGCTGCTAGGGAGGCTGAGACAAGAGAATTGCTTGAACCCAGAGGTGGAGGTTGCAGTGAGCTGAGATTGTACCACTGCACTCCAACCTGGGCAGAGCAAGACTCGGTCAAAAAAAAAGAAAAATTCTTTGCACAGACAATGTTGCCGTCTTTATTAGCATGGAAATGTGACAACATGAAAATAATAATTAAATCTTAGGTAGCTGAGGAGATTGAGTCAGAAATGGGATTAGCCAAGGACCGGATTTAGTTTTACATGCACTGATCTCCCATATTTTGTTATGACACACACAGAAGTCTCTCAATAAACCTGTAGATGCATTGATGAATTCATGCTTCTGTTGATGAAATTATATTTATTTTTCCTTTCAGTTCTTTTCTGCCTGTTTGGTCCCTTTTTTCTATGTCCTTCTCTCCAAAGACCATAGGCATAAGAATAAAATTATCTAATTTAATTTTATGACTGTGAATAAGTTTCCTATCTTCTCCAAAAACCACTTTTCTCCTCTGTAAATGGGATAAGTAATGCCTACTTCCCAACCTCATCTATTTTGTGCCTGTTACCGCCTCCTTAGCTCAGGCCGTTTCTCCCTCCTGGATTATTGCAGCTGTGGCCTATCTTGTTTTCCACCCTCTAGAATTAGCCTCACTGCCTCTTCGCTTCCCATCCCACACCACCCATTGTTGCTGGAGTGTTCTTTTGGCTATGCAATCTGGCCTTGTCAAGCGCCTTCATAAGTCTGTCTCCAGTAGAAGGGACCGGCCACCAGGAGGCGGAATGCTGAAGAAGGACTGGGTAGACCTGGAGCCCATCCCCAGCTCACCACTCCTGCCCCTCCCACTCCTTTACTCTTTCACTTCACGTTCCAGCCATGTGGGACACTTCCCCCAAACCCGGTGGCTTTCTCACCTCCAAGTCTATGCGTGTGCTCTGTTCTCTTCCTGAATAATTCCTTTTTGTGGGAGGGAAATCAACTTAGAAATCTACTCTTCCAAGAAGCCTCCCCTGACTGCTCCAGGTTTGATTAGGGTCCTGTCTTATGTGACTCAGAGCCCTCTGCCCTGACAGCATCCAGGAGCTCTTCCTGCTGTTTGAGGTCCCATCTCCCCCTCACTTGTCAGCTCACTTGTCATTCTCACATCCACATAGCATACTGGAATCGTCAAAGTCGTGTTTCAGGAGGGCATGAAAAAAATGCATACTTTGTAAATGGATACATGCTATAATAGACATGTTTGAATATCCCAGAGCCTAAAGCTGGAAGCATCCAAAGAGTAGACTCATTCAGGGTGGATGCTGTTATGATCGACATTTGGTAATGTCTCTGTTGAATGGCTGAATTTGGTAAGGTACAATTACAAAATAGACTTCTTCAGATGCAGCCTGTCATCACTCCCCACCCCACCCACGAGTGACAGCTCCAGCAGAAACCATGGCTTCGAGCTCCCCTTCAAGAACAACATCTGAGTCAGAGGGCAGCCTGACTGACTTGGCTCAATTTGCTCGAGGTGGAAGTTAAGTATTACTTAAGGCTGATAGTTCAGAGCCTCCACCATGAGTCACTGGTCTCCTCCTGTCTGTGCTGTAGGAAGACACCACCAGGGAACAGTCCCTTCCACCTTCCATGGGTGGGGCCTGCACTTTTCTTCTGAATATCAGCATGTCAGGGCTCCTTTTTTTTTTTTTTTTTTTTTGACAGGGTCTCACTCTGTCACCTAGGCTGGAGTGCAGTGGCATAGTCTTGGTTCACCGCAACATCGGAGGGAGGATGTTTGAACCAAGTTCAAACGATTCTCCTGCCTCAGCCTCCTGAGTAGCTGGGATTATAGGTGCATGTCCACCACACCGGCTAATTTTTGTATTTTTAGTAGAGACGGAGTTTCACCATATTGGCCAGGCTGGTCTTGAACTCCTGACCTCAAGTGATTCGACTGCCTCAGCCTCCCAAAGTGCTGGGATTACAGGCGTGAGCCACTGTGCCCAGCCTGAATGTTAAGAGTTCTGATCAATCTTTGTTCTCCATGCTGGGATTTCATTCAAGTTCTAACACAATAGAAAAACAGTATTTTGTTATCGTAAATCATATTTTAGTAATTTTAGAGAAAAAAGACAGGAAATGTACTTTGATGAGTAATATTTAAATATTACTTCTGCACTTATGTATGTTTTTGTTTAAACTGTGGACAAAGACTTATGGATAAGTACAAAAAATAAATCCTCTTTTGCAACCCAGAACTCATTGTTCAGTATGAGTTTTAATACATATAGCCAGGGAAATTATGATACCTGAGACAGCTGATGGGAGTATTGATAGCCATAAAGGTTGGTTCCAGGACAGGCACAGTGGCTCATGCCTGCAATCCCCACACCAAGGTGGGAGTTTTGCTTGAAGCCAGGAGTTCAAGAATAGCCTGGGCAAGAAAGTAACAAACACCTCATCTCCACAAAAATTTAAAAATTAGCTGAGTATTAGGGCATGTGCCTATAGTTTTAGCTACTCAGGAAGGGGAGGCTGAGGCAAGAGGATTGAGCCCAGGAGTTGGAGGCTGCACAGAGCTTTGATGGCACCACTGTACTGGAGCCTGGGTAACAGACAGCCCCTGTCTCTTAATAAAAAAGAAAAGATTGATTCTAGGACTATAGAATAGATAGTTAAACAGCATGGGATATGAGGGAACGCCTCAGCTGTATTAATTTTGTATTCCAATTTCATGTTGACTTGATACATACATGGCTTTTTGTTTTAAAGGCTTTTATCTTCAGAACATGATGTCTGGAGTTAAAGGTATTGGCATATTCCACACATCTGTACTATTCTTGAGTGTGATCGCTTAGGAATGAATATAATTTGAACTCATTCATGTTAAGAGAGGGTGTCAAATTGAGAACCAGGAAGATCCACCACCTACAGTAAAAATGACTCTAAAGTAAATTGGCTGAAGAACATAGATCCCAAAGATTCTTGATGAATTTTGAAGTCTTCATCAGTATTTATATATTAACACGAGATGAAAGAAGCCGAAATAAAAGAACTATGGACTGACAGGACAACTGGATTAAAATAAGCTTCAGTTTCATTAAAAAGGGCTAACTTGAAGATAAATCTTTTGACTCCAGCTCTTTAGAGGATCTAAAGTGACTTTGATGGACAGTGGAAGAAATCACAACATGGAATTCCTTGAATAAAAATGTATTGACTTTAACTTTAAAAAAATAAAAAATATTACTTAAGAGTAATATTTAAACTTCTATCTCATGCAAATCGAGTCAGTCGGGCCGCCCTCTGCCTTGGGAACCAGCAGCAAGAGGCCAGGGACAAGTGGGTTTGGGCACTCCCCTAGCTGCGGCTCCCACTCTCTCTGCTGCCTCTGGGCCCTCCAGGGTCAGGAGCTAAGAGGAATGAGGATGAAAGACAGAAGAGACAAAAGTCTTTCCACTTAGCTGGGGCAGTGGGTGTCTGCTTGTCAGGCTCACAGTTGCTGCCCCTTGAACTGGTTCTCTAGAGACCCTGACAAGCATCCCTGCACCAAACCATGTCCTGACACTTGAGGACCTGCATTCAGCTTCTGTCTTGGCCAGTCCCCCTGCAGCTACCTTCTTGTGGGTTCCACACACCTAGCGGGCAGCCCTTTTGAGTAGGCTGCACAGGAAACCCATTTATCTATCCTTGCCTCATACAGCTCACACAACACTCCCCTTGTCTCCTCGCAGCTCCGCTTGTCTCCAACCTCTCCCTTCTCCAGGTGAGAGGTGCCACCTGCCTGTGTTCCATGTTTGCCCCAGGACCCTGGGACATGTATGCCAGGTTCTCCAGTACTCCATGCTCTCACAACCCGGTGTACAGAGGCTCACAAGCATCCGCCCTGATGGTGCTCAGCCGCCTTTCTCCTCCTCCTCCTATCTCTAGTGAGGTTCTCTCAGAGCCCAACTCTGGATCTCCTCTTGACACCTTGGAATGACACCTTGGTCAAGAGGAATCAACACCTCTTGACCTCTTGGAATGTCCCTCATGAGTCACTGGCCTCCTCCTACCTGCACTGTAGGAAGGCACCGCCATGCACCAGCCCCTTCCGCCTTCCACAGGTGGGGCCTGTACTTCCCTTCTGAATGTCAGGGCTCAAATCAATCTTTGTTCTCCATGCTGGGATTTCATCCAAATTCTTACACAATAGAAAAATGCATATTTTATTATCGTAAATCACAGTTTGGTAATGTCAGAAAAAAGAAAGGACAGGCAATTTGCTTTGATGAGTGACACACAAGAATGTGTGTGTTCTGCTGAGCTACAAATAACGACGGATGGGTGCTCCTTACCAGGAGAGGTGAATGTTTGTCATTTATAAGACCCGTACAGGAAATAATGTTTTAAAATATTGACTTGCATTTGTGTGTATACACTGGTGTGCAAATATCTACCTCATATGCTTAAAGAAGCTTTTAGTACCCTTGGGCAGGGTTTCAGTTAAAAATGCCTAAACTCTGGAAATCCTGGCAATATAGAAAATGCCAGATTTTAGACCTGGAGGGAAATCTTCTGTTGGGTCTACCAAAGGCCCAGGCCACAAAGAAGGGAGCCATCAGTTATGCTTGGGCCGGGCATAGAAGGCTTTACAGAGGGATTGGAGCTTGAGACTCAGCACAGTTTCTCTAGGGGAGATGGAAGATGCAGGCCCTGGAGGGAGGGAGCAGCTTGAGTCCAGCAGGAGACGCACAAGGGCCGCTCGTATACTGAGACACAGTTTGTGCTGGGAGCTGAGAAAGGGAAAGAAACCACCCAGCCCTTTCTCTGTGGTGTAGACCCTGGGGTCTGTGCTTTGGGCATCTTCTCCCATCTGGTCCTCACAGCAGCCTCGGGAGGGTAGTAAAAGCCTCTGGGATTTTTCTTTTTCTCTTTTTGTTTTTGTTTTTTGTTTTTTTTTTTCAGGTGAAGAATAAGGTTTAGAGAGGCTAGTTGACCTGTGATAAAAACAAAGCTGGGAACTGAACTCAGGTTGGGCCTAACTCTAAGACACGTGGACAGAGGGGGAAATGGTGCTGGAAAGTTAGCCTGGGCCTCAGGCCAGTCTGGCCTTGCACACAGGGCCCATTTGTGCCTGCCTAAGAACAAAACCCGTCACTCCCCACTCTGCTGAGCAAACGCAACAGGTGTCAGGAGTGGCCTCGCTGGACAGTAGCCGGGGCTGGCCCTGCTTCTAGGAGAGGGACACAGAAATCCCTGGGCACAGACAGGACAGGGTGCAACAGGCTCTTCCACAATGGGATGTCCAGATCTAGGCCCTGTTCCAGGTGTCCCTGACCCCATGAACCATCCTGAGAAGATTCCATCCCCAGAACATTTCAGAATTTTGTAAAATCATCCCCGAGGCCCCAATCTCTAAACCCGTGGAGGCTTCCTCTCTCATTTATGAGAGGCCTGCAGCTGAGGAGCTTCTTCTAGGAAAAAGCACTGCTGATGTTCACTGAGGCCTGCCTGCTCTTCCCACAGAGGCCAAATCCAGGTAAGGGCAAGACTCGCAGAAAGCAAAAGGCCAAACCCGAAGTCCTTGAGTGTAAGTTGCCCATTTTGTGGCCAGCTCTGTCCTGGGCACAAAGGGCACAAGATGAATAAAATCCAGGTCCTGCCCTCAAGGGACCACTGTCTGGGGGCCTAGCGGGGAACACTCACAGGCAGCCAGGTGCAGTGGCTTACACCTGTAATCCCAGCACTTTGGGAGGCCTAGGAGGGCAGATCACTTGAGGTCAGGAGATTGAGATTAGCCTGGCCAACATGGTGAAACCCCGTCTCTACTAAAAATACAAAAATTAGCCAGGGGTGATGGCAAACATCTGTAATCCCAGCTTCTTGGGAGGCTGAGACAGGAGAATCTCTTGAACCTGGGAGGCAGAGTTTGCAGTGAGCAGAGCTTGGACCACTGCACTTCAGCCTGGGTGACAAGAGCGAGACTCTGTTTCCAAAAAAAAAGAACACAAGCAAAAAGTGACGATGAAGCACCACCAGCACGCGCTAATATGCCCATCGTTGCCTGGCAGAGAAAGGTTTACTTAGTCATTCAGTAGTTCTAAGCTGCTCATGAAAAAACCCACTTGACTCTGTGTCTATTCCCCCAGCTCCTAGAATATGCCTAACAGGCCAGCAGGCCAGGGCTGATTAATCTGTCCAAAGGGCACAGTGGATCCTGGAGTCTCCAGCCTCAAAGAAGAGGGAAATAATAATGACAAAAACAGTGAATATTTACCGAGATTGTCCTCTGGCCCAGACGTTATGCTAATTACCTTACATATGTTGTCACATTTCATCCTAACAACCACCCGGTGAGCTGGGCACTGTGATCATCATCCCTGTTTACAAATGAGGAAACCGAGAGCTAAACATGTGGGCAAGCTGTCCTGGTGGCAGCAGACAGCATAGCCAGAACACCAACACAGGCTGCCTGGCTACACCCCCGTCTTCCATCTGGCCACTGCCCAGTACCCTCCTCTGCCACTCTACAGGGAGCACATAGTCCCCAGGGGGCTACTGGAGTGCACTGAGATGGTCACGGGTTCTTCTCTCCAGGTTACTGTGCTTGGTCATGGACAGTTCACTGCATGTTGTAGCCCTCATGGTCCAGCTTTCCAGAACTCTCCCCGACACCCATACACCATGCAGGGAGCCATTTTTTCCAAGGTCACTCTTGGGTTGGGGCTGGAAGGCTCTAGGATGAGAACCATACCCAACCCTCCATGTTGAGTCCTTCTCAGAGGCCAGTTTTACACACTTGGCAAAGTCAGATGTATCTCTCCACTAGGAATAGGCCTAATTTTTATTCTTTTATAATAAAGAGTAAAATATACCTGTATTCATAGCAGCACTATTCACAATAGCCAAAATGTGAAAATAGCCCAAGTGTCCATGGATGGATGAATGAATAAACAAAATGTGGGATGTATATACCACGGAATATCATTCAGCCTTCAAAAAGGAAGTTCAGACACCTGCTACAACGTGCATGAACCTTGAGGACGTCATGCTAAGTGGAATCAGCCAGTCACAAAAGGACAAATATTATGTGATTCCATTTATACGAGGTGGTGGTGACAGTTGCCCAGTAATGTGGATGCACTTAATACCACTGAACTGGATACTTAAAGATGGTTAAGATGGTAAATTTTGCATTATGTGGATTTTACCACAGTTTTTAAAATGTTAGCATTTAACAAATAAAGAATAAAGCAGAAAGAGCCATGAGGTGCCTGGTGCAGTGGCTCATGCCTGTAATCCCAGCACTTTGGGAGGCCAAGGCGGGTGGATCACCTGAGGTTGGGAGTTCGAGACCAGACTGACCAACATGGTAAAACCTCGTCTCTACTAAAAATACAAAACTTTGCCGGGCGTGATGGTGCATGCCTGTAATCCCAGCTACTTGGGAGGCTGAGGCAGGAGAATTGCTTGAACCTGGGAGGTGGAGGTTGTGGTGAGCTGAGATTGTGCCATTGCACTCCAGCCTGGGCAATAAGAGTGAAGCTCCATCTGGAAAAAAAAAAAAAAAAGCCATAAGCAGTCCCCAGAAGGTTCTCCTGCAGCCCCTCTATTCTCTCTAGACAGCACTCAAACATCACCCTCAGGATCCAGCCCTCTGCTTAGGGAAGTTCGTTGGTTTCAAAAGTCCCAGTAAATCTCAAGCCACCACTGCTCCTCCGCCACCTCTACTTGAAGGAGGAAAGACCCTTAGGGTTTTATCTACAACTGGACATTTGCTACCCAGGGCTTCTGCAGCTGGGACCTGAAGTCTGACCATAACCGCAATATATTCCTGGGAAGAGGGTCTCAGGCCACTCCCCCACTCTCTCTTGGAAACACCAACAGCAGGTTGGCATAAGATTTCGAGGACGATCTCACTGAATCTGCACCAGCTCTGCATGATCTCCCTGTTGAAATAATGTGATTTTTCTTATTTTTTGAGAAACAGTACCCACAGGTCTTTGAGAACTATAGACAGCAGACACAAATCACTCCCAACTTGAAGCGTGAAAGAGAAAATAAAAGGTTCTCAGCCTTAGGCCTCAGTGGGAAATCTGATAGAGGCTTCCAGATAAGAGCCCTGCCATTGGACTACCAACTGTCTTCAATCCTCCAGAGACTGAGAAAAACCCTGAAACAAAAAGAGAGTCAATATTTTCTGCCATGATCTCGAAAAGACCATGGGGTATGTGCACTCACAAGAATCAACCATTGTGTTCCCTGAACAAACATGGAAGCTTGACTCCTCCAAGGCTAAAGAGTAAAATGGCCAATGAGTTTTAGGGGTCAACTTTATTCCTAAAAGAGGAATATCTTAAGTCTTTTTTTTTTCTTTCTTTTTTTTGAGGTGGAGTCTTGCTCTGTTCCCCATGCTGGAGTGCAGTGGCGAGATATCGGCTTACTGCAAGCTCTGCCTCCCAGGTTCACACCATTCTCCTGCCTCAGCCTCCTGAGTAGCTGGGACTACAGGCACCTGCCACCACGCCCAGCTAATTTTTTGCATTTTTTTTTTTTAGTAGAGATGGGGTTTCACCATATGAGCCAGGATGGTCTTGATCTCTTGACCTTGTGATCCGCCCACCTTGCCCTCCCAAAGTGCTGGGATTACAGGGGTAAGCCACCATGCCCGGCCTAAAAATCTTAAGTCTTATGATACATCCCTTTATGAATACAGCAAATATAACCAGTTTGGACATCCTAATGAAGAGACCAAGTGGGAACCATTCAAGCTTTGGACACTAGGGAAGTCTACACAGATGATCTGAGAACTGAGTTTTGAAGGATGAATAAGAGTGTGGCCAGTGAAAGGGTTGAGAGGTCTCCCATAAACCAAGGTGTGAGTTTGGCTGGGGGAATTGTGCCTAATGCTGAGCAGAGGCAGTGGCTGGAGATCCAGCTACCAGGAAAAGCAGGGTGGCAACTCTGAAGGACCTTGAGTAACATAACAAGGAGCACCTTCTCCTACCTATAGGCCCATTTCTACACGCATTACAATGCTTGTCCCACTTCAATGAACATCAAAGTCCCAAGCCCTTTTTTCATCTGAAATTTGAAATAAACCATTCTCCTTGCAGTAAATAGAGTAATCTTTATAAAACCTAACTCACCCCATGTCATTTTTTTGTTTAAAATACCAGTTGTTCTTAGGATATAAGTCCCCAGGGGAACAGGTAGTGCTCCTGTAGAACCTCTGCTGTAGGCCAGTCCATGGGGATCCACAATAGGGGGCCAGGCCTAGGAGTTACAGATTATTATCAGCTATTGATATTTTACTACATGCCAAGTGCTTTGCCTGTACAAATTTATTTAATCCTCATGACAAAGGTATGAAGTAGGTGCTATTGTCCACCCACATCACATTTGAAGATAATTTACCCGAGATCACAGAGCTTGTACATGATTGAGCCAGGAAGAGAACCCGAGCGATCACACTCTGGAGTTCTTGAAAATGCTATGCTGCATGGATTTCCGTGATCATATTGGAATGTTCATCACCATATGCTTTTCTCCATCTTCTTTTTTGCCATTTCAACTCAAGCCACCACCATGGTTTGCCTAGGCAATGGCCATGGCCTTTGAACTTGACTTCCTCTACTGCCTCCTACTCACTCCTAGACCTTGTCATTACAGTGACTTTAGCCCCTCCAGAATTCCAACCTCAAGCATCTCTCTCTCAGACCACCACCTCTCTTATTTGCAGTCCATCTGCTATATACTACGTTAACTCTAACAAGTCCTTGGCCTCAACACAACCCTATAATCCATTGACCCTACCACAGTTTTGTTGTCCCCTACCCCACTCACGTGGCCGCTTCCCTGCAGCCTAGCATAGATGTCACAGAGCACCATTATAATCATCTCTTTCATACACCTTTATCTCCACTGCCCTTTTCTTTGTCATTGTACTTGCCTGGAAAAACTACAATTCTTGTTAAATCCTCACTGCTCACACTCTCTGCCTGAACCCAAACAACTGTCTTTCACTGGAAGACAACCCAAAGCAATGTTGATTTTAAATTAATGACAACCTGACCACCAACCTCAAGTGAGTCTTTAAGGCTACCCAGCTATCTTGCCGCCTTTCCCGCATCAATCCAATCTCCTACTATTTTAGACTACTCCATGTCTACTCTCTTCTCAGACTTCCAAAAGTTCTCTCCACTTTTACCCTTTTCTCGCTACTTTGCTGAGCAAGTTAGGCAATTAGAAGATAAATTCCACATAGTGCCACTACCTCATGTACCTCCCTGCACCTGTACTCCCAACCTCTGCCTTCCTTTCAAATGCTACAGACTGTCTATGCTCCTATATAAAGCTAGTTCCCCTACATCCCATCTTCTTACCATTCTCATCTTTCTCTTTTGCATCATTATTTTAATATTTTAATATTGAATTAATATTGAATATTAATTCAAATATTCTCTCTTGTCCATGCATCTCCCTTCCCCCTCTTGGAATGAATTGTCTACATTCACCATTTTTTCATTCTCTATTTAACTCCAACCAACCCTAATTCTGTCTCCACTAATCCAACAAAAGAACCATTGTCAAGGACTCCAATAGCCTGCACATTGCTATATCCAACAGTTATGCCTCAGTCTTGTTATATTTCACTGTACCAGCCATGTTTGATAAGTTAATCACTGCTTCCTTTTGAAACCCTTTCTTCAGTTGGCTTCTAGGACATGGCTCTGGACTGTCCTCCTCCTCCATTGACTTCTTGCTTGCCAGTTCTTCCCCATGTCAGCCACTAACAAACACTGGAATGACCCAAGCCTTACTCCCCAGACCTCTTCTCTTTCTACATGCACCTTTGAGGTCAGCACCTCAAGATAATGACCTAAATATCATCTATTCTTTGATGACTCCCCCAGTTTTATTGTGGAGAGGTCTGATATCTCTCTTGCACCCAAATATCTCCACTGGATTGCATAAAAAGCATCTCAAACTTTATCTGTCCAAAAATTTCTGATTTCCCACCCTTCTTCCAACTTCCTCCTCCCACAATTGTCTTCATCCTAGTTAATGGTAATTTCATTCTTTTGGAGCTTGGAAAGACCTGAAGTCACCCTTTACATGGAATCCATAGCAAATGTTGGCTGTACTTTCAAATAAACCCCGTAGCTGACCGTTTCTCATCATTCCTATCACTCACACATTGCTCAACAGCATTGCTCCATTAGCCCCCAAACTGGTCTCACTGCTTCTGCCCTGTGCCCCTATAAGGGCAGAGCAGCCACAATGACCCCTCTGAAACATAGATCAGATCATGATACACCTTTCGACCCTCCAATGGCTCCCTATCATTGTTAAAGCCAAAGTCCTTGACAATCACCCACAAGAACATAAGTGCTCTGCTCCCCAGCCCCCTCACCTCTCTGCCCTCAGCTTTACTGCTCTCCCTTGCATGCCCTCTGGACCTTACAATGTTATATTTAATGCCAGGGACCATGCCCATTTTCTTCACCTGTGCATGTTTAGAACCTAGCATCATACCTGACGTCTGTAGGCACTCAGTAAATACGGGCTGACGGAAGCACTCTGTCTCTGTCTCTCTCTGTCCCTCTCCCTCCCTCCACCCACCAGATTAAGCACTCCTCTAGACCACAAGCCTGGCCTCATTCCCCTTTTCAGCCCTGTTCACTCCCCAGAGCCTGACACATGGTGGATCATACAAGCAACAGGCTGTTCCAGTGGTACTCTTCCCGCCTCAATTTAAACACCATGCCTGGACAAGGCCAACAGAATCCCAAAGGGGATATGGGGAAAAGCCCACACCAACACAGGCAGCTGCAAAATTTACAAAAAGAATGAAGGAAAGCCTGTTCTACTGCTCTTTGGATCCCTCAGTGGGAAACAACAAGGTGAGAAAGAAACTGAAAAGACAGTAGTGGAGAAACCTCTGGAGAGAGTGATGTGAGTCCATAAGGTGAGAGCCCCTATCCCATCATCTGGACAGGATGCTACCTTCCATCCCAGCTCCAGAAAGAGGGGCTTCAACGGGGCTTGCAAGGACCTGTTCTATTCTACCCTCTGGAACAGGATAAACTAGGTCTGACTTCTGCCTAAGTGATTAAAGAAGATGAGCAGCTGCCCTGGGGGCCATGAGTGCACTGCTTCATTGGAGTATGTTCGCTCATAGATGGGCAGGGGTGTAAGTGCATGCTGTGGTCAGACGGTGACTCTGCAAAACGTGGGCTATGGCAGGCAGCTTAGAACAGCCTCAGATCCTTCTCAGTGGAGGGTGGGAAGAGGAGGAACAAGAAGCTGCAGGTGAGCACCTGGTGGCCGAAGAAGGGGATTCAGGAGGCCACCTCCCTGGGTCAGAGGGGTGCAGGGAGGCCCTAGAGGGCCGTCCAGAGCCCACAGGAGGAAAAGCTCTTTTTTTGGACCAACATCCAGGCCCAAGGGGACAAAGCTGGTTTATAACTAGGACAGCTCTAGGGAGACTTTTTCGGAAGGTCTGTTTGCATTTTCTATGGCACATCAAAACCAGTCATAGAGAACGAAAAGAGCAGACCAGGTAGAGAGATGGAACAGAAGCAGAAGCCAGCCACACCCCCATTTGCCACTGCAGGCTGCACCCCAAAGCCAACCCAAGCTATGAGAAAAGAGATTTAGCACCAAGGCATCTGGGAGTTCTGGTGAATATGTGGGACTGGAATTACCACAACTCTCACATTTCAAAGTCTCAGATTTCGAAGTGAAAACCTAAAGCAACGCAGGGAATGTCTGCTAATTTTCCTGTGAGTAAAAAGAAATTATTAGCCTATCGTTTTCATCCCCAGTCAGAGGACAGGAACCAAAACTGCCTAAGGTTGAAAAGTTGCATCTTGATTATCATTCAAATGTCATCTGGCTTATGCAATCTGCACACAGATTGAATAAACCACCCCCTCACCCCCCAACTCTCTCTTTCTGTCTCTCTCTTTCTGCTTTTCTCTCTCTCTCTCTCTCTCTCACACACACACACACACACACACACACACACGCACACACACATTGAACTCAACTGGGGATACAGTAATAAATAAGACATAAACTCTACACATAAAAAACTCATTTGGGGGGCTGGGCACGATGGCTCATGCCTGTAATCCCAATACCTGCACTTTGGAAGGCCGATGTGGGTGGATCACCTGAGGTCAGGAGTTTGAGACCAGCCTGACCAATGTGGTTAAACCCCAGCTCTACTAAAAATACAAAAAATAAGCCGGGTGTGGTGGCATGTACCTGTAATCCCAGCTATTCAGGAGACTGAGGCAGGAGAATCGCTTGAACCCAGGAGGCTGAGGTTGCAGTGAGCCGAGATCACACCACTGCACTACAGCCTGGGCGACAGAGTGAGACTCCATCTCAAAAAAAAAATTAAAAAAATTAAAAAATAAAAAAAAACTCATTGACTCATTTTTTGAAGGGGTCAAATACATCCTTACAGTACATTGTAACAATTCCTGAGATAGACCTCAAAGCAAAATGCTGTGGAAGGTCATGGGAGAGAGACTGGGGCAGTGCAGTGCCTTAGATCACAGGTTTTCCTGTCTTTGAAATGTTTGAGAAACCCTGAAACAAAATATTTTGATTCTTTTTAATAAGTGTAGAAGGACCATTGTCTTAGAGAATAAAGGAGGTTGCACTCGCTTCCCCAGTCTCAGCAGCAAGTGAAGTTCAAAGGTCTGATCCTGGCCAAGAAACTTGCCCCATCCTGGGGTCATTGACAGTCTCATCGAGGGCTTCCAGAGACAAAATGCCTAGGAAAACAGTGAAGAAGCCCAGAAGCTCCAGTTTGGAATTTTACCAAATTCAGTACCTACGTCCACGTACAAACACTCCATCCTCCAACTGGAATAGCTGGATTATCTTGCCCGGTGGTTCTTCAGCCTCCACTTTCAAGTATCCTGAGGCTGCTCAACTCAGCTCTGGACAGGTCTGATGGGGAGAATATTCCCTCCTAGTGTTACCTTAAAGATGTGGCTATCTCCCTGTGGTGTCTAGCTCTTCATCCTTGTTCTCCCCAAATTTCCTCACACAGCAAGCCTGCTGTCTTTCCACGATAGTCCCTAAGAAGCATGATAATTCCAACTCAGTCCTGTCCCCCAACTACCAGGTGCCTCTTCCCTGGGCTAAACTGCCCTTGTTCTTCAACTGTTTTTTTGTTTTGTTTTGTTTTGTTTTTGTTTTTGTTTTTGTTTTTTGGGGGTTTTTTGAAACAGTGTCTCCCTCTGTCACCCAGGATGGAGTTCAGTGGCGCAATCTCGGCTCACTGCAACCTCCGCCTCCTGGGTTCAAGCGATTCTCCTGCCTCAGCCTCCCGAGTAGCTGGGACTACAGTTGCGTGCCACCACACCTGGCTTATCTTTTGTATTTTTAGTAGAGACAGGGATTCACCATGCTAGCCAACAGGGTCTCGATCTCTTGACCTCGCGATCCACCCGCCTTGGCCTCTTAAAGTGCTGCAATTACAGGTTGAGCCACCGTACCCAGCCCTTCAACTGCTATTTTAAGCCATGACTTTGAAACTCCTGTTCATCCTGTCCTGTCTTGTGAATGTATTTCAGGTGGCCTCTCAAATGAAATCAGCTTTAAACTGAGAGATGAAAGAACTGAATGAGCAACACTATAACTGTGAGAAGGTTCCAGGAGGAGGGGAAGGCAGAGGCAAGACCCTGAGGCAGAGGCATGCTCACAGCTCCTAGAACAGCAAGGAGCACAGTGCCGCAACAGAAGCATGAGCCGAGCAGAGTGCAGTCAGAAATGAGGTGAGAGGGCCAGGCATGGTGGCTCACGCCTGTAATCCCAGCACTTTCGGAGGTAGGCGGATCACCTAAGATCAGGAGTTCGAGACCAGCATGGCCAAACTGGTAAAACCCCATCTCTAATAAAAATACAAAAACATTAGCCGGGTATGGTGGTAAGCGCCTGTAATCCCAGCTACTCCAGAGGCTGAAGCAGGAGAATTTCTTGAACCCAGGAGGTTGAGGTTGCAGTGAGCCCAGATTGCACCATTGTACTCCAGCCTGGGTGACAGAGCAAGACTCCATCTCCAAAAAAAAAAAAAAAAAAGAGAAAGAGAAATGAGGCGAGAGGCAGTCACAGGTTAGGCTAGGCTGGGTCTTATAGGTAGACCGGGACCTGGGATAAACTTCCAAGTAATGAGAGTGGCATTATTAGATTGATTTTTGAAAGACATCACAATGTAGTTTGAGAGGCAGGTGGCAAGAGATGATAGAGCAGACCTCTGAAGCATTGGTCCCTGGGGTCTGGGAGACTTGACATGGCATGTCCTGGTGCACAGACATTGGTCATTGTCCCTGCAGGAAGCCTAGTTGGGGGGGAACTCAGAGGCCAAGATGGAAGAATCATAACATCAAGGGTTAACTTTATTTTTTTTTATTTTTATTTTTTATGCTTACGATGTGTCTGCCACTTTTCTACATGTTGCAGATGCTTTAACTCATGGAATTCTCATGATCATCCTGGGACAAGGGTTTTGTAAGAATTAAAGCCCCCTTTTACAGCTAAGGCAACTGGGATACAGAGAAGTAAAAACGAACTCCACGGGAGAAAAAACTGGTGCTGCGGGGAAGAGGTCTTGGGCTTCCCAACTGCCAGCCCCACACTCCTCTGAAGTGTTCTTGTGTTCATCTTTGTGTTCAAAGCCTCGAGAATGTACATTTCCATCCAAGGTCAGCATGGTAGGGGGTGAGGCCAATGTCCTCACCAGAATGCAGCAGTGTTGTCCACTGAACTAACCCCATTATGTCACAGTTGGATGTGGAGGAGCAAACCAGGCAGAGTCACTTTGTGAAGGGCTTCAAGTTGCTCTGCCAACCAATGAGGAGTCATTAATGATTCCATAGTCCCCCTGGGCCGTTGGCATGACATTGATAATGGAGATGAAGAGATTTGTGTCCTTGTTCTCCAAGGCTAGGCAGAGATAGAGCTCATCGCCAGGTTCCAAATTAGCAGACAAGGCCCTTGGAGAACTTGTGGGGCTAATTAGTATTAGGGATGAGTTTAGAGATGAGCTTGTGTGCACACGTTCTCGGGACAGTCCCACTGGACCCATCCTTGGTTCTGAGTGTTAATTAAAGCTTCTACACTGTAGCTTGAAATTTAGTAGGAAATAAATTAACATAGGTTAATTCCATAGACAAAAGAGACCATCCTTCCTTGAAGTCTCATTCTCTTCCATATTTGGGCAGCTGGACAAGTTCCAGGGGCACCACCTGGTGATCTTAGAGTTCATTCTCCAGATTTGTTATAATCCCTGTAGTGTCTCTCTAATTAGCAATGTCAGAATCTTCCTCCTGGCTCCCAAATCTCTTAGGTTAACTGAAGGGCAGAGTGGTGAGAGGAAGTCTGAAAGATTGGGGCTGAAATTCTTGTTCTGGCAGTAACTAACTCCAAGACCTTAAAGTTGCAGAGCCTCTCAGAGCCTCAGTATCTCCATCTGGAAAATGGGAATGAAAACAGCAAAATGCCTCCTGGAGTTAGTGTGAAATGAGAGGACTGAGTGATATCCAAGGAAAAGGCATGAAGTGAGCCCTCGGGAAAGGGCTGTCTCCATGTGCACAGTCCTGGAGTGTGTCTGGTCACTGTCCTCCAGGTACCTTTGGAGAAATGCACCCTCCTGATTCTAATCTACAGCAAAAAGCACAGATGTATCTCCAGTGCCCTAGGACTGGTACTTTATGCAGAGGCACCCTGGTACCCAGAGATACTGGGTCTTTCACTGTGTTGCCAGGCAAGCCTCCAATGAGAAGGAGCTGCTAGACACCAAGGGGTGAATCCACAGTAAGGAGGGCTCTGATTGTACTTGGCACTTGGACTTGGTCCAGTAAAGGCAGAGATGATGAAGAAAGCCCTTCTTCTAAATGGTTCCAGAGCCTTCTGCAGACCATCACATATTAGGACTCTGTGGGGGTCATTAGCCAGAACTCTGCCCACCTCACCCAGGGAACTCTGACCATCCAAGGCATGCGGCTCCTAGTGCATTTAACTCTCAACAGAACCCACATCGCTCCCTCACTTTGATAAAAGGCTGCCCTGCGGCAGCTGGAACCCACTCTGGGGGTCAATGCAACAGACAGAGTCCCTGGGAACAGCCTTGGGTTGATGGGTATAGGTTATCAGTGCTGCAGCTCCCTGGCCCCTGCCTAGGGCAGCTCCGAAGTATGACCTACACCGTTTCCTGAGCTCCTCTGTGGAGTTGAGCCAAAGTCAACCTCCGCAGGCCTTTGCTTGACATCACAGCCTTGCTTGGTCTCCTCCCCTACGCAAGCCCACTGCCCCAAAACCACACCAGTGTTTTCAGGTGCACACTTCCTAATGCACCACTTTCACATTCATTATTTCAGGATCTGCTTCTGGGGAAGCCAACCTAAGGCAGAAGGAAATTCAGATAACAGGTATTTTGTACCCGCTAAGTGCCAGTCACTGAGTTATAATGTTTTTCTTATTTTTAATACATTATCTCATTGTATTCTCATAATTAATGTTTGGGGATTTTTAAAGGTAAGGAAACTGGGGCTCAGAGATTTAAGCAACTTGCCCCAGGTTACACAGCTGGGAAGGGGTGAGCATCTTAGCCTGGGAATCCAGTCCTCTTGCCTCTGCCTCTTTGCCTTGGAGGGTAGGGTAGAGATGGAGGCAGGAATGCTAAGAGCATCTCCAGGATGCTGCAAAGCTTCTGTCTCTTCTGTATGTTGAAGTTTCTGTGCTATATTTTATTTTTAAAATAGGTTCTATTTTACAAAGAGAAAGTTGAAAGCCAGTGCATTTTATCTTCTCCACGGGACAGCAATGAAGATAAAATGAAATAATGACTGTAAAGTGCTCAGCACAAAGCTTGGCACACAGCATACAGCCCATAAATGTCTGCAAACAGGATTATATATTTATAATGTGCACTCACAATTTATATGTGCTTGTCATAAATATGCCACCTATAATTTAAGAAAACAAATAATTTACCTATTTTCAACAGATGCAAATACTGTCCATGTCTAGTTAGTAGAAATAAATTATAGAAGCATGCATATATGCATTATTTCTACCTATATATTTAGAGTGAGTGGATACAAATGATTTGACTCGGCCGGGCGCTGTGGCTCCCGCCTGTAATCTCAGCACGTTGGGAGGCCTAGGTGGGTGGATCACCTGAGGTCAGGAGTTCAGGACCAGCCTGGCCAACATGGCGAAACCCGTCTCTACTAAAAAGTACAAAAATTAGCCGGGCGTGGTGGCAGGCGTCTGTAATCCCAGCCACTCGGGAGACTGAGACAGGAGAATTGCTTGAACCCGGGAGGCGGAAGTTGCAGTGAGCCGAGTTCATGCCATTGCACTCCAGTCTGGGAGACAAGAGCGAAACTCCGTCTCAAAAAAAAAGATTTGACTCTAAGTTATGTGCATGTGTGATTCCTCACAGTAATGTAGCGGGTTCTGGAATGTGGGTCCTTAAGAAAGGTGAAAATTGGCCGGGTGCAGTGGCTCACACCTGTAATCCCAGTACTTTGGGAGTCCAAGACAGGTGGCTCACCTGAGGTCAGGAGTTTGAGACCAGCCTGGCCAACATGGTGAAACCGTTTCTACTAAAAATACACAAATTAAATACACAAATCAGCCAGGCGTGGTGGTGCACGCCTGTAATCCCAGCTACTTGGTAGGCTGAGGCAGGAGAATCCCTTGAAACCAGGAGACGGAGGTTGCAGTGAGCCGAGATCGAGCCATTGCACTCCAGCCTGGGCGACAAGAATGAAACTCCACCCTCCCCCCACCACCCCCCGAAAAAAAGAAAAAGAAAGGTGAAAATTGGCCAAGCATGGTGGCTCACACCTGTTATCCCAGCACTTTGGGAGGCCGAGGCTGGCGGATCACTTGAGGTCAGGAGTTCAAGACCCAGCCAGGCCAACATGATGAAACTGCCATCTCTACTAAAAATATAAAAATGAGCCCGGTCGCGGTGGCTCATGCTTGTAATCCTAGCACTTTGGGAGACCGAGGCAGGCAGATCATCTGAGGTCAGGAGTTCAAGACTAGCCTGGCCAAAATAGTGAAACCCTGTCTCTACTAAAAATACAAAAATTAGCCAGGCATGGGGGCACAAGCCTGTAATCCCAGTTACCCGGGAGGCTGAGGCAGGAGAATTGCTGGAACTTGGGAGGCGGAGGCTGCAGTGAGCCGAGATCACGCCACTGCACTCCAGCCTGGGAGACAGAGCAAGACTCCAAAAAAAAAAAAAAAAAAATTAGCCAGGCATGGTGGTGGGTGCCTATAATCCCAGCTACTCAGGTGGCTGAGGTAGTAGCTCGCTGGAACCCAGGGAGTCTGAGGCTGCAGTGAGCCAAGATTGTGCCACTGTACTGCAGCCTGAACAACAGAGTGACAATCTGCCTCAAAAATTAAAAAAAAATTTAAAAAAAAAGGAAAGAACAGGACAGAAAAGAAAAGTGAAAATCAGCTTGATACCCCCACCTCAGCCCTATCCCTACTCTCACCCTCATTGTCTGTGTATTTGTCAACAATTGAGGGAATTTTCCTCACCATCATCAGCTCATCCCATCCCTGTGCCGCTGTGCACCAGCAGAGAGGACCCACGGACCATTCTCCATCCAGGTGTGGGCCACCCCTGCCCCAGACCCAGAGCTCCATGCTGCATCCACTCATCACATGGCAAATACTTGGCAGGACCTATTGCGTGTCATGTTCTGTGATAAACACTGGGACAGACAACAGCAGAGAAACAGCAAGGACAATAATTCATCAGACACTCCCCCTATCCCCATAGTGAGGGAGATTGATAATAATCAACCAACTGTACACACAAATGTATATGAGCAGCTGTAGTAACTCTACAAATGCTATGGAAAGAAAACTGTTTCATGATTCTAGGACAGAAGCGTTCTCTGCAAAAGAGACATTTGAGAGGAAATCCAAAGATGAACAGGTGTTAGCCAATGGAGTGAGAAAATCTTCAGATGGAGCTAAGACCCTAAGGTGGAAGGGAGCAGGGGATGCTCAGGCACAGGGCCGGCACCCGGAGAGGATGCGCAACGTGAGGCTATAGAGGTGGTCAGGGCCATACAGGCCACATTAAACACATAGGGCTGGATCGACTGTGGGACCAGGCAATTATTAAGTGATGAAGTTCAGAATTTGCACAAAGCACTCTAGTGACTAAAGAAAAATGGAAGATGGGAGAATGGAGAAGCCACAGGCAGCCTCCAGTCCGGAAGCTGCCCATTGCTCCATCGTTCAAAACAAGACAGCAACCCCCTTCCCGCTGCTGGCTCACTGGTCTATGATTTAGGGGACATGCCGTACCCGCCGAACCACCAAACATTACCCACTCTCACCCCACCTACTCCCCTCTGGCCACGTGGACAAATATTAATAAATTATTTCCCAATCCCCAGTTTTCCTTTCATTCCACTTGGAGAAATAAAATCAGATTCAGAACATGGAACAGCTTATTAAAAACGTAAACTCACTCCTGGCCTCTATGTGTTTGTAATAAAAGGTACTTTTTAATCAAAAGAAATTTCTAACTTACTGCAGGGCTCAGCTTGCTGAACTTAATCTGTGTGAAATGCCGCTTTTCTATAGGACATGGGCTGGCATCTGGTAGAGAATTAAGCAGCTATCTCAGCTGGCTCTGATCAGCTCTTTAAGAGGCTACACACTTGGGAACACATCAAGATTGGAGGAGTCTGAGGCTCATCACCAAGAAGGTGTTTGGGTCGGATATGTTTGAAAATGGATGAACACCTGAACAAAGCTTGGCCCGAGGAATGGAACAAGTCGATTTCATTCACTCAACTGTTTGTTCAACAAATATTTATTGGGCTTCGTCTATGAGCTTGTCTGTCTATGAGACAGTCACTGTCTCAGGCATGGAACGTCTAGAAATGACTCCCATATGGTTCCAGCCCTCAAGGAACACCCCAACTAGTGGGGAATCAGATAGGCCAATCATATCCTGCAACACAATGAGCCAATTATAAACTACAACACAATGATGAGCGCACTCAAGGAGAGATACACAGCGGGAAGGCAAAGAAGAGGAAGAGAGAAGAGCTTCCCCCAGGAAGGAAGCATTTTACCTGAAACTACTCAAGACCCTTTCTTTTTCTTTTTCTTTTTTTTTTTTTGTGAGACAGAGTCTCGCTCTGTCGCCCAGGCTGGAGTGTAGTGGCCTGATCTCGGCTCACTGCAGGCGCCGCCTCCTGGGTTCAAGCCATTCTCCTGCCTCAGCCTCCCGAGTAGCTGGGACTACAGGCGCCCGCCACCGCGCCCGGCTAATTTTTTTTGTATCTTTAGTAGAGATGGGGTTTCACCGTGTTAGCCAGGATGGTCTCGATCTCCTGACCTCGTGATCCGCCCGCCTCAGCTTCCCAAAGTGCTGGGATTACAGGCGTGAGCCACCGCGCCCGGCCTACTCAAGACCCTTTCTGTTGCCGGGGACTTATCCGGACTCAACTTGGCTTAAACGAAAATTTATCCGGACTCAACTTGGCTTAAACGAAAAAAGGGAATTTATTGGCCCAAGTAAACAAGTCTAGAGGTAGAGCCTCAGGCATGGATGGACCCAAGGAATCTGGCCAAAGGAAAGGCCTGTTTGCAGGCCCCACAGCAGCTCTCTCTCCACCTCCTGGCTTGGCTTTCCGCTCTCAGCAAGCTTCAGCCTTGGGCACATTTCCCTAAGTAGTGATCAAGCAGCCCCCAGAGCCTCCAGCAACTCCTGAGAAGAAAAGAGCGTATTTCCCAGTAGCTCCAGGAGTAGTCCTGGGCCGACCGTCTTTGGCCTGACTTAGGTCTTGTTTTTTTTGTTGTTGTTTGTTTTTTTTTTTATTTTATGTTTTTGAGACGTAGTCTGGCTCTGTCGCCCGGGCTGGAGTGCAGTGGCGCGATCTCAGCTCACTGCAAGCTCTGCCTCCTGGGTTCACGCCATTCTCCTGCCTCAGCCTCCTGAGTAGCTGGGACTACAGGCGCCCGCCACCATGCCCGGCTAATTTTTTTCTGTTTTTAGTAGAGACTGGGTTTCACTGTGTTAGCCAGGATGGTCTCGATCTCCTGACCTCGTGATCCGCCCGCCTCAGCCTCCCAAAGTGCTGGGATTACAGGCGTGAGCCACCGCGCCCGGCCCTGGCTTAGGTTTTGTATCTCCCTGGGCCAATCCCTGCTGCTAGCAGGTGTGAACCCAGAAAATCTGAGACAGGTCTCAGTTAATTTAAAAAGTTTATTTTTGCCAAGGCTGAAGACGCACCCATGACACAGCCTCAGGAAGTCCTGGTGACATGTGCCCAAGGTGGTCAGGGTACAGCTTGGTTTTATACATCTTAGGGAGACAGGAGACATCAATCTATACATGTAAGAAGCATATTGGTTCAGTCTGGAAAGGCGGGACAACTTGAAAGGAAAGCAGGAAGACTCACAGTGGGAGGGAGCTTCCAGGTCACAGATAGGTGAGACACAAACTGTTGCATTCTTTGAGCTTCTGATTAGCCTTTCCAAAGGAGGCAAATCAGATATGCATCTATCTAAGTGAGCAAAGGAGTGACTTTGAACAGAATGAGAGGCAGGTTTGCCCTAAGCAGTTTCCAGCTTGAGTTTTCCTTAGTGATTTTAGGGGCCCAAGACATTTTCCTTTCATGCAGGGGTAGGAGGTGTTGCCTGGGGTAGGCCTGGGCCATGTGCCCATCCTTACAGTCAGAGGAATGGGGAAGAAGTTGTGCCAACCTTTCCTAGTGACATTTATTCCCAAACATTCATTAAGGAATATTGTGAGCCAACCACTGCCGTGAGACAAGAGGGGGCACCAGGACAGAAAGAACAGAATTCCCTGCCCTGGGGGAGTTTACAAACGAGTAAAAGACACAGTGGGGCAGATTCAGGAAGTGCAAGCACTCGGGGAAATAAACCAAGCAATGAGGGTGCAGTGCTGGGAGAGGGGTCTAGGCTGCTGTATTAACAAGGGGAGTTGAGGGTCTCACTGAGAAGGAGACACCATTCGTACAGAAGCTGAAGGGGCTGAGGCCTGAGCCAAGTGACTGCCTGGGATAAGAGAAAATTTAACAGAGGGGGGAAGATTTTTTTTTTTTAGATGGAGTTTTGCTCTTGCGGCCAAGGCTGGAGTGCAGTGGCGCCACCTCAGCTCACCACAACCTCCGCCTCCCAGGTTCAAGCAATTCTCCTGCCTCAGCCTCCCAAGTAGCTGGGACTAAAGGCGCCCGCCACCATGCCCAGCTAATTTTTATATTTTTAGTAGAGACAGAATTTCACCATGTTGACCAGGCTGGTCTCAAACTCCTGACCTCAGATGATCCACCCACCTCGGCCTCCCAAGGTGCTGGGATGACAGGTGTAAGCCACGGCGCCTGGCCAGGAAGATCCATTTTTAAGGTCCTGAGAGAGCAAGGGCCTGACAGTTTTCAGGAGCAGCAAAGAGTCCCCTAGCTTGACCCAAGCGAGTGACAGGGAGAAGAGCAGGTCAAACGGGGGTGGGAAGGTGGGGCCAGAGCATGTGGCACCTTAGAAAGTGTGAGAGAGGTGGCACCCCAGAGGAAAATTAAGATTCTCTGACCAGAGACCCAAGGATGGATCCTGGGGAGATGAGACAGAGGTGCCTTGCTCAGGGTCCAAGAGGAGCATGAACGGACAGGTGAGGAGAGAGTGGCCTTGATACAGGGAATGGCAGGGAACAAGGACAGAGAGATTAAAGACACAGTGCGTTCTAGGAGCCAGCCGCTGTTTGGGCTACAATATTTAAAGAAAGAGACTGCGTCTGGGTCAGGGTTGCCAGGAGGAGACACAGGAAGGAGAGGGACAAAGTGTGCAGCTACGCTTTGCTCCAGGCCCCTGACGGAACTGTGCTGGCGTTCAAGAGAGTCTCTGGAGGCAGAAGAGGGCTCACAGAATCAATTGCGCCTCCTAATCTCCCATCCCAGGAAACCTGCAAATATTAAAATGACCACTCAAGGGGAACATAATTTGATTTCAGGTTTAATTGAAGGACATCGTGCAAATGTGGAAATTTAGAGAGAGAAAATTATTCCTGGAGATGGTTTCATTTGCATTTCTTTCCAAAAACATGGCAAGCTGCGTGTTTAAAATGCTAGATGAAGAATATTGCAAGCAGATAACTATCTATCTTCTTTCCCTAGAAAGGGTAGATGACATTTGGGATCCCCTTGGCAGATAATAATATTAGTGAATATTCACAAAATACTGAAGTTGGCAACGCACTGTGCACATATGTGTATCATTAGCAGAAACAGTAGCAGCTAATATAGTGGAGTTCCACCCCACATAGAGTGTGAAGGGCCCAGAGTCCTAGAAAATCTAGTCCCACCCAGCAGACACATGAAATTCAGCAAACTCTTGGGGAACTTCATCAATATGCCACAAACTGGGCCAAGCCCTGGGGGTAAACTGGGTTTCTGCTAGAAGCCAGGATGGTCCTGGAAACCAGAAAACGTGAACCAGAAACACAGCCCTCCAGGATAATAAGAACAACTCCATAAAAATGGTCACAAGCACAAGCTCTGACCTTATTTCGGGATTTGTAGAGCATTTTACTCTTAGCAAAGTGCATTCTTGTGCACAACTTCTTGCCCTGGCAGCAACTCTGTGCAGTAGGAATTGGGCCAGATCTGCATCACTTTGGTGTTTTGGTGAATAGGATTTGATCTTTATCTTAAAATCCTGGGTGACCTAATCCAGCACGTCCTTCTACTTGCTTCCTGGCTTCTACTGTCAGCCTAAGAGCCGTGATTTTCATTGATTTAATTCTCAGAATAACCTATGAAGTCCCTATCTTCAGGTTAGGACATTGAAATCTAGACTGAGTCAACTGCTTCAAGGTCACTGTCGAGACTTGACCCCAGGCTGTCTGGCTCAGGAAGCTACAGTCTTCGCTACTTCCCTGTACCACAAATGGGGGTGAATGTGGGTGTACCCAGCCCTATGCTTGTTGTCTGAGGGTTGAGACTTGGATGTGAATGCAATTTGTGTTCCCTTTTTTTTTTTTTTTTTTTAGACAGAGTCTCGCTCTGTCGTCCAGGCTGGAGTACAATGGCATGATCTCTGCTCACCTCAACCTCCACCTCCCAGGTTCAAGCAACTCTCCTGCCCTCAGCCTCCCGAGTAGCTGGGACTACAGGCATGCACCACCATGCCCAGCTAATTGTTTGTTTGTTTGTTTGTTTGTTTGTATTTTTAGTAAATACAAAGTCTCGCCATGTTGGCCAGGCTGGTCTCGAACTCCTGACCTCAAGTGATCCACCTGTCTCAGCCTCCCAAAGTGCTGGGATTACAAGAATGAGCCACGATGCCCAGTCTGAGGTGTTCTTTTTAATGCTCACTACAATCCCTAAAAGCTTGCTCTTCGTAGCCCCACTCTTAGGCCTGGAAATAAAGCCTTAGAGATACTAAACCACCACTAACGTCAGAGTTTATCCATTTAAAAGAGCCAGAAGAGGGGTCCTGATCCTGCTCAGCTCCACTCAACTCTCTGAACCTTTATCCAGGACTTTGCATCTGTTAAAGGCTCATCTTGTCATCATTTTCCTCTCTTCTCCTCCAAGAGAAGCCCACTTACTATGTCCCTGAGGGCTCAGATGGGAGCAGGACTCACATTGTCACTCAACTTCTGCCATGTCCTGTCCCGAAGCTGAAAGACTCCTGGGGGAAATCAGGTCATCGGTATTTCTATGTCCACAGACACAACCAGTCTGACCACAATTCAACTAAATGGATCCACTGTTAATCAGGAAATGACTGCAGAGGACCTGTATTGATGGAAAAGATTGCTGAGCTGGGATTCAGTCAATATGGCCTGAAGAACCGGTCAGTTCTGTCGTGACCAGGGAGTTTACTGTTGTGGAAAGGATGCTAGACCCAGGGTGGGAGGACCTGGCTTCCCACTCTGGCCTTGCTCAGCTCTGTACCTCTGCTTCCCCAGCTGTGAAATGGTGGCAGTGAGGACTCAGTAAGGACGAATGTGTAAACATGCCCAACACATCATCTGCTCATAGTAGGTGCACAAAAAACACTAGTGAAATGTACTGGCTGAATTGAATGGAACCACTTAAGTTTGTTAGTTAATAAAGGGAGACCTTTTTATTTTTTTGATGTAGTCTCGCTCTGTAGCCCAGGCTGGAGTGCAGTGGCATGATCTCGGTTCACTGCACTGCAGCCTCTGCCTCCCAGGTTCAAGCAATTCTCCTGTCTCAGCCTCCTGAGTAGCTGGGATTATAGGCGTGCACCACCACGCCCAGATAACTTTTTGTATTTTTGGTAGAGATGGGGTTTCACCATGTTGGCCAGGCTGGTCTCGAACTCCTGACCTCAGGTGATCCACCTGCCTTAGTCTCCCAAAGTGCTGGGATTACAGGCATGAGCCTCTGCACCGGCTGAGGGAGACTTTTTAAAGTGACTGTTTTTACTGGGTAAATAAATAGTTAAATTTTTTTTTCTTTTGTTGACTGGTAGTGTTTGTAGAAGGACCTTGTGAAACGAGTCCTTGCACTGGCCTCAACAGCCTCTTGGTCAAGCTGGTTGTGTTGTTGCTGTTTACTTCTCCTGCTCTGAAATTCCACAAAGAAACCTGCTGCAGAAATCCTGAAGGCCACCTGGAGACTGTTTCCTTCTCCAGGGGCTTCTTTTGAGCCTTTGATCCTCTGTAGGAAGGATATAGTTGGAAGAAGGAAGCAGCTGCTAAGAAGGAGACCCAAGGGGGCACCTGAGAAGTAGGAACTTAGGGCTGGGAACAGAGTGGCCTGAGACCAAAACCTTACTCTTCCACTAAGAGGCTGCTTACCTTTGAAAAGCCACTCTATTTTCCCTCTGGGTCTCTTCAGGAGGGGGAAGGGATGGGTTAGAAATCTAATACCCACCACAATAATTAATTAGAAGAAGAAATATTTTTCTGAGCCGAGAGGAGCTGACCATGTTATTAAAACACATGACAGTCACCATCTCGTCAAATCCTTACCACAAACCTGCAGACTGGGGTGAGCCTCCCCATTTTCCACATCAAGATATGGAAGGAGAGATGAAGTAGCCAGCCTACTGTCACAGGAAAAGAGGTGGCAGAAACAATTTCGAGGGCAAGCCCTTCAGGAGCCAACGTTGAACACGTGGACGCCCTCTTTTGGATGGTCTTTCGTTAGGATGCTCTGTGAGGGTCAACTCTGACATATTAGGAGCTGATGCTTCCAAGTGAAGTTGGAGTTAGTCCCTGAAACATTAACCGCAGTTATGTTTTGCCTTTTAAAGAAGACATGAGGGCCAGGCACAGTGGCTCACGCCTGTAACCCCAGCACTTTGGGAGGCCAAGGCGGGCAGATCACCTGAAGTCGGGAGTTCGAGACCAGCCTGACCAACGTGGTAAAACCCCATCTCTACTAAAAATACAAAAATTAGCCAGGCATGGTGGCGTGTGCCTGTAATCCCAGCTACTCAGGAGGCTGAGGCAGGAGAATTGCTTGAACCTGGGAGGCGAAGATTGCAGGTGAGCCAAAATCGCGCCATTGCACCCCAGCCTGGGCAACAGAGCAAGACTCTGTCTCAAAGAAAAAATAAATGAATAAATAAAGATGACAAGCATTAAGCCTGACTTTGTGGGAAATTAATTTCAGTGTTTCCGTGCAAGTCAGGAGGGGCTTGGGAGGGCAGGAAGGACACATCACCATGAGCCTTCTCCCACCCT
This sequence comes from Homo sapiens, assembly GCF_000001405.40. NCBI lineage: Eukaryota > Metazoa > Chordata > Mammalia > Primates > Hominidae > Homo > Homo sapiens. Next base: position 133,619,163 of record NC_000008.11, on the reverse strand, counting down.
CTCTGTCTCTCAGGGCATGGCTCCATGCTTCCCACAGTCACCCAGTAAGAGACCTCAAGGTCTGCCTCACGCCACCTTCTTCCCACTGAAATCCAATGAATCACCCACTCCTACCCAGCACTTCAGCCCCATTCCCACTGCCTGACATCAAGCTCTGTGTCTGGCTGCAGTGTCAAGAGTGGTGATGCCTCCTCTCAGAGCCAACACCTTGTGGTGCCAACATTTACAGGCATTCAAATGAGTATTACTCTGCTTAGCCTGCACTGATTATTCACAGGGTGCTTCACAGTTTGTAAAGCTCATCCACACATATGGCAGTGTTGGGATGTGCTGTCAGTTTCACCAAACTTGGGGTCTTCAGGGTTCAGAAAGCTCCCCTTCCATGGTGCCCCAGTCTCGCTGACATCTTCACACCACTCCCTTTGAAAACCTGCAAACTGCCGTGGTGCTCAAAGGCCAGCTCAAATGCCACCCGCTCTGGGGAGCCTCACACCCTCCCTTGGACTTCTGGCCCTGCTTCCTCTGGAGTTCCACATCTCACACTGACCTTGGTGCGGCATTTTCCAAGTTGTGTTGCAATTTAGTCATCACTGATTCTCCCTGCTGGATGAGGAGCACCACAAGAGCAAATGGCTCAGTTAACACCTGAGGGTATGAAGAGTGAATGAATGGATGGACGGATGAATGAATGGGTACCCAGCTTCTTATTAGCTAAGCTTATTAGCTCATAGGCTTCTGTATTAGCTAACTTCCCTCCACTCCCTGATTCCCTAAGTCAACACAGCGCCACCCTCACACTCACCATACAGCATACTTATGAGGGCCTTCTGTGTCCCCAGGACTATACCAGTTATGAGAGACACAGAGGTGAGCTGGAAAGGGAAGGCCCCTGCCTGTCCTCATGGAGTTTCCATTGTGCCTGTACACAGTCAGGGCACTTCTCACACAGATGTATTGATATTCATCGCTCCAAATCTCTGCAAAGACCAGCACTATGTATGGCTTATCTTCATACCCCAGCACCCAGCTCAGTGTATGGTGAATATGAGTACTCAGTGAATGTTTGGGGGATGGATGGGTGGGTGAGTGGAAAGACATTCACCATAAGCTGGGTTCCTTTGCCTGCCCTATTTCTGGGTTCTATCCAGGACCTAGGAGTAAACTGTAAACATATTTCCTAACATTCCAGAATTTCAGGCAGCACCCTGAGCAATGAATGCTTTTATTCTTAACCTATTCATGCTCAAGACAGGGCTATGGGTAAAGCCTGCATGAGTGTTTGTGTGTGCGTCCCGCTCCCCCTCCCCGCCCCATACACACACATTCATTTATATCCATCACCAGTTCATTTGCAAAACATGGAACAGAGTCCTGTAGTCAAAACCTACTTTGGTGAAGATTTAGAAATCAAAATAAAGATGAATAGTTGTGTCTGACATGCTGGGACCACTTCAACAATGCTGTCTTTACACACACACATGCACACACACATACACAAACACATGTATGTATGCACGTATACCCATTTGGAAACAGTCCTCACATTATGGCTCAAGACAAACATTAATTCATGCCAAGAAAATAAAACAGAAATCTGCTTTCTGCTTTTCTCAGAACTGCCCTGGAAGCCACTGAGGTAAACAGGCAAGGTGGCAGGGAGCTCAATAGGCCTGGAGTCTGCTTGGCCACCCACTAGCTACATTAACATAAGCAAATCACTTCACCTCTTTGAGCCTCAGTCTTCTCACATGTAAATCAGTGTAGGAATAAAATAGACAACCACATTTTACCTACTTGCTGTCACTGATTTTTATTTTTTTATTTTTTTATTTTTTTTGTACAAAGAGGCCAGGAGCAGCCAGGCGTGGTGGCTCACGCCTGTAATCCCGGCACTTTGGGAGGCTGAGGTGGGTGGATCACAAGGTCAGGAGTTCAAGAGCAGCCTGGCCAAGATGGTGAAACCCTGTCTCTACTAAAAATACAAAAATTAACCAGGCACGGTGGCAGGAGCCTGTAATCCCAGCTACTTGGGAGCCTGAGGCAGGAGAATCGCTTAAACCAGGGCAGCAGAGGTGGCAGTGAGCTGAGATCGAGCCACTGCACTCCAGCCTGGGTGACAGAGTGAGACGTTGTCTCAAAAAAAAAAAAAAAAAAAAAAACCAGGAGCCTAGATCTTCAAAACAGGCAGAGGAGTTCAGAAGGAGCAGGAAGCAGAGTGTGCACCAGAAGTCAAAGAGGCAGGTGAGTGTTCAGTGAGGTATGACTGGGGCTTTACTTCTGGTAAAAATATAGTCTAATCCAGATCCTGTCTCCTAGCAATACTGTGGCCTTGGGCATGTCACTCCAGCTCTCTAGGCCTCTCTTTCTTCATCTGTAAAGTGGAAATCATAATGCTTTATCTGGCCTCAGGGTCTATAGCTGTCAGGTGCCCTCTTCCTGCCTCTGCTTCCTGCCTCACATCTCTGGTTTCTGGTCTGCAATGGCCTGTGAACTTGTGGTTTCCAGTCCAATAAGGGTGTCTGTGCTAAGCTCAAAAAAGCTTGCTGCACCCTCCAGAATGATTTAAATATAAACTACAAAGTTACCTAGTCTCAGGGAGGTATGAAACAGATGGATCTGCTAGTCACTGAAGATGGAAACCATAACCCCTTTATGCAACTGTTTGGCAGTACCTACAAAGGTCGAATACACACATAAACTTTGACCAGCAATTCTGCTCCTAGCTATGTTTATCCAAGACATGCACTAAGGTACTCATACCAACACAGCTTCTGGTGGAAATACCCAAATGCCCATTCACTGTAGACTGGACAAATGGATCAATTGTGGACCCTTCACATCATGGAATATTACAGAGCACTGAGGACACAGCCCAGCAACTACACACATCAGGTTTATGAAGAAACCTCACAAACATAATGTGTGGCAAAAGAAGCCAACACAAGAGTCTACCTGATTCAATACATATAAAGTACAGAAAAAGAAAAAAACAAATATATAGTGATGGTGTTGGAAGTGAGTGTCTTGAGGCATGGGTCACCGTCTGTATCTTTATTGGTCTGCTGATTTCATGAGTGTGTTCAGCTTGTGAAAGTTCATTAAGCTATTTATATACTTAGGTTAGGTGCACTTTTCTGTATGTATATTACACTTTACTTTTATTTAAAGACAGAGAGAGAAAGAAAGGAAGGGAGGAAGGGAGGGAAGAAGAAAGAGAGGAAGGGAGGGAGGGAGGGAAAGAAGGGCCAGTGAACTGTGAACCTGAGAGAGGGAGAGGGGAAAAGGAAGATGAACAGAGAGATTCCCTTCAAAGGAATATCAATAGGACTGATAGCTTACTTTTTAACAGAAACAATATGAACTGGAAGACAATGGAATAACATCTTTCAGTTGCAAAAAAGGAAATAACTGCCAACTAGAATCTTATATAGGTAGTAAAGTTATCCTTTGAAAATGAAGAAGACAAAATATTTTCAGGCAAACTGAAACAGAAAGAGACAAAAAATAGAGTGTTCATCACACAAGAGGAAAACAATCCCAGGGAGAAACATGAAAATAAGAGTGTGATAAAAGAACGTTGGGGAGGATAAATATAAGTAAGTAGTGACTGTATAAAGCAATACTTGTAATGTTTTGTGCAATTAAAAACTCTGTTGATTCAAAATGCAAAATGCTAAAACCAAACAAATAAACACAAATGGTGCTGGTGTAACAGAGCTGCCTATCCCCTCCCTTACATGCAAGAAAGAAGCATGTGCCCCCCTCAGAATCGCCATGACAAGCAATGACTTCTCTGCTGAGTCATGTCAGTGCAGCAAGTGCTGTCTAACACATACTGCCAACCCATAAGGCCCTGTGCTGGGACTCTACCAATCAGGAAGTCCACAGTTGAGGAAACTGCAGGTCAGAAACAGGAAGATCTTTATTCAAGTTTACACAGCTGGGGCTTGCACCTTTGCCACTTTGACTCCAAGGACTCCATTCCTAACCATTTCATCTAAAATGTATATGACCATGATGTATAGTTGGTGTACAGTCTGATACGCTTCGATTGTTAGATGCATTCTATACTTACCTATGGATCTGCAGTGTCTGTCTCTGAATAACTAAGTACAAGGGTTAAACTTACAATGATTCCATTAATTTGGTACTGTTATTCTCCATTAATTGGATGAGAAAGCTGAGGCACGGAGAGGTTCAGTAACTTGCCTGAGGTTACAAAGCCAGGAAAGGGTAGGATGGATCTGAACCAAGCATTCTGCCTCCCTTTTTTCCCTTTCTCTTAGCCAACACAAAGGCATCACAAAGCCTAAATCCTAATCCTTCTATGGGGGCACTCTGGAACCCTCTCTTCTCCAGGCTTCATTTCCCCATCAATAAAATGGGGTAGTTTCAATGGATTTACCTCTAATTCTCACCTCCATACCCCACCATGGCTCTAGCAATTTGGGCGCCCACGTATATGCACTGATTGTATTTAAGTCCAGTTGCAATACAAATGGAATTTTCATCCAAGAAGTTAAGAGAATTAGATGACACTCCAAAAGATGCTTAACACAGAATAAATGCCCAAAAGGACAACCCTGGCAGATCCTCAACTCTGCAAGTGAATTCTTTCAGTTACTCCTTTCCTCTGCTAAGTCCATCCTGTCAGCTATAACTGAGGACTCAGATTTGATAGACATTTATTTATGTGCCACAAGGGTGATGTGTGTGATCTCACCTCATCCTCCTCTCCAGATGAGGATGCTGATACTGAGGGAGACCAAGGTATTGGCACAGGATCACACCCCAGTAAAAAAGTGAAAGGTCCCTGAAAATCCACCCTTCTGCACACCCCAGCCCCTCTGCAGTCCTCAGCCATCTCCACTGCTCCAGATCTCATCCTCTGAAAGGCCTTCTCAGCTTTCTCATTCTAATATCTATCAGGACAGAGGATTGTAATCTTTCTTTTGAGAGAGGGTCATCTCTTTCACCCAGGCTAGAGTGCAGTGGTGTGATCATTGCTCACTGCATCCTAAAACTCCTGGCTCAAGCAATCCTTCCGCCTCAGCCTCCTGAGTATCTAGGACTCCAGGCATGCACCACTATGCCCAGCTAATTTTTTTTAACCGAAATTTTGTAGAGACAAGGTCTCACTATCCTGCCCAGACTAATCTCCAACTCTTGAGTTCCAGCAATACCCCCACCTCGGCCTCCCAGAGTGCTGGGATTGCAGGCTTGAGCCAACATACATGGCGATTGTAACATTTTTGAAATTAAATCTCTCCTGCTTGTCTTCCAGTTAAGGAGATGTGCCAGACCTTCAGCTGTCTCTTTAAACCTCATCCTCTCATTTTCCTCCATCATTTGATCTTGCTTCAAGACTCTGTTTGGTCCTTCATATTAAAATGTTCCTTGCAGGATAGAATCATCTGAGAGTCCCCTCCAAAACAAACAGAGAATGTTATTCTCCCTTTTTCAGTCTTACTAGGAAAAGGAGATAGCAATCCTGGAGACTTGGGATCCTGACTCTCTCATGGATTCCACTTATTGTCCAGCCTCAGCTGCTTCCACTGGACCCAGGTTTGTAGCTCCCTGGGGAGTCAGGGTTTGGCACACAGCACAGCCCTGGAGTGGAGCTGCACCAGGTGGCCTCTGCACTTCCACTTCTTCGTCTCTAAAATAAGACTAATGTTGCCTAACTGGAGCACTGTTAGGGTTGTGGAAGGATTAAAGGTGGTGGGAGGATTAAATGAAAATATCCAGGTAAAGTACAAAGCCAGGTGGTAAGCAGAGAAAAATAGTAGATGTTGCTGTGGTGGTGGCGATGGTGGTAGTGGTCCTTCTCATGACTGTTGTTTTATTACTACTTGCCAGGTAATACCCTAGGCACTTTACATGCATGACCTATTTCATCCTATGAAATCTGAATTATCCCCATCCTACTGCCTTGAGCATGCCACAGCTGTACCCTACAGAGTGAGACATGCTTACTCACATGACACCACAACATCACCATCCCAAGCCACTCTGACACTGTATCAGTGTCTCCTAGTGTCCTCACCATGTCCTCAACCCAACTTCAGAGGCAAGCTGGGCAATAAGGCTACAAGGGCTGGATCCAGCCAAGCTTCCCAGATTAGAAGAAAACCTGTTCTTAGAGGGTGTGTTAGTCACAGCTGTCCAGAAACACAGAACCAATAGAATATGTGGAGATGTGTTATAAAGAATTGACTCACACAATTATGGTGGCTGAGAAGTCCCACTGTCTGCCATCTGCAAGGTAGAGACCCAAGAAAGACAGTGGTGTTATTCAGGCCAAGTCTGAAGGCAGGAGAACCAATGGAGTTTATGGTGCATATGCCAGTCTGAGGGCAGATGATGATGAAAGAGATGATCCAATTCAGGCAATGAGGCTGGAAAAAGAGGCAAGTACCTCCTTTCTTCACCTTTAATTCCTCAGGCCCTCAACAGATTGGATGAAGCCCACATTAGGGAGGGAAATTTACTTTACAGAATCCAATCCAAATGCTGATCTCATCTGAAACACCCTCACTGACACACAAGAAATAATGTTTAATCTGGGGACCCCTTGGCCTAGTCAAGTTGATACATAAAAATAACCATCTCAGGATTGTTATGAAAGCCAATTGACATAATACCACTCATTCTCAAAGTTCAGCTGCATGGTAGACTCACATGGAAATCAAACAAAAAACTCATGCCCTGAGATGTGGGCTGAATTGATCTAAGGTATGGCCTGGGGATGAACATGTTTAGATTCTTCCCTCCTTCCAAGTAACTTTAATGCATAGACAAGTTTAAGAACCGCTCCCTAGATAACATGCAAGCGTGTGCTTTCCAGCCCAGTGTCCCGCACAGCATGGACAGAGTCAGAATGCGACTACTATGGAGCTGGGGAGGTGTGGTCAGCCATCCCAGAGGTGGTGCATATCTCTATCATAGGCACTCACTTGTTCTCTCTGTTTATTGTCACTTTTTACAAACACAATTTGTTATTTTTACACTTTTGCTGAACAAATAGAAGTCCCAGTCAGATCACATTTTGTGTGGAAATGCACATGGCCAGCTTCCTGTGCCACTGAGCTGCCTACTCCATCCCATTCCCAGAGCCTCCCTAGCCCCTACCTGGGAGGGACTGCAGTACAGTGGGAGGCAGAGCTCTTCCAAACAAGGGAAATCCAGTACCTGCTCTGTGTCATAGATTTTCAGTTGAGATCCAAATCTCCCCCCTGCTCCTCATACTCTGACAGCTCATGTGCTACCTCATTTTTTTTAATTTATTATTATTATTTTTTTTAGATGTAGTTTTCACTCTGGTTGCCCAGGCTGGAGTGCAATGGAGTGATCTTGGCTCACTGCAACCTCCCCCTCCTAGGTTCAAGCGATTCTCCTGTCTCAGCCTCCCAAGTAGCTGGCATTACAGGTGTGTGCCACCACACTTGGCTACTTTTTGTATTTTTAGTAGAGATGGGGCTTCACCACGTTGGTCAGGCTGGTCTTGAACTCCTGACCTCAGGTTATCCACCTGCCTCAGCCTCCCAAAGTGCTAGGATTACAGGCGTGAGCCACCGCGCCCGGCCCACCTCCTTTCTTCTACTCAGATTGTGCTGCCTAGTCCATGGTCATAAATGTGACCCAACAGTGGGGTCTACATCTCAGCCAAAATATCAATGAACTGAGCAGCAGTTGAACTTGTTCTCAACCAGAGCGGAGGCAGCCTCTTAGGAGCCAAGGAAGCAGGGCTCTATTATACCCAGGTAGCAGAAAGGTGAGGTGCAGGGAAGGCCGCCCTCATGCTCCAAACTATGCACTCTAACTGCACCCCCGGACATACTTGGGGCTATACCTGTTCAACTGTAAAGTACTACAGTGCAAAAAGCAGGGTTTTGAATTCAGGAAAATCTAGGTCTGTTTAGCAATATAGTATTTGGAAAGTCATCTTGCTCCTCTGAGCCTCAGCTGCCTCAGCTTTCATATGAAGTTATCATTTCTGCCACCTGGGAATACTGTGACCATGTGCAATGACATATGTAATATCCCAGGTGTGTGACAGGTGCTCAGGAAATGCCACTGTCCTTCCCTTGCCCATGCTTAGCTATAATAGCAACTATCAACAACCCCTCAATCTCTGCCTCTGGCCTGAAGCCTAAGGAAGGAAAGGTGCTTTCGAGAAACTCTAAGCCAAGCTAGATCTGCTTTATAGATTAAAATCACCACCCGTGCCTTAGAACTTGGTATTACTTCAAGAAGGCTGAACAGAAGATGAGGAAGATAGGGAAGGAGATGGTGAAGGATGTTAGGCACTTTTTCCCCTAGAGTTGGCAGGATTGTATCTGATTTTCCACCCACTGCCTGACCATCTCCACTTCTTCATTTGAATGCACTGATCTGATTCAGGAAAACAGTAGTCTCTGTTATTCATCTCTCCATTCCTATGTGTTTATTTGAGTGAGCATCAGCTGACCATTTATAATATTCTAAGGTGGGGGTTGGCAAACTATTCTAAAATAGGACCAGATAGCAAATATTTTAGGGTTTTTTTTGTTTGTGGTTTTTTGTTTTGTTTTGTTTTTTGTTTTTTGTTTTTTTGAGACAGAGTCTCGCTCTGTCACCAGGCTGGAGTGCAGTGACTCAATCTCGGCTCACTGCAACCTCTGCCTCCCAGGTTCAAGTGATTCTCCTGCCTCAGCCTCCCAAGTAGCTGGGACTACAGGTGTGTGCCACCACACCTGGCTAATTTTTGAATTTTTAGTAGAAATGGGGTTTCACCATATTGGCCAGGATGGTCTTGATCTCTTGACCTCATGATCGACCCACCTCAACCTCCCAAAGTGCTGGGATTACAGGCGTGAGACACTGCACCCGGCCAATATTTTAGGTTTTGTAGGTCACAGGGTCTCTGTTGTAAGTGCTCAACATTGCTGTTTAAGCATGAAAGCAGCCACAGACAATAAGGGTGTGTCCATGTTCCAATGAGGCTTCATTTATAAAAACGGATGAAGGGCCAGATGTGGCCCATAGTTCAACCCTGCACTAGGACATATGCTCAGTGCTTGGGAAACAGAGATGACCAGTTTCCCTTGGAGAAGTTCACAGAAAATGAAATGGCAAATGCAATACCCCCAGGCCTTTAATCCAGAGGTTTCTATAACAAGATGAAGGGTCACACAGAGAGGAGCGGTAGACGCTTTCTGGGAGGCCCAGAGAAGGATCAACATGGGAGATGACTTTGATTGGTCTTGAGAGGTCAGTAGGAGTTCACCAAGTCAAGGGCAAAGAGTCTTAAGGTGAGGGGAACAGTATATGCAAAGCAACAGGGCTGGAAAGGATGCTGCAACTCAGAAGCCTGGGGTTACCCTTGGAGCACCATGTTCCTTCTCTACCTACCTTAAGGCAAATCTTCTGTTTGACTTAACCTACTTCCTTGTGAGTGGGCTCCACCTGTGTAGTGTAAGTTCTGCGAGGGCAAGAATGACCCATAACATGGAATGAAATGACCCCCTTTATGTTTTCCTAGCACCCCATGCCTGCTAGCACCATGGAATCCACTACCAGTTTGGAGTAATTGTCTGTTCGTGTGTCTACCTCTCCTTCTATGGTGAGCTGCCCTGGGACAAGACCTAGGTCATCCTCTGCTCCAAGATCAGTGATTGAGGCTCAGTAGTTACATGTTGTTGGTGGCATCAACGGAAGTCACTCTGTGTAGTGCAAATGTGGAGGTCAGGGACTAAAGCAGAGGTGTAGGAGATCAGTCAGCGTGTGGGAAAAAGTATAGAAAGATGCAAACCTTCTTGGAAGGCTGGAAGGTTTTACAAAAGCTTTGGGAAAAGATTTGGCTGGAGGCAGCCAGATTCTCTTATCCAGTGCCTGAAAGCTTAGGTTAGATAACAAGCGGATGTAAAGAAACTGATCTAGATAAGTTGGTTTACTTAGTCCTTGGAACCTGCCCTTTAATCATCTGAGTGCAGGATTACTCTCTCGGAAGGGGGCGGAGGGGGCGGTGATGGAGGTAACCATGTGAATTGCCCACAAGTGTGTTAACTCAAAGTCTTTGTCATTAAATCTATACTGAATAAATGCCTGCAGCGCTGGCTTGTCAGGGCCACAGCTGCTAACTCTTTACAGCACCCTCCTCGGTGTCTGTGAGTGGCCCGGTTCCCTAGCCCACTCTTTCACTGAATACCTGTGTCTGAGTGCATTTGTTCATCCCTCATTAGGCTAGGGTCTGTGGGTCGGACTCGGCAGAGGGAATGTCAGGAAACGAGGCTCGAGAGAGGTCAAGAGCTAGGACGTAGACGGCCCTGTGTGTCATGGGAAGGTGTTGGAAGGTTGTTCCAGATGTGCTGAGCATGGGTTAGACCGAACAAAACTCAGTCCCTGTGCTCACAGACTGGGGAGACCGTTCCATAAACTGACAATATTAACACATTGTGAAGACATCGATAGCAACAAGGTAGGGGCTCCTACATCATGAGGAAGGGGTGCCCTGGCTGTCTGATAAAGGGTAGGTAAGCATGGTGATGGACTTCAACACCTGTCTTCCCGCTAAACTAGGGGGCAACCACACCCCTCAGGGAAGGGGTATTTACAAACCTGTAACCTGAGGCAAGTTAAATCACTGTGTGGTCCCTCTTTCTTCATCCAAAATACAGAAGGAACCAGAACACCACTGTTCAACCTCAGGTTCCCTGGGAAGCAAGCCTGGGGAGAGATGTGGGTTGAGAAGGGGTATGAGGGAGTGGACCCCATCAGCGTTTGTAGGAAGGGAGAAAGTCAGGTTGGGTAGGAGGAGGAGCTGGGCTGCGAAGTTGACTCCTCAGGGAGCTCTGGGTATGAATGGTCCTGCAGGGTTGGGCTGATTTGGGGTCAGAGGCCCTGGCTCTGTGCCCCTACTCAGACCAGTCATTGGATTCAGACAGCCTGGGGACAGAAGCATGGCCTGAGGGGAGGCAGCTCCCTTCAACTACCAGCAATTCCTGGTCGGGAGGATTCAGCTCTGAGTTTATGGCTGACAACTCTCTCAGCAACTGAGGGCCAAGAGTGTTCCTGAAGGGGCCCTGGGCAGCCCACCACACCCACTACAAGCCTGCTGGGTGAAGCACAAATGTGGACCTCCCCAAAGACCCAGCCACTGTGAATTGAGGAGATCTTGTCATAATTCTTGTCTGACAACAAGTTAGGTGACTGTATGGGTGTGGGGCCATTTCTCAAACACTGGAATGACTTTCTTTCATACGCGTCCATGTGAAGAGACCACCAAACAGGCTTTGTGTGAGCAACATGGCTGTTTATTTCACCTGGGTGCAGGCGGGCTGAGTCCGAAAAGAGAGTCAGCAAAGAGTGGTGGATTATTATTAGTTCTTATAGGGTTTGGGATAGGCGGTGAAGTTAAGAGCAATGTTTTGCCGGCAGGGGTGGATCTCACAAAGTACATTCTCAAGGGTGGGGAGAATTACAAAGAACCTTCTTAAGGGTGGGGGAGGTTACAAAGTACATTGATTAGTTAGGGTGGGGCAGGAACAAATCACAATGGTGGAATGTCATCAGTTAAGGCTATTTTTTACTTCTTTTGTGGATCTTCAGTTACTTCAGGCCATCTGGATGTATACGTGCAAGTCACAGGGGATGTGATGGCTTGGCTTGGGCTCAGAGGCCTGACACTTTCTATAGTTTCCCCTTGAAAAAAAAGTTGAGAATCCCTCTCAATCCCTGAAAAAAAAAAAAAAAAAAAAAAGACAGGGAAGCTTGAAATTGTCACTCTTAGGTAATGAGTCTCCTTCAGGTCCTCACACCATCACAGCAACCAATTCAGCCTCCCTTTAAACTCATGGGAAAACTGAAGCCCAAAAAAGAAAATGGTAGTTGTGGATCAGAATCTACATTTTCTGGGACCAGGAGCTGTTGCTCATGCCTGTAATCCCAGCACTTTGGGAGGCTGATGTGGGAGGATTGCTTGAGTCCAGAAGCTTGAGACCAGCCTGGGCAACATAGTGAGACCCTGTCTCTACAAATAACCAAAAATTAGCTGGGTGTGGTGGTGTGTACCTGTAGTCCCAGCTACCCAGGAGGCTAAAGCAGGAGAATTGCCTGAGCCCAGGAAGTCAAGGCTGCAGTGAGCGGTGATTGTGCCACAGCACTCGGCTTGAGTAACAGAGTGAGACCCCCTGACTCAAAAATAATAATAATAATCTACATTTTATTTTCCAACAGACAAGTGTCTTTCTATGTCATCCTGCTGGCTTTCCTTTCCACCAAGATTCTCTCAAAGCTCATATCCAATTGTGGAAACAAATTTCTTAATCCTGATTTTTTAAAGTCCTTGTGATGTGATCCAGGGATTAAGCTCTCTGGCTTTGGAATCAGGCAGATGTTAACGTGGATCCTGGCTCTGTCATCCACCAGCTGCAGGACTCAGGAGGAGCCCCTTGCCTTCTGACCTTGTTTTCCTATCGGTATACTGGGCATGATAATACCTACCTCATAGATGATTGCAAGAATGTAATAAAATACAGTGTGGATAAAGTGCTTAGCGTGGGACTCAGCACACTAAAACACACAAAAAAGGCAGTACCATTATGATTGTGTGGTTGGTGCTGGGTTAGGCACCAAGAGGCTTGGAGGGAGGATATGAGGATGATCTCTCTCTTTGTGGGATTTATGATAAAGAGCAGAGATTTATAGTTAGGGATGAATGCTTAAAGGACAAGTAGCAGGGAAGGTATAATTAAGTGATGATATATATGAGATTGAGTAAAATATATTTTAAAAGAAAGGAGAAGGGGGGTATATTTTAAAATATATTTTAAAAGAAAGGAGAAGGGGCTGAATTCCAACTGATATTAGTGGGCATTTGACATCTTTTTACTTTCTTATTAAAAATTTAGCTTTAGGGTCTGATATCAGGTGCTCCCTTATCTAATCGTCAAAGCAGTTCAGCTAGGCATGGGAAAAGCATTTCCATCTTACACAACAAGGCACATGACTCAGAGGAACCAAGGGACTCACCCCAGACCACACAGTCAGACACTTTCAGGGTTTTTTTAATGATGAAAGAGCATTTGTGGGTGTCTTTTAGTTCTTGGGATACATTTTTTTCCATTAAGATGAAATTCATATAATATAAAATTATCAGCCGGGCATGGTGGCTCACACCTATGATCCCAGCACTTAGGGGGGCCAAGGTGGGTGGATCATCTGAGGTAGGGAGTTTGAGACCAGCCTGGCCAACATGGTGGAACCCTGTCTCTACTAAAAATACCAAAAAATTAGCCGAGCGTGGTGGCACATGCCTGTAGTCCCAGCTACTGGGAAGGCCGAGGCAGGAGAATTGCTTGAATCCAGGAGGCAGAGGTTGCAGTGAGCCAAGATCACGCCACTGCACTCCAGCCTGGGTGACAGAGCGAGACTCCATCTCAAAAAAAAAAAAAAAAAAAAAAAAAAAAGACAACAAAAAGAAAAAGAAAAATAGAAAAGGAAAAAAAAAATAACCATTTGAAAGTATAGGCCGGGTGTGGTGGCTCACGCCTGTAATCCCAGCACTTTGGGAGGCCGAGGAGAGTGGATCACGAGGTCAGGAGATCAAGACCACCCTGGTTAACATGGTGAAGCCCCGTCTCTACTGAAAATACAAAAAATTAGCCGGGCATGGTGGCGGGCGCCTGTAGTCCCAGCTACTCGGGAGGCTGAGGCAGGAGAATGGCGTGAACCCGAGAGGCGGAGCTTGCAGTGAGCTGAGATTGCGCCACTGCACTCCAGCCTGGGGGACAGAGCGAAACTCTGTCTCAAAAAAACAAAACAAAACAAAACAAAAAAGAAAGTATAGTACAATTGATTAATATAAAATTAACCATTTGAAAGTATACAGTTGGTTAATATAAAATTAACCATTTGAAAATGGTATTTAGTACACTCACAATGTTGTACAACCACCACCTCTATCTAGTTCCAAACACCTTCATCACTCCCAAAATAAAACCTCATACCCACTAAGCAGCGACCCCCTCTTCCCTCCTCCTGTAGCCCCTGACAACCAGCAATCTGTGTTCTGCCTCTGTGGATTGTGAATTATGCTGTCATGAGCATTGGTGTGCATGGGTCTGTTTGAATACCTGTTTTTGGTTCTTTTGAGTATATATTTGGAGCGGAATTGCTGGGTCATATGAAAATCCTATGTTTAATTTTTTGAGGAATTGCCAGTTTTCCACACTGGCTGCACCCTTTTACATTTCCACCAGCAGCATATGAGGGTTCCAATTTCTCCACATTCACACCAACACTTGCTATTGTGTGTGAATGAGAGTGTGTGTGTGTGAGTGTGTGTGTGAGTGTGTGAGAGTGTGTGTGAGTGTGTGACAGTGTGTGGGGTGTGTGTGTGAGTGTGTGTGAGTGTGTGAGTGTACGAGAGAGTGTGTGTGTGTGTGAGAGTGTGTGTGTGTGTGTGTGTGTGTGTGTTCATACTATCGGAAGGGAAGTAGGTTGTCATTGTGGTTTTAACTTGCATTTCCCTAATGCCTAATGATGTTGAGCATCTTTTCATGTGCTTATTGACCATTTGCACACCCGCTTTGGAGAAACGTCAGTTAAAGACCTCTGCCCATTTTTAAAAATGATTGTTTGTCCTTTTTTGTTGTTGAATGGTAAAGATTCTTTACATATTTGGGATACTAGATACCTACCAGAAAGATGATTTGCAAATATTACCCCCCCTTCTGGGGGTTGTCTTTTTACTTTCTTGATAGTGTTTTTTGATGATCTTGAAGTCCACTATGTCTATGTCTCCTTAGTTGCTCATGTGCCTTTGGTGTCCTCAGGGCTGATATTTGAACCCTGGCCCTCTGGCAGCAGATCGAGGTCATTCCTGGTATAACCCAGCAGCCACTGATGGGGACACGAGGGGAGCTTGTGCCTGATGAACACTAAGCAGTGGGTCATGAGGTCTGGGGGTTCTGGGGCCAGAGACTGGGTGAACAGACAGTCCCAGGTGAGGGATTGGGGCTCCCACAGCTGTTTCTTCCCTCTCAGCTGGAGGATGAGAAGTGGGGTGGTCCCCATTCTAGATGCTTCTATGGCACTGCACAGGAGGGGCTTGGAAAGGTACTGCTCTTAAAAGAGGGCAAATCTCCAAACAGAACCTTTGAGGCAGGGAACTAGGGGCAATCATGTGGGATGCAGGTGACAGCAAGATAGAGGAGGGAAGGGACAAGGTGGGGAAGAAAGAGAGGAATGTCTTGGGCTGAGGAAGGGACTAGAACAGATGTTGGAAAAATAACTGCTTTTCCCAACACTCAAGCACAAACTCAAAGGCCTATCTGGGAGAAATAACGGAGCACGGGCAGCTTGGGGCTCCAGCCTGTGACCCCCAGGGTGCCCTGGAGACATGTGGAGTGAGGGCTTGCCTTGAGCGGCTGCAGGCTCAGATATAGGGATAAAGGGCACGTCTGGATCATCTACCAGGTGCCAGGTGTCTCCACATACATCATCTCATTTAACCTGTCTGGCTTATTCCCTGTGGAATAAGTATTTGTCTCCTGTACTTCACAGGTGGGTGAACTGAGACTCTGAGAGCTGAAATAACTTGCCAAAGGCCCTATTATAAATCAGGGACAGATTCAGACCAAGATTTGGACTCCTCTGACCCATAGCCTTGGATTATTTCTGCTACAACAGAGCCACAGACAAATCAACAGTGACCCTCAGTGAATCCTAGAGGTTACTTAAAAGCAGGGGCAACCTCCACGTACAATTGGCTTAGAAAGTCTTGTTACTCAGGCCAGGTGTGGTGACTCAAGCCTGAAATCCCAGCACTTTTGGAGGCCCAGGCAGGCAGATTACCTGAGGTCAGGAGTTTGAGACCAGCCTAGCCAACATGGTGAAACCCCATCTTTACTAAAAACACAAAAAATTAGCCAGGTGTGGTGGTGCACGCCTGGTATCCCAGCTACTCGGGAGGCTGAGGCAGGAAAATTGCTTGAACCTGGGAGGTGGAGGTTGCAGTGAGCCAAGATTGTGCCACTGCACTCCAACCCAGGCGACAGAGCATGACTCCATCTCAAAAAGAAAAAAAAAGAAAGCCTTATTACTCAAAGTGTGATCTGTGGACCGGCTGCCTTGTGTGCCCTGGGTGCTGGTTAGAAATGCAGAATCAGGTCCACGCTAGGCCAACTGAATAAGCAACTGCATTTAACAGGATCCCTGGGTGATCTGTGTGCACACACATTTTAGGAAGCATGCATCTATGGGGTGTCATTTTAGACTTTTAAGAACTTTTGTTTTTAGAAATAAAGATAATAATAACAGTGATCATCATAATTGAGCTTAGCATCCTGATCCATCCACAGACTACTCCAGACTTTCAAAAATATCATCTGAAGAGAAGAGCTTATAAAGTGCTTTGCTTATCAACCAATGGCTGATCTCAGTACCTCTGGCAAGACAAAATGTTCTGCTCTCCCAACGAGATCAATATTACACTTCTGGTACTGTATTTATTTAGTTATTATTTCTGACATGTATTACATAAAATGCCCCTCTTCTTTCTGCTATCACTGGTTTATTTGAATTTCTCTTACATTCACCCTAAACCACATGGAATCTTATGCAACAACCCAAATGGCATCTCCTCCAAAGTCCTCTCTGCCCCCTGCAGTGGCCTTGGCTCCCTGCCCTCATCCCACAGGCATGACAGCTGTGTGCAGCCTCTGATTCTCTAGGCAACTTTAGGATCCAGCACTGGCTTAATCCTTGATGCCTTCTATTCTTTGAGGATTTTCTGGACTTGATGAAGCTCCTTTTCAGACTCTCGTTCTCAGCTTTGCAGGTCTTAGAGACTCATAGAGAGAAGAGGTGCCTGGCTCAGAATCTAAGCAGGAAATACTGAACAGCATCTTCCTCCCATATCTAGATGGGGAATAGGGTGGGCCAGCTGGTAGGTCAGAACCAACCATGGGATCAGCTCTGCCTCTTATTAGGTGACATTGGGTAAATTACTCATTCTCTCTGAGCCTTTCTGGCCTCATCTATAAAATGAGGATATGATCCCAACTTCTGAGGGTTAAATTAGGTAATGCAAGTAAAATACTGGACACTATGCCTGTTAAGGACTGTATGTTCACGCCCTGCCCCCAAATTCTTATGTTGAAATCCTAATCTCCAAAGTAATGGTATTAAATAGTGGGGCCTTTGGGAGGTGATTAGGTCATGAGGGTGGAGCCCTCATTAATGACATTAGTGCATTTATAAGAAGAGATCCCAGAGAGCTTTCCTGCGCTTTCCATCTCGTAAGGACACAGGGGCAAAGAAGACATATGAACCAGGACGTAGTCCCTCATCAGACACCAAATGTGCCAGCATCTTCATCTTGGACTTCACAGCCTGTAGAACTGTGAGAAATAAATGTTTGTTGTTTAAGCCACCCCATCTATGATGTTTCTGTTATAGCACCCAACCTAAGTCAATGTCTGTCACATACAGATATTAAATAAGAGGAGCATGCATTTTCATTAGACAGTAAATCGTTGAGGGATCGTGTCAACAAATACCACGAATCTCTCAACTTTTAAAAACAAAACAATTAAAAAAATGTTAGTGTGCTTCCAGCATAAAATTCAACAAAGGACGACTGAAAAAATAAAAAGATAAATGACTCCTTTAAACACTTGATGCAATTTCTAACACATGACATATGCAGTGTTGGCAAATAGCAGTGCACTAACCAAATTGACCCATGCCATAGATGTCTATTTTAATGATCCACATGAATTTTACATGGCTAAAGATTTGTTTATGTACGAATACATATATATATATTCAGCAGAGACCATATGTGGGCAACGAAGGCGAAATTACTATCTTTCCTTTGCGGAAAATTATTGCTGACTCCAAATTACAGAATAAACATAAGAAGGACCCATCCATATCACAGGCACACATGTTGGGAGCCTTTATGGATAACGTTTAGTCTTCACACTAATCCCATAAGATACCCATTATCATCCCATTTTACAGCAGATGAGAAACACTGAGCACTAGGAAGTATAAATAACTTGACCAGGGTCACAAAACTAAGGACCTGCTGAGCCTGGATTGAGTACCAGTGCGGTAAACAAATTACCTTATTGTAGGTCTTCTGAAATGACTCTACAAAGAGTCAAAACCTACAAAGGAATATCCACAAATGCCAAGGGACCACTTTACACACGGAAGGAGATCCAAGCCTGTGGCCTTGTCAGGGAGGCTGAGGTCAGGCAGGTCCAAAGTGAAAATGGTCTGTCTGGGTCAAGGCAGGAGCTAAGAGCAGGGAGAGAACTGGGGTCTGCTGCCAGTGTGGGCTGCCCCGATGCTGTCTGGGGCGCGTGTTGGGATGCTGGAAGACAAATAGGGTATGGAGAGTAGGCTTTGCAGCTTACTTCCTCAACCCCATTGATCTCAACTCAATTTATCAGTGGTGGGGCCCCATGCACATGCTAGGTGTGGTCCCAAGTGCTAAGAGAATGCAAAGATGAGGAAGATCTACTCCCTGCCCTTCAAGGTCAAGCTAGTGGGTGGAGAACAGGCTGCAGAGATCAGGCCCATGCATCACACCCTACAGCTCAAATGTGATAGAAGAAGCATGGGCGAGTCCACTGGGGTCTCTTTTTTCTCTTTTCTCTCTCCCTCTATCCCTTCTTTCCTTCCCTCCTCCTTTTCTCCCTGTCTCCCTCCCTCCCTTCCTTCCTTCCTTCATCTCTCTGATATTTTCTGAGCATGATCAAAAGCCAGGTGCTGTGCTTGGTATAAAAGGAAACATAAAGAAGCAGCAGGCACATTCTTCATCCTCACAAGCTGGTGAGATGATGAGGAGAAGCATGGAGCAGAAGTCCACCACAGCAGGGCAGAGGCATGTGCAGCCATCAGGGAAGCTGGAGGGGCCGGCAGATGGGGAGGCCCTCCAACAGAGCTTGCCAGGCACAGTCAAGAAGACTTTACCAACAGGGTTCCATCTGATCTGGATCTTAAAGTGGCACAGTCAGAGCAAGGACTCAAAAAATGCAAATATACCGAGGCAACAGCCAACTCTGTGCAGGACCATTGCAAACAGTTCTGCAGGTTGCTCACCACACAAAGGGGACAATGAGTAAGGGCAAAACCCAGCCCACCCTCTTGTGATCAAATTGTGTGCCCTGGTGGGTGCAGCGCTACACCTGCCCAAAGCAAGTGGGACTTTTTTTCTCCAAAAGTAGCCACCGCATCCCAAGTTGAGCACTGCCCAGCAGATGCACCTTTTCCTAAATGCCTGAAGAATTTATGTAAGCCAGCGATGCTCAGACTCTCTGACTGAGGATTTAGAGGGAGCCAAGCCTAAAGGGTCTGGAGCAATACGGCATCTTACCTTTAAAGCACACCAATAAAAGCAAAGCAAACATTGCTCCCTCTGTTTTACAGATGAGAAGGCTGAGGCTCCAGGAGGCAAACCAACCTGTTCAAGGCCCCACGGTTTTTTAGTGGCACCACTCAAAGAACCCTTACTTGTGGCAGTCCTCCCTCCCAGCCCTGCAGCCTCTGAGGGGGTTCCTAGAAATGCAGGAAATAGGACAGGGAGAGCTGACTCCAGGGCTCAGTCCTCAGCGTCACAAACAATGACTGGGCCACAAGATGGTGTCATGTCTTTATGACTCCTTGGAAACTCAAATTCCTTGGGGTCGGAAGAGTTCCAAGTTCTTTATAAACAGCAATCATCGTATTCATGACTATATTCAACACAGGCCTGGTGAAAATAACAATAGCCGCAAGAGTAGCAATACATTGCGGTAATTTTCTAGTCAACTTCTATTTTCTAATATAGTGCTACATGTTAAGGTCTTTTGTATCCCTGTAAGTGAGGAGTTAGAAAAAGAGAGTATAAGTGACGGGGGTAATGTTTATTGGCGAGAGGACGGAAAGGGAAAAAAGAGAGGGTCACTTACATTAAGAATTCCAAGAGTGTCTGGGTGCAGTGACTCACATCTGTAATCCCAGCACTTTGGGAGGCCGAGGTGGATCACTTGAGCTCAGAACTGCTAGAGTGGAGCAGTGTAGGGTGCTGGGAATGTTGCATAATGTGATTGAGGTGACATTTCTTTATGTAGATACAGACACGTGTTAAAATGCATTGAGCTCTCCACTGAAGATTTGTGCATGCTGTATCAGTCATGCAAAGGAGAAAGGTCCCTGCCATGTACCTTTCTACCATAGGCCATTTCATGCATTGTCTGTTCCCATCGCCATGCACTCCTGTGTGGAATGATTGACAGCTTCATAGAGGAGGGGACTCAGTTCTGCCACTTGAACACACAAGCTCAGACAGTCTGCTGGAAAGTCTACTTCTTTACCTGAAAGTGATTCAAGTTAAGTTCGATTCCATGGAATCATCTGTCCACCATTGGTCACAATGGAGGGGGCACATCAGCCTCTGTCACCTTCCTCCCCCTCCCTGCCACACTTGCTCATCATGCTAATTGATGTGGATGCCTTTGTCTGCTCATGAGTGGGATGACAGGCTGGCTGTTGGAACAAGAAGGTGCACTCCATCTAAAGAGTCTTCATGTCTCACTTCTCCTTGTGCCAGCTGCTTGAACACATCATGGAAGGACGGGCATGGCCCCTTCTTCCTGCTTAGTGTAAAATACTCCATTGCACACCTTTGTTAAGCTGTCATAAAACTGTTTAAAAACCTTAGGTGGAAGGCCGAGGCAGGCCTACTGTTTCCATGCTACTTAAAATGAGATCATTCACTGTTAAACCTGGAAAACCACTGTGTGTGTTATGTGTGTGTGTATGTGTGCGTGTGTGAGAGAGAGAGAGAGAAAATGAGATCATTCACTCTTAAACCTGGAAAACCACTGTGTGTGTTGTGTGTGTGTGTCGTGTGTGAGAGAGAGAGAGAGAGAGAGAAAGGAGAGAAAGAGAGAGAGGAGAGAGAGAGGTTAATGCAGAAAGTAAACACCCCAAATCCCTTTTTTGGGGGGCGGGGGGACGGAGTTTTGCTCTTGTTGCCCAGGCTAGAGTGCAATGGCGTGATCTCCACTCACTGCAACCTCCACCTCCCGGGTTCAAGCAATTCTCCTGCCTCAGCCTCCTGAGTAGCTGGGATTATAGGCATGGGCCACCACGCCCAGCTAATTTTGTATTTTTAGTAGAGACAGTGTTTCTTCATGTTGATCAGGCTGGTCTCAAACTCCCGACCTCAGGTAATCCGCCTGCCTTGGCCTGCCAAAGTGTTGGGATTACAGGCGTGAGCCACTGCGCCCGTCCCCAAATCCCTTTTATCTTAGAGACTGCCTGGTTGTTTTTTCTGCTGAGCTGTTAGTCTGGTCAAAGGACATGGACAAATGTGTATTCATTTAAAATGCTCCTCAAGTGGCTAATTTGTGCAGGGGTTTGGAAGAACTGGTACAATAAGTGTAGAAATTAGGGCAGGGCTGCGTGTCTTTCATCAGCCCCTGCCTGTGCCGGCTTCAGCCTCATTGTGGTTGGTAATACCATGTTTGTTGAACTGAGCAAGGAAAAGCTAAAAAACAATCCATCTCAACTGTGTTCTCCTAGAGATCAATCCAGGCATGCTCACATCTAATCGAGTCAAATCCCAGCCACCAAGTAATTACTGAGCTGCTATTATGGACCAGAACATATTGTCTTCAGTTGTTTCCTACTTCATTCAACAGGCATTAGCTATTAAGTTCTGTATCTATCGGAAACTATGTTGGGTATGGGGCAGTCAGTCACAAAGGGGTAAAACCAGAAGCCTCACCTTAAATAACCCTAGAAAAGGACGGACACACGACCTGATAAATATAAGAGTGTGCTGACTCTCCTGGCATGTGCAAAGTGCAGAGAAGCATTTTGGCTGGGGGCATTTGGAAGGCAGATACGTTACAACAAAGTAATCTCACTGCAAGTTCAGAAGTTCAGAAGAGGAAAGGGAAGAAAACAGGTATTGGCTAAACGCCTCTGTGTTCCTGGAACTGAGTTAGGGGTTATCCACACAATGCCTGTCGCTCTTCGAAAGACCCTCTTAAAGAAAGGGATTTTCCTCCTTCTGCAGATAAGGAGACGGAGCCTCAGAGAGGTGAAAATGACTGTTCAGGGTCATGGACTTAGAATGTAGCAGGTTCAGGAGTTGGATTGTACTTTTCCTGACACAGGCAGGGGGAGCAGAGGGTAAACGGGGTGGTGGGGTTGGGGAGGCTGGCTGGGTAGTATATTCTACAAAGAGTTTGCACTTTGTCCTTCAGGCAAGATTGCAACTTGGCAGCACAGGGGCCAAATTTGGATCCTCATGAGCCTTAAAAAGCAATGAGGAGAAGTATAGAAGGTAAATTCTAGAATAAATGCCTGGTCTGTAATCACAGTTCCACCTCCCACCAGTCGTGTGATGTGGGGCAAGTTACTGAACTTCTCTGTCCTCATTTACCTCCTCTGTAAAATAGAGATATTCACGACCAAATCTGTCTCCCAGGACTGTCTGGAAGGTTGCATGGGTCATACATGTCGCCCCACATTGAGAAATGCTTGGAATATAAGAATTGCATAAAAATTGCTAACCATTCTGATGGATATACAGCACGGTCTCTGGGAACTAAGAAGCACTTAAAAAACGACTATTATTCTTATAATACATTTTATCAAAAATTACCAAATATATTGAATAATTAGTTAACCTCTTTCACAGTAAGGCAAAGCAGGGGTGTGTTTATTATCCACTGATCCCATCTTCAAGCAGGGACATTGGGTTATAAATTGAGTGCATGGCCAGGTGAGGTGGCTTATGCTTATAATCCCAGCATGTAGGGAGACCAAGGCAGGAGGATAGCTTGAGACCAGGAGCTTAAGATCAGCCTGGACAACACAGGGAGACCCCATCTCTATAAAAAAATATCAGCGTGGTGGTGCACACCTGTGGTCCCAGTTATTGAAGAAGCTAAAGTGGGAGGATTGTTTCAGGGAGGTTGAGGCTGCAGTGAGCTGTGATTGTGTCACTGCACACCAGCCTGGGCAACAGAGTGAGACTGTGTCCAAATAAATAAATAAATAAATAAATAAATGTATAAAACCTTTTTTGACAGCTCAGATGTTAGAGAACAAAGAAAAGTCATTTTCTTGACTCACTGTGAGCTTGTACTTCCAGATGTGCAGGAGGGATGTGAGGGAGTGAATGTCTGTTTGCAAATGGGCTCATGTGGTTTGTCCTGTGGGCTCCTTCAGCTGTGGGCTTGGAGACAGTCAAAAGTTTCTTACTCTGAAATGCTGCTTGAAAACTATCTCAGGTCCCTGGAACAGCTAGATTTTTCTTTTGGCTCTACCACCAGTTGTGTAATCTTGGACATGTCCCTTTCCAATTCATGTTCTTACTGGATCTTTTTACTGTTTCATGTAATAAATGGAAAAGTGATAGAAATTAAGAGATGCATCTCAAATTACAGACAATTAGCCTAAGGATATGACTGGAATGAGGAGAATACACTGGACTGAAAACTCCTGGCCAGATCTGAATGTCGAGAGGATTCTGCACTCTACAGGGCAGGTGGAACAGACCCCCTCTTCCCCCAGGAGTCCCCTCAGCTCCTCACAGCTTCTCCTGTCTCGCTACCCTGGCCACCCCAGCTGTTGCTGTTCCACCCCAACTCTGCATGGGCTCAGGCCCCCGCCCCCACCACTACCATGACAGTCTTCTCAAGGGGTCCATCTCTCTGTGGTTGCTGAAGTGGGAGACACCCATCCCCCAGCCATGGCTGTGCACCAGTACCCTGGACAGGGCAGGAAAGGTAATGTCCATGGGGAGAACCGTGGGCTGATGGGAAGTAGGGCTGATGGGAAATAGTACAGACATTCTGCTCCCTCCCTCCTCCCACCTTCACAGTCTGTTCCGAGGTGCTGTAGTCCCTAAGCATCCTGGAAGACAGTCCAGGAGATAGAACACTCAGTGCACTTGGCACCAAATGTGGCCAGCTTGGTAACACGACCTCTCATTTGTCCCCTTCCTTCCCTGCCTACCTCCTTCTCTCTCTCTCTCCAGCTTCTCTGGGATCATTCTCTCTGGTAAAGTAGCAGCATGTCAGGTTTTCATTAGCCTCAGCTTTCTGGGAAAGCCAGGCTGAGACAGATTCTAAAACAAAGTAATTTCTACTCTCATTAATTGGGATGGCTAAAGAGAGAGAGGAAGGGAAGAAAGGTGAAGGAGAGAGAAAAAGAGAGCCTTTGGCTGTCGATGGATATTGAAGAGGTATGGTGAGTATTACAGGAGTGGAAACCAGTTCAACGCACGGAATTTGGAACCAACTGCCTGGGTTTGCATCCCTCTTAATAATTACAAACCTGTAATTGAGCAAGTTACTTAACCTTCAGTTTCCTCATCAGCAAGGTGTCAATAATAACCCTAAATGTCATAGGGGTTTTGTGCATTTAAAAAGTGCTAATATCTGTAAAGCACCTAGAACACTGTCTGATACACTGTAAGTATTATCTACGTCTTCATTAAATGTACAAATCAACAAACAACTCCCTTGAATTTATAGGCAGGACTCTGAGGAAGTCAGTGAGTTTCTCTGGGCCACAGTTTCTTCAGCAATAAAATGACAGATCTGAATTAGTAATGTTCAAGTATCTGGCAGTTCTGACCCTTGATATTCTAAGGATAACCCAGGCACTAACATGAATTCGGCCCCTTTGTGGCACAGGAATATTCTGAAGAGCTTATATATATGGTCTCAATGTTGGAAATATTATACTATAATTAATCCTCGCAAGAGCTCTGTGACATTGTGGTGCGTTCTCCTGTAATTTACAGATGAGAAAAAGGAGGATCAGAGAGGTGAAGTGGCTTGTCCATGGTGCAGAGTGAACTGAAGGGTTAGGATATAAACTTGGATCTGGTTGAGTCAAAAGCCCTTCTTTGCAGTACAGAACCCACTGATTAAGTAAGACTGGAGATACCTAAGCTTTGGTGTTGAAGATGTAAATAGCAAGGCTGGTTGCATTCTTGGCAATTTTTAGATTATGGAAGGGGTATCCTTCTGCATATTTGACAAATCACAATTATAAAAACACAAATGGTCTGGGGCAGATGTGTGAAATGAGATGGATTCATACTTGTGCTGCATTATAAAGGTCTGAATAAAGAATAACACACAGGCTAGGTGTAGTGGCTCATGGCTGTAAGATCAGCACTTTGGGATGCTGAGACAGGAGGATCCCTTGAGGCCAGAAGTTTGAGACCAACCAATACATGGACAACATAGGGAGAACTCATCTCTACATCAAGCACAAAAATGAGCTGGGCATGGTGGCAATGCCTGTGGTCCCAGCTACTCAGGAGGCCGAGGCAGGAAGATTGCCTGAGCCCAGCAGTTGGAGGCTGTAGTCATGACTGAACCACTGCATATCTGCCCACATGACAGAGCAAGACCCTGTCTCAAGAAAAAAGAAAATGCTATTTGGATTAGAATCCACTTGCTTGTTTCCCTGCCTGCCAGGCTGCGTGTTAAATCTGGCACATTGTGGGTACCCAGCCCAGGACCCCATGTGGCTGTTGCAGCTTCCCTAACAATTTTGGATAAAGAAGTGAATTTTTTAATTAGTTTTTTTTTTTTTGCAAGATGCTGTCTGTTATCATAAAACACTTCATATTTTATTAAAGAAACAATTGCATAAAATAAACAATCTATGGTTTCTTTTGTCACCTTCATAGAAGAACCGCCATTGGAGAATTTCAGAGCCTTTGACTTCGTCTGTCGGTTTAGAAGGGGAAGATGCTGAGAGGTCATGGGTGCAGGGACTGAGCAAGAGAGCCGCGCACCCATAATGTCGTCTCTCTGTCTTGGGTCCCGTTTCTGTGCGCATCCTATCATGTTCCTTCAGTCCAAGCTAACGGCATTTGCCATGATTTTGTTTTGACACTGTCACACTGTCCCCAGGGTGACATTGACAAGCTTTCTTTTCACCTTGGTATCACAGTACCAGATACATTGCTCACGGGTATCAGAATCATTTCACCTTGACACCAAACCCTGGCATCTACAGATTTCAAGTAACAGGCTTCTGCTTCCAGGGAAAGCTCAGACAGTCCCTCACGTTGGGGCGAGCAGAACATGACAGCCCATCTATTTGGCTGAGATTGCCTTTTTATTTAAGGCCACAGTGGGCCTGCATTTACAGAGATATGCAAATATGTGAGTGGATAAATTTGTTATTCTATTTAAATCAGCTTCATTTGAGCATCTTCTTAAGTCACTCACGTTA
This sequence comes from Homo sapiens, assembly GCF_000001405.40. Lineage (NCBI taxonomy): Eukaryota > Metazoa > Chordata > Mammalia > Primates > Hominidae > Homo > Homo sapiens. The sequence goes on along the minus strand of NC_000008.11, from coordinate 133,592,907 downwards.
GGCACCGGGGAACCAGCTATTAAAAAAAATAAATAAGACAGGCTGTGTCCTCATGGAGCATCCCTTTAAGAGGAGATGCAGAAATCAAACCAATACTTACACCAATAACCAACCCAGCTAGAATAATGATCTACCAGCCAGGCCCAGGAAAGAAAAGCATGTCAGAGAGGAACAGTGTGGTCTGGGGAAGATTACATTTGGGAAATATTCAAGACCACTGGGTCTGTGTCAGGGACTAGGTTGACAGTCTGTTCTCAAGGAGGTCACTTCTACTGCTTGTAAAAACGGAGTTATGTACCAGGTGCAAATGGGCTGTAGAGGAAGCAATTCAATGGCAGGCCTGGGGAAGTTGGGGACAGTTTCCAGGAAAAATAGCATGGAAGCTGAGGCTTGAGGAGAAGTAGGTATTGCCAAATGGCCAAGAGAGCAAGAAGGAAAGGAAATGCATAAGGTATGGAGGCATGAGAGAACATGGAATCGATAGGATGTAGTAGGAGGCTGGTGTTGCTGGAACATGAAATCTGATGGGAGGAGAGAAGAGGAGAAAGATTTGAAGTGGAGAGGTGGCAAGGGCAGTCCGTGGAGGTCTGTGAGCATCCTGCTGAGGAGTTGTCACCTTCAGTCCACAGATGAGAGGGGTCATAGAAGAACATGTTAAACTACAACACCTAGCTGTGGTCCCAGCTACTGGGGAGGCTAAGGTGGGAGGATCGTTTCATCCTGGGAGGTTGAGGCTGCAATGAGCTGTGATTGCGTCACAGCTAGGTAGTCCGGAGGAGGAGGTGATGGTGCTGGTGCTGTTCTCCTTCTCTCCCCCTTCCTTCATTTTAAATTGGCCTTGTTGAATGTATTGTAAAATTACGAGTTTAGTTCCTTGTTTTAATCAGCGATTCTTGTGAACATCATAGGTCCTCCTTGGCTATTTGTCCAAAGTGCGAAGTCACTCTTCTGCACATGACCCTGTGGCCCAGGCCCACAGAGGTAACTGGAGAAAGAAGTCAGAGCCTCTAAACCAAGAAGGATCTCTTATCATAATTGAAGGCAGTGGGTCTTGAACTGTGTTAGTTGGTGGCCCCTGATCCGTGATCTTAAACTGCAGCAGGTAAAGGGAGGTCAATGAGGTGAGGCCAGGGCTTTCTCTTCCTGCACTGAGGACACCTTCTTTTACACTAGGCTTGCTACACCCAGAAGACTTTGCTTACAAGGAAAAGAAACCAACCCTAGTTTAAAAAAGAGGCAAAAAGACATTTACAAAATTGAAAGAAAACCTCAGCAACTAGGTCTTAATAATAAAAATGGTAATGATAAATAATAATAACAATAATAATAACAATAATAATAATAATACATCTCCTGTGTAGCAGTTGTTATTCTAAGAGTTTTACATGTATTAACTTACTCTTACAAAAATACTAGACAGAGGATACTATTATGATCCTGATTTTATAGATGAGAAAACTGAGACTCAGAGAAGTTAAGTAACAAACCCAAGGTCACACAGTGAAGAAGCATCAGAGATGTGATTTGAACACACAGAATCTGGTTTCTGAATCAATACTTCTTACTACTATGCTAAAAACTGGAAGCAAGAAGGTAAAGGCTAGTGATCTAGGTAGAAGGAAATAAAGCACAGGCTCTTCAAGGAAGTGGCACGGAGGATATACCTGGCTGGGGACACCTGCCACCCTGCAACTGAGGAAGGGGAGTCTCTTGCCTGACAGGTTTCCCAAATGACTTGGAATGGGGGAGGGTCACTTCTCAAAACAAAGGCCAAACGCAAGATTTCACATTAGATTTACCTTATTTATTTAATTTTTTGAGATGCAGTCTTGCTCTGTTGCCCAGAATGGAGTGCAGTGGTGCAATCTTGGCTCACTGCAACCTCCACTACCTAGGTTAAAGTGATTCTCCTGCCTCAGCCTCCTGAGTAGCTGAGACTACAAGCACTCGCCACTACTCCCGGCTAATTTTTGTATTTTTAGTACAGATGGGGTTTCACCATGTTGGCCAGGTGGGTCTCGAACTCCTGACCTCAGATGATCCACCTGCCTCGGCCTCCCAAAGTGCTGGGATTACAGGTGTGAGCCAGCCTAGATTTATCTTGGAACAACAAACAAATAAACAAATAAGAGTTCCCCTAATAGACAATAAAGAAATTATCCCCAGAGCCCTTTTAGTTTGTTTATAAACAAATAAAGATAAAAGTGAAGTTGTCAGTGTGAGTTTAAATATGTTATTATCTATGAGGGCAGCTTTTACACACAGAAAAAATATTTAAGGTTGGTTTCTAAAAATGTATTAACATGAAATCCACTTTTCCTCAGGTTTTAACTTCAATTTGCAAATTCATTTAAACATAGATGATGCTTTAACCATTACTTGCAAGAGGTCTCTTGGTCAATGTTGAAATAAACTTTACGCGGTGAGTTCAGGTAACAACTAAATTCATTAAATTGCCCCCAACGTTTAAAATGATGTAACAAGCAAAGGTAGCCAAAACATCTGGTACAGCAGATAGGCACAGTGGCTCATGCCTATAATTCCAGCACTTTAGGAGGTTGAGGTGGGAGGAATGCTTGAGCCCATGAGTTCAAGACCAGTCTGGGCAACTTGGTAAGACCCACATCTACAAAAAATTCTACAAAATTAGCTGGGCACAATGGCACTCACCTGTGATCCCAGTTACTCAGGAGGCTGAGGTGGGAGGATCACTTGAGCCCAGGAGTTCAAGGCTTTGGTGAGCCTTGTTTGCACCACTGCACTCCAGCCTGGCAGACAGAGTGAGACAAAATCTCACTCTCTCACCCAGGCTGGAGTGCAGTGGCACAATCTCGGCTCACTGCAACCTCTGCCTCCTGGGTCCAAGCAATTATCGTGCCTCAGCCTCCTGAGTAGCTACGGATGCAAGCCACCATGCCTGCCTAATTTTTGTATATTTAGTAGAGACGGGGTTCCACCATGTTGACCAGGCTGATCTCGAACTCCTGACCTCAGATGATCCGCCCGCGTCAGACTCCCAAAGTGCTGGGATTACAGGCATGCGTGCGCCCGGTGAAAATCTGGTAAAGTAATAACTAAGCTTACAGGTAGAAGGACTCTTGAGTTCTTTTAAACAAACATAGTAATTTTTCTAACATTTTCCTGAATTTTTTTCAATGAAAAAGCATGTCTAAATCAAATTACTACTCAGTTACATTTTAAATGGCCACTGTAAGATTAATTTGTCTCTAATATGTCAAAAACTTTTCTAAAAAAATTATACAGAACTCAAATACCAAACATAAGCTGATTTCCTGCACAGTGTTATTTCTGTGATTTACTTTCTAATCTCTCTATATAATTAATCCTAAACTTTTCCGGCGTGAAAAGATAAACAAGCTGTGTTTAATATCACAAGAAAGTTTCATTCTGAACTCATGATCTATCAGGCTGAGATTTTCTGCTAGAATACAAGGTCTAAGGTGTAAGAACAACTTTTTCTTCATCACAGTTGGGCATATTCAGTCTTCTCTCTAGTTACTTCTAGTTACTAAGGCAACAAGAAACTCCAAGTCCACACATTATAGATGAAACTAGTTTTTGCACCATTGGCCCTGATCTAAGTTTAGTAATCTAACCCCTTTTACCCTGAAGCACAGACTGCTAATTGTCCCCTAAATGCCAGTACTCCTCGGCACATATGTTCCTGGGATAAAGGCTAGATATACCAGCATTGCTTGCAACTAGGCAACTAGGAGAAGACTGAGGGGTGAAATGTAAGAAGTAGTGTTGTGAGCAATCTGTAAAAAATGCCATGAAAGGTAAAGATCATGTTCTTCTCTCTCTTTCTGCCTGGAATAAAGATTTGATTGCTGGAGCTACAGCAGCCAACTTTGGACTATGAGGTAAACTTGGGGATGAATAGTATTTATTATTTACTATTGCAAAACAACAAGGTGGATGAACCCTGAGTCCCTGGAACTGTAGAATGCCATACCAGCCTTGTTTACCAAGACTTATAAAAGGAATAAATTAACTTCTATCTAATTAAGACACTCTTATTTTGAATTTTCTGCAGCAAAACTTAATCCTAATGGCTGCAGACACTATCACATGATTTGTAGAGATGAAATTCTCCCACTCCCCACAGGATTGTTCACTAGTGAGCTGTTTGACTGCTTGATACAATTCAGCCTTCTCCCCATGTCTGGCCATAGAACACAGTCCTAAGGCACCTTAATGACTTAAACGGTTTTACCTTATTGGTATCCAAAATCAGTGGCAGGATATCACATCTCCTAAAACTGGGAACATAGCTCCCAAGGTAACTTCAAGGTCGATTTAGCTGCCTCCAGAATCATTAAATGCAGATCATTCAAGGCAAGAAGCTAACATTATTTTATATTTTGTATGAGTTTGCAGTTCAAAATTTGTAAGTCAACACCAGAATATTTGGTAAATCATACACCAAAAAATAGTAATAGCTATTTTTAGTAAGTTGGCTAACTTACTGAGCACTTACTTTGCATCTGGCTCATTTAATACATCACCTTACTGAATTTTGCAACAGTCTTAGAAGATTCATTCTAGCATCATTCCCATTTTAAAGACAAGAAAGCTAAGGCAGGCCATGCGCGGTGTCTCACACCTATAATCCCAGCACTCTGGGAGGCTGAGGCAGGCAGATAACCTGAGGTCAGGAGTTTGAGAACAGCCTGGCCAACATAGTGAAACCCCGTCTCTAATAAAAATACACAATTAGTTGGGTGTGGCAGTGGGCACCTGTAATTCCAGCTACTTGGGAGGCTGAGGCAGGAGAATCGCTTGAACCCGGAAGGCAGAGGTTGCAGTGAGCCGAGATGGTGCCATTGCACTCCAGCCTGGGCAAAAAGAGCAAAACTCCATCTCAAAAAAAAGAAAAAAAGAAAGCTAAGGCTAAACATCTCGCCCAAGTTCCTACAGGCAGCTTCATTCCACAAACCATTAAGTGATAGAAGTACTCCTTAGCTTGGACGTTCTCTGTATGGTTTTAATTATCAAAAAAAAAAAAAAAAAAAAGGAAAAGGAAAAGATTTGAAGGTTTAGTCTCAAAGAAAGTTAACCTATTAAACTGCAAGATATCCACATAAAATTTTTTCCAGACCTCTTTTCTTTTTCTTTTTTTTTTTTCTTAAGACGGGGTCTCACTCTGTCACCTAGGTTGGAGTGCAGTGGCGTGACCTTGGCTCGCTGCAACCTCCACCTCCCAGGTTCAAGCAATTCTACTGCCTCAGCCTCCTGAATAGCTGAGACTACAGGCCCGCACCACCATGCCCGGCTCATTTTTGTATTTTTAGTAGAGACAGGGTTTTACCATGTTGGCCAGGCTAGTCTTAAACTCCTGGCCTCAAGTGATCTGCCCACCTCAGCCTTCCACAGTGCTGGGATTACAGGTGTGAGCCACTGCGCCTGACCCCCTTTTATGTTTCAACAACATATATGGGTGTCAACTTCATTCTTTTTGAGCATGGAAATCTTATATCCCAAATTTGGATACTCATGCTTGGTTTCAACTGGGAAAAAATAACCTGCTCTCCCTTGCAAAAAATAAAGGGAGGGAACAAGCTCAAAATTTTAAGGCTATCACCATGGGCACATATTGGTTTTTTTGTTTTGTTCTGTTTTTTGTTTTTTGTGGTTTTTTTTTTTTTTTTTTTTTTTTTTTTGGAAATGGAGTCTCACTCTGTCACCAGGCTGGAGTGCAGTAGCGTGATCTCAGCTCACTGCAACCTCCACCTCCCGGGTTCAATGATTCTCCTGCCTCAGCCTCCCGAGTAGCTGGGACTACAGGTGTGCACCACCATGCCCAGCTAATTTTTGTATTTTTAGTAGAGACAGGATTTCACCGTGTTAGCCAGGATGGTCTCGATCTCCTGATCTCGTGATCCACCCACCTCGGCCTCCCAAAGTGCTGGGATTACAGGCATGGGCCATGGCATCCGGCTGGGCACATATTGTTAAAAAGAATTACAGGGCTTTCTTCCCCAGAGAGATGCAGTTGGCCTGACAGATTTCTGATACTGGGCAACTCTCAAACGATGTAATTTTCCATTCTCCTTTATAAAACATTTGCAGATATGCTGACAAGCATAGCACATGTAAGAAAGATGCTAAAATTAGTAATAACCATCACTTATTGAGTGCTTACTATCTGGCACTGAGCTAGTAACTTTTTCTATGTAATCTTTCTTAAAATGACTGAGGCCAGTACCAGATGCCCATTCTGCAGTTGTAAATCTGAAGACTCAGAAATATAAATCACCGCTGGACACGGTGACTCACGCCTGTAATACCAGCATTTTGGGAGGCTTAGGTGGGTAGATCACTTGAGGTCAGGAGCTCCAGACCAGCCTGGACAACATGGTGAAACCCCATCTCCACTAAAAATACACAAATTAACTGAGCGTGGTGGAGCATGCCTGTAATCCCAGCTACTCATGAGGCTGGGGCGGGAGAATCAACTGAGTCCAGGAGGCAGAAGTTGCAGTGAGCCAAGATTAGACCACTGCACTCCAGCCTGGGTGACAGAGTGAAACTCTATCTCAAAAAAAAAAAAAAAAAGAAAGAAATGTAAATCAGTTGGCGGGGCATGGTGGTTCATGCCTATAATCCCAGCACTTTGGGAGACCGAGGCAGCTGGATCATCTGAGGTCAGGAGTTTGAGACCAGCCTGACCAACATGGTGAAACCCTATCTCTACTAAAAATACAAAAATTAGCCAGGCATGATGGTGCATGCCTGTAATTCTAGCTACTCAGGAGGCTGAGGCAGGAGAATTGCTTGAACCCAGGAGGGAGAGGTTTCAGTGAGCCGAGATCATGCCACTGCCCTCCAGCCTGGGTAACAGTGGGAGACTCCATCTCAAAAAAAAAAAGAAATGTAAATCACTTGGCCAGCACATCTGGTGAGCTGCTCAACAACACATGTCTGAGCCCAGAGTCCTCATCCCCATCCTCTGTGCTCTGCAGCTTCCGGTGCCAAGCAGGGCTGCATTTCAGTTTTCCTTTTCTGATCTCTCACTCAATCTCTCAGGTTAAAGTGCTAAGTTTTGAATGCCATCAAAGTATGATATAGAACATTTTTGATCCCTAAAGAGCCCCATAATTTATTTTCAAGAATGAAGGTGGTAACCTTGGGGTCTTAGACAGATGTAAAATCCAGTAATTGCATTCTGACTAAATGACTGTACTTACAGGTAAAATCATAGGACTATAATGTCCTTCTATGATTTTACCAGTTGCAAGGTTTCCAGTTGCAAGGGCCCTTAGAGAGCACCTAAGCCAGTGTTTTCCATCCTGAGAACAGTTTGTCCAAATGGCAACCCAAGCAGAAGCACACACACACACACACACACACACACACAGACACACAATTTCAGCTATCTTTGCTGCTGTGCTTTGTGCTGTGTGTGTCCCAGTAAATTTCATGTGTCGGAACTTGAAACCCAAGGTGATGGTATTATAAGGTAGGGTCTCTGGGAGGTGAATAGGCTGTGAAGATGGCACCTCCTGGATGGGATCAATGCCCTTACAAAAGGACTTTAGGGAGTGAGTGTGTCCCTATGTCCCTTACACCGTATGAGGACACAGAGTCTGTCTCATCTCTTCCACCATGTGAGGACACCTATATGACACCATCCATGATCCAGAAAGCAGGCCCTTGCCAGACAATGAGTTTGTCATTGCCTTGATCTTGTACTTTGCAGCCTCCAGAACTGTGAAAAATAAATTTATGTTGTTTATAAATGACCCAGTCTAGGATACTTTCGTTATAGCAGCAGAAATGAATGAAGACATTCGTTGTCTCTTACCTTTCTTACCTTTTCTCACAGCACCTAGTGCTTCTCCTTTGAAGCATCTTTCATAATGATGATGATTATTATTATTTTGAGACAGAGTCACCCAGGCTGGAGTGCAGTGGCACAATCTTAGCTCACTGCCCCCTCTGCCTCCCAGGTTCAAGCAATTCTCCTGCCACAGCCTCCTGAGTAGCTGGGATTAGAGATGCCTGCCACTGTGCCTGGCTAATGTTTGTATTTTGTAACGATGGGGTTTCACCATGTTGACCAGGCTGGTCTCGAACTCCTGACCTCAGGCGATCCACCTGCCTCAGCCTCCCAAAGTGCTAGGATTACAGGCATGTGCCACTGCACCCAGCCCCATAATGATAATTATTCATTGATTTTGTAATTCCTGGCCTTTTCTCCTACAACGTCAGCCCTCTGAAGAACACACAGTGCCCATCTGGTATGCCACTTCATGCCCACCACCTAGTCCAGGGACTGACATCCAGCAAACATTCAATGAATATGAGCTAAATTGATTGATGCAGATAGGTGTCCAACGTGGAACCCCTCAGGTTCCATAGAGGCTAGTTGGAAAATACTGCTGTAACTCAACTTTCTCATTGTACTGATGAGAACATTGATGTCAGAGAGGGAAACCGTCAGAAGTCAGGTGGCTGCAAAGCAGCAGAGCAAGGACCTGAAGCCAGAACATCTTAGCAAAAAGACTGCCTTGTCTCTTTGGGATTTATGCATGGGTGGCTGAGGACGGGACTGTCTGTGAGTGTGGTCGGCCCAGCCTCTACAGTCATGATAGGAGGGACTTGTTTTAAACAGGCAGATTCCTGGACTGCACTGCAGGTCTACTGTTTCAGTCTGTTTGTGCTTCTCTAACAAAATACCTTAGACTGGGTAATTTCTAAACAACAGAAATGTACTGCCAACAGTTCTGGAGGCTGGGAAGTCCCAGGTCAAGAGGCCAACTTATTTGGTGTCTGGTGAATACCTGTTCTCTGCTTCATAGATGGCACCTTCTAGCTGTGTCCTCACACCGGGAAGGGGTAAATGAACTTCCTTGGGCCTCATTTATAAGGGAAGTAATTCCATTCCGCCTTCACGATTTCCTCAACTCCTAAAAGCTCCACATTAATATTATTGCACTGGGAATTAGGTCTAAACATATGAATTGGAGTGGGACGAAAACATTCAGATCTCAACGTCTACTGAATGAGAATTTCTTGGAAAAGGGGTTCAGGAGTTTATATTTAGAATAAGCCTCCTGAAGTGGTTCTTGTGCACATTAAGGTTTGAGAAGCAGAATTCTAAGGTTCCCTGTCTGACCCCAAAAGGTCACTAGAGGCTCAGCCAACTGAGAACCTCTTACTTGGGCCTGACTAAACAATCACTGACCTGGAGAATTAGCTATACAAAGTCATGTTATTGAATGAGTTATTCATTCCATTAGCCTTTCCTGTGAATCACCATGTCGGCAGGGCCCCATCCTTGGCCCTCTTTTCATTTTCTGCAATATTCCCAGGCAATCTCCTCCACATCTGGCTTCACCTCCCTCTGTTGGCTGTGAATTGAGTCTGGCCCCCAGCTCCTGAAAATGCAGCTGCCTGTGGCTGCATGACTTTCTAAAACATGGCCACAGACTCTTTGCCTTTCTCCCCCATCAAAAAGAATACAGTTCAAAGAAGTAAAGCTACCTTACTTCTGGAGCTAGACCACAAGAGGCACGTGGCTTCCCCCAGTTCCCCGGGAAATCTCACTCTCACGATCTAGCCCCCTTGCTGCAAAAAGCCCAAGGCATGTGGAGAGGCCACATGGATGTGCTCCAGTGGGCAGTCCCTGCTGCATCCAGCCCTCAAGTCAGCTCATTCCTTATCCTACGTACATGAGTGAAGAAGCCTCTAGGTGACTCCTGTGAGTTACCCTCAGTTTCAAGTCTTCCCAGACACGGTGGGGCAGAGACATGTTATCCCTGCTGAGTATCATCCAAACTTATGACCCACAGATTCCATGACCATAATGAAATATCAGTTTTATGTCTCTAAATTTTGGGATGGTTTGTCAGGCAGGATTATTAACTAGAACCAGCAGCAACTAAATGGTGCACAGAAAGTACCGTGACAAATAAAAACGACACTGCCTCCTCTCCTCCGTCTTGGCAGATGCCCCATTCTGCAGATTGTCACCATCCACTGAGTGTCGGTGAGGGTTGTACTTGGGTTGCAAGTAACAAGAAACCTCCATATGCTATCTTGAAGGACTAGGACTAGGGCTGAGTATTGTTGCATTTTTTTTTCTTCCTTTCTTTCTTTTTTTTTTTTTGTTTGAGAAAGAGTCTTGCTGTATCACCCAAGCTGGAGTGCAGTGGCGTGATCTCAGCTCATTGTAACCTCCACCTCCTAGGTTCAAGCAAATCTCCTGCCTCAGCCTCCCAAGTAGCAGGGGTTACAGGCATCTGCCACCATGCCTGGCTAATTTTTGTATTTTTAGCAGAGATGGGGTTTCGCCATCTCTGGCTGGTCTTGAACTCCTGACCTCAAGTGATCCACCCGCCTTTGGCCTCCCAAAGTGCTGGGATTACAGGCATGAGCCACCCAGCCCAGCCATTGTTGCATATTTTCTTTCATAAAACAAAGAAAAGATCCCCAGATAGGATACTGCTGGCATCGATTCCAATGCTCAAGAATGCCTTCAGGGATCAAAGAGCTTTCTATCTTTTACCCCATATTTCTCACGCTGGTCTTGCCCTACTAGATGGATGCTACCTCTCCAGATACCACATGCGTGTTTAAAACAAAACAAAAACAAAACAAAAATAATTCTGTTGCCAGAAAGAAGTAAGAGATGGATGCTAGGGGGCAGTGTAATTAGCAATGCCACTGCTTGCTCTCATGGAAAACAGAAATACAAGCTTTTTCCTTCTCCTCCTGCCCCTGACCAAAATTGTTGTGATCTATCTATTTCACCTTCTTTGAAACTCATCTACCTCTTTTTAGGCTTCTGCCACTTCCTTAGGTCAGAACCCTGGCAGCGCTTAGATGATTGAAATCATGGTCTCATTGCTTCTTGTCTGGACATATGGCCACAAGGCTGCCTGAGGTGTCTGCCTAGCATGCAAATCTGCCAACGCTCACCATGTAAAATTCTCTGAGAGCTTCTGACTGCTCTCAAAACAGAGCCAGACTCTGGCTCACAGAGTTCTGCTGGCTTAGGGCGGCACCACACACACTCGGCTTGCACACTCAGTTCTCGGCGAAAGCCCAGGGAACCTGACCCCAGAGGAGGTCTCACTACACCCACTTCTGCCCAAATGTGGAGAAATAACTGGAAATTAGTCAGGCCCCCACCAAACTGTGGATTCCCTGAGGCAAGGAACTACGTCATGTCCACCTGCACGTCTTCAGCACTTAGCACAGTGTCTGGCGCACAGTAGATGCTCAAAAAATTTCTGCTGAATGAATGAATGAATGAATGAATGAAAGAAGGGAGGATTGCACCTCTCCTTCAGGATCTGTCCATTGAACAGGAAATAGAGCCTAATAAGCCCGTAACTGCAAAGGTGCAAAGTGGTGATGGATTTTAAGGGAGACCCAGTAGGGATAAGCGGAAGGGATGAGGACTGTACAGGGCCAATAGCAAAGGCCTCATGTGGGGGCAGCCCTTCCACTACCCACCCCCACTGCCCCCGCTGCCTCAGGAAGAGCTGTGCACATTAGACAGGAGGGGATTCAGGTGGTGGAGAGCCTTCCAGGGAACTCATGGTTCATACGCAAAGCCAGGTGGTGGCTCTTCTAGAAGGAACGATGGGTATTCCATTAACTGATGTGTGTGGAATGCAGGTGCAATAGGTATGGCAGGACACTTCAAATATTCATTTGTGGTTTTCATCCCTTATAGATTCCCATTTCCCCCATTTCAAGCCTGAAGTCAGGCCCTTAATGTTTCCTTGCCTCAAGGACTAGCTACCTTAGGGAAAATTAGAAGTTGCTGAAGGTCTAGCTTTTTGGAAATCAAACTTAAATCCATTTACATGAAAAAAGGGGACAGGAGTCTGCTTCTGAGAACACCATAAAGAAAAGGATGAAAAGGGTTTCCAGGGCTGCCCGTCAGCTGGAGCTACAGAGAATGGAAGCCATCTGCTCCAGAGGTGGGCATGGAGATGTTGGTGTCCCTGGTTTAGTGGGTTGAATAATGTTCCTGAAATGTTCATGCTTACCAGGATCCTCAGAATTTGACCTTATTTGGAAATAGGGTATTTGCAAATGTAATTGGTTAAACAAGTTGAGATGAGGTCATATAGAAAGGCACGGGACAGTTTCTCTCTGAGTCTCCAGCAGGAACTAACTTTTGCAACACCTTCATTGCAGCCTCCTGAACTGTGAGAAAATAAATTTCTGCTGTTTCTGGCCACACAGTTTGTAGTAGTTGGTTATGGCTATCCTAGGAAATGCATATATCTGGGCCAGCTGGACCTTATGGCAAGGAAGCTTAGGAACCATGATCCTTATGGATCTCGCAGCCCAGGACAGTGGGAGGCTCTGCAGAAGCAGTGAGGATTGCCAGGAGTCAGAGTTTCCTCACACCAGGCCCTGCATTAGCCCTCTGGACTTCTGTATATCTTGGGGGCTTCACCAGCCCAGCAAGATAGAGATCTATGTTGATTTTAAGAACATAACATATAAGTTAACCAGAGCTTCTGGGCCAAGCTATGCCTGCTAGTAGAGGGTTTGTAAAGAGGAGTATTAGAAGGAAACAAGTGAGAAACACACGTTGGGACCACACCGAGGGTCTTAACTGCTAGACTCAGAAATCTGGACTTACACCCCTAGGCAATGGGAAGCCACAAATGTTTTAAAGGGTTAGAGCTTGGAAATGACTTGAGGGAAGGAGAGGGGCTTCGGGACAATCAATCTAACTGTCGTTATCAAGGGTTTTGTTGCAAGTAACAGAACTATGACCTAAAGTGGAGTAAGCAAAAGAATTTTATTGACTCATGAAACAGAAAGTCCAGAACAGACTTCATGCATTAGTGTGATTACGACTCTGAACCTAATGTCTTTATTTGGCTTTCTTCATGGGCACAAAGATGCCTCCCAGAGCAACTGTGTTAAAAATGCTCTTTTGTTCATGTCCAGTTAGAAATAAGCTATATTCAGGGCTTACTCTTAGAAACTTTTTTCCTAGAAGACTCAATATATTTATCTCTTTATCTTGGTGGTCCAAGTAGGGATTAAAGCTATTCATTCATGAGCTGATTTTTGACAAAGAGATTAGGGTGGGCAGGATGGACTGAGACTAACCAGATGGCTTAGCATAGATTTCGGGTCTAAGACCATCAGGAGTGGCTTAATGACAGAGACACATTCCAAGAAAAGCGTCATTAGGCAATTTAATGGCTATGCAAACCTCACAGAGTTCACTGTAATACAGCCTCAGGCAGGACCTTCAGGATGTGTTCCAGGGAAAGGCACTGTTACCTTAGGGGATGGCAACTCCATGCAGGTTATTGCCCTTAAAGACCTTCCTGTGTTTCAAGATATGCAGTGAAAGACAGTGATATTGATGACTGACGCTGTGTGGGCCCAAGCTGATGTGAGTGTTTGTGTCTTAATTTTACCAAAAAAGTTGGAAAAGTAAATGAATAAATAATTTGTAAATAGAAAAAACTTGTGAAATAGGGATATAAAGAAAATATTTTTAGGCTGGGTGCAGTGGTTCATGCCTGTAATCCTAGCACTTTGGGAGGCTGAGGTGGGTGGATCACCTGAGGTCAAGAGTTCAAGGCCAGCCTGGCCAACATGGCGAAACCTCGACTTTACTAAAAATACAAAAATTAGCCTGGCCTGGTGGTGTGCACCTATAATGCCAGCTACTCGGGAGGCTGAGGCAGGAGAATCGCTTGAACCCGGGGAGCGGAGGTTGCAGTGAGCCAAGATGATGCCACTGCCATCCAGCCTGGGCAAAAGAGTGAAACTCCAATACCAAAAAAAAAAAAAAAAGAAAAGAAAATGAAAATATTTTTAGTGCAGCTGTTCAATGTGTTTGTATTTTAAGCTAAGTTTTATTACAAAAAAGTCAAAAAAGTTTAAAAAGTGTATAAAGTAAGAAAAGTAACAACAAGCTAGGGTTAATTTATTATTGAAGAAAAACACATTTTTATAAATTCAGTGTAGCCCAAGTGTAGTGTTCATAAAGTCTACAATAGTATACGGTAATGTCCTAGGCTTTCACATTCACTCACCACTCACTCACTGACTCAACCTAGAGCAACTTCCAGTAACGCATGCTCCACTTATGGTAAGTGGCCTATACAGGCATACCGTTTTTATCTTTTATACTGTTTTTCTATAGTACCTTTTCTATGTCTAGATATGTTTAGATACATACATACATACCTACCATGGAGTGACGATTGCCTACAGTATTCAGTACAATAACATGCTGTACAGGTTTGCAGCCTAAGAGGAATAGGCTAAACCATATAGCCCAGGTGTGCAGTAGGTTTTACCATCTATATTCGCATAAGTACACTATGATGCTGGCACAGGGATGAAATTGCCTAACAACACATTCCTCAGAACGTATCCCCATCACTAATAGACTCATAACTATGTCCATGGTGGTTTGCTTCATTTGTTTCTTTTTTCTTTTTCTTTTTTTTTTTTTTTTTTTTTTTTTTGTGCTTTGAAGCTCCAGCTCAAAGGGTTTTTTGAATCCTGGTTTTGCTTGTAGGCAGATAATGCACCATGAACTTTCCTCTCTATTAGTGAAAACCTTTCAGTTTTGGGGTCCATGTTTTCAGACTTCTTAAGGAGCTTGTTGGAGACTGAAGAAGCTTCTGCTAAACCCATCACTGTGAGTATTCTTGGGAGTTCTTTTTTCCCTTCTCCTGCACTTTCTTTTTCTTTACCTCTTCTTCAGCTATGCACTCCTATTCCAGTTCCAACAGCAACCCATTAGTCAATTCCTCAGGAACCCCCTCTAGGAATTACTCAATGTCATCCACATCCACACCCAGGTTAAAGTAGTTTGCCATCTCAACCACAGCCTTCTTGATTTTTGCAACTTCCTCATCCTTGGCAAATCCTTTGAAGTTATTGACAAACCTCTTGCGTGTCTTCTTCCAGGTGCCATTCCTACAGTCCTTAGCGACATAATCCAAGCCTAAACAAGGTTCTTGATGCTGTTCAGAATTTCATCAGAGTCTTCTCAGTGTCTTCCTCCACTGCAGTATGGGACTGGGCAAAAGTCCTCCCTTCTCAGGTAGTAGAACTTAAAAGCTGCTATAACTCCTTGATCCATTGTGTGGATCAAAGAGGTGGTGCCTGGAGGAAGAAATATCACTTTGATATTAGGAATGAAGATCACCCGTAAAAAAGAGGACATGTGGGAGCATTATCAACAATAAGTAAAATCTTGAAAGGTGGATCATTCTCCAAACAGTGCTTTTCCTTTCAGTGGTACAGCATTGCAGGAGAGCATCCTGGAAAAGAAGCTGCATCTGTTATGACTTCTCACTACTCCTGTAGCCCACTGGCAGTATGTGCTCAGTGCTGTGCTTGAAGACCCTCGGGTTCTCACTGGGCCAGATCACGAAGGATTTCAACTAGTAGCCTGTACCATTTCCCTCAAGCAAGACTGTTACCCTGTCCATCAAAGCCTTGAAACCTGACATTGACTTGGCTTCCTTATAGATAAAAGTCATTCCAGGCATCCATTTCCAGAATAAGGAGATTTCATCCATATTGAAGATTTGCTCCGGCAAGTAAATTTCCTCCACAGTCAGCTTATCTACAGTTTCCAAAAATTCTTCAGCTGCCTTCACATCAGCACTCACAGACTTACCACTCACTTTCATATTACATAATAAAGAACGATTCCTGAGTCCTTTAAACCACGCAGAGCTAGCAGTAAATTCAACATCCTAGTCAAATCCAGCCTTTTCTTTCAGCATCACAAACTTTCTGTTTTGGCTGGGATCATCGTGGGGCTGGGTGGAATACATGTGTGTGTCAGTCTAGTCTTCAATCCGGGTCATAAGAAATTTCTCTGTATCTGGTATAGACCCTTCTTAAATTGTTGATAGTCTCATTGCCTCCAATGATGCAGATAGTTTCAACTTCTGTCACTTTGTTCTTCTTCCCCAAGATTGTAGCTATGATCGAATGCGACCTACCTGCCTGGGGAGCAATAACCATCACCAATTTTCCACCTCCGTGGTCTTTAATCACTTTTAATTTCATTTCCAGCTCAATCACTGATATGGTTTGGTTGTGTCCCCACCCAAATCTCATCTTGACTTGTAGTTCCCATAATCCCCATGTGTCGTGGGAAGGACCAGGTGGAGATAATTGAATCATGGGGGCAGTTTCCTCCATCCTATTCTCATGATAGTGAGTTCTCACAAGATCTGATGGTTTTATAAGGGGCTTCTCCCTTCACTGGGCACTCATTCTTCTCTCTCCTGCTGCCTTGTTTTTTTTTTTTTGTTTTTTTTTTTTGTTTTTTTTTTTTGTTTTTTGTTTTTTTGAGATGGAGTCTCACTCTGTCACCCAGGTTGGAGTGCAGTGGCGCGATCTCGGCTCACTGCAAGCTCCGCCTCCCGGGTTCACACCATTCTCCTGCCTCAGCCTCCCGAATAGCTGGGACTACAGGCGCCTGCCACTGCGCCCAGCTAATTTTTTGTATTTTTTAGTAGAGACGGGGTTTCACCGTGTTAGCCCGGATGGTCTCGATCTCCTGACCTCCTGATCCACCCGCCTCGGCCTCCCAAAGTGCTGGGATTATAGGTGTGAGCCACCGCGCCCGGCCCTGCTGCCTTGTTAAGAAGGATGTGTTTACTTCCCCTTTGGTGGTGACTGTATGTTTCCTGAGGCCTCCCAAGCCATGCTGAACTGTGAGTCCATTAAACCTCTTTCCTTTGTAAACTACCCAGTCTCAGGCATGTCTTTCTTAGCAGTGTGATCATGGACTAATACAATCACTCAATGTGGCTTCTCTTTGGCAACATTAGCCATGGATTCTGTACGCTTAGGGACCGTGAGGAACAAAACAGCATGAGATTAAATCAAGCACAAGAGAAAATGATGCAATCGAAAAAAATGAGATGAATGAGGCTACTGCCGGTATGACACAGAATACTGTTTTACAGTAAACTCTTGGTTTTATAAGCAGAAGAAGCACACTCTAAAATGATTTAAAGTATAGTACAGTAAATATATAAGCCTGTTACATAGCTGTTTATTATCATTATCAAGTATTATATACTGTACATATTGTATGTGCCATACTGGTAGTGCAGTAAGTTTGTTTATACCAGCATCGCCACAAACACATGAGTAATGCACGGAGTTGATGTTATGCCAGCTACACCACTAGGTGACAGGAATTTATCAGTGTCATCAGAGGGGACCACTCTCATATACGCATTCCTTTTTTGACCAAAACGTCATTACTCAGTGAACGACTGTACATGTGAGAAGTGTGGCTGGGTTCTGCCAAATAGTTTACTAACTCAAATGCCTGCCAAGATTCTCAGAGTCAGGACCATGTCTCCTACACTCCCTCTAATGCATCATCTCCTGGAGGACTGTCCTTCTGCACAGTCATTCATGGGATGAGCTCAGGCTGCCTGGGCAGTCCATCCAGTATTGGATTGGTGATTCATGACTCTGTAGATGAGGCCTGTCAGTCAGATTCCTCTCCTGGAAAAACTAAAACACCTGGTGGAACCACAGTGGGAAGTGAAGCTGAAAAGATTATTTCCACAATTGCCAGGATGCAGAAAGGCTGAGGCCATAAACATGCAGAAAACTTTAGAACAGACCCCAGGATTTAACAGAGAAAGCCTGTGGGCAGAGAGAGAACAGAGCGGAGAGGGGGAGGGGGGGCAGCGGTGGGGGTCGGGAGGGAGACAGAAACACAGAGATGGGCTCTCTCTCCTTGCAGCTTGTTTTCAGCTTCAGTCTGCACATCTCTACATTAAAACTCTTTTTTCTAAAGAAACTTGAGTGAGTTCCTCACAGTCCCAAGAGCCCTAAGGAAAACACTGTCTAAAACACAAAACACCATGTGCTGTGCCCAGCACCTCTGAACTCATCTCTGACAAGTGGTGCAGCCCTTTTCTTTTCTGCACAATCACCCAAATGGGACCAGAACCCATTAGGATCTTTCCACTCTGCTGTGCCAAGAAACGGGGGTAGGGAAAGGATGAAATCAATTTCCTTAACCATCATTACTGAGAGCTTTGCTGGTGCTCCAAAAGGTAGGAGGTGGCAGCATGCAGTAAATCAATGTCAGCGCTCCCTGGAGACCCACTGTGAAGACACTCCCAGTAATGACTATGATCCTTGTTCTCTGGCAGGATGTGATGGGACATACACTCAGGGTGACAAAGAGGAATGCATGCACACACTTCTGACACACAGCCCCTGGCAAGGGTCCTAAAAGGGGGTGTTAAGAGAGCTACTTGCATGGAATGTCAAAACTCTGGAAAAAAAGGGAGAGGGAGAGGCTGTCCCTGTTACCTGGGAAGAAACTTAACAGAAAGAAAGTGGGGCTTTCAGAAAAGGCCTTGCCCAGGTTAACCCTTCAGAGATGAACTAAAGATGCATCTGATGTACAATGTTTTATTCAAATAAGGTGGTGATTTATGTGTGTTTCACCACAATGTCAATTAATAAGGAATTTCCATCTCACTATGGAGTCATCCAGGGGAACTTCCAAGACATGGTCCTGAAGCCTCCCTCCAACCCTGAGAATCTTGGTGGGATTTGCGTTAGCAGAACTGTTTGGCAGAACCCATACAATCTACACTATTCACATATATAGTCATGCATTGGATAACATTTTGGTCAATGATGGACCACATGCATGTAAGACAGTGGTCTCACAATATATTAATGTAGCTGAAAAACTCCTGTGCCTAGTGATCAGAACATCAACTCAATGCATTACTCACATGTTTGTGGTGATGCTGGTATAAACAAAACTACTGCACTGCCAGTATTGCACGTGGAATACATACAGTAAGAACTCAGCTAAAACTGAGCTGCTTTTGGTTCTTGGCTGCAAAGTGCAACAGCTGGATGACCTGGGGCTCCTTACTTGCCAAATCTGATCCTCTTTCCACAGAATCTACTAGGATATAGTAGCATAGTCTTATATGAGTATAGCATTTTCTATTTTTCGAATATGTTCCCATACATTATTTGATCCATACAATAAACAACACTTTTGTTATTTCATCCAAAAACTCTTTATTGGCCCAGACGATATTCCCAGCCAAAGCTAAAAGTCTGGTGCATGTTAGAAGCTCTTCTTTGCTGGAAGACGCTGCTGGTGGAGGGGACAGTAGCCGATGTAAGCAGAACTCTCTGCCCCCCTCCTCCCATGCACACAAGCAATCTGGAGATGCAGTGAACACCTTGACCTGAGTTTCAGAAAGAGGAAAGCCCACAGGATGTGTCCAGGCAGACAAAAGGGCTCACCCCTTCTCTAGAATTCTATCAAAAACCAAGGGCGTCAGGCAAGAGGTCTCAGAGCAGGTCCCGAAGTACCTAAAAGGCTATTCATCTTTTCCTTCCCTTTCTAGTAGTTATTTTTCTCATTCTCTCTCCTCCCCCTTTTAAAAGCTGGTTTTTCTTCTACTTTTCTCATCTCTGAATATTTCTCCTTTTCTCTCCCAAGTCCCTGAAGTCTTCCCCAACACCCTAGCCCCCATCTTCTAGCACAGGTCATCTTCCTGCTGTGGGCAGGGACCTGACACTGGAGAAACCCACCATCTACACAGCTGACTTACTACATGTCAAAGACAGTTCTAAAGGTTCTATGTGTACGAATTCACTAACTCATCACAACAGCTTTATCAGACAGACACTTCTTAGGTCGGTTCTCACAGATGAGGACACCGAGGCACAGAGTCACCTAGGCTGGGAGGTTCAGTCACTAGCCCAAGCTCACACATCCGTTGAGTGGCAGTGCAGGATTTGAACCAAGAAGTCCGGCCATGCGGGCCCTGGCCTGAATCCCTGTACTACAGCAGCCGTCTGATGAAACAAAGGCTGGGGGACTCTCCCCTTCCACTGCAAAAGGTTGATCTCTCTCCAGCTGGAGCAAGGGGCGCTGGAAGGATGCAATGACCCCAAAGGCAAACTGTGCCTCTTTCCTCTAACATTCCTCCGAAAAGTTGCGAAAGAGGTAGTCTCAGTAAGGGGTTAAGAACCGTAAAACCAGATTTACATGACTTGTGTACTGCATTTAGCATCAAAGCGCTGCACTCTGCCTTTCAGCAAAAGAAGTCTCCACCGCCCCCGCTTCCCTGTAAAAGAGGGAGGGCTGAATAACTGCAAGCCTAATCCGCAAACCCCAAGCTCCAGCCGCAGCCTCCGCATCTGGAAGGAAAAAGCGGCGGCAGGCGAGCCAGGGCAAGGGCTGGGCCAGGGCCGGGGCCGGGACCAGGGCCGGCCGCAGTGCCCGGCTCTGTGGCTCTGAACGCGGTTCTGGCCGCAAGAGTCGTCCAGCCCACGCTCCTCCCTTCCCCCTCCCTAAATCCCACCTCGAGTCCCGCGCCCTTAGAGGAAGTGGGTGGCTCTGCCCGGTCGCCAGCAGGGGATCGGCCCCTTCTCCCCACCGTGCCCCCGACTCGAGTTCTTCTGGGCACTGCCATCCTCTCGGTGCGTGCCCGTCTTCCTGCTGAAACGGACCCCAGTGGCTCCCGGGCCTCCCGGGCGCTCTTCCTTAGCCCCGCCAGCTTGAGGGCCGCGTCCAGAGAGCGGGGAGCTCCTCTCGGGGCGCCGATCAGGTCCCCGCGCCGCAGCCGCCGCCTCCGGCGTCTCCCAGGCTCGGCCTCTGCCGAGCCCGCTGCGGTCCACGTGGCTTGGCAGAGCTAAATTCGGCTTGCAGGAAGCCCGGAGCCAAGGGAAAGCCGAGCCAAGTTGGGGTGGGCGGGGCCGAACGGAGGCGCAGAGTCGGGAGGGGCGGGCACTGGGCGGAGGAAGGGGAGGGCCGCGCGCAGGGGAGGCGGTGGCTGGGCTCTGGCGCGCCCTGGCACCCGGCCCCGGCCGGCCAGGGAAGGCGGCCCCTCCTCGGTCGCCCCGCCTTTCACTCCCGTTACACCCGGGGGAAGGTGTTCCCGAGCCCTCTCCCACCCTCATCCCGCCTCCTCGCTTCCTCGGCTCCAGCCTCCGCCGGCGGAGCCCACTATGCCAGACAGTTTCGACACTTTGCAAAGACAAAGAGCCCTAGACCGGAGGGAGGAGGAGGAGGAAGAAGAGCGGAGAGAGAAGGAAGAGGCGATGTGAGCTGGGAAGGGGGCAAGTGTCCGGGACACCCACACCCCTGTATTCTCCTCCGAACCCCTTCATGCCCAAATCCCGGAAACTCCAGCGTGTCTCCAGCCGTGGTGAGTGCGCGCGCGGAGGCGAACCCTGCTCGGGGTGCGCGGGGGCTGCGTCCGCCTGAGTTGGGGCTCGGGCAGTTTCCTGTGGATTCTCGGAGTGGAAGGTTGATTGTCTGGACCCGGGAACTGAAGGGGTGGGGAGGGGACTAGGAGGGTGTGACAGTGGAGCTGGGACTGAAGACCCCGGGATTCTAGTGGAAGACATTCGAAGGGAGACCCCTTCCTTGGCAGCGGCGACCACCCAGGGCTTTGGGAGAGGAAGAAGGTCGGGGTGGAGGTTCGGGCTTAGGGGTCTTCGGCCGACACTGGAGGAGCTGCCTGGAGCTCTGTGGGGAACCTACGCCAAGTCCCGGGCAGCGGTTCCCGAAAGCAGCCCCAGTGACATTGCACCCGGCGCCGGGCTGGGATCTCCTCCGCTGGGGCCGCCCGTGGGAGGAGACCTCGCTGGGTGGCCGGGCTCAGGCGCTCTCGAGCGGATTTGGGGTCACAGGCTGGGACACCGCGGAGGCCGCCAGTGTTCTGGACGAGCGGCCGTGGGACAGTATCCGGATCGAGTCCCCCAATCCGCTGCAAGCAGGCGCAGATCCGGGAGGTGGCTATCGGCCCCGGGGACGCCGTCAGAGCGCGCTGCTCCGGATCTGGGGGTGAAGTTGACACCCGGGACAAGAGAGCTGAACGCGGCGTGGCGGACAGTGGGGGACGCGGGTGGGCCAAGGAGAGCACGGCCGGAGTCGTGTTAGTGGCAACTCGAAACTCTGAATCCGCCCCAACCCCGTGAGGCGTCGCAGCTCCCAAGAAATAATCTGACAAAAGTTAGCAACTTGCCTGTGTCTCTCGTGTGTGTGACCTGCGTGGGGGCAGGGCCACCCCTTCTGGGAGCGCACGGGGACGGACAGCGGTGACCCTGGGGCGAGGCGCTCTGGTGAGGGTACAGTTAGTTTGGAATCGGGACGGTGGCGCAACTTTCCGCTCCTCCTTTCTCTGCGCGAGTGTTTAAGCGTGACCTTGCGGGAGGAAGCGCGGCTGAACTTGAGATGGGGGTTGAGCTTGCGCCCCGGCTTGGCACAGAGACGTCGGAGCGCGCATTAGCCTGGCCTTGCAGCCGGGTCTCCCAGGAAGCGTGTGGGGATCGTCTGGCTCTGCTCGTCAGCTGGAGCCCTGACTCGCTCCTCCCTCCTACGCTAGGGTCCTCGGCGGCCGTACCATGCGCGGGGCTCGGTGGTGTGTTGGGCGAGGGGACACGTGCGCACCCAGAAGCGCGCAAGGGGGTGGGGGTTGGGCAGGTCACTGCGTCTCGCGGGCTGGGCGAGTCCCGCAGAGGGAGTCAGCCGTGACCCTGAGGGCAGTGACTGGCTCGCCGCGTCCCTGCATCAGGCATTCGCCCGGCTTTCTCGTGATTGTTTCCGGGCACCCCTGGCCTCTCCCGACTTCTCCCCCTCGCGGGTCCCCAAGCCCCGCAAGTTTGCGACGAGCTGGTTCTCCAGGGAGACAGCGAGCGCCCACCCCCGCTCTGCGGCTGGGTGTGTGTGGTGAGAGGAAGAGACGGGAGGAGGAGGCGAGGCCGACTCGCCAACGAGGAAAACGGGGTGAGAGGGGAGCCGGGTTTTCCAATAGTCGCCAGGGCGCCTGGCACGTCGTAGGTGCTAACGCAGTGTTCATTGACAAGGCCCCAAGGTGGAAGGTGCTGGCAGGGGCCCGGACGCCCCCTTCTTCCCTTCCAGTCTCTAAAATGGAGTTCAAATGTATCGACCAAGCCCTTTAGGCTTCTAGACGTGCCTGGAGCACCTACTACGTGCGGGGGCTCTACTCCTGGCCTGTTCGTAGAAGCTGCGGGCGGAGCCTCCTGATTTTCTTTACCCCGCGCTGCCCAAGCGCCCAGAGGCTTCGAAAAGGCAAGGTGCACTGCCCCCTGCCGGCTGCTGTGGAAACTGCCGCTTGTCTCTGCGGTGGGGAAGGGGCGCCCAGTGCGGGGGTCCCTCAGTGCCTTCCCGCACCTCCCCTTCCTGCCCCAAACATTAGGACCCCTGCCGGCTGTTTTCTGAAATCCCATGGTTGGCTGAAATGACTGACTAGAGTTCACCACTCCGTGCCCCTCAGCCTCTGCCAATATCTGGGTACAGCGTGGGGCCTCTTCTAGTCTCCCGTCTCTCTGTCTCTGTCTCTCTTTGGTCGCCAGACTTAACCTCTCGGCGTCTCAGTTTCTATATCTGCAAAATGAGGCCAATAATACATTCTCCAAAATACGTTCTGCATAATTGCGAGTGGCGATAATACATATAATTAAGTGAATGTGTGTATGTATAGGTAGTTCATACTCTACATGTGTGTATGTGTATACCTTGACTTCAGGTCTAGGGAAAAAAGTTCCATCGTACACTTTTTGCTAAATAAAGAATGAATAGAGGGCTCCTTCTCCTCTTGCCTTTTCAAAATCCCACAAACCCTGAAGTTTGCTTTCCCTGCATTTTTCTGGGCCGGCATTTGCTGTTTAGAGTCTGATTGGACAAGGCCAGGACCTGGGCTTGAGCAGGGCCTTTGTTGCCTACCTCCCTGGCTGGGAGGCCACAGCACCCCACCCAGGGTGAGAGAGAAAAACAGGAAGCGTTGCTAGAAGTGATGGCAGAGGAGGGTTTCTTAGGGAGTGTGGAGTCTGTTCCTCGAAGCTCTGCAGCAGCAGGCGGAAACTGCCTTCTGAGCAGCCTTCTTGCTGATTGTAATCAGGGCTGTACTGCCCCCCTTCCCTGGTGGCGCTCACAGCATTGGCTGTCGCTGATCTGGAAGCCCTTCTTATGGGGATGAAGTCGTCTGTGAGCTTGACAGGAAGGAGTCCTTCTAGGTCCTGGGTCTTTGGGGGTGAGGTAGATCTCTGTCTCCCCTCCCCACCAAGCAGCCCCCGAGCCAGGACACCACCCAAAGGCAGGCAGTTGACATTACCCAAGGAAGGGCCCTCTCCCATGTGTGACTCTGAGGCTTCTGGTCAGGTAACCTTGCTTGAGTCAGTTCCTGTGTAGAAGGTTGCTGACTCAAAGGGTTTATATTTGGGTAGAGCTTTGGCCAGGGATCTAAACATTAACCCTCACTCTAGGCCCCTCCCACACCACCAAAAGCGACCAGGAAAGCAAAAAATAAAATCCACCAGCCATCTTGTAAAAGCTTTCCAGTGAGTTCTGCATGCCTGTGTGCATACACTCCACAGGCTGATGGAAGAGCTGGCCCGGTCACAAAGAATTCTAGAATAAGACTTAGATGCAGCTTCGTTCCGTTGTGTAGACTTTGTGGAAACTTCAGCATCCCTGCTGGCACACCTGAGGAGCTGAGAGCTCTCTTCTGCTCTAATTTGGTCACAGGAGCCCAGACCGGGGCCCTGTGAGAGCCTGCATTTGAGTCCCAGTGGCAGCGCTCAGTTACTTTGCAACTTGGCTCCCAAACTATTCCAGGCTCTGGGTCTCAGTTTCACTCTCAAAATAAGAGGCTTGGCTGGGCACAGTGGCTCAGGCCTGTAATCCCAGCACTTTGGGAGGCCGAGGTGGGTGGATCATTTGAGGTCAGGAGTTTGAGACCAGCTGGCCAATGTGGTGAAACCCTGCCTCTACTGAAAATACAAAAATTAGCCGGGCATAGTGGTGGGCTCCTGTAGTACCCAGCTACTCAGGAGGCTGAGGCAGGAGAATCACTTGGACCCGGGAGGTGGAGATTGCAGTGAGCTGAGATCGTGCCATGGCACTCCAGTCTCGGCGACAGAGTGAGACTGTCTCAAAAAAAAAAAAAAAAGAGAGCAAGGCTTTAGAGTTCTGCTGCCCGTCACTGAGGGTCCATTAAAAGCTTCTCTTTGTGAAGACAGCCACCACCTGATTTATGTTTGCTTCAGCCAGCATCATCCTCAAAACCCTCCCGGTATCACAGACAACCCTGGCTTGGGGCAGCTGGACTGTCTACTACCCCATGCCAAGGGCATCTCCCCTCTCAAAGAGTGGCCAGGACCATTCGGAGCCCACACCCGCTTGGCAAAGTCATTTTCTAGCAGTTCTCAACGCTAGATTTTGAAAGCAGTCCCAGAAGTTTCAGACTCTGAGGTCTGAAACCTGACAGAGCCAGGGTGCCATCTGTGGGGACTCCCAAATGGTACATATTGCAGAAGGAACCCCAGTGATCTCACCAGGGCCTGTTTTGCTTCCCATCCACAAGCTGAACATGACCTTAGAAATCACTTTGGTCAGCCCTTTCACTTTAATGTAAAAATATTGAGGCTCAGAGGGGAAGTCACTGGACTGTAAAATCTGGGGTTTTATTGTTTATTTGGTCTTGTTATTGGTGGTGGTTGGGTTGTTTTGATTTCAGTTGAGCCAACATTTACTGGGAACTTATTACCTTCCAGGAGCACCATGCAAAGTGCGGAGATGCAGAGAGGAAAGACTACTCGGTCCTTGTTCCTTGCTGTCCCAGAGGTCACAGTGCTGTGGGGAGGGGGACAAGGACATACCCTGTCAGGCTGCGTATATAAATACACAGGTGCTAAGCAAAATGGGAACGGAGAAGGGAAAGGTTCCCTCCACCTTGAGAGACCCACAGAAGGGTGTTCTAGAGATGGATGAGTCAGACTGCAAGAGAGCAAAGATATCTTCCTGAATACATTCAATATCAAAGCATCATGTGCCCTGTGTGTGCAAAATAATAATAATCATAATAATAAAGTAAAATAAAAGATTGGCTGTAAGCCTGTTCCACATGGTTCTGAAGAGGTAAGGGAATTGGGAATTTTAGAGGTTCAGTGCTTTGGCCCCATTTCCCTCCTTAGGTCCTGATCTCTGGTTTGTTTGTGTGAGAGGAATGGTTGCCTTGCAGCCAGCCTGCAAGTTCCTACACCATGAGAGCCTCCAAGCATTGGAATGCCCGTGTATAAAACAGAGAGTGGCTGCTTTGCATTTGCCTTTTTAAAAAAATAAAATAAAACTTAGTGCTTTATTTTTAATGCTCATCCGTATACTTTATCTCAGATTTTCATAGCTGATTTGGGAGGGTGGCATGGCAGGTGGCAGGTAGGAGAAAGCGCCCAGGTTTTCAGGGGGACGCTACTATCCAGGCCGGCTGAGTGAGCTGGAGCAAGTCCCTGCATTTCCGTGAGCCAGGTTTGAGGTGCATGTGGGTGATCACCCCCTGCAATGCGGGGGATGCAGGGCCCCCAGGAGGATTAAGGGAGAGGATTCTTGGGAGAGTTGTGCATGCGGGAGTCCCAGAGCCTCCTTGATTCCAGTTGCATTAAGTCTGTTTATAAGAGAAAGTGATCGCATTCCTCAAGACAGAGCCTACGGGAGACAGAGGAGTTGACTGAAGGCAGGAAGTTTTGGAAAACTCCTGGAAAAGCACTTGAAGTAGGAGGAGGCTGATTTTAAGGTAAAATGGTTTGTGAATGATCCGCCTGGAAGCAGTAAGGCCTAATGACTGTGTTGGGGGAGCATGCTCCTCTCATTCCTATGGGTTGTGTCAAACTTTTGGCTTCTTTGTCCCTAGGGCAGGACACAGCATTACTAGTTAGCCAGAACCCTGGCCTAAGAAGCCACCCAAAGCACTGTTACCAGGAGCAGAGACACACAGGGGAGGTGGGGGGCAGCATAAGATGGTCGGGGTGCCCAGCATCATAAGCCACCTGGAGGGAGCCCTTCCTATGTGGCCTGGCTGGCCAGCAGGGATGGGATTTGTGTCAAAGTTCAAGGCACCTGCAGTGGACGCTATTGTGGTTCCCACCTGGGACAACTGTTAGAGAGGGCTCTGGAGTTGAGGTGTTTTCTACAGAGTCAGGGGAATCCCTGCAGGGAAACCACTGGCCAAGGACACAGAACTCCTGGGCCCTGGCCCTGGCCCTGGCCCATCTGCTCCGGGCCGGGGACCTTGGGCACGTTGTTTAACCTCTTTGACCCTTCGTTTCCTCACCTGGGAGATGGTAGTATAAATTCCCACTCCCTCTGTTACAGGAGAGTTAGGAGGACCCCACAAAATGAAGCACAGGAACCTGCCTTATTGATAAGAATTTTAGTAGCATCTACTTTTTATAGTTTAATGTACACCCAGTAGTGCCAAGTATTTTGAACATCTTATCATTCTGGGGTTCAGCAGGAAGCATTGAATGGAGGGTCTGAATAAAGATGTGCTTCCAGAGATGGTGCCCACATTCAGAGAAGTCAGCAGGGGATGCTGTAGCACCTGGGCCCATTTACCACCCCCAGAAGAAGTGGCACGGTAGGGGAAGGGCTAGGGGAACCAGGAGAGCATCGCAATAGTTGCCAGAAGCCTCTGGAAGAGAGAGACCACAAGGCCCCCTCCTCAACTTGGCAGGAGAGGAGCCAGGCGGATCAACCCTGCAACCTTGCTCTCCTCTGTCCTGCCCTCTGCAACTCTGTGGCACCAAGAGCTGAGCCCACCCAGCAGCCAAAGGCAGGGAGCTCCCTGATGGAGCCCCCCAGGGCAGGACAAGGTGGAGGTGGATTAGGAGCAGGCCTGGAGGAGACACACACACACACACACACACACACACACACACACACACACAGGCACACAGAGCTGTTATCTCATTTGAATCTGCAACAGCTGGGGGTGGGGAGGAGTAGTCACAAGATTACCAGTTGGCAGGTAAGATGCCCAGGAACTGGAGGGTAACCCCCTTGCCTAAGGCCACACAGCTGGTGGGAGCCCACATTTTAACCCATTGTGTCTTATCAGCCCTAGTAAAGTAAGAAGATCCATTGTAAGACATTATGAAGACCTTCAATTGTTATCAGTAGCATCTTAATGAGAAGCAGAATAGTTTAAGTGTTAAGGTTTGCCTGGGTTTCAATTGGAGGTTTATTACTTAGTGATCAAATTACTGACCTTTTCTATGTCTCAGCTTCCTCTTCTATCATGAAGGCACACTTTGTACAGTTGATGTGAAAACTAAACAAGTTTATTCAGTAAAGGTCTCTCAACAAATGTTAGTTTTGATTCCTGAGAAGGTCAAGATTTAGACAGGGCGGTGTGGGTGTGAGTGGTACTTCAACATGGCCTTTTAACCTATTCAGCATTCAAATAATATGGTTTGAATATTTGTAGGTTAAAAGTTTCTTTCTTCCAGTTATTCTGACGATGTTTGTTTCATTTCTTCTGACTCTGTGTGTGTGTGTGTGTGTGTGTGTGTGTGTGTGTATTTTCTCTTTAAAACACATGAAAGTGCCAAAGGAGAGAATGACAAGAAATTTAAAGACCTAAATTGGCTTTATTGTGATTCTAGAATTGAGCAACACTTCGTTCCACAAAACAAACAGAATAGGTTTTCCAGTGAGCTGAGCAGAGGAGGTTGGCTTTATAAACAGGACTGAAGAAACCAGAAGCAACAAAGTGTGTACTCATTACATTTAGAGAGAACACTAGAAAAATAACTGATTAGTTAACATCCGGTTACTTTAGGCTGCCTTTTTTTGTGCTAAGGATTAAAGCCGAGAGAACTTCATGATCATACCAGTTGACAATTTAATCCTGCTTATTTGAGAAATTGACTCTCTCTTGATTTCTCAGGAAGTCAGATGACAACTTAGTTTTGTCGATGGCTGTTGTAAAACCTCGGTTCTTGTCTCCTTAGTTTAAAAGAAATTAAACAAGAGACACACAGCAAAGGAGATGCAGCATGGAGCGATTTGTTGCAAAAGAGGCAGGATATTCTGAAAGTGACGTGCAGAATAGACAGTACACTCTGAGACAGGATTCAGGGCGGGCTGCTCGTGAGGATGGGACAGCATTGACTTACTGGGGAGACTCCCTTGATGACAGCCTTACACGGTTATTCATAAGGAGGCAGGAAGAGGCGCTAGCAGTAAGCATGTTCTGGGTGGTCTTCGGGGTGCACATGTGCAGCAGCTGTACCTGCTTGCTTGTATGTTACATGTCTCATTAACATCTGAAATCTCCACCCGGGAGTGTGTTTTTTACTATTATAATGAGCAAAGGTTCAGTCTGAGGACAGGTAAAATCAAAATGTGCACCCTCTTACGGGGGAAATTCCTTACTGGAGCTAGTTTGGCTTGAGTGAACTGGACTACAGTGTGAATGCTGGCGCTTATCGTGTTGACCCTGTGGTCGCCATGCCACGGTTGCCACATCTCGAGGACATGGCTCCCTTTTTGACTACCTATCCCGCCTCAGTTTGGATTTGGGGACCTGGAACTTTAGCGTGGGTAACTCCATTTTGATTCTCAGCCGGCCCTGTTGGGGCCTAGTGCGGAAACTTAGTCCAAAACAATGGCCTTCTATAATTTTTATTAAACAAATCCTATGTAATCATGTATGATTCTAAAGCCCTTAATGGAGTATAAAATATGACTTAAAAATTACTTGCAATAATTCAGAAAAGTTGAGAAGAAAAGAACATTAGCTCCAAATTATTTGGCAGAATTAAAAAGAGGGTTACAAGTGACT
Source organism: Homo sapiens (assembly GCF_000001405.40). Classification (NCBI taxonomy): domain Eukaryota; kingdom Metazoa; phylum Chordata; class Mammalia; order Primates; family Hominidae; genus Homo; species Homo sapiens. The sequence continues at coordinate 133,563,253 of NC_000008.11, read as the reverse complement.
TTTGGAAAGTACACATTGGGGTGTACAAATAAAGTACTTTCTCTGAATTTCATTAGCTACATTAAAAAAAGAAAAGATCAAATGCAATAGATAGCACTGTAATAGATTTTGCTACATTAAAAAAAATCCATTTGAATACACAGTGAACTAAAACACCAGAGTGGCTAAAAAGTCCCTTCATGCATATTTACTTAGCAGAGAGCTCTTGAGAAAGACCCAACCAATAAACCCCAACCAAAGCAAATCCAGCTACTTCTCTAGCTGAGAGGGTGGAATGACTCCAAAATATTGTTTCAAGCTCAAAAAGCCTAAAACAACTCCACATAAAAAAACAAAAATCTATCTAATTGGACATTTACCTTTTTGGAAATAAAAGGCCCAGTGGGAAAAAAAAAAAAAAAAAGAAAGAAAGGAAGGAAGGAAGGAAGGAAGGAAGGAAGGAAGGAAGGAAGGAAGGAAAGAAAGAAAGAAAGAAACCCTTTTCTTAGATCCTTAGAAGACTCGACTGGAGCCCAAAATAAATCCCCTGAATTGGCCAAGTATTAAAGGACTCTATTCTCCTTCCCTGCCTTTAGTGTGCTGGAGCCCTAACAAGGGCAAAGAACTGCCAGTGGTCAAGAGCTCAAACACCCGGAACAACCCAGCGACATTCACAGACACCAGCAACTACAGCCCTGACCCGAGTTGGCCCTCAGTTCAACTCTTCTGACGGTCCTCCTGATTTTGCAGATAAAGATGTGGATTCAGGCCAGGCCCTGTGGCTCATACCTGTAATCCCAGCACTTTGGGAGGCTGAGGTGGCCAGATCACGAGATCAAGAGATCGAGACCATCCTGGCCAACATGGCGAAACCCCATCTCTACTAAAAATACAAAAATTATCTGGACATGATGGTGTGTGCCTGTAGTCCCAGCTACTCGGGAGGCTGAGGTAGGAGAATCACTTGAACCCAGGAGGCGGAGGTTGCAGTGAGCTGAGATCCTGCCACTGCACTCCAGCCTGGTGACAGAATGAGACTCTGTCTCAAAAAAAAAAAAAAAAAAAGATGTGGATTCACAGGGGAGAAGTGACTTACTGGCCAAGGTCACATGGGCCTCTGCCTCCAGATCTTCTGTGTGTCTGAAATTATCATTTCTACTTGGTAGGTCTCTCTTTTTTTTTATTTTTATTTTTGGAGACAGGGTCTTGCTCTGTTGCCTGGGCTGGAGTGCAGTATATGATCTTGGCTCACTGCAACTTCTGCCTGCTGAGCTCCCACCTCAGCCTCCTGAGTAGCTGGGACTACAGGTATACGCCATTGTGGATCACTCTTGGTGAAGGGATAAGCCCAGACCTTCACCAACCTTGCAGTTCTATCACAGTCGTCCTTAGTTTATTCCTTTAGAGTCCCCATCAATCACCCTTCCCACTCTGAACTGTAGAGAGGTACACAGCACAGTGAGTTGACTTGATCAACATCTGGTCGAGTGTCTGGGAAATGGCAGATCTAGGCCTTGAGCCCTGGTAGAGCTACCTCGCTTCATTCCCAGCACCCCAGTACCTTACTGCCTCCACCTCACCCCCGTGCTCCCTCCTTGGCTGAGCGTGAGAACAGTGGCAAAAAAAACAACATAAATCTAAGTCTCTACATCCTCATTAGATCCTAGAGTCAGCTGATGGTGCCCAAATTATCATCACAACAATATAACGTAACATAACATAACACAACCACCACGACCACCATTTACAGTTCATGTGAAATAGGAGTGAACCGGAACCACAAGCTGACTTGGCCAAGAACCAGCTTTAGCATTAGGATGTCAGAGAGCTCAGCTGCCACCTGTGAGACTGAGGGGAGGCAGTGGAGGGTTCTGATGGTGAGACCCAGGTATGTGTGTCTCAGTGGAACCTCCAGAAAGCTCAAGGAATTCATGGCACTCGGAGACATGTAGTTGGGTGGTTTGCCCATTGTTTAGTTATTGTGCATGTAAATCCTTTTCTTGCAGAGGTGGAAATCAGCTTCTAAGGAGATGGAGTCAAAGTCAAGCAACAGAGGCCAGAGGGGAGGAAAATCTTGCAGACGGTTTGGGAACAGGGGATCTTGCTTGAAATTTTTTGGGGCAAACTGATTAACTGGCAGCAAGCAAAAAAAAAAAAAAAAAAAAAGATGGCTCTGGGCAAACCTTGAGTAAGGCTTCACAGAAAATAATTTCAGTTGATTGCATTTTCTAGAAAACTTTAAGAGTTTAACTGTGCACTCTACGTGACAGGCTGTCTGCCCTCCACCTGGGCTGGGCTGCATTGCCTACTTCCCCTCATTAGAATTTCTCATTCGTTTACTATGGGAGCCTAGTCTTTACAGTGACTCTCTGTAAAGTGTATGTTTCCACTTTTTTCTTAATCCCATTTTATAGATGTGGAAACCAAGGTTCAGAGAGGTTAAGTCACTTAACCGAGGTCACTTAGCTCGAAAGTGGCAGAACCAGGATTTATAAGTGCACCATTTCTGTCTGAAGCCTGAGACCTCAGGCCCCATGCAACGTAATTCCCAAGTCATCCTATATCCCTGGCTAAGTGGGGACTCTGGAAGGGAAGGGCAGCTTCTCTAAGGTTCAGATAGGAAACTAGTCACACCAGGTGCCTGGCCCCCAGCCCAGCCCACGAGACGTGCTGTGACCACCTGGGCCCTCTGGTGACCATGAACCCATGCTCTGTAACATCCTTTTGGGCAGGAGTTCCTGACTTTTCTCCACCTGGTGCTTTCCAGGTCTCACACCAGCAGCTTCATTCTCCCAAAGCCTGGGGCTCTGAGTCTTCTCCCCGATTCACCATCACTGGGTGAGTCCGTGGGTTTATTTAGCCTGTTACATTCTGGCTTTATTTTCTTCTAAGCTGCTAAATTCATCATAATTTATTACACAGCAATAGATAATACACACGAAATGCAAATACTTTTTCTGTTATAAGTTGTCATGCTGATGGAAGTGATGGTATTTCAGTGTGTTTTTTTTTTTAGTAAAACTGACACATAGTAATTGTACATATTTATGGGGTACGTAGTGAGTTTTCATACATGCAATGTAGAGTGATCAAATCAGGGTAATTTGCATATCTGTCACCTCAAACATTCATCATTTGTGTTGGGAACATTCAAAATCCTCTCTTCTAGCTATTTGAAAATATGAAAATATATTATAAATCCTTGTTTACTATAGCCACCCTGCAGTGCCACAGAACACTAGAACCTATTCCTCCTATCTGTAATTTTGTTTCCTTTAACTGCTCCACATCCGTCCCTGCATGGCTGCTTGCAAGAACTCATCTTTGTGGCTTGTTGTTATAAATTGAATTCGAAGAGCCCCAAGGTGCCTGGGGATTGAGGGAGGCGGTGAGCCACTTTGAGCCTGCCGGGGGGTTTGGAGAAAGGACTGAGCAGGAAGGCTGAGTGCAAAGTTTGCAATCAGGCGTGTAAACTTAGCCAGCTCCCTAGCTAGATGGGAGCCTCTTGGAGGCAACCTGCTTCACGTAAAAGGAATCGTCAGCGTCGCTGTTGCAACCTTGGAAAATTCCCTTTTAATAACATCTTCACAATGGAGAGAAAGGTTTGTTGTTCTTCTTCTTACTTGAAAACACTGTTAATCCTACCACCTGGTGGAGAGTTTGATGAATAAAGACCGTTGCTCAGGAAACATGTTAGCTGCCACGAATAGGAATGTCTTTGTGAGGTGTATTACTGGTTGTTTCTAAAACATAATCTTATGTTTTAAAATTCAGTCTTTTGGCAAAAAAAGGAAATTAAAATGAAAGGGAGAGATTAGGCAGACAGTACCATCGTTCTTTCTTTCACCACCTGATAGAAGCTTCAAATGGAAAACACACCTTTCAGAATGGGTTGAAGAACTGGTTCCAACCTAAGGTCTGCTGCTATTTTCTGTTTCTCCCTGCGACCTGGAACAAACTGAGCTCAGCAAACATGATCCTTGGACCACAGTAAGTCCTCATTTAATGACATCGATAGGTCCTTGGAAATTGTGAGTTTAAGGGAAACGACATAAAAAACTGATTTCACCATAGGGTAACTGATATAAACAAGAGTTAAGTATCTCTGATGTATTTCTGTTCATAAAAATATCACCAAACTTCTAAATGAAGGCCCCAAACAGCATCGCAGGTGGCCACAGCCTGTCCCAGTGGCTTAGGACGTGCACACATGCACACACACACACACACACACACACAAAACCACACTCTATCGCCCTGGGACCACATAAACACAGCAGTTCACCTGATATGCACAGCTTTTTGGGGTGTGGGAAACTGGAGTGCCTGGAGAAGACCCACGAGGACATGAGGAAAACTTGCAAACTCCACACACACAGTGGTCCCGGCCGGGAATCCGTATTCTTCTCATCAATGTTATAATGAAATGCTGTTGAATGAAACAGCATTATTGGAAGACCTGCGGCATAGGATTTTATACATTAAACTGACATTTATGCAATGTCAGAAATCCAAACAAGGAGAAAAAAATATACTGGCTGTGGAGACAGTTTTGAATATCAGAATACTTCTGCATTGTCAGGAACCTGCCCCGGATGGAGTAAAGGAGGTTTTCTCTTTTTCTCTGAGCCATGGTGTCATAAACTTTAGTCACCATTACTTGCGGGAGGACGGGGGCATGGTATGTTGGTTGAATAATTAGTTACAGAGGTTGCACACTTAAATAGTGTCAAAGAATTATAAAATCTTAGCATTTGCAAAGAGCCTTTGCAGTAACCTTGTTCAACCTTCTTCTATCTACTGAGTCTTTCATTGATTCCTTGATTTACTCATAAAAGTATTAGCTCTGCCACTGCCTAACTGCGTGTCCTTCAGCAAGTTGCTGAACCTCTCTGTACTTCCCTTTCCTCATCCATAAAATCTGGATAACAATGGTACCTACCTCCCAGGAGGTAATAAATAAGCATTCAATGAGTTAACACTTGGACCGTGCTCAGAAGAGTCCTTGTTAAAGATATGCTGTGGCAACACATCATCATCAATTACATTCTTGTTCCGCCTCCTTGAGCTGCATTTTTCACTACCTGTGGTAGGGAGCTCTGTGCCCCACACAGTGGTGTTTTGACCTCTGGGCAGCTTTGCGGTTTAGAAGGCTCTTTCTCATTCAAAGCTTCCAACCAGAGAGCGCTTCCTGGAGCAGATGGCAGAATGGTGCTCTTAGGAGCTATCTGAATTTAAGGATGGGAAAGTTGTCTGGGCTGTGAAGCTAGGGTATCATCACTGGACATCAGAGGCACAAGAGACATACCTAAGATTTTAGCCATGAGGGGGACCTCAAGACACTGGCCTCTTTTTTTTTTTTTTTTTTTTGAGACGGAGTCTCACTCTGTTGCCCAGGCTGGAGTGCAGTGGCATGATCTCAGCTCACTGCAACCTCCGCCTCCCAGATTCAAGCAATTCTCCTGCCTCAGCCTCCTGAGCTCACTGCAACCTCCACCTTCTGGATTCAAGCAATTCTTCCGCCTCAGCCTCCTAAGTAGCTGGGATTACAGGCACGCGCCACCACGCCTGGCTAATTTTTGTATTTTTAGTAGAGACAGGGTTTCACCATGTTGGTCAGGCTAGTCTCAAACTCTTGACCTCATGATCTGCCTGCCTTGGCCTCCCAAAGTGCTGGGATTACAGGTGTGAGTCAGACCACGGCCTCTTTATTTTACAGCCGAGAGGACAGCACAGACAGGGCCTGGCTGGTGCGACAGCTCAACCCATCATCAGGCAGAACCTGGATAGGAGGCCAGCCCGTGGGGTGATACTGCCAAGGCCTGCATTACCACTCAGTTATCCTCTCATCTTGGGCTGCTCAGGGTGCCCTAGAGAACATGCCTTCTGTGCCCTCCTGCACTAGAGCAGGCAGGAAGAGCAGCCTGGACCATGGGTACCACATATCCTATGAGGACCCCATTGTGCCACGCGTTGGTTGACTGGATGACTTCCACTGTGTTTACACTGCACAGTCTCCTCACTTCCTTTAGACCTCCCGGTGAGCAAGCTTGTATTGTCTTTTGTGAATTCTGGCATCTGCCTCCCCTCTTTTTCTTCCTGAGGTTCTGCCCAGGAAATACCACATACTGGTCATTCTAGGCCCATTCACTGTCTAATCAGGCTTTGAGCTTGCTAGTGCTATCAGTGTTTTACAGCTGAGAAGGCTGGCTCGCTGAGGTTGGCCATTGCCTGAAGGTCTCCCAGGTTGGGAGGGTCAGGTTGGGGGGTTGTCACATACCCCTTTCCACCATGTCACAATGTTTCCTTCTAACACATGCATGCACATCATAAAAGGCTCGAGACCCAGTATATCTGGTCTCCCTGCCTGCATTAATAGCACCGCTGCCAACCTCCCTCCCACTTCCCTCCACTTAGTTTTATCATCTAAGAGGCCAAAAGAACAAAATGTCCCCCCTCCACCACACCATATTTCAAAGGGCTATAAATAGGACTGTTAGTGGTGGCATTCTGGGTCACATTTGCCAGGGACAGACTTTATATGATGTCAGCCGTGTCCTTGGGTGCAAGGTTTCCATGGCTAATAGTTTTCTTTCTCCCTTCTCTTCCTTCCCATTTTCGTTCCTTCTTTTTCTCCCTCCCTTTCTTCTTTCGTTTCTTCATCCTAAAAATCTTGTTCGAAAGTACATAGTTATGCAGCCTTCATTAGCTGAGGTTGCTTAGAAGACAAACAGGTCCATGTTTCACAATTCCTCCCAGATCTGAGAAAGGAACGTGACTCTGAGCGGACAGAACAATATATGCTGGGCCCAGAGGACAGCTGTACAGCCTGCCAGCATCTCACTCCTCTGAAAGCAAATTCAGTCCATCCAAGAGCAAGGCCAAGGGGTTGTCTCCTGTCCAGGAGGCCAAGGCCAGGGGGAGAAGACAGGCTCTGGAGTCACCAGGCCTGCTGTTGATCAGTGGTGAGATCTGGGGCAAGTGACTTCCACGTCCGAGCTTAGTGTTACCCCTTGTGCTCTGGGGGTGACACCAACTCATCTTCCTGGGTGAGAGTGGAGATTCAAAAAGAAAAAACAAGCTGGGCATGGTGGCTCATGCCTGCAATCCTAGCACTTTGGGAGGCCGAGATGGGTGGATTGCCTGAGCTCAGGAGTTCGAGATCAGCCTGGGCAACATGATGAAACCCCGTCTCTACTAAAATACAAAAAAAATCAGCCAGGCGTGGTGGCAGGTGCCTGTAATCCCAGCTACGCGGGAGGCTGAGGCACGAGAATTGCTTGAACTTGGGAGGCGGAGGTTGCAGTGAGCCGAGACCGTGCCACTCCACTCCAGCCTGGGCACCAAAGTGAAATTCTGTCTCAAAACAAAACAAAGCAAAACAAAACAAACAAACAACAACAACAACAAAAAAAATGGGTAGGTTGGGAACAGCCCCAGAGAAGAGATGGCCTTCAAGCTGGGACTGGAAAGATGGTGAGCCGTTCCAACAGCAGCAGTGAGGGGTGGAGAGGGCACCCCATGGAGGAATCCACTGCCCAAGCCAGGCACCCGCCGACTCCTGTGATTGGAGGGAAGAGGTGGAAAAAAAGGAAACAGGGAGGTCCCAATCAGGTGGGTCCTAAATGGCTTGATCCTTTCGGTAATGAGGTGCAAGCAAGGTTTCTTTTCCTTCCTGCAGAATGGGATTTCATCAGACTCCCCCTCCTTTCTTTTTTTTTAGGAAAACCATGTGGCCCAGGTTCACAGTGGATGGGAGGGCAGGACGAATGTCCCATCAATGGTGCGGGTGGGAGTCACTGTGAGCCACATTTGGAGTGTTTGCTCCAATGTGAGAATTGGTGACTTTATCTCTGGGGTTTGAGAACAGATTGCACTACGGTGCTGAGAAACGACACATGGAAAGTGACTTGGAGATTACGAGCCTGGTGGCTGAGAGGACTGGGGAGCCAGGGATGACAACGGCAGGGGGAGCAACAGAAATCCACACCAGGGAAGCGTGCTGTTCCTCCCATTACAGACCCATTGGATCTGAGATGAGGAAGATGAACTAAAGCCCGGCCAGGCTGAGACGGGTGAAGAAAAAGCAAAGGCAGAGGAGTGAAGCTCAGTTCAATTCTGGAAAGGCTGAGCAGTCCCCCGCGGGGGTGGCCTGCTTCCTCCCCAGGCCGCACAGACACCAGCCGGGAAATCCCTTCCCATTCCCTTGTCTCCCCAGCCCTCAGAGTGAAGTAGAAAAACCCAAGTAGGCTGGGCGCGGTGGCTCACACCTGTAATTCCAGCACTTTGGGAGGCCGTGGCTGGCAGATCACGAGGTCAGGAGCTCGAGACCATCCTGGCCAACATGGTGAAACCCCACCTCTACTAAAAATACAAAAATATTAGCTGAGTGTGGTGATGTGTGCCTGTAATTCCAGGTGCTCAGGAGGCTGAGGCACGAGAATCGCTTGAATCCAGGAGGCGGAGGTTGCAGTGAGCCGAGATCGCGCCACTGCACTCCACCCTGGCGACAGAGCAAGACTCCGACTCAAAAAAAAAAAAAAAGAAAAGAAATAAAGAAATAAAAAAACCCCAAGTAGATGGCTGGACCAGCACTTAGGAGGAAAGCAGGTGTTCAGTTAAAGTTTCTCCAATCTGAATCAGACAGGCAGTAGCAGATGTGAAGAGGAGGAGGTGGTGGCCCAGGAGAAGGTACCCTCTCTCACTCATGCTGACCTGGTCATGGGCAGTCAGCGCAATCCTAGCCTTCTTGACATCCTTAGTCCTTTCAGAAAGGGCCCATCTCCTTTGATTCATAGTTCTCACTCTCCAGCCTTCAGCCCTTCATCTGCCTACACCCCTACATCCCACTGTCGAGTGTAGGATTTTGGAACACCATTGTCAGAGGGTCAGTGGAATGGATCCACCCCCACCGCTGCAGTGTAAACGTGGCTCATTCATGTCATTCGCTGCAAGGGAGCATAGGGTTGGGGCAGCCGGAGAGCAGCAGATGGTCATGTGCATTCAGGTGTCTTCCAGAGTAGCCTGGTGACTTTGGGCAGGTGATTGCAGACTCTGAAAAATGGGTCTAGAATTTGACTCATGCTCATGGTTGTGAAATTAACTTTTGGAAAAGTGCCTGGTACCTAGTAGGAGCTCAACAATGAGGAGCGGTCCTATTCCCTAAAGACAGAAATCCTCCACCTTTGATGAGAATCAGAAACCGCTATACAGCCCTGATTGGGTGGATCTTGTCGAAGGGTCCCAGTTCCAGGGGCTCAGTGCATGGAGTCTGCAGAAGCAATAAGGCCCCGGACACCTCCCTGTACTCTTCTCCCTTGTGTCTCTTCCTCCTGGCCCCCTTAGCACCCTGCTCACTGGATCCTTCTGGACCCTCACTGTGAGGCCTCTTAGATTGCCGCAACCTATGTTGCAAACTTTGTTCTAGGAACCTGGTATCCAGGCTGTTGGCCATCTCTAATTTAGTCCTAAGATAGATTCCCAAAGGTGGCACAGGTTGCCTGTGGACCTTTTCACTGCATGATCCTAATCACAGCTGATGTTTTCTGGTGCTCTATGCTTTACTAAGTGCCCTCAAATGATGATAACAGAAAGATACTCGCTACCACTTCTCAACAAGCATACCAGGCAGTGTTCTGAGCTCCTGTGTACATTTTCTAATTCATTCTCATAACCCTATGAGGTCAGGGACTTTTATTATCCCCATCACCAAAAGAGGAGACACAGGTACTGAGTGATGAGATAACTTGTCCAAGACCCTGGTCAGTTGATGGCATAGCCATTGGCCAAGTCATTATTGTGTTTGTCCCTTTTGAACAGCAGGTAAAGTGAGGCTTTTCCTCATCTGTCTTCTTCATGACCATCATCATCAGCATTTCCACATTACAGATGAGGAAACTGAGGCTTCCAGAGGCACACGGGCAAGGCTGGTGAAACAGGAGCTGGGATCTAGGGGTTTGGATGCTGGGGTACAGGAACTCATCCTGGGGTTGAAGGTGGAGAGAGCTGGAAGTTGATTGTCTCAGTTCTGCTTACGTTCTGGCCACAATGAATCTGCTCATGGCCCATGTGGTACTAAGAGCTGTTAACAGCAAAGCAGAGTGGAGCAGGGAGGGCTTTTTATGCAAACAGTGGGGTGCACAGGGGGTTGGATAGTGTGTGCCTCAAGGTCATGTCAGCCCTGGCGCCGTCTCTACATTTGAACTCAGTATCCCTTTGAGCACAAAGGGATATTGTGTTGAAGACAGACCTGACTTTGAGTCTCATCTCTGCCAATTTCTAGCTGTGTGGCCCTGGGCAAATTATACTCTTTCAGAATCTTAATTTCCACATCTGTGAAATGGGAGTAAAACTACCAGCCCCAGAGGACTGCTGTGAAGCTGGAATGAAATCATGCACATGAGATGCTTTGCGTGCTGTTGGCCTCATTGTCTGTACTTAACCTATGGTTGCTATTGTTGATGATAATAGCTCTTCCAGCGAAGCAGCCAGACCTCAGTGGTTAGCCTTCAAATTCAGAAAGGCACTTCATTATGAGAGATCCCATGTGTTGAGCCCATTTCAGAGAGAGAGGTTATAAGTGAGAACAGCTTTCCTAGTCTAACAGGTGCATGTGCTTCCTGCCCAAAGTTCTTCTCACTTTTACTTTCAGATCAGCCAAGTTGGCCTCTGGAGTCCCTGGGTCTCCACAGAGGGAGATGCCACCGCACCCAAAGGGGACCCACTCTCTGAGCTTCCCTGCTCAGTTTGCTCAAACGCTGGCATGAACCATGTCATTCCTGGTTCACACACCCAGAATTTCTGCCCATAAACCTGGTTCTCGACATGCAGCCCAGCCAACGGCTCTGCTGAGGGCCTTCCAGCACTCACACCAGATGTTTCTAGGTCCTCTCACCATTCCTCACTCAGCTTCTGTGTCTGCTCTTGCACTTTCCTACTTCCGGGGCAACTTGTCCCATTTGCGAACTGATCTGGCTAGACTGTCTCAGTCTTGATCTCCTTCTCCGTCAGTGTCATGTCCCGGATGGGAATCTAGATTAAGAAACCACCTACTTGCACATTCATGAGCCTGCCCTGGACACAGAGTGGTGTGGTTCCTTGCTGATGGACCTGTGTTCTCTCTCCCCCTGCAGTGGGCTTTTCTAGGGCAGAGCTCAAAAGTGTACTGTTGTCCCCAGCAGGGCAGAACACAGTGCTTGGCCCAGCCCAGTGCAAGGCTCAGTAAATACTGATGGCAAGTAAACTGTGTTAGTCCCAGACTTTACAATAGAGTAGAGTTAGGAATTAGTTAATCATTCAGGCTCCAGCCTTTATCAGTCATATGACCTTGAGCAAATTACTTAATCTCCTCAAGCCTCCATTTACTCACCTTCAAAATGATGAAAATCATAGTATACACATCCAAGGACCATTGTGAAGATTAACTGAGCTTTTGAGTATAAAGGGCTTAGTTTAGCAAGTACCTGTAAGTACTTAAAAAATGTTATCTGTTATGCTAGTTTAAGTGTTATCTGTTATTGCTACTACCAGTATCAAAGTGATTTCATGTTGTTTTGTATTCACTTACTTCTTATCAGAGCCCTGCAAAGTAGTTGAAGCAGAGACAGTTCCATTTTACCAATGAGTAAAGTAAAACTCAGAGAAAGGCTTGCTCGCTCTTTCTTTCTTTCTTTCTTTCTTTCTTTCTTTCTTTCTTTCTTTCTTTCTTTCTTTCTTTCTTTCTTTCTTTCTTTCCTTCTCTTTCTTTCTCTTTCTTTCTTTCTGTCTTTCTGTCTCTTTCTTTCTCTTTCTTTCTTTCTCTCTCTCTCTCTTTCTTTTCCTCACTCTGTTGCCAGGCTGGAGTGCAGTGGTGTGATCTCAGCTCACTGCAACCTCTGCCTCCTGGGTTCAAGTGATTCTCCTGCCTCAGCCTCCTCAGTAGCTGGGACTACAGGTGCACACCATCACACCTAGCTAATTTTTGTATTTTTAGTAGAGACGGGGCTTCACCATGTTGGCCAGGATAATCTTGATCTCTTGACCTCGTGATCCACCTGCCTCGGTCTCCCAAAGTGTTGGGATTACAGATGTGAGTCACCAAAAGGCTGTTTTTCTAATATCACACAGCTTGACTTGACCAGTGTCCCCTAGGGGCACACCTAGAAGCAGGCCACACTTTTTGGATGGAACATGTCATGCCCACAGGCCTCAGAAAAGATCCCTATAATTTAAAAATGCAGCAATAGTATTCAGCCAGACCCAGTGGTAACAGTTATCCAGATGATTGTTTGCATGGAGAGGAAAAGCTATGATTTATTAAGCAAACTTGCCCTGCTCCTCCAGGAGTGGTATCCAGCTTTACTTCTAGTTTGCTGCTATACTTCAAGAAGACACAAAATTGGAGAATACACTCTCTTATGAGAGTTATTGTATTATATTGTACAGTAGAAAGGAGCCTCAGGTGGCATGAGGGGGCTGTGGATGGTGGAAGCGTGAATATGGGCCAAGAAATAATGATTTATGGGTTCAGAACAGGAGGAATGAGAACATAACCATGATTTGTTTGAGTGGAATTTGTCCTAATCTGTGCTCTAGCTGGAGAAGGTAGACATTTTTCTTGCTTCCGAGTCTCTTGGTTTAAGCCCAGCAGTTCCCTGCTTGGCTCCTAGATTGGTGCTAGTGGCTACCAGTTGGATGGATGGAAATGAAAGGGATGAATGGGCTGGAACAGGATGATAGTAATTCGCCTGGTATTAGGAAGAACACTGAACCCCGGGTCTAAGGCCCTCTGCCCACTGTCCAGCTGCACAGCTCTCCAGCTGTGTCATGGAGGAGCCACTTCTCTGGGCCTTGGTTTCCTCATTTGTGGTCTTGGAGAGTCACATGAGCTTTTCTGAACCTCTCCAAAAATGGGGACACTTTCTGATTTGTCTTTCTTGTATGGCTCGTGTGTATGAACATGCTTCACAGATGTTTCAGCGGTAAGAGTTTAGTTGTTGCTCTTAATTGGAAGCAATCTTGGAAGGGTGGGGAAATAGGGACTCAATATAGAAAGAGGCATGACAGCAGAGCACGAGTGAGAAGAGAACTGGGACATGGCTTTTAGAAAAGATTTCCAGGGCTCCTGTTAAAACCAAAAGGCAAGGAAAGTCTAAGGAGCTCATCAGGCTGTTCCTGGGATCTGGGGCAGAAAGACAGTGGAATAATTGCCTTTTCTCTGCATTTAACACCCCAGTGCTGTATTAGAGAAGCTGAGAAACTGAGGCTGCAAAAGGTGAGCCCCACATGGGGTGCAGTTCTAGTTTTGTTTGTTTGTTTGTTTGTTTTGTTTTTTGAGACAGAGTTTCACTCTTGTTCCCCAAGCTGGAGCGCAATGGTACGATCTTGGCTCACCACAACCTCTGCCTCCCAGGTTCAAGCGATTCTCCTGCCTCAGCCTCCTGAGTAGCTGGGATTACAGGCATGCACCACCATGCCTGGCTAATTTTGTATTTTTAGTAGAGACAGGGTTTCTCCACGTTGGTCAGGTTGGTCTCGAACCTCCGACCTCAGGTGATTTGCCCACCTCGGCCTCCCAAAGTGTTAGGATTACAGGCGTGAGCCACCACGCCTGGCGAGTTCTAGTTTTTAAGATAAGCCTCCAGGTTGCAAACTTGTCAGTTGGAATTTGGAATCCAATGCCATTGCCAACTTATTTTTTTCAAAGCCAACTTAAGACCAATGAAAGAATTGGTTCAAGATGTTATGCGTTGCTTCATGAAGAGTCTTAGGCTTTAATTGAAGATCACAGTCGGCCACAGGTGCCAGGCTGTGGAGTCAGAGGCTTCATTCAGAGCAGGGCTCCATGTTTAATCTGATTCATAGATTACCGCCTTATATCTTTTTTTTTTTTTGGAGACAGAGTTTCACTCTTATTGCCCAGGCTGGAGTGCAATGGTGCAATCCTGGCTCACCACAACCTCCACCTCCTGGGTTCTAGTGATTCTCCTGCCTCAGCCTCCCGAGTAGCTGGGATTACAGGCGTGTGCCACCACGCCTGGCTAATTTTTTGCATTTTTAGTAGAGACAGGGTTTCTCCATGTTGGTCAGGCTGGTCTCAATCTCCCAACCTCAGGTGATCCACCCACCTCGGCCTCCCAAAGTGCTGGGATTACAGGCGTGAGCCACCACGCCCCGCTACTGCCTTATATCTTATGGCATAGAACAGTTGCAGTATATATCCTGATATAGGCATATATACATGCAGGTTTTTATATTACAAGGATTCTCAACTATTTAGTAAGATGTAACATACATAAGGCCCAAACTCAGTAATGAGCTTCTGCGGAGTTATAAATCAGCCACATCCTGATGGATTCTCTGAGATTGATCTGGCTGTTCACCCATTTATTCATGGATTCACTGGTCATTATTTAGTGCCTCCTACACCCATATGATAGCCAGTGGGGTAAGAGTGGGGAAATCTAGTGACAAGTAAAATATAGCTCCCTTCCTCACCTCTGAAGTCTCAGTCTAGTGAGAGCAACCAACAGTGGGATTGAGGTGATGCCCGGTGCTTAGTAAATTCTTGCTAAATGAGAGAATGAATGAAGAAACACATGAATGTGTGCTCCCAGGGTGCTCCCAGGTAAGGCCCTAATCCAGCTTCGAGTTTGGAAGGTGGTGTGTCCAAGAAAACATCTTAGAAGTGTGGTACCTGTATTGTTTTGGTCACCCTCTCATTCAAGAAATAGGAATAGGCCTTCTCCCACATGCCAAGTGGTGTGCTGGGTGGTGAGGGCACAGTGGTATGTAGGGCAGACATGCCCTTGCCCTTATGGAGTTAACGTGTTGGCGGTAATGCTTTGTAGGAATGCAGGGAACACTGAAAATATCGAGGGGCAGTGCCCAGCCTTGTCCCCAGAGTCAGCGAAGATGTCTCTGTGAAGTGGTGTTTACACTGAAATGTGAAGGGTGAGTAGAAAGTACAGAGGGAATGGGGAAGGTGTGAGCCAGTGATGCAAGGGAGGGAGGCCTGAGTTACAATTTACAAGGATCCCCCTGGCTGCTGCCAAGAGAGGGAGTTGGCATTAGAGGCGATGGCTATTTTAAGACTGGCTAGGAGGCTGTGGCAGTGAGCATCGTGCCTTAATTCTCATTTCTGAAAAGAAAGAGTTTCGTTCCTATAGCTTTCCTGGACCCTGACTCCTAACTGTGCTGACTCTGGTCATGTTCATGTATCTTCTAAGTAAACATCCTGCCCCCATCAGCAGGTGCCAAATAGAATCTGTTTATAGTCAACACCACACATGGTTTCCAGAACCAGGCAAATGCCTTTAGACAACTCTGGGCTTAGACAGTCACTAAATGCTGTTGTCTCTCCCTCTAAAAGAGCTCTTGAATCTCCCACTCCTGCTTTTGCCCAGGGCCCTGCCTTCTGGCCCTCATTATCTCTTCATAATCACCAACTCAACAGGGGCTGAACTTTCTTCCTAACACACAAGTTTATCCTCATGTATCACCATTGCCAGCGGTATAAAGAAACCTCAGTGGTTGTATCAGTCAGCTTTCTCTGTATAACAAACAGCCCCAAACCCCAGTGCCTACAAACAGACATTTATGATTTCTGTGGGTTGATGATCTGGTCTGCACAGTTTGTGTTAGGCTGATTGCCTGTGCTGGCCCATCCACACATCTGGGGGCTGAGCTGGGGTGCCTCAGCCTCTCTCCACACATTGTCTATTATCCTCCAGGGGGCTACCTCAGGCTTGCTAATGTGGCAGCAGAATGATTTCCAGCAGCAGCTGGGCATGGTGGCTCATGCCCAGGAGCTCAAGACCAGCCATGGCAACATAGCAAGACCCTACAAAAAATAAAAATAATTAGCCTGGTGTGATAGCACGAACCTGTAGTTCCAGCTACTCAGGAGGCTTAGAGGGAGGATCGCTTGACCCTGGAGGTCAAGGCTGCAGTGAGTGGTAGTCATGCCACGGCCCCTCCAGCCTGGAAAACTGAGTGAGACCCATCTCAAAAAAAAAAAGAATGATTCTCAGCAGCAAGAGAGAGGAACTTTTAGGTATAAGCACTTTTAAAGCCTTTATTTATGTCACCTTTGCTATGGTGCCATTGGCTAAAGCAAGTCTCGTGGCCAAACTTCGATTCTCCCTCATGCTGGGAGGGGAGGCAAAGCCACACTGCAGAGTGTGCGTGCAGGTGGCCTGAACAAATTGGGGCCATTTCGACAGCAGTGGTTAAGAGTTGAGGGTTTCTGTGCTATTCTTCCTGTCAGATGAAGTCTTTTTTTTTTTTTTTCCTGAGATGGAGTCTCGCTGTCGCCCAGGCTGGAGGGCAGTGGTGTGATCTCAGCTCACTGCAACCTCGTCTCTCAGGTTCAAGCAATTCTCCTGCCTCAGACTCCTGAGTCTCTGGGACTATAGGCATGCGCCATGTGCCACCACACCTGGCTAACTTTTGTGTTTTTAGTAGAGATGAGATTTCACCATGTTGGCCAGGCTGGTTTTGAACTCCTGACCTCAAGTGATCCGCCCACCTTGGCCTCCCAAAGTGCTGGGATTACAGGCATGAGCCACCGCACCCTGCCAGATGAAGTCTTCAGAAACCCTTTCCTATCTGGCCTCAGCCTGATTTATCCTAACCCCGATGTCACACTTTCACATTCATATCTTACATATTTATTTTTCCTTTCCCCATGTTTTGTGTTTTTACTAAACAGCACCTCATTAGTGCTTTGTTTAGGGAGCAGCTAAAAATATCATCTCCTGTTCAAATTCTTCTTCTAGATGGAGTTGGTCATTTGTCCTTTTTTTTTTTTTTTTTTTGACGGAGTCTCTCTCTGTCCCTGGCTGGAGTGCAGTGGCACGATCTGGGCTCACTGTAACCTTCACCTCCCAGGTTCAAGCAATTCTCCTGCCTCAGCCTCCCAAGTAGCTGAGACTACAGGTGTGCGCCACCATGCCCAGCTAATTTCTGTATTTTTAGTACAGATGGGGTTTCACCACGTTGGTCAGGCTGGTGATGAACTCCTGACCTCAAGCGATCTGCCTGCCTTGGTCTCCCAAAGTGCTGGGATTACAGGCGCCCAAGCCGCCTGTATTACATTGTCCTGAATTGTTTGTGTATTTTTCTGTTTTCTCCCAGTCTGAACTCCCTGCGGAGAGGAGTTGTGAGTTACTCACCTTCCTGTTCTGGTGTGTGGCTCTGTGCCGGGAACAGAATAGGTGTTTGTTTAACAGATAGTGCTGTATAAATAATTGGGTGAGTGAGTGGAATAAGTGGGTGAATATCTTTTCATTATCTTGAGTCATCCTAAAAAGGCAGAGGATGGACTAATTGTCAAAACTGACTTAAACTTTTCTCCTCTTCTCTTTCAGTTGGTACCATTTTCAGATTTCATCTTCCTAAACTGGAAATGTCAATGAGAGGAAATTAACACCCCCAAGAGCTGCAGTGAGCAAATGCATTGAGCTTGGGTCAGGACAATTCCATTTGGGGACCAGAGATGGACGGTCACTCAGCCTATGGAGGTAAAGTGACTAATCTGTCCGCAGCACAAGTGAGATGTGCTGTCTTTTCTGTTTTGTTTTGTTTTCCATTGATTATGTTCCATGGAGGATGTGGAAGATATTCTCCTATTTCTTGGTCTCTGAAACATGTCCTGCTTGCCCAGAAACGTGCCATTAAGAGGAGTTCCCATGGAAGGGGAATACAGTGTCCCTCAGGAGAAATATGCAGACTGTTAGTGTCTAGCAGCTTTTCTTTTTCTTAAATGGAGAGCTTTCTGAGCTCTCATGAACACTGGTAAGTAAAAACCTGGATTCAGAACATCTTTTGATGACAAGGGCCTGTCATCCTGACGAAGGCCTGGCATGACACTCTGGTGTGTCCTAGAGCAAGCATCAGCAAACTGTGGCCTACAGGACAAGCCTGGCCCAGTCTGCCTTTGTAAATAAAGCTTTGCTGGCGCCCCACCATGCTCATTTGTTCAGGTGTCATGTATGGCTGTTTTCACACTGCAGCAGCCCAGTTGAGTCATTACCATAGAGACCGTGTGGCTGCAAAGCCTGACATATTTGTTCCCTGGTCCTTAACAGAAAAGGTGTTGCAACCTCTGGTCTACAGCTGAGCTGTCCACACAGAACCACTTCTTATGGGGATAATGAAATTTTAATTAAAATGAAATAATACGAAAAATTCAGGCCTCAGTCACATCACAGTTCATGTGCTTAGTAGCCACATGTTGCTTATGGGTACCCATGGATAGTGCAGAGAGAGGACATTTTTATCAGCGCAGAGTTAGCTTGGGAAAAATTGAGATCACCCTGGATATGTCACTTCACTCTGCTGGTCTCTAACCCAGCTTGGGCATGATTGCCATCACTGCAGAAGAAGAAGGAAGGCTGATGTCTGTGAGTGTGTATAGCTGTTTTTTATATGATTATTGGCAAGGACTCTCTCTCTGTCGTGCACACTGTCTCACTCTCTCCCTCTAGTATAAGAATGGAGTAACTTTTAAAATTTCTTTGGGAGCCATCTTGTGGTCTCTGTATGTGACTCCATGTAAAACAAATCCACTTGGGCCATGGGGTTTATTAGTTTTATTTATGCAAGTAGATATGGATGTGAGCTTGAGCCCTTCTGGTGTCACAGGTAGGTCAGGGGCCGTGTGAGGCCTCCTCTAAAGGGGAAGAAGCAATCGCTTCTGTGTTCCCAAGGGGTAGATATATGGGCAAGAGCGATAAGAAACAAGGAGAGGAAGAAAATGAGCTGAAGATGTGGCATGTGTGAGTCTTAGAAGAATGAGGAAGAATGGAGACAAAAGACCATGTGATTCCTGGTTATGGTCATAGGTTTACTTTGAAAGAACATGTTGAACAAAGTAATGATGCTTGGGAACATACCACATCTCAGAATTGTGCTGAACACAGCCAGTTCTATACGATAGACAGGTTGGGAAGAGCCTTGGACCTGGAGCTAGCTCACCATCTTATGGGACAAGACTGGGGGCATGGCAGGAGGTTCTGCTTGGTGCATAAGCCAGTGCAAGTGGGAATAACAAGGGCTGATCATTGAGATGCACAGTTTGTATGGAAGGGACCCAAGAAGGAACAGAGAAGAGACTCTAGATGGCCTACAGGTCTGGGCAAAGGCCCCAGGTTTGGCATTTAGAAGTTGGGCTTTCTTATCGTTGGGTTACCCAAGCACAAGCAAGAACAAAGCAGAGACTCCACTGATGAGAAAAGATCCAATTGATATGTATTCTGCACATCTAGATTTGAAAATGGCCTCCTGCCTCTTTCTTTTGGTTGGTCTTCAAGCACCTCACCATTACAGAGGAGTGCTGTATGCATTTTAAGCAGGCATTTCTATAACAAACCTTCAAACAATGGAGTTTAACGCAGATATGAAGTAATTATAAGTAACACAAATAGTAGTATTAAATTTTTAGTTCTTTCTTACAATCAAGCATATCCAGAATGATGATGATGATGATGATGATGATGATGTTAACAGTGATAATATTTTTTGTCCATTCCCAGCTTATTATGTGCCAGGTGCATGTTCTACTGATAATTATTATTACTACTAATAATTATTATAGCTTTAAATTATTGGCACATACAATGCACTAAGTAATATATTGATTTTTTTCTCAATCTCATGAAACCAGAGCATTCGTTTCCATTTTTAATTTTTTTCAATTATTTTATTTTTATATAAATGCAAATTTATAGAAAAGTTATAAGAACAGCCAACAAATTCCTGGACCTCCTTCGTCCAGGTTTTCAAATGTTCGCATTTTATTATGTTCATTTTTTCTTTTTTCTCTATATTTTTTCCTGAAATCAGAAACTTGCATCTTAGAACACAACTTTCTAAGTCAGAAACTTAACATTAATTTGACTATTATCTAACCTTCTGATTTCTCATTCAGATTTCATCACTTGCCCCTGCTAAATTCCTTCAAGGCAAAAGAAAAGCCAGTTGGCATGTGTCTTTCTTGGAAAACTTTCTTAATCTTGTATTTCAGCACGTTAACCTTTTTGACAAGTTCAGGCCAGTTATTTGATAGAATGCACTCAATTTTGGCTTTTCTGATGTTTCCTCCTGATTAGGTTGGCAGGACTAGCCCAGAGCTGATGTGTCCTTTTCAGTGCATTGTATCAAGAGGCACTGGTGTGGCTGTCTCCCATTACTGGTGATGTTAGCTTGGAGCTCTCAGTTAAGGTGGTGTCTTCCAGGTGTCTCCACTGCAAAGTTATTGTTTCACCTTTGCAATTAATAAGCATCTCATGGGGAGAACTTCCGGGATTGTGTAGATTTCTGATTAGTCCTCAGTCTATCAGTCATTAGTTTTAGCATCTTTTGATGATTCTTGCCTGAATAGATTTATTATTATCATAGTTGCCAAATGGTGATTTTTTAAATTTTGCTGGTTCTTTTTCATTTATTAGTTGGTTTCCTACTATAAAGAAGAAATTTTCTTCCTCTGTTCATCTTTTTTTTTTTTTTTTTTTTTTGAGATGGAGGAGTTACTTTCACCCAGGCTGGAATGCAGTGGTGCAATCTTGATCTTTGCCCACTGCAACCTCTGTCTCCCAGGTTCAAGCAGTTTTCCTGCCTCAGCCTCCTGAGTATCTGGGATTATGGGCATGTACGACCATGCCCAGCTAATTTTTGTACTTTTAGTAGAGATGGGGTTTCATCATGTTGGCCAGGCTGGTCTCCAGCTCTTGACCTCAAGTGATCTGCCTGCCTTGGCCTCCCAAAGTTCTGGGAATACAGGCGTAAGCCACCATGCCCAGCCCTTCCTTTCTTTATATCAGTGTGGACTCACAGATTTTAACTTTATTCAATAGGTTGCAGTCTTTTGTGATCATTAGTTATTTTGACATTTACGTTGCCCCAAATCTGTCCACTAGGGCCTGGCTCCTGTGTCTCTAACATTTCTCCATCGTCATTTGAGCACTTGCTGCCTTGTTGTCATAGCAAGGTATTCTAGCCTCATCTTCTACTCTCCTCACCTCAGTGGTGGAATCAACATAGGAGCCCTGGTTCCTTTCCATGGAAAATGGTGTTTAGAAACCAAGATCTGGCCACTAGGTGTGCTCACTGTTTCTGGGGTAGCATTGCCTCTAGGCCCTCTGAGCAGACATAACTGGGATGTGTGTGTCTGTGTGTGCGTGGGTGTGTGTGTGTGTGTGTGGTGTATCACACAGATACCCACATTTATATACATACATAATCACATCCACATGTATATCCACACATCATTCAGATCATTTTCAAATTGACCTATCTATCTATTAAAATCACCATAGGTTCATACTAATTATGCTAGGACATTCTGGAAATTCATGTCTATCTGAATGATGCTGAACAGTCATTCTACTCTCACTATCAACGCCGCCACCAACTGCATTTATTAAACCGTGTTCAGGCCCAGTTTCAGACCCTTTCCCTTGCTGTTACTTCTGACATCAACTCGGTGGCCCAAGTACAGATGAGCAAACCAAGACTCTGAAAAGCTAATTAACTTGTGCAGATTATACAGCTGGTAAAGCAGCAAGCTTATAGCAAGCACCTGTTTGTCCCTCGGCTTTTGATCAAAAGGCCTAGGGAGAAACCTCTCTCAGGACAGAAACTAGAGCAGAAGACTGGGGAAGCATTTGTCCCTGCTGACAGCAGTGTCTGGCCGTCACAGTGTAGGCCAGCCAAAACATGTGGACCGTGTATATGGTCTGCATCTCTCAGATGGAGTCCTGTTAGGAGGTGTGTGTAGACGCACGTGGTGGTGTATGAGTTGCATGTGGGAGTGAGAGTTTCTGTGGGGGATGCAGGACTGCTGTCCTGTCCTTGTGAAGACCTTGATCAGGTTGAGGGTGTGATTACAGAACCAGGCGTCTCTGCAGAGGGAGCATTTGTTCTCTTGCAGAGTGCTTTCCTGGGAGAGCTGCTTCAGTGTGGAGGCCTTAACTTAAACACATTTGTGTCTCCAGCTCCCAGCAAACATGCAGAATGTGCACCAGATAAATGTTGGTTTCAGGCAGGCATTGACAAACATTTCTGAGCTTCTTCTGTGCCAGGCACTGCTCTAATCAGACAAAGATCCTAGCTAGGGGTGAGAAAGAGGGAGAGACACACAGTCTCTCTCTCTCTCTCTCTCTCTCTCTCTCTCTATATATATATATATATATATATATGTTTATATATATATGTCTATATATATGTCTATATATATATGTCTATATATATGTCTATATATGTCTATATATATGTCTGCATATATATGTCTATATATATATGTCTATATATATGTCTGCATATATATGTCTATATATATGTCTATATATATGTCTATATATGTCTATATATATATGTCTATATATATGTCTATATATATGTCTATATATATGTCTCTATATATATGTCTCTATATATATGTCTCTATATATATGTCTCTCTATATATATGTCTATATATATATGTCTCTCTATATATATGTCTATATATATATATGTCTCTATATATATATGTCTATATATATATATATGTCTATATATATATATATGTCTATATATATATATGTCTGTATATATATATATGGTGTGGGCAGGGGCAGGGGGTCCCAGGGCAGGGCATAGCATGGGTGTGGTGGTCAAGGAGTGTCTCTTCCAGGAAATGTTTCTAGAACAAAGTCACATGACGGACAGGAAAGAGCAAATAGGGAGGTGAGAAGGAGAGCAGGGGCTGTTGATCAAAGGATACACAGGGACTGATTCAGTCTTCTTCAGGGGGCTGTGGCTGCTGTCATTTCCCCTCAGAGAACCAGGCCTGTTTTCCTTCTGGGCAGTGTCACATGGGTGGACACTCCCCGTTGGAGCTAAAGCATTTCCTCCAACAACAAAAATGTGTTATCAGCTGGCCCAGAGACCGAATGCAGGCCAGGGCACTCTGACTAGATAAGAGGACAACCTGGCAGTCGTTCAATATTCCGATGGGCAGCAGCGAGGAGCTGTTGGAATTTCCGTTGCTGATAACCTTTAAGAGCAGCAGTGGCAGAAACAGGGGTTGTTTGGGGTGGGAGGGGAGAGGAGACTTGGGAGCACTCTGGAGTATCTGAAAGGCTGATGGGGAGAGAAGGATTAGCGGATTAATGTGTAGAGGGTGATTTTGAGGATGGATCCAAGTGGCGTGAGTGAAATGAAGAGCGGGGGAGCTTCTCATTCAGGCTGTTTTTCCTTTCTTCTTGTTCATTCAGTCATTTAGTAAATACTTACTGAGTGCCTTCCAGCTCACTGGCACTTGGCTGAGCACTGGAGGTAAAACAGAATAAGATGAGAGCTATGTCCTCAAGATGTTAATAACTTATTTGTTTCCTTGTTTTATTTACTTATTTATTTTGAGACAGAGTCTCACTCTGGTGCCCAGGCTGGAGTGCAGTTGTGCCATCACAACTCACTGCAGCCTTGACCTTCCAGGCTCAAGCGATCCTCCTGCCTCAGCCTCCTGAGTTGCTGGAATACGAGCGTGCGCCACCATGCCTGGCTAATTTTTATATTTTTTATAGAGATGGTGTTTTGCTGTGCCACTCAGGCTGGTCTGGAACTACTGGGCTCAAGCAATTCCCCAGCCTCAGCCTCCTAAAGCGTTGGGATTTCAGGTATGAGCCACCATAACTGGCCGATGATAATAATTTAATGGGAGAAAAAGATCAATTAATAAATCGGTGGTATGTTTAGGTGCAGTTCTGGTTCTTTGGGTCCTGAAGCTTATACAATTTGGGAGTTTTCTTTAAGGAAAAATAATGCAAAGTTATGACTTTGAAATAAAATGCAAGCCCTAGATAAGTGGGGTGCAGCCCAGGGGCTGGAGCGTCAGCTTCCTGGACGTGCTCTGGTTCTTTGCCCGCTTTGTGAGCTGCAGTGTCAGCGAGAGTGCCTTCTCTTACCTGCTGCCTGCCGGGTGAGCTGGCCACAAGGGGAGTTGGCGGTGGGAATCCTGGTGCTCCATGGTACAGTGAATTTACTTGCCTTCTGGATCCTCTGAGTCCTTGTGCTTGGGCTCAGGGAACAGGGCGAAAGAACTTCGTTCTTCTTGGTTCTGCTGGGATTTTCGAAGGCACTTTCCTTGAAGTTCTGCGGGCTGACCTGTGATCCCACATCAGGGACTGCATTCTCAGGAATCAGCTGAGCTCAGGAGTCCTGGGGCTGGGGGAGTGTTTGTGAGCACTCTCGCAGGGCTGGCTGTGGCCCTTACGCCTTTGTAACAACCCCACACACATAGATTTCACCCCACAGCCTCCCTGGCAGCCAGCTGCTGTCATTTCCCTTTTTTACGGATGATGAAACCCAGGCACAGACTGGTTAAGTAACTTAACAGTCACACAGCTAATAAGTTGGGGGGCTGCGCTGTGAAGGCTTACAGCGTCTCCAGAGCCCAGTCCCCTTGCTGCCTCCCCATCATCCTCACTGCCTACTGCTTTTAAGCAATATGCTGGAAATACCTGCAATGTCAAGATTAGGAGATGAGCTACATCCAGTACAGCCGCAGAATGGAATAATATGCATTTGAGCCACACAAGGAGTTTTTAACCAGCATGGTGGAATGCTCTAATTTTTGGTGTGAAGGTGGGATGTCTAATTACATATGCACAGAGAAAGGAATGCCAAGTGCTAACAGTGCTTGGATTCCCTCAGCCTTTTGCATCCTCTCCTGGGCAGCTGTAACAGACTCACTCACACATGCATTCAATAGGTTTTATTTATTTATTTATTTATTTTTTGAGATGGAGTCTCGCTCTGTCGCCCAGGCTGGAGAGCAATGGTGCAATCTCAGCTCACTGCAACCTCCGCCTTCTGGGTTCAAGTGATTCTCCTGCCTCAGCCTCCCAAGTAGTTGGGATTACAGGCTCCCACCACCACACCTGGCTAATTTTTATATTTGTAGTAGAGATGGGGTTTCGCCATGTTGGCCAGGCCGATCTCGAACTCCTGACCTCAGGTGATCCCCCCACCTTGGCCTCCCAAAGTGATGGGATTACAGACATGAGCCACCATGCCCGGCCATTCAGTAGGTTTTAATTCAATGCCTTTGACATGCTGGGTACTTCGGATACAGCAGCAAAAAACAAAAACATGGTTTCTGCTGTCATGGAACTTAGTCTGGCCTGCTGTTTGCTCCTTCTGCCTATACTTTCTTCCTCCAGCTTTCACTAGAGAGATCTTTCGGAAGCCCTCCATGGTTCCGCAGTGCCCTCAAATGCAGCCCCTCCCTGCCCCTATTGTCTCATGTGTAAAATGGAGCAGAAGACGCACAGACCTTCCAGACCTCAGAGTGTAGCTCTTCTCAGTTGTTGGCTAGAGGCTTTGCAGTCACAACTCTCATCATTACCATCTTCTAGAAAGGTCAGGCACCGGACAGCTGAAACCATGGCAGCCGGCAACAGGAAGTGCCCTCCCTGGGTGCTCAAAGATCCAAGACAGCCGGGCCCTGTGTTTGTAGGAACAAGATTCCAGATGCCTCTGCTGCTTGCCAGCCTCGTGACCTTCATTCATGCAGGGCCTTGTTTTCTTGATTCAGTGGGGCCAATCCCGGCCCCCAGGGGAGATGGATGCTGCAGGGATGTGCAAGCTGTAGAGGGTTCCAGAGAATGGGCCTGGCGTTCTGCAAGCCTGGCACCCCTCCTGGATGCTTTTCTCCAGCCCTTGGAGCTTAGGCAGTGTAGTGTTAGGATGATTATTGGATTTCCTCCACAGTTCCTGGCTCATTCTTTTGTAGCCCTTGTTACAGCCTTTTGTGATAATATTGGGTGTGGCAGGCCTCAGGACACAGGATGTCTCCAACTTTCTCCTGCCTTCCTTCCCCTGCCCTAACACAGGACTCTAATCTTTCCCTGACTTTCTGACTGTGGGTCTTGAGATCCTCCCCAGAGAGGGTCCTACCCTGTACCCTGGGAGAAGGAATGCTGATGTCAGGAAGCTTCCATAAAACCCCAGAAGACTGGGTTGGAAGAGCTTCCAGATAGCTGAGCACTGGAGGTTCCTGGAGGGTAGCATGCCCCTTCCCCCATACCTCCCCCCACGCATCTCTCTATCTGTATCCTTTGCACCAGTAAATATGTTTTCCTGAGTTCTGTGAGCCCTTCCAGCAAATTAATTGAGCCCAGAAAGGGGGTCATGGGAACCCAATTTGAAGCCAGTTGGTCAGAAGTTGCAGAGACCCGGACTTGAGGCTTGTGTTTGGGGTAGGAGTTGGGGGCAGTCTGGGGCACTGATCTCTCAACCTGTGGGAACTGACCCTGTCTCCAGGTAGATGGTGTCAGAATTAAATTGGAGGACACCCAGCTGGTGCATGGTGTGTGGGCACAGAAGTCTTCTGTGTTGACCGTTCGGGTGTGAGAGCAGAGGATAGGCAGGGTTTCAGAGATTTTAGGAAATAGGTGGGAATAACACTTTCTGAGACTTGGTTTCCCCATCTGTAAAAAAGGAAGTAGTAATAGTACCCACTTGGGAGAGTTCTGTGAGGACTCAAATGACACGAGGACTCAAAAAGCTGGGTACGGTGTCTGGCCCATCGTAAAGGCTGAGTAATTGACAGGTGCATTTATCCCTGTGGTTCCTCACTGAGCCCGTGATAAATGGGCCTGTGGCAGGACATGAGTGAGCTGCAGGAACAGGAGCCAGGCCTCCCACCTTGCCGGCTTGGAAGACCGTCTGGCTGCAGCAGAGACATTCTTCCCAGAAAGAAGGGGCTTTCCATGGTGAACCACTGTGGCCAGGCCCAGAGGCCTTTACAATGCCAATGTCCCAAGAAGAGAGGGGCCATCAGAAGGATGGAAATTTTCTATGTGCTTCCAGAAATCAACCTACAGATTGATCCCTTCTCAAAAGACTAATTTTTATTCTAGTCATGCCCAGCTATAAGCATTTGGGCATTTACAGATAATCTTTGTTCCTGAAGGGCATCCGAATATGTCCTTCCTCCTTTTAATGCCCATGACCCTTACTATCCTGGAACAGAGTCCACATTGCAGAAAGGACAAGGCTCACCACGTTCAGGGCCCCATCAAGACCCCCAGCCTCATGTGTGCTCTCCCTGTCCCACCCCACCCCACCTTCTGCTAATCACAGAGTCATCTTCACAGTGTGAACCCTGAATACAGATGACCCGGGTTCAAATCACACTTCTGCTTCTTTTGCCACCTTGGATACAGTATCTTCTCTTGATCTCAGTTTCCTCATCTGCAAAATGGACATAACGGATAACAACAGCACCAAACTCCAGGATTGAATGAGTTAATACAGATGTGGAGATATTTCAGGCTTGGTTCCAGGCCACTGCAATAAAGTGAGGATTGCAGTAGAGCAAGTCATACAAATTATTTTGGTTTCCCAGTGCACACAAAAGTTGTATTTATACTATACTGTACTGTAGTCTATGAAGTGTGCAGTAGCATTATGTCTAAAACAACAATGTACATATCTTAATTAAAAAATACTTTTTTGTATTTTTTAATTAAAGCCATGCTGGCTTATGCTCCTAGCACTTTGGGAGGCTGGGGCGGGCAGATTGCTTGAGGCCAGGAGTTCCAAACCAGCTTGGGCAACATAGCGAGATTCACCCCCTACCAAAAAAAGTGAAAACATTAGCCGGGAATGGTGCATGTGCATCTATAGTCCTAGTCACTTGGGAAACTGAGGCCAGAAGTTCAAGGCTGCAGGGAGCTATGAACAGAACTTGACAGAGCGAGACCTTGTTTCTAAAAAAAAAAATTAAAAAATACTTTCTTGCTAAAAAATGCCAATGGAATGAGCACATACTGTTGGAAAAATGGCACCAATAGACTTGCCCAACACAAGGTTGCCACGATTAGTAAAGACAATAACAACAAAAAAATAATGCAGCACCTGTGAAGTCTGATTAAGTGAATATGCCTATGTATGTGAAAGTGCTTAGAACCCTGCTAGACACAGCAGTCTCTAACAGCCAGTATTCTATAGATCTATAGAGAATATGAAGCTAAAGATGTGGCTATGGATATAGATATAGATATAATGTAGCTCTAGCCTGGGCTCATCACCCCAAATGTAGTACCTGCCATGTCTGCAGGACTTGGTCTGTGAGGTTTGCATGTGCTCTTCTCTACCTGGAATGCCCTTCTCTTGCTTTCCTGGGGAGCCCTCAGCTTTAGCGTTGTCTCTTCCGGGACTCCTCCTCCCGCTTTCCACTCCATCCTCAGCTGCAGGGCTTCTCCCTCGTCAGCCCTCAAACCCCTGCCTGTGTCTGCCTTCCTTTCACTGACCACACTGTCTTGTGAGGAAGGGCTCATGTACCTTTCCTTTTCCCCTGCTGCACTGGGAGCCCCTTGAGCGGTGGTAGCCTATGCTTTATTCTTCATTGGACTCACAGAGCACCCTGTGGGCCAGGCATGCCTTTCCCTCACCAGCACCGAGACTGGTGCTCTGAAGGCTGTTGCAGTGTGTCCATTTGTGTCAGCCGCACAGAGCCAGCCCAGCTGCTGGTTTGATAGACATGATATCTGGCTAGCTGGCCTTGCTACTGGCCTGGACACATGCCTGGGCCCCCTTGGGGATTAATTCTCTCTTCTTTAGCTCCTCCGACTTGCCTCCAGCCTTTGGAGAACTGGAAATGGGCGGACCCCATGTCTGTGGGCTCCTGGTCCTTTCACTTTGCTATCCACGCCTTATCTGCGTTCCATGCAGGCCAGAATACAGAATACCTGCTGTTTGCAGCCCTGTCTGCCTCCAATTAACTTAGGCAAACACACCCTGCCAAAATATCCCACGGCCCTTTCTGATACGGATGGCATGGGGTGAAGGAGGAAGGAGACACGAGTGAACCCAAAGCCAGTGTGTCTGAAATCCATTTGGCAAGCATTTGTGCCATGTCCTATAATATATATATGTCCATATATATATTATAACATATAATATTATATAATATATGTCCAATGCCTGTGTGGGGAAGTCACTTCACCATTTTGCTCAATGGCAATGAAGAAATGGCATTCATGTAAACACTTTCTCAGTCTCTAAAAATATCCTTTGTGCTGGAGGATTGGGTGTCAGAAGAAGAGGACGAAGGGAAGGCCTTTGGGTCTGGGGAGATGATTTGCTTATTCTGTTGGTTGAATAGAATGGAATTGGCTTTCTGCACTTTGCAATCTCGACAGATGGTCAGTCATCTAACTGGAACCTCCTTGGGGGTTGGGCCCGTTTTTTTCCCCATTGAATCCCCAGTACTTTGGTGGAGGAGAGGTCACTCAGGGAGTGTTCTGGAATTGCCCCAAACAATTATGCTATATGGTTGTATTGTGTTAATATTTCATCAAGAGGAAGTGCCATACTTAAGTACTCATCTCTCCCTGTTGCTGCTTATTTGCATATTAACGTATGTCATCATCATCATTATCACAAACACCACCGTGTTGCCTTTAGCATTTTCTGTCATTTGAACTATGTCCTTTCGATAAGTTCCCAGGAGAGAGATACTGAAAACGCTTTGAAGGTTCTTGCCACCTGTTACCCATTGTGACTTTGCTGTGAAATTAGGAGTGGAAGGGAGATGGAGATGGGGGAACAAGAGCTGGAAGGGGATCCCTATTGAGGCTGGGACAGGGAGCAGTACAAAGGTCAGGATACAGCCACAGTGGGATTGTTTGACGGGCAAGTGGATCTGCCTCCAATGGGGCACAGAGTGCAAGTCAGGGAGGAATGGGGAGCTGGGAGGGATGGACACACGGATGAAAAGACAGGAAGTTCAGACAGAGGAACTCGCTCCTGATAGGAGAGAAAGCCCATTCTCATGGCTCTCATTTCTTGGGGACTAATGTGCGGTGAGTTGGTGGGGAGCGGGGTGAGCTCTCACACCTGTGTGTAGGCTGCTCGAGAGCCCATGCCTGCACTAGAGCCCATGACTCACCTCAAGTCCATTTGAAAAATTAGGGTGTTGGTAATTCACGGGGAAAAATAGCACAGACAAGGATCATGAGATCCTGGGTGTCTGCAACACCTGCACGTCATTCTCTCTGGTCCCCAGGGTACCACAGACTTAAGGAATTTTACACAACTCTGAGGTTTGGAATTCTATGGGTCTCCACGGAATTCAGAGTGCCATTGGACTGCGGGGGCGCTGGGGGACTAGAAGGCCCACATTCCATGGAAATCCAGGGATTCCAGGAATTCCAGCATCCAGCGGAAATTCAGAGAACCATGGCCCCTGAGTAATTCCTCTGAAGGAAACGTAGTCAAGAAAGACTAATTAATTTATACCTACTCCTTCAGCTCCAGCCCGGCACTTAATTAGTACCTTAGTGGTTTCAACGAATGAATATGGGAAAGAGTGAGAGAAGGAGTGAAGCAGAAGTTAGCCCTCCAAAGCTATGCTTCTCGTCCCCAAACTATCACCCCCTCCACGCTGGGGAGGAGCATGTGGCTGTCCCAGCACCTGCGGACTCTTCTGGCATTTTGTAGGTGAGGGCTAAGGATGCTATAGATCCTGCACAAGGGCAGGAAGAACAGTTCTGGCAAATTGCTAAACGTGTCCTCCTCAGAACACCACTGGACATTCGGTACTGAGGAACAGCAGAGTATGGCATCACACGAGCCGCCCCAAAGTTTTTGCTCTCGAGGATGAGCCTTTCACTCTATTACTATTGATTGGTCCCAAGTAGCTTTTGATGTCATGGCTTTTATCTGTTAATATGTATCATATTCTATATTAAAATTGAGGAATTATTTCAATATTTATTTAGTACTTCATTTGAAAAATCACAATAAAGAATCTATCATATGGTAACATAAATGACTTTTTTTTTTGAGACAGAGTCTCGCTCTGTTACCCAGGCTGGAGTGCAGTGGTGCAATCTCGGCTCACTGCAACCTCCGCCTCCCAGATACAAGCGATTCTCCTGCCATAGCTGGGATTACAGGTGCATGCCACTGCACCCGGCTAATTTTTGTATTTTTAGTAGAGATGGGGTTTCACCATGTTGGCCAGGCTGGTCTCGAACTCCTGACCTCAGGTGATCCACCCGCCGCAGCCTCCCAGAATTCTGGGATTACAGGTGTAAGCCACTGTGCCCATCCCATAAATGACATTTTCATGAAAAAATAACTACTTACCCAAACAAACAACAACAACAACAAAATTAGAAGAGTGGTATTATTTTACAGATCCCTTTACTATCTGGCTTAAAGGAAAACAGCTGGGTTTTCATCTCTGCCTCTGTATTCAGTCTTTCGTGAAATCAGATGTCATTTGTCTCTGGGGAGCTCTACTGTACATGCAGGACAGAATGAGTGTGAAAGAGTAAATGAAGCCTTCGTCTCATTATGAAAATGGCTTTGATATCATGGATTCCCCAGAAGTATCTTAATGACTCAGAGATCCCTGAAACGTAGTTTTACGAACCGCAGTACAGTGGTTAAGAACATGGCTTTTTTTTTTTTTTTTTTTTTTTTCTGTTTTTAAGTTTCGGGATACAAGTGCAGAACGTGTGGGTGTGTTCCATAGGTATACATGTGCCATGGTGGTTTGCTGCACCTGTCAACCCATCATCTAGGTTTTAAGCAGGCATTAGCTATTTGTCCTAATGCTCTCCCTCCCCTCACCCCCTGACTGGCCCTGGTGTGTGTTGTTCCCCTCCCTGTGTCCATGTGTTTTCACTGGAGAAGAACATGGCTTTTTAAGCAGGCTGCCTGGGGTCAGGGAGGTGGCAGGGAGGAACTGCATCCTGGATCCACTTGCAGCCCACTGGGTTACCATAGACAAGAGATTTCACTTCCCTGCACCTCACTTCCTCTGTAAAGTGGGATAATAGTAGCTACTCGTAGGATTATTGTAAGAGTTACATTAGTTAATATTTTAAAGCTCTTAGAACAGCCAGGTACATATTAAACGCTATACAGGTTATGTATCTATAGCTACACACACATATCACATACATACTATATACATACATGTGTTTATATGTACACATACATAATGTATATATACTATATGTGTGAGTATATATGTGTGTGTACTATATAGTCATGTATATTTATGCTATATATATATTACATATACTAAAACCAATTGAAAAATCACAAATGTTACTATAGCAAAAGTCACCCATTTCACATTATTTCTAAAAATATGAATGTGTAAGAGCTATTTCTTAAGGCAGCTTTTCTATCCCCTACTAAGAGCGGGGGACAGCCACTGCTGTGTTTGGGGTGCTGCAGAGCATAATCATAAATGTGGGAGTCCAGATACAGGTCAGCTGTTAGGGCTCCAGGAGTCTGCGGACCCCTGCCCTCACCTCTTTGTGTCACCGGAGCTCCGGATTAAGGGCTTTCTGACAACTCCTGACCACACTCCTCATCTTCTTTCCCTCCCTTTGCTGATGAAGCAACTGTCTTCATTTAGCTGCCTGATGGAGAACATCTGCCTCCAGGCACCACAGAAATCAAAGAAGGAACCCACGATGCTGGCCCCAGGAAGTCCCCAGAAACCCCAGGCTGCTCCTCCTGTCACACAGGATGCTTTTCCCGAAATGCTTTTTGTCTGGAAGCTCTCCATATGAGCTTTACAAAGGCATGTGCATTCCCTTAGCCTTTGAAAACTCTCATAGGTTCAAGAACAACAACAACAAAAGCCTTGGTGTCAGTGATCTGAGCACAGCATTGGAGTATGCTAAGAAGGCATCAGGGACTGGGCACGGTGGCACATGTCTGTAATCCCAGCACTTTGGGAGGCCGAGGCGAGTGGATCACCTGAGGTCAGGAGTTCACAACCAGCCTGACAAACATGGTTAAACCCCATCTCTACTAAATACAAAAAATATTAACTCAGCGTGGTGGCACATGCCTTTAATCCAAACTACTTGGGAGGCTGAGACAGGAGAATTGCTTGTACTTGGGAGACAGAGGTTGCAGTGAGCCGAGATGGTGTCATTGCACTTTAGCCTGGGCCACAAGAGCAAAACTCTGTCTCAAAAAAAAAAAATAAAAATAAAGAAAAAAAAAAGAAGGCCTCAGGACACTGGCTCCTTGTCCTCTGAGTGCCTGCTGTGCGTCCAGGTCCTCAGCGTGATGCTCACCTGGAAGGCATTCTGAATAGGACAAGACCCACCATGTCACCCCCCCTGCTCTAGTTTATTCATTAATTCAATTATCAAATGTCAGTGGAATGCCTTCAAGGGCGGGGCAGGGTTCAGAGCCCTGGGGACACTTCCATAAACTCACAAGCAAACGTTCCTTGCGAAACCTACAGTTCAGTCAAGGAGACTTCTAATAAATAACAAAGTTAACAAATAAGAGATTTCATGATGTGTAGGAGAACAGGTGCTAGAAAGGAGCGGGCAGGGGGCTGGGGAGTGCTGGCAGCAGAGGGGCCCGGGGTCAGCAACACTGAGAAGAGAAAGATGAGCAGAGACTTGAGGAAGGCAAGAACCTTGTCCACGTGGGTGTCTGGGGGACAGCCCTCAAATGGGGGTTACAAAGCTATGCCTGGTGAGTCAGGGAACTGAGAGTCTGGGAAC
Source organism: Homo sapiens (assembly GCF_000001405.40). Taxonomy (NCBI): domain Eukaryota; kingdom Metazoa; phylum Chordata; class Mammalia; order Primates; family Hominidae; genus Homo; species Homo sapiens. The sequence continues at coordinate 133,529,751 of NC_000008.11, read as the reverse complement.
CTGGGCAGTGCATGAGGGGCTAGTGGGCAAATGAGATGAGAAGGGGGTGGCCAGACCAGAGGGGTTCTTGTTGACCTTTGGTGACATGACATGCCTCCAAGGTAAAACTGCCCCTTGCTGGACTGCAGTGACTTCCTGTTGCTGACTTCCTAGGCTTCTCTGGCCATCTACCCTAGAGCCCACCATGGGGCCCGGAGCCCCTCCTCTGGGTCCCTTGATATTCCATGTTAGCTCTCGCCTGGCGTCCTCACCTTCAGGTGGGAGTTCATCTGTCTGCCTGTCTGCCTCCCCTGTTAGCTGGGCCTCTCAATTTTCCATCCCACCATAAGGGACAGCCAGCAGGTCCTGAGTTTTACGACCTTGTACATTTGCTCGGTAGCAGCACCTTCGACCTATAAGCTCCCAAGGCCCATCTCTCTTCTTCATCAGAACTGCCGCATCCTCTCTGGCCCGCTTTCTGTCTGGCATTTGCCTGACATATTCCTCCAGTAGATGCCAAATTCCACAGGGCGAGGACCTAGTCGTTCTCCATCTGCGTCACCTTAAGCACTGTGGCAAGAGGGCTAGAAAGCCGGTCCCATTGGTGGGAGGACCCATCACCACAGGGGTTGGCCCGCGAGCCCCGTATGCCTGGCCCTGCCCAGCTGTCTGCAAATCTGTGTATGCTCTGCTCGGTCACCACTGGTTCGCTTTGTCCCACCTGTGCTGTGTTTCTCTACTAGCTTGTTAGTTGCAGAGCCCCATGTGTCTTAGCACAGGCTGATTCCTCTACCAGAAATGCCATTTTTTCTGTTTATTCATCCAGCAAGTGTATTTACTGACCCTTGCTAACTCATGGGAAGGACCATCTCCATTGGGAAGCTGATGCCCCGTCTTGTGACACGTTTTCATCTGGTCACATTGGACTGCGAATGCAAAGCCCTGGGGTGGAGAGGGGAAATGTGGTCCTACCCTTGGAGCCCTAATACCCTAGCTCCAGGGGCAGCAAATGTTTTCTGTAAAGGGCCAGGCAGTAACTATTTTAGGTTTTGTGGGCCAAATCATATCTCTCATGACTATTCACATTTGCTGTTGTAGCACAAAGCAGCCATAGACAAAACATAAATGAATGAATGTATTTGTGTTCCACAAAACTTCATTTACAAAAATAGGTGGGAAGGCCAGGTTTGGCCCGTGGGCTGTCATTCGATGACCCCTGGTCTTGACTCAGTGTAGGCTGTAGAGGGAAACAGCTTGTATAGCTCAATGTACTTGTTAATTGCTAATTACTAGTGTTCCCATCACTGGACAGAGACTCTTCCAGGGCACAGACTGTCCTGCAGTCAGGATTGTGCCCTCAATGCCTAGCACAGTGCCTGACACAGGACAGGCATGCAGGATATGTGAATAAATCAATGAGCAAGTGAATGGAAATTCTGTAGGTACTGAGCTTAGCAATCTAGGCTAGGTCCTGCTCCTTCCCTGCAGGCACAAAATGCTGGCAAGGGGCTTGGTGTGGTCTCTGGGGGCCCTAGGAGTGAAACTAAATAGGTTTCTCCAAGTGCATCATTTCTGGGTAATTTTTTTTTTCTTTTATTTGAGACAGAGTCTCGCTCTGTCACCAGGCTGGAGTGCAGTGGTGTGACCTTGGCTTACTGCAACCTCCGCCTCCCGGGTTCAAGCAATTCTTCTGCTTCAGCCTCCCAAGTAGCTGCTACTACAGGTGTGCGCCACCACACCCAGCTAATTTTTTTTTTTTTTTTCAGTAGAGATGAGGTTTCACCATGTTGGCCAGGATACTCTCAATCTCTTGACTTCGATCTGCCCACTTTGGCCTCCCAAAGTGGTGGGATTATAGGCGTGAGCCACCACGCCCAGCCCATTTCTGGGTAATTTTAATGAGCTCTCGATGGGAATGGGCTCAGTCCCCTGGGGTGGCCAGAGCCCATCTGGATTGACTTCAAGGAGTTATGATGCGAGCTGGGGTAGGTGGAGACCTTGCAGTCTGGGACCGCCCAGCAAGCAAGCTGTTTTTCCTTCCCCCAGATCTTCTCCAGCTCTGCGTGAGCCATGGGCTGAGTCCTGGCATATAGTTCTCCCGTGCCTAGGATGAGCCAAATGCTATTTTGGTTGCACGCACATGATGTCATTTAATTGTCATGACAACCTAGGTTGTGAATATTATCATTATCCTCATTTTACACAGGGTAAACTGAGTCACAGATCTGTGGCTTGCCTGACGTCACACTGTAGCTTAGGGCAAAGTTGGGATTTGAACCTGGCAATCTGATTCCAGGCTCCTTGCTCATAACCGTCATTATTCTAAGCTGACATGCAGTGTAAAGGATTCAGACTTGCAGGGACCAAGAGTGGACACTTCTCACCCCACCACCTCAACCCCTTTACTCCCGATGCCGACACTGTTGCACAGAGAACTAAAGTAATTGGCCCCAGACCACATGGCATTAGTAGAGGCAGAATTTGAAGCTGGGTGATTCGATTTCCAACTCAATGCTTTCTCCACAAGCTCAAGCCCCTCTTTTGGCTTGGCACCTGTAGGCAAACAGAGGCAAGTCTCTCCCCTCTTTCTCTCTGCCTCCCCTCCCCTCAGAGTAGAACAACCTCTCATTTTATCCTTTGTTAAAGAGCAGCCCCTTCACAAAGAAGTGACAGTACGAACTTGCACCTTAGTTAGCATGGATGGGTGCCCTGGGCCTTCAATCAGTCAGGTCAGGGATCAGGTGAGCTTGGGCAAGTCTCCTCACCTCTCTGACCCTCTGTTTTCTTGTCTAGTGACTAGGGGTACAAGGCCTGACTTCGCTGAGTTGTTCTGAGAACTGAGTGCAGCGATATGTCTCAGTGTCTGCCTGTCACAGCCCTTGGCCTTCAGCAAATGTGGTTTCCTGTCCTGCTTCCTCATCTCTCCCCACAGCTCCCTCGCCCACTCTGCCCCAGGAACAACAGTGCACCCCACCCACTGTACTCAGCTGGAAAACTGCATCCAATGACCTCTCTTCTAAGCAACCACTCTGACGTCACCTTGTGCAACATTCTAGGTCCATCCAGGAAGCAACGTCAGGCTATTTCTACCCCAGGCACTGTGGCAGCTCACTTTTTTCTTCTTGCCCTGTAATTACAGGGTTTTGCAGTGGTTTCTCTGTTGCCTAAAAGTCTCAAAATTTTCTTTGTTTCTCCGTAACACATAATTGTATCTCAGGAACCCACAAGCCATTAGGTCCCTGACCCTCAATAGATGTCCTTTTCTATGGAGACAGACATCTAGATCAAAAGAAAGATGCTGGCTGGTTGGAGCAAACTATTTGATTAGACAAAACCCTTCATGAGGCCTCTACATGGATTTTGTGGCCCTGGGTGGTTGGAGAGACTTAGGAGCCTTCATGAACTTTTCTACTTCCCCTGTTTTTGATGTAGAATTATCTGCAGGAGCCCAGGTCCCAGACTCTGGCTGGGGAATGAGTATGGTAGAATAATAGCAGAGGGTGGGGGCTCTAGTGTCTAGGAGACACAGGGATGGGTAGAGTTGCCATGTTTGCAAAGGTGGGCATCCTCAGCTCTTGAGCTTGCCTGAACGCAGGCTGCCTGGAGCCTGACCCAACTTTCCTAATTCATGGCTACCTTTGTGAGCTGAAAGAATTGTCAGTGATGGCAGCAGTGGCCTATCTGGAGCAGCTGCTGTGGGGATGCCAGCTGCAGCAGGGGAGGCATAGCTGGGGCTGCATGCTCCACAGAGCTGGCAGGGACCAGGAACAGGTGGGAACCCTGCCTTCTATCAAGTTGGCAGGGCAGGAGCCCTGAGCTCCCAGGCACAGCTGCAGCTACCTAGCCACAGCTCTGGACCCAGGCATCCCTCTGCTCTTGGGGACCCAGGAAGCCCCCCTGTCATGCAGGCTTGTAATTGCCTGCTCCCGCTCCCTGGCATCTCACCACTCCCAGTGTCCACTCTGATTTTTGGAGCAAAGTTGAAACTGAGCCTGGGTGCTGTCGCAACCCAGCTGGGTGTGTATGTACTCTGGGTGGTGTTGACATGCCAGACCCCTGTCATCTTGGCCCCCTCCAGACTTTGGTCACCGACAGGCACAGGAGGGAAGCCAAGAGGAGACTGAGGGCAGCTCAGTGCAGGCCTGCAGGCGTCCCTCAGCATGCACAGCCTGGGTGCTGTGGATGCCATGTTGATGGTAGCAGGAGGCAGACAGGCTCCTGGGCAGAAAGGGGCAGGTCCCAGGTGAAACACCACCTTCAACCCAGGGACAGCCTGAAGCCTGGGGGCCAGGCTGCCAGTTCCAGGGGGAGTCCATGGCCTAGAGGAAGAACTTATGGTGCTTTATCCAAGCCCATCCATGGCCATCCATGGACCAATCAGCACACACTTCCTCCCTTCTGAGCCCATAAAAACCCTGGACTCAGCCAGACATGTAGGTGTCAGGACTACCAGCTGCAGGAAGGAGCTACCCACTCTGGGTCTCCTTGACTCTTTGGGATGACCTAACTGCAGAAAGGAGCTACCCACTATGTGTCTTCTCTGCTGAAAGCTTGACATTCACTGGGACGACCTGCCTGTGGAAACGAGCTACCCACTGCAGGTCTCCTGAAAGCTGTTCTGTCACTCAGTGAGGCTCCTCTCTGCCTTGCTCACCCTCCAGTTGTCTGCATACCTCATTCTTCCTGGACATGGTACAAGAACTCAGGACCCGCTGAATGGTGGGACTGAAAGAGCTGTAACACAAACAGGGCTGAAACACACCCTCCTCCCTCCATTCACCACGTTGCAGGTGACAAGAAGGAGAGAAGAGCTGTGGCCCGTTGGGAAGCCCAGATCTAGGGGCTCCCCAAGCCAGGGCTGTGACACCTTCTTTGGGACTGCACAGTTCCTGGTGTCTCCAAGCTTCCGGGTGCCACCGTGTTCTCCTAGAACATTTCTAGATGTGTTACTTAGGAATGTGGCAGCTGTCTTGCTTCTTCATCCAGACATGGGTCCAGAAATGGGTGCCTGCAGCAGAAGCCATGTGTGGTACATCTGGTCCAGCCACAGACTCACATGGAGCTGGCACCTGTGCCAGTGCCCGGAGCTGTCCATCCTGTCGCAGCAACCAGCGTACCTGGCTGTGCACAGTGGCTGGACCCTGTGCTAGCTCACCCACACACCCCTTGCTGCTTCACGCCTGGCTTGCCCTTAGCAGGTGTGTGATCTAGGCTGGTAGCATAAGCTGAGCACAACCTGTTGGGCCAAGTGGGTGACATGAGCCCAGCAGGCATGAGCAATACTCAGGTAGAAGGCGCTGCTGGCCACAGAGGTGTCTGGCTGGCAAAGTGACACCCAAGGATCCTGTGACATCAGGATCTGCTCACCTGCAAAATGCTGGTCTCACCTGGGGCTGTAGTGTTGCCTGGTTGTTGAGAGCTCTGTCTCTAGGGGACAATGCCTGGGTTTGTGTCCTGGCTCTACCACTTTCTAGCTGGGAGACCTTGCACAAGTTCTTAACTCCTTTGTGTTTCACATTTTCATCTGAAAAATTGGGGTAATAATAGCTCATTCAGTCTTCATTAAAAGCTTAAGAGGTAGGTTTTTTAATTATTGTTCCAGGCTTTGCTTGAGCTGAGAGGGCCAGCGAGAGTCAAGGTATAGGAGCAATTGAGCAGAGAGAGTGTATCAGTCAGTTTTTGCTGTGTAACAAAACCATGAAATGGCATAAGAGCATTCATTCAGATTTCATAGGTCTGTGGGTCACATGTGGTGGTTCTGGCTTAGTCTTTGAGTTGAGTTGGCCCTGACTGGAGGGTCACAGGCTGCCTGAAGCATGTTTTTCTCATAATGGAGGTCAGAAGCTCCCCGAAGGACACAAAGCTCTTATGATTATGGTTCTGAACTGGCATCTTGACACTTCTTCCCACATTCCATTGGCTAAAGCGTGTCACAACATCCAGTGGGTGAAAAAATACACTCCCACTTCGAGAGACGAGGACGAGGGATAGAGACCCTTGTGGCTCCCATACCCAGCCTTCTGCCAGTCCGTTTGTACTTGTTCTCCAGCAAGAAGCTCAACAGACATTTGTCAATTGGTCATAAATCTGGTACCTAGGAATGGTGCTGACCTCTTGCAGGCCTCCAGGGAGGTCCTGAGAGTCCCATGAGAGTCGACTTTGCTTTGTCACAGAGCAGGACAAGTGGCCATTCCATCTGCAATAAGACCCTTCTAAATGCTCTGCAGGAACTCCTGATGCATCCTTCCAGTGCCCCTTTGAAGTAGCTGCCACTTTAAGCATCACCATCTTCACTTTACAGAGGAGGAAATGAAGGCACAGGGAGGTTGAGTTACTTGCCTGAGGGTGCCCAGCAAAGTGGGCAGAGCCAGATTGAGGCTCAGGTGGTTTGGCTGTGGAATCTCTGTACTGCTTCTAAGGGTGGAGAAAGCAACAGCTGCACACCTTTGTGACTTGTGCTAGGACAGAGGTGTGCATGGGGGTGTGGCAGTGTCTGTGAATTGAGACCTGGACCCTCCAGTCTCCCATGTTCTCTGTGGTGTTTGGGAGATTAGCAACCCCCCACAGAAGAGTTAGGACCCACTTCCCCTGCTCCCAGAAGCCACGCAACTCCCCTCTCAGCAGGGCAGAAGGGAGAGGCCCCTTGCTGCTCGCCAGGGCCCTGGGCCAGGTGGGAGTGACAGAGCGCAGCCCCATCTGTTTGAAATTAGAAGTGAATTGAGCACAGTTGTCCAGAAACTCCATGAAGTTTAGAAACACCGTGCTGAATGTCTCCCCCAGCAAGGCTGTCTCTTCTTGAGAGATTTCATCCCTGTCTCTTCCCCACAGTGCTCATTTTCTTAGCACCTTCTCTGCCCTAGGCTCTAGGGACAGAGACAGTGAGATGAGCCCCTTCCCTCGCCTGGTGAGGGTGTTGGGAGCACACCAGGAGGCCAGAGAAGGATTGTACTCCAGGGAGGATAGTGGTGGCAAAATAACGACAGTAATTAGTGTGTCCATTTAGTGTGTGCTTGTGGAGTGTCACGTGCTTAACACTGTGCCCCTTAGGCCAGTGTTATGTTTGTCTTCAGTTTTTGGATGAAACCCAGGCTCTCAGGGGTTAACTAGCAAGACCCTGCGGCCACCAGGTGACTCTGCTGGATATGAACGTAGGCTTTTCTGTGCCAGCGCCTCAGCACCCTGGACCAGCTGGGGTACAGGGTAAAGTACTCTGAGAGTCAGATCAGAAGGCTTAAGGTCCCACTTACTGCTCTGCCCCACACAGGCTGTGTGGCCTCAGGCAAGTCAGTTGACCTCTCTGAGCCTCAGACCCTCAGCTATGACTTGGAATTGCAACACATTTCCAGAGGGGTAGAGATCAAACCACACTGTGCCTGTGATGGGGCTTTGAATTAAAGCAGGGAACCTTCTGTGCCTGGAGAGCCTCAGCATCTAGGGGCAGTGTCCTGAGCCACCATTCCAGGGAAGCCATTTGCAATTTTTTTTAGATTTTTAAAAAATGTTGCTGGGTCTGCGTTTTTCCACATCCTCTGAACTTTCCTTCCTGCTAGCTTTCTATATTGCTTCCTACTTTTTCTCTGCTTTGGGTATAAGCTTCTAGGAATAGAATTTTAAATCTTAGATGGCTTCCCCATTCTATATAGCTCTTGGGAGTGCTCACGTCAAAGACTTCTGGGAGGCTTTCTGCCCAGAGTTGGGCTGCTGGAGAAGATTATAAAGGCACCACCATTTTTAAGGTTTTTGTTTTGTTTTGTTTGGAAGTTTGGAAGTTTCATTCAGAAAAGTAACCCATGACCACTGAAACAAATCCTGAAAACAGAGAAAAGTATAAAAGCTCAAAACAGAAACAGAAAATCCTACAGAAACCACTCTCCCAGAAAGTACCTATCTTAGTAGTTCATACTGTTTTCTTTCACGGCATTTTGGTTCCTCTAGGTTAACATATACTAAAATTGGAATTATAATTCTGAAATGCTTTTCTCTTTTCGTTTCCAATTTAACAGTGTAGTAGATATTCCTCCGTGTTATTTAAAATTCTTCATGATCATTATTAATGATTGAAAACTTCTGTCCTGTAACAGATATTTTAACATATCATGGTTTAATTAATAATTTCCTTAATGTGGAGCATGCAGGAGGAGCTCTCTACATTTTGCTATTAAAAATAACATGATAGGCCTGGGGGCGGTGTTTCACGCCTGTAATTCCAGCACTTTGGGAGGCCGAGGTGGGTGGATCACGAGGTCAGGAGTTTGAGACGAGCCTGGCCAAGATAATGAAACCCCGTCTCTAATAAAAATACAAAAATTAGCTGGGCACGGTGGCAGGCGCCTGTAATCCCAGCTACTCAGGAGGCTGAGGCAGGAGAATTGCTTGAACCCAAGAGATGGAGGTTACAGTGAGCGGAGATCACGCCACTGCACTCTAGCCTGGGCAATAGAGCAAGATTCCGTCTCAAAAAACCCCCAAAAATTAGCTGGGTGTGGTGGCACACACCTGTAATCCCAGCTACTTGGGAGGCTGAGGCAGGAAAATTGCTTGAACCCAGGAAGCGGAGGTTGCAGTGAGCCAAGATTGCACCACTGCACTCTAGCCTGGGCAACAGAGCAAGACTGTCTCAAAAAAAAAAAAAAACAACCCACAAAAACAAAAATTAGCTGGGTGTGGTGGTGCACACCTGTAATCCCAGCTACTTGGGAGGCTGAGGCAGGAAAATTGCTTGAACCCAGGAAGCGGAGGTTGCAGTGAGCCAAGATTGCACCACTGCACTCTAGCCTGGGCAACAGAGCAAGACTGTCTCAAAAAAAAAAAAAAACAACCCACAAAAACAAAAATTAGCTGGGTGTGGTGGTGCACACCTGTAATCCCAGCTACTCAGGAGGCTGAGGCACAAGAATTGCCTGAACCTGGGAGGCAGAGGTTGCAGTGAGCTGGAATCGCACCATAGCACTTTAGCCTGGACGACAAAGTGAGACTCTGTCAAAAAAAAAAAAAAAAAACCCACAAAAAATAACATGATAAACATCTTTGGGCACAAAACTGCACATTGAGCCATTTCCTGGAATAGACTCCGAAAAGGGGAATTACGTATGCAGTAGAAGGAAAGAGCACTTTTTGAGGCTTTTGATACCTCAAGCAAATGTCCTTTTGTTCTAGACTGGAGGCTATGGTGGGGTGGGCTGCCAGAGACCCTGCTTCCCTGCAGGGGATTCATGTTTCTGCTGAACAGGGGTCCAAACCCATGAGCTCCTGGCTCAGGAAAGGTCCTAGGTGGGCCCATACCCAACAGCTTTTCACAGTGACTTGTGAGAAGCTCTAGGAGTCCTGATGATCTAAATTGTTTCAGTTGAAAGTGGAACAACTAGGAGCATTTTGAAGGCAGAAGTGTCAAGACGCAGAAACTTCTGTGGTGCCAGAAGAGGGGGCTGCCTCCAGCAAGATGGAATTCACCACGGAATATATACCAAGCAGCGTGTGGGCAGGTGTTGTGCACACCACACCCCGCTGCGAGTTGTCCCCGGCTCCAGCCTCTCTATGTTCCTCCCTATCAGCTGACCTCTACACACTCATTTCTTTGCATAGTCTCTGCCTCCCCTAGAATTTCAGCTCCCTTCATCTGTTTTGTTCCCTGCTGTAGACTTAGCCCCCACAAACGTTACCTGGCCCATTGCAGCTGCTCAGTAAATATGCGTGGGCTGAAAGAATGATGAGTGGGGAAGATTGTAAAGACCTGCACAGAGGTCCCAAAATATGATGCTTGTAAGTAAGAATCCTTGCCCGCATTCCTTTACTGGGTTCTTTTTGTTTATTTTGTTTTGTTTTTGAGACAGAGTCTCACTCTTTCACTCAGGCTGGAGCACAGTGGTGCAATCTCAGCTCATTGCAGCTTCTGCCTCCCAGGTTCAAGCAATTCTTATGCCTCAGCCTCCCAAGTAGCTAGGATTACAGACAAGTGCTATCATGCCCCGCTAATGTTTGTATTTTTTTTTAGTAGACATGGGGTTTCACTATGTTGGCCAGGTTGGTCTCAAACTCCTGACTTCAAGTGATCCACCCACCTCAGCCTCCCAAAGTGCTGGGATTACAGGCGTGCGCTCCCGAGCCCGGCCTCCTTTACTGAGTTCTTAATGTGTGCCTGGCATGTATCTCTCGGACACTTCCCAGGTAATTCTGTTATGGATAAGGTGACTACTGTCATCCCATTTATTTCCTGACTCATGCCAGCTTGACATTATAATAAAGCATTTCCCCCATGCTATTTTAAATTCTTTGTGAGCCATAATTTATCTTCCTTTAACATACATAAGAACATTCTGGAATTTGCTCAGTAGCTTGCACAGCTCTAGTATTTACCCAGGAATGGAATTGCTGGGGCCTAGGGTGTGCCTGTGTGTAACCTGCCTCTGTACCTCCAGGTACGTCCTTGCACCTGTACCTCCATTAGCTAGTGTGGCTAATGAGTCCACACTTTCACTCACAGGGCATGAGGCATGAGTGTCTGCACATGCCTGCTAACACTTGGCATCACTGTGCCTTCTTGGCATCACAGTGTCTTCTAATTTTTGCCAGGCTAGTAGGTGTCAAAGATGTCTTATTCTGTTTTTATTTGCATTTCTGATTGCTAATGAGGCCCTAGACCTTCATGCCTGCCCTGCCTGCCCTCACCAGGCCCCTCTGTCCTCCCTTTCCCTACCCTACCCTGACCTCCATGTCTCTTCTGCTTACCCTTCAGAATTTAACATAGACAGACGTTTGCACCTCCGAGGGGCTCTAATCTCAGGCCTCCTCTCTTCCCTCCACGGGCTGCCCTTGTCAATAGCAGCCTGAGGTCGTGTTTACAGATTCTCCTCCAGAGCCTTGCACTGCTGGGATCAGAGTCTGCTCCAGCACCTACAGGCTCTGTGGCCTTAACCAAGGGCCTTAATCTCTCTGAGCCTCAGATCCTTACTTGCAAGCTGGGGATTAAAAATAGCACCTCCTAGAAGACTTTTCTTGAGAATTAGGTGGGATAATTTATTCAAAGTGTTTGGCGCATAGTACTGCTGAGCAAATGTAGCTTTTGGGTTTTAGAGTCCTTGCAGTCCTTGCTTGTCACTATGTTTACCTGACCAGCCTCCAAGCCTAGGGAGTCCTCCTGGGTGGGGCTGTGTTTGCTGCATTTTTGTATTCCCAGCTTCCAGCAGTGCTGGGCAAACCTGAAGTCCTTGACTAATTGGTATGTGTCAGTCTCGCTGGATAAGATTTAAGCATCAAATGAAGGGTTGCTCTAGATGCCCTTTTAAAAGTCTTTTCCAACCCTGAAATTCTCTGATCAGGAAATTATCAAGGAAAAAGTTCTCCTTGCAGGATCTTTTCTAAGATTTCTAAATGGGGACTTTATTACACGGGGCAGGTAATTACAGGAGGCTGCAGCTGCAGCAGAGAGCTTCACATGGCTGGTGGCTGATTGGTGCATTTTGGAGGCTGTCATCTTTGTTCTGACTGGGGGATTGGAATCCTGGCAGAGGCAGGGCCTCTCCCTTAGCAGTACAGTGGAAGGCAGCCCTGCAGGACCCACCCTCAAGCTGGTCAGCCCTCCACTGACTGCCCCAGGGGATGGCAGGCAGCATCTGTTGGCATGTGAATATCAGACAAGTCATGGACAGTAGGAGCAGAGGTGACCGTTGGAACACTCAGCCCAGGAGTCAGTTTCATATATCCCCAGGGGCCACGTGGGTAACACAAATGGGTTGAAACATCTGGGCAAGACAGTAGAGAGCAGTGGGGTCTGCAGTGAATTGTAAAACTGACTAGGTGCCAACCAAAGGAGATGGCTGCCACTCAGCTCTGTGAGATCGTCCTATGGATAATGTGAGCTCAGGGTTCCTGGATCTTCCCCACCTTTTTCAAAGGTAGCCAGAACTCTAGATTTTTATGTAAAACTTTCTGATTATTGTTGCACCTAATTCAAAGTTTTGTTGTGCTCTACAGTGCAGACAAAACATGCCTGTGGGGCAATTGTTTTCATACCTCTGATTTAGCCCAGTATTTGACAGGTTGGGAAACTGAGGCTCAGCAGTTAAGGACTTTCCAGAAGTCCCCAGGGAGTTAGTGACCATGATGGACACAAAGTGCCCAAGTCTGGGCCGGGCGCGTTGGCTCATGCCTGTAATCCCAGCACTTGGGAAGGCCAAAGCAGGCAGATCACTTGAGGTCAGGAGTTCAAGACCAGCCTGACCAATATGGTGAAACCCTGTCTTTACTAAAAATACAAAATTAGCCAAAGTGGGTTGGCACGCGCCTGTAGTCCCAGCTACTTGGGAGGCTGAGGCAGGAGAATCGCTTGAACCCGGGAGGCAGAGGTTGCAGTGAACTGAGATTGCACCACTGCACTCCAGCCTGGGTGAGAGAGTGAGACTCTGTCTCAAAAAAAATAATAAAATAAAAAAATAAAAAAGTGCAAGACTGGGTGAGTTATCCACCAGTTTGGTGGGCTCTTCCCCAGCACCTTTATTCAAGGCAGGGACTAAAGCTTAGAGGAGTAAAGGGACAGGGACTTGCTCAAGGTCACATAGCTTGGAACAGCAGAATCCAGAGAAGGACTGGGGCTTGCTGGCCCTCATCCATGGGACTGTCCAGCCACTGTGTTACTGAAAACGTCCCCATAATGGTTTCAATAAAGTCCTAACCAGGAACTTGGCACAGGGCAAATTCTAGCCTGCTGCCAATCAGCAGGAAAACAGCTCTTATGCCAGTGGGCAGGAAGCTGCCAAGGTGTCACTTCTGCTCAGAGAAAGTGGTTTGTGTATTTGCTGAACTAATATGTTCACCCTGAAGGTACAGAGATCAACTCTATCTCTTTCTGGAGGGTCCCTCCAGCTGGATGCCTGGAGTCTGATTTGACGACATTCCTTTTGCCCTTGACCTGGTGTTCTTAGAGAGCCTGCCTATCAAATCTCATAATCAGTGAGGGATGTTGATTCTTCTTTGTGATCGGGCACATGACTTAGGAAACAAACCTGGGCTTAGAGTTATGAGGGTTGTAAGCAGTTCCAGCTTGCAGTGTTTTAGCTGTGACATTGGGCTGGCCACTTTTATAATTGCTGCCCTGCCAGCCTCACAGAGCTATTGTGAGACTCTGGTTGAATGGATGGATCTAAATTGCCAAGAAAACAGCTAAAGAAATGTAAACTGGTTTTGGCCTTATATTCCTCCTCCTTGAAGGATGACATTTGAGCTGGGACAGGAATGATAGGAGGGAGCCAGAAAATTCAGCAAGTGCAAAGGCCCAGGGGCAGGAATGAGCTTGATTCCCCAAGAATGGATGGGGAGTGTATTAGTCTGTTCTCTGCATTGCTGTAAAGGAATGCATGAGGGTGAGTAATTTATAAAGAAGTGAAGTTTATTTGGCTCACAATTCTGCAGGCTGTACAAAAAGCATAGCACTGGCATCTGCTTTTTGTGAGGACCTCAGGAAGCTTCAAGTTGTGGCAGAAGAAGAAGGGGAGCTGGCATGCCCCATGGAGGGAGAGGGAACAAGAGAGAGGGGAGAGTGCTCATAATAAATATTGATAAAATTATACCTTCTAGGCATAGCAGGGAGGATCAGTAGACTTACCCCCATTAAAGGCATAATAAGGACCAGTGCAATGGCTCATGCCTATAATCCCAGCACTTTGGGAGGCCGAGGTGGGTGGATCACCTGAGGTCAGGAGTTCAAGACCAGCCTGGTGGGTTTAGTAGAAACTCTGTCTCTATTAAAAGTACAAAAATTAGCCAGGCATGGTGATAGGCACCTGTAGTCCCAGCTACCTGGGAGGCTGAGGCAAGAGAATCACTTAAACCTGGAGGTGGAGGTTGCAGTGAGCCGAGATCGCACCACTGCACTGCACTCCAGCCTGGGTGACAGAGCAAGACACCGTCCCCTCCTACCAAAAAAATAGACATAATAAAAGCTAACATAATATTTATATAAATAGAGGGCATTTGGTAATTATGATTTATCACAATCTACTGAGTTGAAATCATTTGTTTTGGTTTAACTGAGTACCAATTCATTCTAACCTCTTTTGGGCTTACTCATAGGCTAGGCCTAGGATTAAAATAATAATTAGTATGAGAGCTGTGCTAATTATTAATTTTAGGTTGCTTGTCTGGAAAACTCATGGTAAGGGTAATAGTAAGAAGATTTCTCCATCAAAGAGGAGAAATGTCATGACTTCTAGAAAAAACTTTATGGAAAAGGGGAGGTGGCCAGAGCCTACTGGGTCAAAACCTCATTCGTAGGGGCTCTTTTAAACAATGAGAACCCTTGAGAACTAGTAGAGTGAGCACTCACTCATTACCCGGAGGACAACATCAAGCCGTTCATGAGAGATTTGCTCCCCATGACCCAGATGCCTCCCACAGGGCCCCACTTCCAACACTGGGGATCACATTTTAAGGTGAGATTTGGAGGGGACAAATATCCAGACTATATCAGGAGCTGACATGACTGAAACAGAGTAAGGGAGAAAGCAGTAGGACAAAGCAGAAGGGGGCTGAAGTCTTGCCAGGAGCAGGGTGTGGGCCCAGGAGGCCTGCTGCCTGGCGTGGCATGGGAGCGAGCTCTCTTGCAAGATGGCAGTGAGGACCTCGTCCTCGGAGGCAGGCCTTTCCACTAAGGCCAGGACCATGATGGGAGAGCAGAGAGGTCCAGAAAATGAAGAAGCTGGCAGAGGGTGGGGGAGTTGGATCACCCCAAAGACATCATCAGGAAGGGAGGGGCAGGTCATCTGGGCTGTGAAATATGAGTAGGGTTTGTCTGGGCAGCAAGAGGGAGATGGACTTCCCAGAGGGCTTGGCATCTGCTGGGGGAGCGGGGGGCCATCGGAGGACGGCACATGGCAATGTGTGGTGTTGCTTCCCTCCTGCCTTGGAAGCTGTGAGTACCCCCACAGGATTGAATTGAAGGCCTAGAACCCTGGATGGGAAAAACCAGGAACCCAGGAGATCTCGAGGGTCTTAGCGGGCAGACCCATGTGATGTCTGAACCCTGACCCTCCCCACCTAGTGCCCCAGGATTGCAGAACACCTCCTTCCTTGTAGCCTTGCTCATTTGCTCAGAAGTCAAGGCCCAGGATGGAATCTCATTGCCTGAGAATGCAGGAGTACGAGGAGCTTCTAGGGAGCCCTTGCTTCTGTCGTGGGAGGGCAGCCTGTGCATTTACCATCCCACTAGGAGAGCATGCGGTGGAGGAGAGGTGCTCCCCAGGAAAGGACTGGCGGCTGTAAGATGGGAGCACAGGATCCTTTGGGAGCAGGGCAACCCCAGCCCACCCTCACCCTCTTGATTCCTGCCTGTTCCATTCTCTTCCATGGCATGGAAGGAGCCCTCACCCCAGGCTCCTTGCTGGAGATATGACGGGGAGCAAATAGCTGTGACACTGGTCCATTCTGAGCTCCTGCAGTGATCCTAAAGCCAAAATGAATAGTACCCAATGCCTGTGGCCAGGGAGCTTGCTGTACTGGGTGGGAAATGGTCCTATGAAGAATGAACTAGGGATGGGTCATTGGTGTTAATCTTAGATCCCCATGAGTAAGAAAGGACATACCTTTGTTGTCTGTGTCACTTTGATTATTAGTGAAGTAAAACTACTCTTTGTAGCCTATTGGTTGTGTGCATTTCTTCAATATTGATTTGCCTTTTATCTACTATTTTAAAAAATTTGTGTTGTGTGCATTTGTGATGATCGTTTTTGCAAGAGCTCTTTGTGTTTATTATGGATATTAGCCAGGTGCCCGACATGGGCTGAAAATACGCTTCCTGGTTTGCCATTTAGTTTGCACTGTCATTCAGGGCATTTAGTCTCTTAGCACAGGGATCAAAATTTTTTCTTTTCTTTTTTTTTTTTTCCAGACAGAGTCTTGCTCTGTTACCCAGGCTGGAGTGCAATGGCGTAATCTCAGCTCACTGCAACCTCCACCTCCTGGGTTCAAGCAATTCTCCTCCCTCAGCCCCCCAAGTAGCTGGGATTATAGGCGCAAGTCACCACGCCTGGCTATTTTTATTTTTGTATTTTTAGTAGAGATGGGGTTTCACCATGTTGGCTAGACTGGTCTTGAACTCCTGACCTTGTGATCCGCCCGCCTCAGCCTCCCAAAGTATTGGGATTACAGGTGTGAGCCATTACGCCCAGCCAAAACCTTTTTCTAGAAAGAATCAGATAATAAATATTTTAGGCTTTGAGAGCCGTGCCATCTCAGTACCATCTGTTTGTGCCATTGGAGCACGAAAGTAGCCGTGGACACTGTGTACACAGACGTTCACATTTCTTATGTGTTCAGTCTTTTCTTCTATATAAATATGGGAGGCCTTCCGTACTCCAAAATTAAATGAAAGAAAAACAAAAAACTAGAGAAGAGGAAAAGTCCTGAAAAGTGATGTAAGTGTAATGCCCCAGCAGTGATGAGTGCTCACAGAAGATGTACTGGAATCTCCTTGGATCTCGGTAGGTCTTTAGTTCTCAGGAGAAGAGGCGAGAGTGGGCGCTGCTGCAGACAGGGGCAAAGTCACGAGTGAAGGCCGAGGCATCTGGGCCTGGGGGAGCTCTTCAGCAGGGCTGGGGTGGGGGTAGCACTCCAGAGGGGTGTCCCCTCATCCTGTGCCTCTCCTCTGATCTTTATTCTTTCCACTGACATTGATGACCGTGTTCTCTGAGGACACTGGGCCCATTGTGTCTTGAGAGACATGTTCAGCCAACCACCTGGTCTTCGTCAGTCCCAGTGAGACCCCAGGTGAGACCCTCCAGCTTCCTTCTATGGAAGCCATCAGGCCCCTTCCTCCCCTCTAATCCGGACCCTCCCAGAGACTGGATTGTCAGGTTTGATCTTAAGGAATCACATGTGAATTTTACTCTTAGCTCCTCTACCCTTTTCTTTTAATGTTGTTTCAAAGATGTTCTTAAACCCAGTGCTGTATTCAAGATATAACTTTCCTATCCTATAACTTTGAATGATAAACTAAAAAACCCAGCTGGTTTTGCAAAGGGTTTTCTGAGTGTGAGAGGGTCAGATGGGTGTTCTCCCTGTCTCCTCCCGACCCTCAGTTTGGTTGGTCTCATGACGTACTGGAGAAACAGGCTCGGGCCTGGACCAACCCTGTGCGGACTCAGACTCACAGCTGGCCATAGGACCTGGGACAGGCCCTTCACCTTTCAATGGCCTCCGAGATGATGGTATGTGTGATGCTTAATATTGACTGTCAACTCGTTTGATTGAATGATAAAAGGTATTGTTCTTGGGTGTCTTTGAGAGTGTTACTAAAGGAGATTAACCTTTGAGTCAGTGGACTGGGAGAGGCAGACCCACCCTCAATCTGAATGGGCACCATCTAATCAGCTGCCAGCATGGCTAGGATAAAAGCAGGCAGAGGAACGTGGAAGGACTAGACTGGTAGACTGGCTGAGTCTTCCGGCCTCCATCTTTCTCCTGTGCTGGATGCTTCCTGCCCTCGAACATCGGACTCCAAGTTCTTCAGCTTTTGGACTCTTGGACTTACACCAGTGATTTGCCAGGGGCTCTTGGGCCTTTGACCACAGACTGAAGGCTGTGCTGTTGGCTTCCATCCTTTTGAAGTTCTGGGTCTCATACTGATCCACCACTGGTTTCCTTGATTTTCAACTTGCAGACGGCCTATCATGGGACTTTACCTTGTGATGGTGTGAGTCAATTCTTCTTAATATTTTTGTTTTGTTTTGTTTTGAGACAGAGTCTCGCTCTGTTGCCAGGCTGTAGTGCAGTGGCTCATTCTCAGCTCACTGCAACCTCTGCCTCCCGGGTTCAAGCGATCCTCCTGCCTCAGCCTACCAAATAGCTGGGACTACAGGTGCATGCCACCATGCCCAGCTAATTTTTTGTATTTTTAGTAGAGATGGGGTTTCACCACGTTGGCCAGAATGATCTCAATCTCTTGACCTCATGATCTGCCCGCCTCGGCCTCCCAAAGTGCTGGGATTACAGGCATGAGCCACCGTGCCTGGCCTTCTCCTTAATAAACTCCCCTTTATATATACATCTATCCTATTAGTCCTGTCCCTCTAGAGAACCCTGACTAATAGTATGTGACTCGAAAGGTCTCTAGTGAAGGTGCAGTGAGACAACTTAGGTAGTATCTGTTGGTGTGGCACGTTGGCATCACTCCGGAGCCTGGTGACCTAAGTTTGGGTGACTGACTTTGCTGCCTACTAGCTGTGTGCCCTGGAACAAGTGACTTCACCTCTTTGTGCTTGTGTAAATATGGAGAGATGATAAGTCACCTACTAATAGATTGTTTGGAAGATTGAATGGCTTAATCCACATCAAGTGTCTGAAACAGTGCACATCTACATAGCTGGGAAATGTTAGCCATTGTAGGCCAAGGGCCAGTCACATACTAGGTGTTCAATAAATACAACCACCCTTCTGTTATTAGATGTGCTGGAACAATTCCATTACACTAACTTTTGCTACTTTTGCAAGAACCACAGATTTAATGCCTATCTACCTCCCCATAAGTACTGTTAATTAAAGTCCCCAAGCCCAGATAACCTTGCTTTCCTGTCCTTAGCAAGCTCTGGCTGGACAAGAATTTTTAAAATGTGTTTGTTGATCTTTTAAAACCCCTAAGATGAGTATTTACTGCCAAAATGTGCAAGTGTATCACAAGGATTTAATTCAGGCACTAGATAATAATGCTGGAGATTTAAAGAAGGAAAATGACGAGGTTTTCATTTCTTTGCCCTCTATCTGCTATGGCTACAAGCACTTCTGTTTATCATTTAAAATCCTATTTGAAAAGGTCACTGGTTATTTGCGTGAATCATACAGTGTGAGGACTTAGGAAAAAAGAGCCAAAGATTGGCCGCCGCAGTCACCTGCTTCATTCCCTGTCCTTCCCCTGTGATGGAGTTTGCTCCGAGTCTCTGCTGTTCTCAGCTTATGGTGGCCACCATGGGGTACAGGAGGACCACTGGGTCCAGGCAACATGACGCTGTCAGTAATGATGAGAAAACCAGACACTGCTCAGAGTGCATGGAGTTTGTAAATCCACTTGAAATTGGGCTGGTGCAACTGAGGAACGGTGCTTTAAATTTTATTCCATTTTAATTATTAGCTAATTATTTTAATTAATTAGCTAATTAATTAGTGGCACTAATTAGTTAATTAATGCAATTGAAAAACTGCATTTTAAACTGAAATTTTCAATCCACTCTCATTTTTACTTGCATTCCCATTTTACAGAGGAGAAGTCTGAGGGTCCAAATGCTTTAGCACAGGTTTAGAATTGCCCGGCATGTACATAGTGGACCCGCTCTCTTCAGATAGGTGCAGACTATCTCTGAAAGCTCACTCTGCCTCAGTTCCTCTCTAACGATGTGCAGCAGGTATTCACCAAGCTTCCAGTAGCCTGTGTTTCACATGATGTGAGGTGAAGGGGTGATGGTATATTTATTGGCCTCGTATCTGATAGTTGCCTGCACATTGTGCCCAGAGAAGCACTTTGGGAAGTGGAGCTGGTGTTCAAAAGGCCACTAATTGGCTTATTCCCCAGGATTCATCTTCAGTTGTTGAAATCTATTTTTTGAAAGGCTTAACCTGGGAAGTCCCCTGAAAACAGGTGTGTGATGCAGTAGGGACAGCGGGAAACCAGGGGAAGTTTCCAGAGAGAAGTGTGAAGAGCCATTCTCCATTGCTATTTTTTTTTTTTTTTTTTTTGAGACAGAGTTTCACTCTTGTTGCCCAGGCTGGAGTGCAATGGTGTGATCTTGGCTCACTGCAACCTCTGCCTTCTGGGTTCAAGCAATTCTCCTGCCTCAGCCACCCGAGTAGCTGGGAATACAGGCGTGTGCCACCAAGCCCAGCTGATTTTTTGTATTTTTAGTAGAGATGGGGTGTCACCATTTTGGCCAGGCTGGTCTCGAACTCCAGACCTCAGTTGATCCACCCGCCTTGGCCTCCCAAAGGACTGGGATTACAGGCGTTAGCCACGGTGCCTGGTCCTCCTTCACTAATTTTTGCTGGGTTACATTCACTGCCCTCCAGAGGGACATGATCAGCTCTGCTTCCCTCACTGACCTCGTCCTGTAAAATTATCCCTTTTACTCAGCACACCTGTCCCACACCGGCTGAATACCACCAGCTACTTTCCACCCTGTGATCTCCCACTGGCATGTCCCTCCGCCTGAGCTCCGCTCTCCTCACATGGTGTTTGCAAGCGGCTCACTCAGGAGCTCAGTCTCATGGTCCCCCTGGTGCCCCACGCCCTGTCATTTGCAGTGATGTTCTGTGATCCTCACAGGAGGCTTGTGAAGTCCTATTCTCATTTTACAGATGAACCTTAGAGAGGCTCCATAGCTAACTCAGAGTCTCCCGTCAAGTGAAACACAAGGGTGGAACCCACGTCTGTCTGGCCCTAGACCCTGTGCCTCAACTGCACAACCAGTGTTCTCCGATAGAACTTTCCCAGTGATGGAAATATTCAATATCTGTACTGTCCTGTTCAGTAGCCGCTCACTGCATGAGGCTACTAAGCACTTGAAATTTGGCTGGTGACACTGAGGAACTGTGCTTTAAATTTCATTCAGTTTTAGTTAATTAGCTAATTATTTTAATTTATTAGCTAATTTAGTTAGGAACACTAATTAGTTAATTAATGAGTGCATCTGAGGAACTGCATTTTAAACTTAAAATTTAATTTTAATTGGAAATAGCCACATGAGGCTAGTAACTGTAAAGAACTGTGACAAGCCTGAGATGTCTCCCTATTTGCAAGCTGACAAATTAGCCTGCTGACAGATGCTGGCAGAAGACAGGAGCTTCCTGGATCAGAGACAAGGGACTTCATTACTCAAAGCACAGCGGGCAGCCAGCTTGAGTTTCATACTTGCGTCATTTCTGCTTGCCTCTAAGTCTTATGGGGTTTTGTGCAAAAGCATTTACCATTATCTGCACTGTTTTGTATGATGCACAAGCTTTCAGAGAGGGACTATATATTTCACTCCTCATTGTATCTCCAGTATCCCAAAGAGAGCCTGGCACATTCTTGGGACCCAACGAGTCTTTACTAAATGACCAATGGCTCTGGTTCCTCACAAAAGCCAAGAGTCTGGACTCGGTGGTTATAGAGGATCCTCCCAGCTCTTGAGAAAGGTCTCTGAATTTGAGCGAGTGCCCTGCTTCTGAGATTGTCTCTTCCTTACAGTCGCTGCAGAGATCAGCCTCAAACAGGGATCTCAGTTTCCTCCCTGTAGAACCTGAGTCTGGGACTCCGTGCACGTAGATTGCAGAGGAAGTGTTCCAGGGAAAGGGTGGGGGACACAGGGCTACGCAGGGGAGCTGCTGAGCAGGGATGTGCTCCCAGCTAGAGTCAACCTTCAGCCTGATCCCACGGCCAACCCCAGAGCACAAACTGTACCATGAGGCTGTCCCACAAACCTGAAAATTTGGCCTGGACTCAGGGACATTTGGGAGCCTCAGAAGATTATAGGCAGCAGAAAGGAAAGACAGGAATCCGATAATTCCACATAAGAAACGTGTTCTGGACTCTGGAGTCCAGGTAGTTTGGTGTTTGAATCAGACTCCAGGTGGCAGTAGGGAAGAGAAATGAGTGTGCCTCCACGCTGTTGGGGAAAGATGCCTTTTTTTCAACTCTAGTACTTACCATCAGTGGGGGAAACTGAAGGAAAAGGTAAAGGAGGCCAACCCTGTGTAACCCCATGTCCCTCTGTCATTGTCTGTGGGCTGCCTAGGGTGTGGGGGGTGAGAGGGTGGGCACCTCCCAGGGGAGGCAGCTCCTCTGTGGCCAGAGGCAGTTCTCTGGATCAAGGGACAGCTGTGAGCTGTCAGCAGCCAATAGTCACAGCAGCTGAGGGGTGGTGGCCCAGCCAGAAGAGGCCTCTGGGCAGAGTGCCAGCAGCATCTACTCTGCAGGGACCCAGCACCTTCCAGGTAGCCTGACCCCAGCTAAGGAAATGAAAACCTGAAACCTGCCTTTCCAGGTGAAGTGGCTCCGAGGGTCACCGGGCGTAATTTGCTACCTAAGGAAAGTCCAGTGGTTCTTGATTACCATCCCCTGCCCTCCATGCTGCTCAGGTTTCCTGCTCGTCCTTTGGGCTGGCCTGGAGAAGAAAGAAACAATACGTCTTCTTTTCTTCATGTCCCTACAATGTGCCAGGAACTCTCCAAGAGACTTGGCCTATATTATCTCATCTAACTTTCCCAGCAACCCCGAGAAATGGGCCTGGTAATGCCCGTGCCTGCAAGGTGGAAGCCGTGGCTGGCAGAGGTGAAATACCTTCCTGGGAATACCTTCACAGCTAGGAATGGCAGTGCCAGGACTCGAAGCCAACCCTCCTGGGCCAAAGCCTATGCTCTTCCCTACCATCGCCATGGGCGTGGGTTGTGGGGAAGATGCATCACAAGACTGTGCCTTCCTGTTCTTTCTCTTTCTCCAGGCAGACCCAGAAGGCACTGCAGGACTTCAGAGAGCAAAGAGGGAAGTCAAGGAACCTTATCCTGTGGTTTCCTCTACTGATGAGTGGTGGAGTTGAGAATGTCCATCTTTCCCCAACAGCATGGTAGCACACTCATTTCTCTTCCCTACTGTCACCTGGCATCTGATTCAAACACCAAATTACTTGGACTCCAGAGTCTAGAACACGTTTCTTATGTGGAATTCTTGGATTTCTGTCTTTCCTTCCTGCTGCCTATAATCTTCTGAGGCTCCCAAATGTCTCTGGGTCAAGGACTAACTTGTAGGCCTGGGTTTTGAGGTCCCTCTGCAGTTTGCCAAGTTTCTTTATTTTTATTTTTATTTATTATTTATTTATTTATTTATATATTTATTTTTTAGTAGAGACAGGGTTTCACCGTGTTCGCCAGGATGGTCTCCATCTCCTGACCTTGTGATCCACCCACCTCGGCCTCCCAAAGTGTTGGGATTGTAGGCGTGAGCCACCACACCCAGCCCAGCTTTTTTTTTCTTTTTTTTGGGACAAAGTCTCACTCTTGTCCCCCAAGCTGGAGTGCAATGGCACGATCTCGGCTTACTGCAACCTCCGCCTCCCAGATTCAAGCAATTCTCCTGCCTCAGCCTCCTGAGTAGCTGGGATTACAGGTGCGTACCACCACGCCCGGCTAATTTTTGTATTTTAAGTAGAAACGGGGTTTCACCATGTTGGCCAGGCTGGTCTCGAACTCCTGACCTCTGGTGATCTGCCCACCTCTGCCTCCCAAAGTGTTGGGATTACAGGCGTGAGCCACCGTGCCCAGCCGCAGTTTGCCAAGTTTCTTCCAACCAATCCTATCTTTCAAGGTTGCCCATCACCATCTCCCACTGTAATACAAAGGAGATCTGCCATTTATTTGCTTAATACCTAAAAATATTTGCTCTTATTTAGGGAGCCCTTGCCACATGCCCAAGCTGGGCAGATCGCTTTGTACGTGTTGTCTTGTGTGAGCCTCACAAGGACCCCATCAGGTCAGTCCTGTTGTTCTCATCTTACAGATGAAAAATTGGAACTCAGTGAGGTATAATAACCTATTCAAAGTCTCAAAGCCAGTGAGGAATAGAACAAGGGTTAATGCAAGTCAGTCTGGCCCAGAACCTGTGCTCTCTACTTCTCGGTCAGCACTCTCCAATAGAACTTTCCTGATGATGGAAATGCTCTATGTCGGTACTGCCCAGGTCAGTAGCTGCTAGCCACATGAGACTGTTAAGCACTTGAAATTGAGCTGGTGCAACGGAGGAACTGTTCTTTAAATTTTATTCTATTTTAATTCAGTTAATTTAATTAGTGGCATTAATTAGTTAATTAATGAGTGCAACTGAGGACTTGTATTTTAAATTTAAAATATAAGTTTAATTAGAAATAGCAGGTGAGTGCAGTGGCTCACGCCTGTAATTCCAGCACTTTGGGAGGCCGAGGTGGGTGGATTGTGGGGTCAGGAGTTCGAGACTAGCCTGGCCAATATAGTGAAACCCTGTCTCCACTAAAAATACAAAAATTAGCCAGGCATGGTGGCACACACCTGTAATCCCAGCTACTCAGGAGACTGAGGCAGGAGACTCGCTTGAACCCAGGAGGTGGAGATTGCAGTGAGCCAAGATTGCACCACCGCACTCCACCCTGGGCGACAAGAGTGAAACTTCGTCTCAAAAAAAAAAAGAAAAGAAAAGAAAGAAAAGAAATAGCCACGTGAGGCTAGTAGATATAAAGAACTGTGACAGACCTGAGATGTCAACCTATTTGCAAGCCAACAAATTAGCTCGTTGGCAGATGCTGACAAAAGATAGCAGCTTCCTGGATCAGAGCCAAAAGACTTTACTCCAGCACGGCAGGCAGCCTTAAGTTTCATGTTTACATCATTTCTACTTGTACCCCAAGACCCACGGGCTTGCTTCATAGATGAGGAACCACAATCTTTTATTATAATGGGCTGCAAGTGAACCTACTCAACTTCTCTCTTGGAGGGAGGCATTATCTTTATGATACTGGAGAGTAAGCACACCTGAGCCCTGCTCTGGAAGGAGACACTATCTCTATGTTCCAGGCTCTGTGCCTCCTTAAAAAGGTAGTTCAGAAAAGAAGGCTGTCAGTGCTTCTGCTTGCAAGACACACAGAAGTGCAAGAGACCCATGAAGAATTGTCTGTCAACCATGGATCCTGCATTGGATACTGCAACTCCAAATTGTCTGCAGTGCCTGTTCTGGGATGTTTCACATGTACTACATCATTGACCACCCCCAGGTGTCTGCAGAGTTAGCCCGTCTTTTCTGTTTAGCAGATGAAGAAACTGAGGCTCACTCTCACCCAACTTCCTGAACTTCGAGATCGTGGATTCTCCTCCCCATTACCAACTCTTTCTACTTCCCCCTAGATCCCCCGAAAAAACAAAAATCTGGAATGTTTGTCCTCCTCACTCCTTTTCAAAACTTTACCCTCCAAGACTAGAATTCCTTTTCTCTTCTGCCTTGTCATCTTCTTCCCATTTTCCAGAAGAGTTGCCAGTCTGACCTCCTCTCCGAAGCCTTCCCTGCCCAGCCCAACCTATGCTGAATTCCCCTGTCTCTTCTCGACCATAGAAGGTCCTATCTCATACTCTTGAGTGGAAGCTCTTGAGGGCAGAGCCTGTACCTTCCTGTGGCCACTCTCCCCCAGCATGGCCTATCTCAGGACTTGGGGGAAAAACAAACTAACAAATAAGGACTCAAAAAACCAAACCAGAAACAAGCAGCTATTATTTTATGCCTGGGATTGACTTCCCACTTCACTACCCACTTTCAGTTCCAGGCCCCAGGCAGTGGGTGAATGGGCTTGATTCTTTCCCAGAAACGGGAGATGTTTTGAAATGACTCAAAGAAAAGCTGATTGGATTGGATTGAGTTTTGGTAAATCCACCCACAAGAGCAGAGAAACTTGACATTTGCCTTCCAAGCCAGCAAAAGGGATGAATCTCATTTCCTTCTAACTGAGCAGGAGGCCCAGCGATGGAATGATGACTGAGCAGGTCTCAGGAGACTGGGTTCTAGTCCAAGTTCTGAGGCTGGCTGGCTCCATGACCTTGGGGAAGGCACTGCCCTTTTCCAGGCCTTAGTTTCTCATCTATGATGCAGGACTGGAGGAGGGGGAGAGGAGTCAGACTCTCCAGATGCCCTCCCTCCCCACCTTCCATGCTGGGCTTCAGTGATCCTCCAGGCTGGGAAAGCCCAGCCTTCACAGGAACCCAGTGAAGTTCTGCTCCTCCCAGCCTCCTTTCTGCCACCTCCCTGAGCAGGACCAGCCTCCCCTCCTCTCCATGTACAGTGTAGACATCCCACACTGCCTGGCTGAGGGAGCACCTACTGTAAGGCTGTGCTGAAAGAGCAGCACTTGATTCTAATCCAGACTCCTCTATCTTCAGCCCTAATGCATCACCTCATCGTAAACATAATTCACAGTGCTGCCATCTCTGCCTTTCAAGGTGGGCAGTGCATGTTTTTTTCTCCACTCTCGTTCAGTTATTTTTAGGAAATGCCATGTAGTTCCATATACTTGACATGTACCTGCTTTCACTACATCTGGAGATATTCAGGAAAGTCCTTGTTAACGATAAGGCCTAGGGTGGAGCTGCGACGTACTTGCCATTTGTAAAAGCCAGGCAGAAGAGTCCATGCGGGTTAGACACAGATAAGGAAAAACAATTGATCAAAGAACAATTGGCCCAGCTAGGGTGGAGTTTCTTAAGGCAGCCAGGAAGTGGGGGGCTGGACGGAGGGAGGAAGGAAAGGAAGGAGGGAGGGCCTTCAAGGAGGGGTGGCGGAGATGGGGCGGAGGGGGAGCAGACAGTGGATCCTAATTGTTACAGGCACTGAATCCTTACAACAGCCCCAGAATGTAAGGATGCTTATTATCCCTGTTTTGCAGATGAGAAAACTAAAGTTCAGAGATGAAATGGCTTATCCATGGCCACTGAGCTGCAAAATGGCAGAGCCTGAGTGGAAGTCGGCTCTCCTGACTATCTACTCAGTTCTTACAAATCAAACGTTTGTTGGGGGGCGTTAGAATACTTGCAAAAGGAACTCTGTGTTTGTCAGCTTTGCTGCATAACAAAATCTTCCAAGCTCAGTGACTTGCAACAGGTGTTTATTTCTTGTTCGTTACAAGTGAAAATGCTGTGGGTAACCTGCAGGTCAGCTGTGGCTCAGCAATGCTCTGTGAATTTTCTCAGTTTAAGGTCCAGGGTGAAGGTAGTCGCTAACCAGGACATGCTGTCCTCTAACCAGAACTGAAAGAACTACTTAGTCAGATTTCAGCTTTCTGCTCAGAGATGGCACATACCAGAACTGCACACACTCTGTCAACCAAAGCAAGTGACATGGCCAAGCCCAATGTCAGTGGAGCAGGGAGGTATACTGTCTGTCCTCCCACAGTGAGAGGTGGAGGCTGCTAGAAGGGGAATAAATAGTTGCATAATGCAGTTGGCCACACTGGGCTCTGCAGACAGATGCCTGGGTCTGACTCCTATCTCTGTCACTTAATAGTTGTAGTCATATGGCCTTCAGCAAAGTGCTTGACCACACTGTGCCTCAGCTTCCTCAACTGCAAAATGGGGATGATAATTATAGTCCTGCATTAATTTGCTAGAACTACCATAACAAAATATCACAAACTCGGTAGCTTAAACGACAGAAATTTATTTTCTCACAGATCTGGAAGCTGGAAGCCCAAGATCAAGGTGTCATCAGGGTTGGTTTCTGATGAGGGCTCTCTTTCTGGCTTGCAAATGGCAGCCTTCTAATTTGTCCTCACATGGCTTTCTTATGTGCATATGGTGAGAGTGCTTTCTGGCACCTCTTTTTTTTTTTTTTATAAGGACATCAATTCTAGCAGATTAGGGCCCCACCATTATGACCTCATTTAACCTTATTACCTTCCTAAAGGCCTTATCTCCAAATACAGTCATCTTGAGGGTTAAGGCATCAACATATGAATTTGGTGGGGGTGTGGGGGACGGTTCATTCCATAGCAAGGGCCAATTCTGCAGGGCTCTTGTGATGATTTAAATGGGTTAGGACAGCGTCTGGCCTACAGGCAAGCACTGAATAAGAGCTAAGCTGCTCTTAGTACCCCAGGGATAGCAGGCCTCACATTATCATATTGGCTATTCCCTGCACTGATAATGCCTCATTTGCTTTCTTTGTCCTTTGGCAACCTCTCCCAATTCCTGGCATAAATGAGGTGACCAGGAAATGGATGCTTGAGTCCCCCGGTGAATCCTGAGGCAGTTGACAGAAGGCACGCAGGGTTTGAGGTGCCCTGGGCTGCACTCCCTGCTGTGTTGCTGACCTGCTTGGAGACTTTGGCCAAGCCACCATCTTCTGCCAGCCAGGATGCACCTCATTAAGACAAGGCTTGTTCTGCCCACGACATCTCAGCAGATTTCATTTCCCCATGGCCTTCTGTGGCTATTCCTACGTATTGGGTAGTGCTCAGAGCCAAAGTCCTAGAGATTTTTGGTTGTTGTTGTTGTTTGTTTGTTTGTTTTGAGACGGAGTTTCACTCTTGTCACCCAGGTTGGAGCACAGTGGCACAATCTCGGCTCACTGCAACCTCCACCTCCTGGGTTCAAGCGATTCTGCTGCCTCAGCCTCCTGAGTAGCTGGGATTACAGACGCCTGCCACCACACCTGGCTCATTTTTGTATTTTTAGTTGAGACAGGGTTTCACCATGTTGGCCAAGCTGGTCTTTGAACTCCTAACCTCAAGTGATCCGCCCACCTCGACCTTCTAAAGTGCTGGGATTACAGGCTGAACCACTGCACCCGGCCAGAGAGATTGTTCTTTTACATAAATGTTCTTATAGATTCCAAATTGACAGTACTTCTCCAAACCCTCTCCCACAGCTACTGCTCCCCACCTCAAGAGAGCACCTAATGACCCTGCCGGATAGGGCTGGGCTGGACGGGCATAGGAGAACTTACTCTAGCTGCCTGTGTCTGGGGCAGTTTCTGGTTATGACTAGGAGCCTGAGTGTTTTCCTGCTCTTGAGTAGCCACCCACAGACACAGAACGACCTAGGCTTGGGGTGAACTCTTGGGATTCCATGGCAACACTGAAAAACCCTGTGTTGATTTTTCTATCCTCGCTCATGTTACCTTTCCCACATCTGGCCTTGCTTAGAAAGAACGATGTCTGAGGCTGTTTGTTTATTAGAGAGCTCTGTTAGCCGAGGAGAGACAGATTAAAGGCCGTGGGGACAGCCAAGCCTGTCCAAGTCCCCTTGCCTGGTGTGGCTCAGCCCAGCAGTGTTAGGAAGGAGAGCACCAGGTGAAAGTTCTTGGTGCCCTCCCAGCTCACTGCTAATTCATTATTTGTATGATGACTAATTCAGTGCATTTTTGACCTTCTCAGTCTCAACTTCCTCATCAGGGAAACAGGAACAAAGATACCTCCTGTGAGATGTACAGCATCTGACCCAGAGTAGAAGGTGATGATGATGATGAAGATGATGATAGTTCAGCCCTCAGGGAGCATGGCTGAGAGGCCAAGCATGCTTTACGCACTTCATATTCATTGATCCTCTTAATCTTCTTGGCAACCCTAGGAGGTGGGGACTACTATTCTTTTTCTTTACAGATGAGGAAACTGAGGCACAGTGAGGTTAAGTGACTCCTGGCAGGATGTACAGCCAGTGAATGACAGGGCTGAGAATTGGACCCAGGCTGTCTCGCTTCATAGCCCCCCACCCTCATCACTGCCCTCAGACCCAGGTGACATTAGTTATGTTAAGCTGTGTCTCCTCCCTATAACCTTCCCTGCAGTGTTGGGGAAAAGGACGCAAAGAGCAGGTGTTGCTTGTTCTGAAAAGTACTTACTTGTAATTATACTAAAAATGTCCCTTTCGAGTTGTTTCTTTAGAGAGTCAGAGGCAGGGCAGCCCCACCCTAGGCACCTCCTCCCTCCTTCTGGCCCCCGTGGGCCTCTTGGTGTGATATTAACGTCTGAGGGCCTCAGACTCATCCATTATTGATGGGGCATGGGGAGAGGGTGAGAATGAGGCCCAGGCGGTCTTAACAGCTCAGAAAGTTCTTTTTATCCCTGTCCCTGGTGGAAAAGTGCATTACAGGTGACAGGAGCAAAAGCAGCTGTGACCAAAGCTGCTGCCAGCTGTGGGTAGAGCATGATTATCATTTGTTATTGCCCTCAACTGAGCACCCTCTTCTCATTCAAGATTTAGGAAAAACATTACAACAATGACAACACCACTTCTCTGATCTTGAGTCTTAGATTCACGTCTCTCTGTTCCTTCGCAAAATGCCTAGCTGTCTGTTTCCTGCCAGTTAGAAGAATATGCCAGACTCAGAACTACCTCCCGCCCCTGCCCAGTGAGATCTGTGACCTGCCCCCAGCCCTGTTGCGAGTGCACACGCTTCCCTGGGGATGGGGGTGGGTGAGAACAGCCTTTGACCTGCAGACCTGGATTCCAGTCCCCATTCTGCCCTTGCTCCCCTTAGTACGCCGAGCTGCTCGACCTCCGAGCTTCGGTTTCCTTGTGTGTGATGGCGAGGCTGGAGCTACCCCAAGGGACTGTCATGAGGCTAAATAATGTATGTGAAAGGCCTTAACCCAGTGCCAGGCACACAGCAGGTCCCAGAAAAAGGATGTGCCATCCTCTCACTTTCTGTCTACCCCACCCATCCTCATCCTTCAGGGTTTGAGCAAGAGCCCTTTGTCCTGGCCCTCTTTGCCTCATTCTTCCCCCATTTCGGTGTTTTGCATGTTGATTAAAACTCTCTGGGGCAGGCTCTCCAAATTTAGCATTTTTACAACAGGAAGTGGTCTTAGAGATCATGCGGTTCAGAGCTTTCTGTTTGCAGTTTGGGACAGGAAGCTTCTGCACGTAGGTCCCCTGGCTCCCATCCAGTGCTCTTTAGGTGACTCTCTTCTCTCCCCACACTGAGTGGCTTGAAAGGGCTCAGAGGCTTCACATGAGCACTTAACATTTACTGTGTATATCTGAGCCAAGTAGGGAAAGAAACTGTCTCACCAATCCTCACGCCCTCTCCCCATGCTAAGTCTCCCGAGTATTTTCTTCTGTTTTTCAGATGAAGAAACTGAGGTTCAGAGAGGTTAAGAGACTCCACTGAGGTCACACAGCCGGTAAGTGGCAGAGCTGGGATTCGAACCCAGCTCTCTTTCACTCCAGAACCTGTGCTCTAAATTGCCTTGCTTTCTTTGCCTTAAAAAGGGGAGACCTGCGACTTTGTTTTCTGTTTTGATGGTACTCACACAGATTCCTGGGTTGAAAGGAGAGGGCCCCTGGGTCCAAAAATTCAGAAGGGTGGTGGCATTTGAGAAAAACATCCCCATTCCCAGTGGGTGCCGTGGCCGGGACAAACCCGGAGCTTAGGCGCACCTGGGTTCAGGATCGAGCTCACTGTAGCCAGCAGGAGCCTGGGTCTGTTCTCCCAGGAGGGTTGCTCCGAGGCCTCAGGAGCTCTAGGAACCAGACCCCTGGGACCCCACAGCAGGGCCCAGGTGCCTCGTCGTGTGCTGTGTGCCTCACATTCTGCCTCAGCCACAGAGGAGCCCGGCAGGCAGGACTCAATCTCACTCAGCACCACTCTGGATGGTTGCGTAGTTACACCGTGTGGTTTGTAGTATTTTTGGTTTTGTTGTTTTTGCAAAAGCCAAAGGAAGTCTGTGGGCTGAGTTCTACCTTCCCTTCTTTGAGGATAGTTGGTCTGCTCAGTCAGGGACAAGCAGAGCTCAGCTAGAGAAAAAAAAAACCCTCCAAACACGAGGTTGACAGATCTGAGGGCACCTGCCCTAGCTGGACACCAGCCCTGGCTGTTCATGGGCAGGGCTCATTGGAAGTTTCATTATAATCATCCCATTTTCCAGATAAGGACACTGAGGCCCAGAAACAACCACACCCCCACCTCTTGGGAGGCACAAATCAAAATGAATCTTTGCTCCCTGAGTGCTGAGCGCTTTGCTGTTTCACAGCTCACTGTCCCTGCAGTCCACATGTACTCATTGAGGGCCTACCACTGCTCCCAGCAGGCACACAGCAGTCAGGGAGTCGGATGAACTGCCTGCCTTCTGGCGGGGGAAGACAGAGGGACAGACATTCAGTCCACTGTCGAGCGCCAGTTCCTGATGAAGGCTGTGAAGGGGAATGCCACAGAACAAGTGGCAGAGACAGCGATTTTAGGGTGACCAGGGAAGGCTTCTCCAAGGAAGGCATTTGGACAGAAACGTGAATGCAGTGAGTGAGCAAGCCATATGGATTCTGGGGTAGGAACAGTTTTGGTAGAGGGAACAGCAGGTGCAAAGGCCCTGGGGCAGGGAGTGTGCTTGGTGTAACATCCCGCTCTTTGAGTTTGATTCTCTGGGTGTTTGCTCCCATACCCCACTACCATCACAGTGGCTGCTCACCTCTAGTATCCCTTCCTTAGTTACCTCCAAGTGTCTGCAGGAATGTGGCAGTGGGGTGGGGGTTGTGTAGCAAGAAAAATCCGCTGGGCATGGTGGTTCATGCCTGTAATCCTAGCACATTGGGAGGCCGAGGCAGGCGGATCACCTGAGGTCCGGAGTTCAAGACCAGCCTGGCCAACATGGTGAAACCCTATCTCTACTAAAAATACAAAAATTAGCCAGGCATGGTGGCGGGCTCCTGTAATCCCAGCTACTCGGGAGGCTGAGGCAGGAGAATTGCTTGAACCCAGGAGGCACGGAGGTTGCAGTTAGCCGAGATTGCGCCCGTGCACTCCAGCCTGGGCAAAAGAGCGAGACTCCGTCTCACAAAAAAAAAAAAAAAAAAAAAAAAAAAAAATTCCAACAAAATTGCATGGGAGAGAAGAAAGGTGTATCTCTAATAGGAAACTACTTGTCTTAGTCCTTAATCCTCTTTGCACAATTTCTGTGTTTGGTGAAGTTTGCAATGGTTTTGTCTTCTTGCTTTGCATGTGTTCTCAAAATGCCTTCTTTAACTAAGGCTGTGAGTTCACAGCACACTGCAGTCCACTGTGTCAGGCCCGTCTTTCCAGGCAGGGCAGGAATCCGGATTCAAAAACCACAGAAATAGCAGAAGAAACAGTTTTGGCAACTACACTGCTGACCTTGTGCTGAGCTCAGGGAGGGAGGTGCAGCAGGCAGACAGGGCCCAGGTAGGGGTGCAGTGGCTGACAGACCTCTGTCTTGGCACAGCCATTAGGCTCAGGCCCCTGTGTGCGGGCTCAGGTCCCTCCTTCATCACAGGGTGGTATTGGCACCAGCCTGGGGGAGCAGTTCATGGGGCTGGGTGTGCTGGAAGAGACGTGCTGAGAAGTTAGGGACCCCAGGTTCTCTCTGACTTTGTTTTCTGTTTTTATTTTGCTCACATAGATTTGTGAGTTGTTAAAAAAGAAGGGCTCCTGGGGCCAAGAACTCGGAAGAGGGGTGGTATTTGGGAAAAACAGCCCCATCCCCCTTGGGTGCCGTGGCCTGGACAATCCCAGAGCATCAGCATACCTGAGTTCAGGATTGAGCCCATTATGGCCGAGAGAGGCCCTGGTCCCCGTCTCAGGAAAGTTGCTCCGAGGCTCCAGGCGCTCTAGGAACCAGAACCCTGGGCTCCACAGCAGGGCCAGGTGTCTCCTCAGGTGCTGTGGTCTCATCTTAGTGCCACCTCAGCCAGTGTACAACCTTGGGCAAGTCACGCCCCCTCCTGGAGACTCTGAAAATGGAACAGAAAGGTGTGGTCATCTGTGTGTTCCTCTGTGATCTGGAAATGCTACAACCTTTGCTTCTAAGGCAGGTAGTAGCCAGGCATGGGGACGGGGCTTCTGTCAGCTCCCCTTTGATTTTGTAGACCTCTGGCTCTTAGCAAAGAGATGTCCTAGGAAGGAAGGGCAGTACCTTGGTGATCCTGTCTTGCACATATAGACTGGAGCTTCAGCCCATTCTCACCTCTCCTTCACCTGAGACCTGTGGCTGCAGAACCAGAAACTCATTTCCAGAAGCAGCAGAATGTCTCTCTTTCCGCAGGGCTCAGAAGTATGTATTAAGCCTTCCATTAACTGCATCTTACTCAGCTGGAAAAATAATACTCAGGATGCAATTTTATCTGATTTCTGGCCTGTAAGCTCCTGAAGGGTTCTCTTAAGAAAGGCTCAAAAAACTCCTGCGCTGTGTGACTCGGAGCCCAGCCCTGTAGCCTCCCTCCAAGGAGCAGGCAGCTCAGTGGTTGACCAGCAAGCCCATCATCATTCAGCACTACTGGGTTATCCATCTGTCCGTCTGTCAATTAAACAAGTGCTTATGAGGGCCTGGGGCCAGGGGCACATACCGAGATTACTAAGACTAAATAAGACACAGCGTGTGCCCTCCACAGCAGTTCAGGCGCAACCTGACCACTTTCTCTATTTGGTTAAACTCCAGAAAGTTCTTGACTTTATTATTCGCAGTTCAAAAGCAGCATGAGCTTTTGTGTCTGCTCCCCTTCACCCACTAAGTGTCATGACGAGCAGGCAGAACGCCCATATAGATGCCACACATGCTATGGGTTACGATATAGGACAGGAACACCGAGCTTGGGGTATCCACCATCTTGTGGCAGACAGCAAGCAAGCCAGCTTTTTGTCTCAGAGAGAAACATTACCTCATGTCTCAGGATTGGTTGCTGCAAACCCAACCCAGGTACAGAGCAGTCAGAGCCTTGCATTCTTTGTCTACCCAGCAAGATGTGTAGGAATGCAAGAAACTCATGGAGAAGTGTCTCCAAACAATGCATTAGCATTGCACATGTCTGGATTTGAATCCTACGTCTAACAATTTAAGTGCGAAATTAAGTGCGAAATTGGGTAAATTGCAATGGCTGAACTTCTCAGCCTCAGTTTCCTCTTCTATAAGATGGGGATAATGCCTACTTTCCAGGTGACTGTGAAAGAGAGTGTAGGGTCACTCGTCTGGGAACACAGTAGTGAACTAAGAAAGCCCTTGAGTTCAAGAAACTTAGTTGCACGGGGAATCCTTTCAGCTATGTATTAAGTATGCAATGCCAGTTAGTCATGTGTGTGGAAAAGAATAGAGGAGGCTGGGCACGGTGGCTCATGCCTGTAATCCCAGCACTTTGGGAGGCTGAGGCAGGCGGATCACCAGGTCAGGAGATGGAGACCATCCTGGCTAATATAGTGAAACCCCATCTCTACTAAAAACACAAAAAATTAGCTGGGCGTGGTGGCACACACCTGTAGTCCCAGCTACTCAGGAGGCTGAAGCAGGAAAATTGCTTGAACCCAGGAGGTGAAGGTTGCAGTGAGCCAAGGTCGTGCCACTGCACTCCAGCCTGGGTGACAGAGCGAGACTCTGTCTCAAAAAAAAAAAAAAAAAAAAAAAGAATAGAGGAAAAACGCAGAGGCCGATACACATCATGGTTCAGGGACAGTTGCTGCAAGGATTTGCCATGTGACCCAGCACCCTGAATTGAGTAAAGGAATGACCTTACTACCTGTGGGAAGAGCATTCTGGGCAGAGCAGATAGGCTGTGTGTAGGTCCTGTGCTTGGCCTGCTTGAGGGACAGCATGGAGGCTGAGCTGGAGTGAGCAAGGAAAAGTCGTGGAAAATGGAATCAGAGAGTAGGCAGGGACCAGTTCATGTAGGATCTTGCAGGCCTTGGTGAGAGCCTTGGATTGCATTGTGGGTGTGCAGAGAACCCACTGGAGGCTTCAGGTAGGTAGGGGCATAAGCAGAAAATAGCATGGAAGAGGCCAGGAGAGGCTGCAAGGTCTGGGATTTGCTTTTATCCTGCTGCTACTAACAAGTTAGCCTGTTAGTGTTTCATGGATCCTGGCAGAAGACATGAGATTCCTGGGTCAGGAGTGTTGTAAAGTGGGAAAGATCTCACTGCTTTTTGTGCACAAAGCCTGAGCTCAGAGGGAACTCTTCTGAGTTTGAAGGGGAATGATAACTCAGTCCATACTTTCAGAAGCTGAGCCTCAGTCAACAAATAGGAATGAGAATCTTGGAACAGATTCCAGGGCACAGTGTATCAGAAGGCTCTTATTCTCTCAGCCTGCATGTCTTACCTGCAAAATAGGGAGAACATTGCTTCCCAGGCATATTGTGGGGTCTTGTAAATAGAAATTGAATCTGAAGACCCTGTGCTTATTCTCTGCGTTAATAAGAAACAGCAAATTCTTCCTAATAATTTATCCTTCTAGGTTTTTGATTATCCCTTTTCTTCACTGAGAAGCTATTAATGTTTGCTTTGTAGCTCTAGTGCATAACACACACACACTCAGACATGCTTGCAAAATGTGCCTGCCAGCGTCTTCCTGGATAAAGGGTGGTGTTGGTCATTTAGGGGAGAAGGAGAGAGAAGAAGGTGAAAAGAGTCAGAACCCCAGAGAGGCAAGAGAAAATAGCTAGGGTGGCCTCTCTCTCTCTTTTTTTTTTTTTTTCCTGATACAGAGTCTTGCTCTGTCGCCCAGGCTGGAGTGCAGTGGCGTGATCTCAGCTCACTGCAACCTCCACCTCCCAGGTTCAAGTGATTCTCCTGCCTTAGCCTCCCGAGTAGCTGGGACTACAGGCACATGCCACCATGCCTGGCTAATTTTTTATATTTCTAGTGGAGACAGGATTTCGCCATATTGGCCAGGCCGGTCTCAAACTCCTGACCTTGTGGTCCACCTGCCTGGGTCTCCCAAAATGTTGGGATTACAGGCATGAGCCACCACGCCCAGTCAGGGTGGTTTTTCTTTAGATCATGTTTCTTCCTCCTGCCCCATTCTGTACATCTGAAGGGAGCTGAGGCTTATACACAGCATCCCCCACATGCAAACTCATGTGCACCCTCCACCCACCCCAGGATGCTCAGCCAGCTGGCCAAGCATTACAGCTGGAATTCAGATGGCGGTCTCTAGCCAGTGCTGGGCACATTCTGCCATCGCCGTCCCTAGACCTCCTGCCCTTCCAGTCTTCGTTTCTCTCCAAGACCCAAGCAGTACAGCCAGCCTTGGCAAGGCCCACCTCTTATCACTGCATTGTGGGAGGAGATAAAATGAGACTTGTGTGTTTTAAAGTTGAGCAGAACAAGATGTTTTTAAAATGCTGTGTTCCCTATGTGGGAGGCCTTCTAATGATCAGCTGGGGACAGTGCGTCCAGTCCTCCCACCCCTGGGAGGTCCCGGAAAGGACTGCAGTGTGGGATGGGAGGCACACTCCCAGTGTTGGATGCCTACCTGGTGGCCAGCTCAGACAGAGCTGGGACAGAGCTGTCTCTAGCACCTCTGGCCATGAGGGTGTTTGGCCATTCCCAGCGGTCATTCGGCGTAGCTCAGTTTATCTCTCCTGCCAGAGTCGCCTCCTTATTGGACGGAGGGTGAGGAGCACTCGTGATCACTTTGTGGGGAGAGTGGGCAGAGTAGGGCTGAGTGGAGGTGAACTCCCCCTGCCGCATGGACGCTCCCCGAGGTGGGGTATGGGCGCCATCCAGAGAGACCAGCTGAGGCCGAAAGGTAGATTCTTAGCATGAAGAGCTGGGCCTCTGGAGCCGGGCTGTTTGGATCACCTTTTATCTTATTTTTTTGAGACAGAGTTTTGCTCTGTCACCCAGGCTGGAGTGCAGTGGTGCGATCTCAGCTCACTACAACCTCCACCTCCCAGGTTCAAGCAATTCTCATGCCTCAGCCTCCCCAGTATCTGGGATTACAGGCACATGCCACTACGCCCAGATAATTTTTGTATTTTCAGTAAAGACAGGGTTTCACCATGTTGGCCAGGCTGGTCTCGGAAATCCTGACCTCAAGTGATCCACCTGCTGCAGCCTCCCAAAGTGCTAGGATTACAGGCTTGAGCCACCACGCCTGGCCCCATTTCTTCACTTTGAAAGAGAACATACCACCCCTTGGTAAAGCTGTTGAGGTCAAACAAGCAACCTAAGAGAAGTGCTGACTTGGAGCCTGGCACAGAGTTGGTGCACTTTAGGGACAGGACCCAGTGCTTTCTTCCCCAGCCATCTCCAGGACTCATGAGCTGGGGGTGCACTTGGGGAGACATCAATACTAGTATCTCAGTCTCTCCATGGTCCACGCCTCCTGACCCCCAGGGACAGGCTCTGGGAATGCCTCCTGGTCAGAACTGGCCTCTGTTCTCCCACCTGCTTGCTGGGCCTCTGCTGGTCCAAGCTGCCCAGTGTCCCCTCGTATCGTCCATCCCGAGCCTCACCAGGGCTGCCAGGCCTCAGCTGCTCTGAGCATGCCCTGACCCCGTGGTGCCGATCCTTGCCCATATGCTCCGGCCACCCATGTTTTCGCTCCTCCCACTGGACAGCTTGGCAGCCCCTGGTCAAGAGGGCAAGGTCTCCCTCCTTTCCTGACTGCTGGGCCCTTTCTGATGAGAGCTACTCTTCCTCTCCTCTGGGGCCCAGGTATGGGGGTGGGGCTGAGCCTGGGCCAGGGCAGTTTAATCCTGTGATCCAACTGGACACCGTGACACCCCTCCAACCTTCAGTGTGTAGGGATGGGATGGTTCATGCGAAATGCCTGCTGTCGCCTGACGCTCCCACCCATCCCGGAACCCTGGAGGGTGCTGCATGCCTCGCCATTGTAGTAGCTGGGTTTATAACGTGATCTTAATCCCCATTAGGGACACTGCTAGAGGCTGCCCCTCAGCTCCTTCAGGCACCTCCTGGATGCCCCTGAAAATCAGTAGCATTAAAATATTTCCGTGAAGTCACGGACTAGGGAGAAAGGGGCCTCTTTAAGCCACGTGTCAGACTGTGAATCTCGGCTCCAGAGCGGCCACACCTCCAGCCCTTCCTTTATGCTGAGGGTTTTAGAACCAGCGACAGATGCCTGAGGGCAGGTGTAAGGGGCATTAGGAGCTCTGAATTGTCTCTTCTTTATCAGCCTCCAGCACCACCCAAATGGGGGGAAATCCTTTCTTCTGGGACAGGTGTGAGCCTGGGTGCGCGCATAGTGCAACCCCTGGAATTCCCAGCCACGTTACACGCTTCTAATGTCATTTGGCTATCCTAGGACTCCAAATGTAGCACTCCTCGATCCACACACATAAGAAGATTTGTGGATTTAAATTCTTTTTGTGAGGCTATGAATATGAAAACATATTCGCCTCCTTCTCATGTGACCCTAATCCTGGTTAATCGTGTTTCTCTGGGGCACTTCTCCACACTGCCTACTCTGAGCCACTATTTGTGCTTCAGCAGAATCTTTTTTTTCCCCGACTTCCCCAGCAAAGGAACAAGCAGGAGGCACTAAGGTGCAAAGAGGAAGATTTGCAAGCACATCGAAGGGTTCTCCCAACCTGCTGGCACTGCTGGGCTGTGGGGCAAATGGGCAGGCGCCGATGCAGAAAGGAGCAGGGAAACAGGCTCCAAAGGAAACGGACTTCCCAAGTCATGCTCATGGAGACCGGGCCACTCTCTAGACTCCCACAGGGTGTCCTGTGCACCCCTCTCCAGTCCAGCCACGATGTGCCAGTTGCAATCACTACTGTCTGCTGCTCACAAGCCAGCCGGGCTCCCCTTTGCCTTCAGTCCCCAAGTCCACGTTCCTCAGGACTTCCACGATCCAGCTCCACCCACAGCAGCCCCTCTGAAGGGCGCCCTGTTTTCTGTAACATACCAGCGTCTCCATCATCACCACCATGTGCTTTTTTGGGCACAGGCCTGGTTTACCCTCCCCCTCTGCCCTCCTCCATCAGTGCTATGCCCCCTGTCTCCATGGCCACCTGCCTTACACAGCCTTCCCTCTCCCTTTGGTTGTCATTCACCTGCCACTTGTGGATCACTAAGGCCCTTGGCATCATGTCTTGGGAGGCACTGGTTCCTCCTGAGCAGATTTATGCGTGTGAACTGCCCTGGGCTAGATCCTGGAGCCG
This sequence comes from Homo sapiens, assembly GCF_000001405.40. NCBI lineage: Eukaryota > Metazoa > Chordata > Mammalia > Primates > Hominidae > Homo > Homo sapiens. The sequence goes on along the minus strand of NC_000008.11, from coordinate 133,490,409 downwards.
GCCTAGTGTGCGGCTTCGCTATCTAGCAGTGAAGATACGCATGCCGCCAGCTGTGTTCTTGAAGCATCGCAGGCATGCTTGGGTACCTGGGTGAGGTACGGCAGTGGAGCATGGAAGAGCAGGCTCAGGAATCGGCCCTCACCCCTTCCTAGCCATGTGACCTGGAGTAAGCCACTGATACCCAAGGGCCTCAGCATCCCCTTCTGTAAAATGGGATTATGGTGTCACCTCCCTCATAGGACCTGGAACTGCACTTTAGCTAGTCCCTAAAATACTGCGTAGTCTCTCAAAGCCCAACTTCCTTCTCTGCCCAAAGAGCAAATGCCTGCCCGAAGAGCCCCTGGGGACTTTCGCCAGGCATCCACACACAAGAAATGTATTAGCTATGGATGGGTCAGGCATGCACAGATAAGTTGGGGAGGGAGTGAGTTGGAGAGAAGGAGGGGCAGACCAGAGGCCACTAGATCTAGTTAGAGATATTCCATGGGCTTTTGTCTGCAGGCTTATCAAACAATGAGGATTCTTTGATATTTAAGCCCGGCAGGAGTCAGAGAACAACAGGAGAGGACCCAGCAGATCAAACTCCAAGAGGGGCCCAGGAGTGGGCGGTGGTCAAGCCACAGGCGCTGATTGGAGCAGCCATGGGCGGGCTAAGGGGACCTTGCCCTCTGGCTCTACTGGTGTTGACTACATTTCTATGGGAGGGACTGATGCTGTCATCAGGGAGCTTGGGGGACAGGCTTCTTGGAGTGTCCCCCTGGTGGGACCTGGAATGTGTTGAACTTGGCTGAGTGGTGCAAGGGATCCCCTGGTGCCATCCCTGCCAAAGACCCTATCAGTGTCATGAGCCTGAGGATGAAATCTCCCGATGGGTGAGTGCCCCAGCAGCAGTTGGAGCAGAGTTTGGGCAGATTCTAGCGAGAGCAGCTACCCAAGGTGGAGGGGAGGCCAGGGCTCAGGGCATCCAGCTGACCCACGTGCTTCTTGCAAATCCTCTGAGGTGGCCAGCGCCTCAGAGGGGTGTCCGGGGAGGGGCGGGAGGCATGGCTTTCTGTGGGGCACAGCTCCTGGGGCACTCATTGCTTAGACCACATTGTCAGCTGTGCCCCTTGGAGTTAGGTCTGCGGGGTCACCTGGACTGGTCATGGTGCTGGCAGGACACAAATGGTGCATTCAAAGTGGGCAGTGGAGGGGAGCTGAGTTGAAAGGTCATTCACAAGGTCATAGTGTGGTGTAGGAAACAGCAAGTGTGGTGCAGTCCCTGGGGCTGGAAATGGTGGGACTGTTTCCAACCCTAGGGCTGAAGGGACAAGAGGACATAGACTTACTGAGACCCCCAGGACACAGCTAATGTGTGGATGGGGTCATTTGACAGGAGCAAGGGACCATCAGCCCTTGGCTGTCCCACAGGGAGGGCGCCAAGGCAGTCACTGCCTGTCCCCAGTTCCCTCTCTCCCTCTGGCCTTCCTCCAGGGCTTCCTGTGGCTCCCAGGAGGTTGTCCAGACTTTAGGGGGGCCACCAGACCTTGCCTGGCCCCCCCTGTCTGCCAGTGCCGCTGCAGTCTTCCAATCCACTTGACTTTGTTTTCTTTCAGTTCGTTGGACTCACCTACTGTCCCCACAGGCCTTCATACCTGTAGCTTCCCCTGCCTGGGAGGCTCTCACACTCCCTGCCCAATCACCTGTCCACCCTGTGGACCCTCAGTCACTACCACTTCCCCCAGACATCAGCCAGTCCCTCTTACGCCCTCTGCTCGTGGCACTGAAGGCTGCCAGTCAGGGCTCTCCAGGGGAGCAGAGCCTATCCCATATTTGTGTATGCATATTAAGAGATTCAACTTTCGGAACTGGTTCAGGCAGTTGTGGAGGCTGCCAGGTTCAAAACCTGGTGGGCAGGCCAGAGGGCTGAAATCTCAGGCAGGACTTGACTTCTCTGTTACAATCTTAAGGCAGAATTTCTTCTTTTCCAGGGAACCTCAGTTTTTGCCCTTAAGGCCTTCAACCTATTGGATGAGGCCCACCTGCATTCATCTCCTTTACTTAAAGTTAACTGATTGGAGAGCTTAACCACATCTGCATGCTACCTTCCCTGAAATACCTAGACGAGTGTCTGACCAAACTACTGGACTCCATGGCCTAGCCAAGCTGGCTCATTACATTTATTTATTTACTTAGAGATAAGTCTCGCTCCCCCAGGCTGGAGTATGATCATAGCTCATTGCAGCCTTGAATTCCTGGACTCAAGTGATCCTCCTGCCTCAGCCTCCACATAGCTGGGATGACAGGGGCAAGCCACATGCCTGCTGATACATTAAATCTAACCATCACAGCTGGTCTTTTGTGTGATTCCTTAATAATCTCAGCCTCTGTCCCACCCTGTGATGTTGCTTTCAGTGAGCAAGGACGAAGATCATTCTACTTTCTCTCTCCTTTTTTTTTTTTTCGACAGAGTCTCGCTCTGTTGCCCAGGCTAGAATGCAGTGGTGCAATCTCGGCTCACTGCAACCTCTGCCTCCCGGGTTCAAGCAATTCTCCTGCCTCAGCCTCCTGAGTAGCTGGGACTACAGGCATCCGCCACCACACCCAGCTAATTTTTTTGTATTTTTATAGATAGGGTTTCACCATGTTGTCTGGGCTGGTCTTGAACTCCTTACCTCAAGTTATCCACCCTCCTTAGCCTCCCAAAGTGCTGGGATTACAGGCATGAGCCACCACACCCAGCCATTCTACTTTGTCTAACTTTTGTTTTGTTCAGCACTTGACAGCAACTGCTAGATGGCCGGAGCCCAGTGAGTAATTGTCAAATGAAAGAATGAAAGCAAGAGCGAGAATCCACAAAGGGGCTTGGCAGTGTCCAAGTCAGAGATGTTGCCAAGACAAAGTGAGATGCTGTATGTAAAGGGTCTGCATGTAGTAGGTGTGAAACTCACACATGCCATTTCTTCTTCATTTTCAACCCCACTAGCCATTATCCACACACACACATATGCAGTTCTGAATTTCTCAGAGGAATGATGATCCTGGGTAGGTGACATTTTCCTAATGTTAATGTTAATGTTAAATATTCTTTTGTGATGGTCAGGAATTGTTCTAAGCACTATATATATATATATATACCAATAGTATTGTTTCCAATATGTGTTAAATATTCAAGATTATTAGTAACATGATTGTACGGTGTGGTAGCTCATGCCTGTAATCCCAGCACTTTGGGAGGCCAAGGTGGGCAGATCACGAGGTCAGGAGTTCGAGACCAGCCTGGCCAACATAGTAAAACCCCGTCCCTACTAAAAATACAAAAATGAACCAGGCATGGTGCACATCTGTAGTCCCAGCTACTCGAGAGGCTGAGGCAGGAGAATCGCTTGAATCCGGGAGGCAGAAGTTATGGTGAGCCAAGATGACACCACTGCACTCCAGCCTGGGCAACAGAGCGAGACTCCGTCTCAATAAAAAAGAAGTAAGAAAGTGACTCTCAGGACTAACCAATAGTCATTAATTTGTTCAATTAGCCAAGTCTAGGTGAGCAGGGGCTGGGATCATTGTTGCATTTTACAGATGAGGAGCTGACTGGCCTCGGCTTCTGAAGTGGCCCAAGTCACGCTGTGCTCCGTGGCTGCTGTCCCTGGGGTTGGGGGTGGGTGTTCTCTCCTCTCCTGGGAGGCGCAGGGAGCCTCAGGGCAGCACAGTTGCTGGCTGGCTGGCTTCATTCGAGACTGATTTTTTTAATCGACATAAGGAGAGAAATGTCCACCCCAGTCCTGCCATTGACAGGGAGCTTGTCATCACCTGTTTACCTTGCAGTGGCCAGGACCTCCTCTCAGGCCTCACCTCACTGTGGCCCTGTTTCTCTTGGATGATGTTTTCTGGAGGGAAACGGGTCTGGCTCCCCTCACGGCTGATCCTTCCTGACCCAGGGGAGGAGAGCGGCGTTGAGTGGGTCCAGGCCTGGCTCGGCCATGAGAGCACAGCTGTCAGCTTCAGGGGTGACTCAGAGCGGGTGGAGCCCAGCTGGAAGGAGAAAACAAAACAAGGGAAGGGAGGGCTCACACTCGCCCCTGCCAGGCCCTGAGCTGCGCCACACACAAAGCCCACTCAGTGCTCACAGTGCCACCATGGAGTGGGGATAGGCTGGTTCCTCTTCCACAGCTCAGACAGCAAGGAGGCCCAGGGCAGGGGCCGACCTCAGCCTGGCACCATCCACTTCACACCAGTAGGTGTGAAGTTGGGATTCTGCATTGGCCGTAATCCTGACTTTACACCTACCGGCCGAGGGCCTTGGGTAGGTGGCTTGACCACTGTGGGCCTCTGTCCCAGCTCTGAAAGCTGGAGATGATACCCAGTACCTTCATCGGGAGCTTGTTGTGGGCCCAGCCAATGTGCACCGGTATTGTGCTTAGAACACAGTATAGAAAAGACAAAGGTGATGGTAGGTGTCCTCAGTGTTGACACATTACTGCTCTGTGCAGTCACCTCAAGTAGGGATGGTTTTTAACCCCCGCTTTATGGATGAGGAACTTGAGGCTCAGCAGCCCATGTAACTTCCTGGGGGTCACCGCAAACAGCCCCCCACCCCTTGTGGCAGCAGCTAAACCAACTCCCGACCTTCTATCCCCCCCAAAGCTCCACCCTCTCTTTTCAGTTGCAGCCCATGACACCTCCTAAGATCCTGCCCCTGGGAATGGGAAGAACACCTACTCCGGGGTAGCCACCCTGTAGAATACAGCAGGTTTTTTCTAAGGAGTCAAGCGGGTCTTGGGACTTGGGCATCTGGTTTTCTTTAGCCCTGGTGCACTTTTCCTGTGTATCCTTGGAAAAGTCACTTCCCGTTTCTGAGCTCAGCTTCCACATCTGTGGACTGAAGTGAGGCAGCAGCTTGAAGCGTGAGGATTTGATTCGGGGATCCAGGTGCTTATGAAGTTCTTGGAAGGGCAGTGAGAATGGGGGACCTCCAGGGTTTGGGCTGCAATGCTTCAGGTTGAGGCCCACAGGCCACGAAGCTTCAGGAAGTCAGGGCAGAATCTGCAGCTGCCCCGCTGCCTGGAGGTAGAAGAAGGCAGGTTCTGGAGTCCAGATTCTGGGGCAGCTACACAGCAGCTTCTACCACTGCCAGAGGAAGGAAGGCTCTTGCCTCGCCCACCTGCCCGTCCCAGCTATCACTGGTCAGATCTCAACTACTTCCAAAGCGCTATGGACAGGGATGCTGGGAAATGTAGTTCCCAGGCTTCCAGCCCCTGCAGTTAGGGGAAGCACACAGCGAGTGGGAACAAACTCTCACTCCTGTAGACAGTGGCCAGCATAGGAACCCCTGCTGGCAGCAAGAAACAGGGTGCCCTGAGAACCCTCGAATGCAGGCAGGATTGATGCAACTCTCAATATGGGATTTGAGCCATGTGGATTGCAGATACCACTCTAGCTTCTAGCCTTATTCGTTGATCATAGCTACAAGTTTGCTGAGTTCTTAAATGTTTCTGAACAGTCTCCCATCACAATTCCCAGTGCGTGATACCCAGGGAGCAGGGAGGGTTAAGGACATCAGCAAAGAGAAGGCCTCATCACCCAGGGTCAGCGGTATCAGGCCAGGAGTACCCCTTAGCTTCAGGGGGATGGACAGGTGGCAGGAATCCTGGGGCGGGGTGGGCTTTTTAAAGCCCAGCAAGGCTTCCAACCAGGTGCCTCTAGCTCTGACTCACTTGGCCCAGGTTTCTTATTAGGCTGATTCTCCAAATGAGGGATTAAAGTGGAGGTCAGACACACTCCCTTGTAATAACACAGGGGCACAAGGGACTGCGCTGGGAGAGTTCCATGTGGAAGTTCCACACACTCAGCTTCCAGAGACAGCATCTTCTTCCTGGGGACCCATGCCGAGCACAGAGTGTGTAGGAAAGGAGGGAAGGAAGGAGGGAGGAAAGAAACGTTTAGACATTGATCCCAAAGATACAAAAGACCTGGTCCAAGTTGGCTCTGCCATCTCCTAGTTGTTTTAACTCAATCCAGGTGCCTGCCCTCCCTCAGCCTCAGTTTTCTTGTCTGCAAGTTGACAGTGAAGGTAACTCCCGTGTATTAAGCATCTGTTAAATGTGAAGCATTTATGCACTTAACTCTCATGTGAACCTTTGAAGAGATGTGATTTTCCCCATCTTGCTGGTGCAGGCCCTGAGCCTGATGAGGTAGACGAGGTCCCTACCCAAGACCTCTCAGCTAGGAGGTCGGAAATTTAGGAATCAAACCCAGATCTGGCTGACCCCCAATACCCATATTCTGTTCACCACCCAGTGAATGGGGCTGCTGAAAGGGTCAAATGGATGGCAGCTGTGACTGTTTTGGCAAACTATAAAAAACAATGCAAAAAAAGAGATGACCCCCAATTCAAGACTGGCAGTCGGAGGTTGTGAGGTGGCCAGGCTTTCCTGCGGATGTGTAAATCTTGGATACTTCAGAAGACAATGCATCTGCGTTTCCAAGTGTGTGGGAAAAAAGACTGATTGGAGAGTGGAAAATTGGAGCTACCAGAGCAATTTTGAGGAACCTTTTCCTGGGGAAGATCAAAGCTGGTGGCAAACTCAGGTGGGCCTGACTCTCTACATAAGCCTCTGGGACCAGCTGCCTCCTGACCCAAGGCAAGGCTGTTGCAGAGTCTGGGTCTGGGAGCCCCTGGGAACCCTGACATTTCCCCCAGTGTGTTAGGAGCTCCTTCCTGCAGGTCCTGGGAGGTCTTGGCCACGGGAGTAGAAAGCATGAAGATTTAGCTGTTCAGCACATCAAGGAATTCACACAAATAATGAATTCGGCCAGAATCATCATTTGTGTAATACCACTGGTTTGCATGATTTGATGCCTGATTTCATTTGGTCTTTTAAATAACCCTGCGAGTAGGACAGGCCAAGGGTTCTGCTGGACTTTTTCCTTTTTGTTTACAAATGAGGACCTTGAAGCTTAGTGGGGAGAGACAGAATTGACCTTTGTGGTCATCTACTCTGTGGCGGGAACTGAGCTGTTCACTTTTGTGCAAGGCCATTTATCCCACAGCAACGCTTCGTGTGAGCATTTTTGTTTGTTTGTTTGTTTAAGATGGAGTCTTACTTTGTCGGCCAGGCGGGAGTGCAGTGGTGCAATCTCAGCTCACTGCAACCTCCACCTCCCAGGTTCAAGCGATTCTCCTGCCTCAGCCTCCTAAGTAGCTGGGATTACAGGTGCCTGCCACCACACCCGGCTAATTTTTGTATTTTTAGTAGACACAGGGTTTCACCATGTTGGCCAGGCTGGTCTCGAACTCCTGACCTCGAGTGATCCGCCCACCCCAGCCTCCCAAAGTGCTGGGATTACAGGCGTGAGCCACCATGCCCGGCCTGCGTGAGCATTTTTAATCCTATTTTGTAGATTCAGGAATTGAGGATCAGAGAGGGCAAGTGCCTTGCCTATGAACACACAGCCAGGAATGGGAAGAGTCAGGATTTGCATGCAGGTCTCTCATGCCTTTGTTGTTGTTGTTGTTGTTGTTGTTGACAACTGTTGGCCATGATCCACTAGGAAATTCTTCACAAAACCAGAATAAATGGGTTCCAAGCGTCCAGTGACCAGGCATGGGCCGGACAGCAGTTCAGAAAGGAGTCATTCTTCTTACTGGAAGGTTTGAGGGCCATTAAGTATCCAAGATTTACTGGTCAGGTCTTACTTGGTCCCACCCTGTGCCCATACATGAAGCCAGCCGGCCAGGATCCCAAAGGCCAGGACATGGGAGGATCTGTTTTTCAATAATGGGAAGTCCCCGGATGTGTTGCATTGGAAGTCATCTCACTGTCTGTGCAGAGCTGGCCTGGGAGCAGGAGGTTCTGACATAAAGTGAAAGCAGATGCAGTGGGGCCGCTTGGGTGGGGCAGGGAGGTGGTGGCTGCCATGGCTGCAGCTGCAACTTTCCAGCCTGCAGATCTGCCTCTTCCTCCCACCATCTGTGCACTTGGCTGGTGTGAGGAGGTTTGCCTCGGCACCTCTGGGGCCTCTCTGGGCCCCATCCTCTTCTCTGAATTTGCCACGCCCGTGACACATACAGGCAACCACTCCAAGAACAGGAACATGGAAAGGCAAAGAAAAGATGCTGTGACTTCTACTTTGGGCAATGGCAGAAGCTTGTACCAGATCTTTTCTCCCACTGAGAACTATAAAAGCTGGAAAAACTTGAAATCCAGCTCTTTGAAGGCATTAGAGAACAACTAAAGCAGCCAGGACTTGAGGTGCGAAGACCCCCCAAGAGAAAGGAAATAAGTTGGGAGAAACCCAATATTCCCTGCTCATTTTCTGCACGAGGTATGTGCTGATTTTTGCAGAGGGTTCAGAGGACGAGCAGAGAGCAGCAGTTCAGAGTGTTTGGCAGTCTCGCAAGGTGGGGAAACAAAACAGAGATAGGTAGGTAGGTAGAGGGAGTCAGTGAGTTCAGGACTGCTAGGTCAACCAAAACCCAAGGAACCAAGAACCTAGAGCAAAAACAACCACAAAGAAAAGAACATGTGCTCTGTGCCTTCTAAAATTTTCCTTTCAAGGCATTTGCCAGCACTTAAGTTTCATGGGTCCAGAGTCTAAGAAACCAAGCAGAAAACAGCAGATGAAAAGCTAAAAAGACTGGGCATGGTGGCTCATGCCTATAATCCCAGCACTTTGGGAGGCCGAGGTGGGTGGATCGCCTGAGGTCGAGAGTTCGAGACCAGCCTGACCAACATGGAGAAACCTCGTCTCTACTAAAAATACAAAAATTAGCCAGGCATGGTGGCATGTGCCCATAGTCCCAGCTACTTAGGAGGCTGAGGCAGGAGAATCACTTGAACCCAGGAGGTGGAGGTAATAGTGAGCCAAGATCAGGCCACTGCACTCCAGCCTGGGCGACAGAGTAAGACTCTATCTCAAAACCAAAAACACAACAACAACAATGACAACAACAAAAAAACCCAAACAAACAAAAAAGAAAGGCTAAAAAGTTAAGCTTACGGTGATCTCATAGTACAGGGGAGACAGAAATTGGAGATAGGAGCCTGTAAGGAAGAGTCACCCTGATAAGCATCTTGGTTTACCTGTTGAGAACGGCTATGCCCCAGGGGTAAGAGTAAACCAGAAATAGACCAGTCTTCATGAAAAGTGAAACACAGCTGCAGTTAGAACAAAGTAATGTGCCACTTCTGTACCTGCTCATCAGGAGACAACCGGTCCTCTCTGAAGGAGGACAGCCTCATCCAGAGCCTCTGCATTTTTGTCATACACAATACAAACAGCAACCAGGCCTGCCAAGGACAGAACCAAATAACCAAAGAAAGAAAGAGCAACCGAGAAAATAGACAATAGAAATACACCCACATTATCCAAGTATCACAGGATATCCAATGTGGGCTTTAAGACGGCTGTGGTGAATAAAATTGCACAAAGATAGATGACAAGGTGGAGAAATTCACCAGCAAAGTAGAACCTGTCAAAAAATTAGGTAGAAATTCCAGAACTAAAAGACACCACTGAAATGAAGAACTGAATTCATAATTCAAATAGAGTAGGCACAGCAAGAAGGGGGAGTAAACAAGGCTGGAAAGATGACAGTAAACCAAGTCCAAAGAAGTTATCAGAAAGGGAATGGGGAAGATAGGGAAGATAAGAGCAGGTATTGATGGAATTGAATGATGAGCCACGGCTACACAGAAAGCCACAGGAGAAGGCAGGAGTCTGCCTTTGCTACCATTTTGCTGTGTGACCTTGGATAAGTCACTTGCCTTCTCTGGGTTTTAGTTTTTCATTTCAGGGAGACAAGCGTAAGGGTTACCCACCTCTCCTGGTGGCTTGGGGATCACATGAGGAAAGTTGTGGCCACTCTGTATTGAAAGCGTCAATTTTGCCAACAGCCTGCACAGTTCGCTCAGGCATTTCTCTAGTGACCATAGTGCCAGGGGCTGTGTGAAGGGCTGGGAGGGCATCCCAGCCTGTGATGGGTATTTACTACCATCCCGTTCAGTGGGTATTTACTACAGGTTCAAAACCCCGTGTGGTTCCTTCATTTGTGTTTCCAGGAGTTTCACACAGTTCTCTCAGTCTCTGGTCATTGCCCCTCAACTCCCTATTGCCAGAGGAGTTTATCTTCATTAGGGACTCTCCTTAGGGAAATTCTTACTTTTCAGTCCCCAAAAGTGTGCTGACATTTGTCAGTCTTGTGCTGGTGACCCCGCTAAGCTCTGTTGTGTGCAGGTGCTTCATGCCTCCTCGTATTGAGCATGTGGCTGGGAAATGACTGCCATTTGGCAGAGGACAGGGAGCCAGCTTCCCTCCTTCCCCATCCTTCCCTGCTCCCTCTCTTCTTTCTCCTTGTTCTGGGGGGCCCGGCCTCCCTCACCGCACACTTGACATGCAGAGATCTTTGGTCTGTGGCGTCTTGGCCCAGATGTCATTTCCGGGAGCCAGGGCTGGCATTCCCCCATGCCTGCAGGCTGCCCCACGCTTGCTAGAGCACGGAGAAGACATGCAGTCCTGGTTTCTTCCCTGCAGCCAGGGAAGGGGTATAGCGGTGTTCTTGCTTTTCCATTGCAGTTTTATCCAGGGCTTTGGAAAGCGCTAAATGATACCAGCTCAGAAGCCTCTGATGGTTATGGGGAGTGCCCTGGCCTTGGAGGTGTGGCTGCAGGATGCCCCAGAGGAGAGGAGGCTGTCACAGTCCCACAACCTGTGCAGCACAACCTTGCCCTCTGCCCTGCCTCTCACGCCATCCCTAGCAGCAGCCTAGAGCATTAATATCTCTCACGCAGAGGCAGGACATTGTAGGAAACCTGACCTCTCATCCAGAGCCTTGTTTGATCAACACGGATCAACAGTCATCTGTTTCAGGGAACTCATCTCTGCCCTGGCATTAGGGGTGCAGAGGCACTAAGGGCAAGGGTGTCCTAGGCCCTGCTCATTATAAAGGCAAATGTAGTAAGACCATGGCATTCCTCTGCTCAGCCCCACCAGCAGGTTTCTATGTCACCCAGAGAAAACTTAGTCTTGACTGTGGCTTCTCTGGCCCAACACACTCTCACCCCAGCTGCATGCTCAGATTCCCCCTCACCCCCCACCCACTCCTCTCCTCCACACTGTGTCTGATCCAGCCATACAGGCCTCCTTTGCTCCACAGGGTCTGGGGCCCTATTGATGCCTGGGAGGCGCCTACCTTAGATCCTTTTACGATGCACCCCAGCCACCTTGTCCAGGGCCTGGAGAACGCAAGGACCAGCAAATATGCAGTCAATGAATGAGATGAATGGACAACCTTGATGGGCTGACGGCCCCGAGAAATGAGCAGAATTTGTGTTATCAATCCGTTTTTCCCATTGAAGGGATGGTTCGGAAGGGCTAGGTGACTTGTTCATGGTCACGCAGTGAGTAGTGTGGGACAGGCTGCTGAGAATGGAAATGTGACTCAGAGTCTGTGCTTTCTTTCTCAGTTCTCCCTCTGGACTGTTGGCCGTTTTGTTTCCCTTCATTCATTTCTGGGTTTCTTCATGACCCAAGCCTCCACTGAGCATTGAGTGTGTGCACGGGTGACAGGGTCACTGCCATAGTGAGGCTGAGTTTCCATCCTCACATTGCTCCCAGTCCAGGGAGGAGACATATGTGTGAAGAGCACAGACAGAGTGCAGCCAGGACCCTAGGGAGCCAGGAGAGGCCCCTAACTCACCCCAGGAGAGGGCAGGGCTTCCTCCAGGAGTCAGCACCAGCTGAGCCCTAGAGAATGAGTAAGAGCCATCGGCAAAGCAGGGTGGGGTGGTTTTCTGGACAGTGGGGACAGCCTGAGCAGGGACACGGAGGTAGGAGCAACTGTGACCTCTGGGTCAGTCACATTGCTTCAAGTTACAAATAACCTACTTTACCCCATAAAGGGGATTTATTCCCTCATGTAACTGAAAAGTCAAGGTGAGGGTGGGGCTGCAGGTTGAGCAGGATCAGGGATTTAGCACCATTTGTTCGGGTTGTTCAGCTCTAGTCTCTTCTACACACGCTAGCAAAATAGCCAGCAGGATGTTCCACATGTCAACAACAAGCCAGCCAGAGCAAAAGAAAGTTTCTTCCCTCCCTACAGAAGCTTGGCTGGATGAATTAAGGCACATGCCCATCCCTGGATCAATTACTGGGGTAAGAGGTGGGAACCCTCTGCCAGTCAAGTGAATTGTGAGCCTATCTGTGATGATGCAGAAGTTATTCTTACTTAAATTACAGAGCTGCTCCTTGATGGGGGCAGGTGGGGAGAGAATTGGATGGGATACCTGTGGACACCACTAGGTTATAAACAAAATCTAGGTTGTCATGAAAAGTGAAAACTGGAGCAGAGACCGGATAAAAATGACGTTGCCAACTGAGCTGCAGAGCTCAGACCTTGTCCTCCATACGTTGGGCTTCTAGTTCTGGAAGCTGTAGAGGGTTGCACCCTATGCATCTTGGGCCCTGGATGTCTTCAGAAGGGCACTGTGGATTTAATATGGTTTTGGAGCTGTCCCCCTTTCTACCAAAAGGTGATCAATCTCCTTTCAACTCTAATTTTCCTGGAAAAAAATATACCCTGCTTATTGACAATCTACACCTTGAGAATGGGGAGGAATCGATCAGATTTCTTCCATTCTTCAGCATTCCAAGCAAAGACCAAAAAGACCACGCTCCAGGGCAGACGTGCAACCACAGTTGTACCATACAGAAATCCCAAGGTGTCGGTGAGAGCCAGAGGGGTCTCCGATGGGCATTTGAGAGGTACCTGTTTGCCTTCTTCAAAAGAATACTCCCCCCTTGCTCTATATCCCTCCAGCCGTAGTAATCTGAAGACCAGTTAACAAGACAGGTGTCTGCTCCAGGGTAGAGCCCCCCAACCCCCTGTTCCTGGTCCCCCAACCCCTCCCGATGTAAGGAATCAGAGGACTGTGGATTTGGACTCGGATCCTGCTCCTTCCTTTCCTTAGGCAAGTCATCTAAGCACTTTGAGTCTCAGTTTCTTCCAAGACAAAAAGGGAAACTAATATCTAGCTGACAGTATATTCTGAGGATTATCTGAAGAGATACGTATGCATGAATATCTCATCCTCTCAGCTCTTAGTGGATCATCAGAGAATATTGATTCATTCACATGTTGAAGAAGAAAAATTAAAGTTCAGCAATGGCCTAATAGATACCAGAAGCCCAGCATACATCATTTTATCTTATCTTCATAACCATTCTATAAGTAGGGGTGTTAGTATCCCACTTTGCAGAAGAAGAAACTGAGGGTCAGGAAGGTCAAATAACTTTCCCAAGGCTCCACAGCTGGGAAATCAGAACTTGAACCTGGACCATCTAAAGCCCCTTTTTATGGAACTGAGGCCAATTGGCAGAGCTTGAATGCCCAGGTAAAAGGAACCCTGGGCCACTCTCTAAGCATACCATTGTTGTTGTGCTTGTTGCTGAAATCCAAAATCTGGAAGAGAATGAAGTAGAGAGAAAGGCAAATAACATGCATTTAACAATTCCTGTGTATATTGTACCTACATGCATCACGAGCTCTTTGACAAATGTTTGTTGAGTGTGTCAATGTGCTAGGTTCTTGTTGGAAACATGGAGGGGACACCTTCTGCATCCCATAATAACCTTGCAAAGAGATGATAACATCCATTGTATGCACGCACTCAGGCTCACAAAGGTAGATAAACCATCCAGAGCCACCTGCCAGGTTGGCATGACACCAGAAGGAAGACCACGGAATACGTCCTGGTGGAGATGTGGAGAGAAACATTTTTTATAGCAGGATCACAGAATCTCACGCTGTTTTCTTCCTCCTTTTCTTTGCAGATGACAGACAACCTTCTGTGCCTTCATCAAGCTGGTTGTGTACCCACCATGTCCCTGGCGACAGGATGGGAAAGAAAAAGCCCTAATTAAGGATCGTCAGAAACCACAGTTGGAGGAGGACGGCAGAGACAGTTTCCCTCCCCGCTATACCAACACCCTTCCTTCGAGGTCCTCGCTCCTGAGGGACCCTGGACTGTCACAGAGATTAATGACCCCTTATCTTCTTTGGATGTGAAAGGAAATCACTGGTTAAAGCTTGATCGAGAGACATTATCAGCTCTTTAAGGATTGCAGAAGAATAGGCTACTTTATTTTCTGAAAAGGTAAATATATGCAAGCAAAGCCAACATGCCACGAATGGCGTTGGTCTACCACACAGCCGTGTCTGGGACACAGTTGGGGGTCATCCCCCAGCAGGAGTGAAGTCGAGCTTAGCGGCCCTTGTGTCCTCCCTTGGAATTCCTGCCATCCCTTTTGATTGAGCCTCCACCTCTGGGATTTTTCTTCCATTTTTCTCCTCTCTTAGGAGGGAGTTCCTGCTACCCATCGTGGGAGGCCACCATCAGGACTGCGAAGATGGTGACCCTGCGGAAGAGGACCCTGAAAGTGCTCACCTTCCTCGTGCTCTTCATCTTCCTCACCTCCTTCTTCCTGAACTACTCCCACACCATGGTGGCCACCACCTGGTTCCCCAAGCAGATGGTCCTGGAGCTCTCCGAGAACCTGAAGAGACTGATCAAGCACAGGCCTTGCACCTGCACCCACTGCATCGGGCAGCGCAAGCTCTCGGCCTGGTTCGATGAGAGGTTCAACCAGACCATGCAGCCGCTGCTGACCGCCCAGAACGCGCTCTTGGAGGACGACACCTACCGATGGTGGCTGGTGAGATGCTGCCTGAGAGCGGGGTCTGGGCTGAGAGTTGGGGTGTGGACTGAGAGTGGGGTCTGGGCTGAGAGTGGGGATCTGGATAAGAGTGGGAGGCCTGGGCTGAAAGTGGGAGTCTGGGCTGAGGGTAGGGGTCTGGTAATGAGAGTGAGGTGCTCTCAGAGTTAAATGCTCAGTCCCCGTGTACACCTGGGGCCCTGCCAGGCAGTTAGTAGGATTCAGATTATTGTCCCACACTATTTATTGAGGATCTATTATATCTAAGTCAGAGCAGGAAGCACGGCTTTAGTTTCCTGTGGCTGCCATAACAAATTTCTGCACAATTCATGGCTCAAAACACCAAAAGTGCATCCTCTTGCAGCTCTGGAGGCCAGAAGTCTGAAAACAAATTATGGGCAGACTTGGCTCCTCCTGGAGGCTCTGAGGGGGAAGCCGCCCCAGGCCCGCTCCTGGCTCCTGCCAGCTGCCGGCAGTGCTGGGCGTTCCTGGGCTCAGAGCTGCAGCAGTCCAGCCTCTGCCTCCACTTCCACAGGGCCTTCCTCCCTGTATCCCTTTATGTCTCACATGTCCCTCTCCTTTTCTTATGAGGACACCTGTCATCAGGTTTAGGGCCCACCCTAATCCAGGATGATCTCATGCAGAGATCCTCAACAATTTCACCCACAGAGGCGCTTTTTCCAAATGTCATGCTCACAGATTCCGGTGACTAGCACTTGAACGTATCTTTTTGGGAGCCACTATTTCACCCACTACAGCTATTGAAATGCAAAAAGAGAGAGAGATCCTTATTCTCATGGAATTTTATTCTGGCTGGGAGGGGAAGATAAGAAATAAACAAGGTAGGCTCACACAGAAGTGCTTTGAAGACAGATCCAATGAGGTTTGTCATAGAAACTTAGAGGGGGCTTCTGTAAATGGGGTCACCAGGGAGGTCTCTGAGACAGCAGGACTCAAGTTGAGACCCACAGGCAGAGAAGGCAGCAGCCATGAGAAGAGCAGGACCATGCACTGCAGGTGTCTGGGACAGCGGGTGCAAGAGCCCGAGGGTGGCCTCTGCTGGATGTAATGGGGAGTAGAGGAGCTCTGCATGGCTGGGGGGCTGTAAATCAGGGGAGGTGCAGTGAGACGAGGCCTGAGAGTCAGCAAGACCCAGGGGAGGACTCTGGGATTTCTTGTAAGTGCAACAGGAAATCACTGTAGAATTTTTGTCAGGGGGTTTCATGATCTGATCTTGTCATTTGAAAGGTCATTCCCATGTTAAATGCAAAATAGATCGAAGAAGAGCAAGATATATGTGTTCATGTCTTATTTATTGAGCACCTACTATATGCCAAGCATCACTACATTGAGATGGAAAAGATAGAGTCTTTCCTTTCTTGGGTTGCAGGAGTGATGGGGAGAGAAGGGAAAACAGACAAACTCAAGCCAGGACCATAGGTGCTGTGCAGGAAGTGGGCACAGGAGCGATGGTCTTCATGTCCAACTCCCCTTGGAGCCTGGGGTTATCGCAGAAGGCTTCCTACAGGAGTGATGGCCAGGTTCATCATGAAGGATTCAGAGAGGTTATCCAGGTAGATTCTGGGGAAGGTCTATTTGAAATGAACAGAAAACATGTGTGAGACTTAGAAAGGTCAAAAGCCCTGGGCTATGCTTCCAAAGACCTGGCTGAGTCCTGGTTTGCTAATCTGTGTTGAGCACCACTGTGTGCAGGTCCTGGGGTGGGCTCTGGGGAGGTAACAGAGAACCGGGCAGGTAGGGTCTTTTCCCTTTCAAAGATCCAAGGGTCTAGGGAAGGAGGTGGCGAGCCAGGCATGGTAAGGATTAGGGTCTGCTCTCAGCCTCAGCACTATGGACTTGTGGGGCAGGATCAGCCTTAGTCACAAGGGCTGCCCCGTGCATTGCAGGATGTTTAGCAGCATCACTGGTCTCTACCTACTAAATGCTAGGAGTGCCCCATCCCCAGTTGCGATAGCCAGAAGATCTCCAGACATTGTCAGGTGTCCCAGGTGGGGTGTGCGTGTGTGTGGGTGCACATGCATGCACAAAGTTGCCCTCCCTTGAGAACCAGCAGGGTTGGGAAAATGACACATTGATGGCAGAGGTGGCTTCACACACATCCCATCTCCTCTCTGGATCTGATTCCCCCTGTAGCAGCAGTTGCTGGGACCACGTTAAGTCCAAACTTCCTCTTCAGAGCCTGGAGTCTGTGATGTTCAGTGTCACCATGGGATTCTGTTTACAAAGGCCTTTTGGGGACAAACAGGGTACTACACAGCCTGTTTATATAAACCAAACAGGAAGGGACCTTACACAACAGCAGGTAAAGGAGAAACTTGGGGGCCTTTGTCCTCATTTTACAGACAAGGAAACTGAAACTCAGAAAAGTTAGGTGACTTTTGCAAAAGAGAACATCAAATCCAACCTCTGGAAATACCGTATTAAAAACTGTTATTAGAGAGTATCACCAAGACAGTATCGATCTTTCTTCTTGGGGAGGGCGGTTTCTAAAACTCTTAGGCTGGTGTCGCCCAGGAGGGTTAAAAAGGCGTAAGGGAAAAACATCAGCTTCTGGATATAAGCCATGTGTCTTCAAAGAACACAGGCTATAATGTAGACTTAGGAACTGGGGCCTGGCATCAGCGTTCCTAGGTTTTGTCGCAGAGTTTGTAGGTCCCATCAGGAGTGACTTTGAAGAAGCTCTTCATCTCACTGAGTCTCAGCCTCCTTCGTGTTACATGGGAGAAATGTTACTTCACCAGGTTCTCTACAACCCTGCAAACATTAGTTTTAACAATTGTATTTATTTTTGTTGGTTTAATGGGCAAGTAATACTGAACTTAGGTGGGTTTTTTTTTTTTTTCAGTACTAATTAAGGCTGAATATATTTCCACTTAGTTGTTTCCCATTTACCAGATGTCTTCCCCTACCTGCAGCCCTTCTCTGCAGTCTTTTTCTGAAGTTTAGCCTCTGGTGGCTGATCCCAGGGCAGCCACTTGGAAGGAATGGGGCTTCACCCTCTGGAAATCAACAGAAAGGAGCAGGGCTTTAGAGCTTTGGGGTTCTAAAAAATGCACAGATAATACGGAAACCACACGCTTTGAATAAAGAATCGGGATACAGGCATGGAATATCTGACAACAAAGCCATCCTGAGAACTCCAGGCTGCGCCATTGCTCTGCTTAAAGGCCCCCCTGCAGGCAGGACCATTTCATGAATGGAACTGGACTTGGGTCATGATATGGTTTGGCTTTCACCCAAATCTCATCTTGAATTGTAGCTCCCACAATTCCCACGTGTTGTGGGAGGGACCTGGTGGGAGATAATTAATCATGGGGGCGATTTCCCCCATACTGTTGAGGGGGTTGGAAGAATCTTAGGTGAGAATGTGAGGTCCCGAGCTCCCATCCTGCCCTGAGCTTCATAGTCCTCCTCAGTCAAGTGGGCATCACAATTCCAGCTCGTCCCAGCCCTGGCAGGAACAGGGACACAGGAGCAGTCACCAGGGCTCACTCTTTTAGTTGAGTTGAGTTGAGTTGAGTTAAATTGAGTTGAGTTGAGTTTACAAATCAGCCCCGTGCCCTGCAAGTGAAGAGACTGCACCACCATCCCAGGCTGGACCTACTGACCCCTGTGACCCTCTCCTCGGGTCTCTGTCCCAGACACCCAGGAACAGGGATTCCTTCTTCCCCAGTCCCCATGTCCAATTCAGAGACAAGCCATGTCGAATGCTGACTCTGCCTTCTCTACTTGCCCCCAACTTGGGAAACCGTTTTGTGATACGCAGGGGACATTCTCAAGGGACAGAAAGAGTGCGACCCTCCCCTGATTTCCGCCCCCTGCCCTCCTAAGGCATCTTCCCATCCCAGACATCCATGCCCAGTGCCCAAATGCAAAATAATACCATCATACTGTCCACCCGGCGCCTAGCACCAACTCTGGCCAGGTCCTGGGCCCAGCTTTCCAGGTACCACTGCTTCGCCCTTACCACCCCCACCACCAGGAGGGTGTAGGTATCTCATTGTCCTCACTTTGCACTTACCAGGTCACCCACTGTCAAAGGGCACAGTCAGATCCCCTTGTAGTTAAAGGACATGGTCTGGAGTCAGGCCCAGGATATTCAAACTGTTTTGGTCCTGGGAAACTCACTTCACCTCTGTAAGCCTCAGTTTCCTCACCTGTAAAATAGGTCTATAAGATCACCTTTCTCATAGAACCATTATAGAAACTCAGTGAGAAGCTGCCTATCAGGTTATCAGCACAGGGTCCTGCATAGGGCAACCATAGAACATGCGCTTCTGCTCAGGGTGAGCCATCTGAGTCCTGCACGAGCCATTTCTAAGCACCGCCTGTCCCGGCGCTAACCTGTCCACCCCACCTGTCCACCCCACACGGCACCGGGGATGTGATAGGGGCTCAGTTGTGATGAGTTGAATGAATGAATGTGTGTTAGCTTTAGCAGTTGTCATTCACTTATTCAATGGACATATCTTGAGCCTGTACTACCTAGCATGCTTGTGTCTGCTGCTTGGATGCCAAAGGGGCCAGGGAAACCAACAGCAGCTGGGGATTGGAATGAGGCCTGCGGTGAGGCCCCAGTGGTGCCACCCATGTGTGGAAGGCCAGAGACTGATATTTCCAGGGTCCAAGGGAGGCTTCTCAGAAGGCGATGCATCATTCATTGGCCGTGGAAGGAGGAAGGAGGATGGGAAGGGAGCGCGGGTACCTCTTCCCAACACTCTCGGGACGGGTGTGGCCTGTGGATAGGGAGGACTTCCAGCCATCGTGCCTCAAGACAGGACAAACTCTGCCATAGCACAGGCTCCAGAGTTCCTGTGGATCATGCCCGAGTGCAGGGTGAGGTGAGGCACCCAGGGCTCCAGCTTCAAGGAGATGTCCGCTCTCGGGCCGTGCCCCTGGGCATGAGTGGGCCTCCTTATCCCACTTGCCCGACTCCTCACTCGCCTCGCCCCCAGCCTGCAGTGCTTGACTCCATGGAGACCTCCCCTTCCTTCTCCTGCCTTGCTTCTCATCCCTCTCCAGACAGCACCCACCATGGACACCTGCATCCGTGCCCCAGCCTCTGCTTCCAGGGAAGCTGACCCGAGGCCCCGTGCTTCCCAAGGAGCTCAGGCCACCAGGCGGCAGGCATTGATTGAGCGCTGATTGTATGCAGATTGAGCGCTGATTGTATATACTTGGAAACTAGTCTGGAAGGCTGGAGAGGGCGTGTCCCTGAACTTCCAAACACTCTGTCCTGTGTTCATATCAGTAGCACTGTCATACTTTTTTTTTTTTTGGCATGGAGTTTCTCTCTTGTTGCCCAGGCTGGAGTGCAATGGCGTGATCTCGGCTCACCACAACCTCCGCCTCCTGGGTTCAAGTGATTCTCCTGCCTCAGCCTCCTGAGTAGCTGGGATTTCAGGCATGCACCATCACGCCCAGCTGATTTTGTATTTTTAGTAGAGACCGGGTTTCTCCATGTTGGTCAGGCTGGTCTCAAACTCCTGACCACAGGTGACCCACCCGCCTTGGCCTCGCAAAGTGTTGGGATTACAGGCGTGAGCCACCGCACCTGGCCAGCACTGTTGTTCTTTTATTGCCACTGACAAAAGGCAGAGAAAACCAGAATATTTCTTTCCCAAAACAGTGACGCCACATGGAGTAACCTGCCTGCTCCATCTCAGCTGGTGTGGGGAGGACTTACTATGATAATCTAGAGAAAGAGCCAGTTTCCCATCTGAGCTCTACCTGGCCCTGCACTCACTCTGGGACCTCAAGTGAGCCCTTTCCAGGGTCTGGGCCTCCATTTCCCCTTTTGCCAATGAAAGATTGGAATGGGTCTGAGATTTCTGAAGCGTGGGGCTTGTGATGTTAGGTGAGGCAGGGCACTAGAGAAAGTCGCATCACAGAGCCCGGAGGTCATTTCTGCCGTCCCTCCTTCCCACCTGTCTCTGCAGTGCTGGGGCTTCAGTTTGGCCTGGTGTCTTACTTTGCACCTTGTCAGCGCTTGTCAGCCTTGTTCTAAGGGAGAGGAGAGTTTGCCTGGGCAGGCAGCAGGGTAGAGCTGCAACCGAATACAGTAGTTTTGTTTTCATTGCATTGTACAACTACCATTTTACTTCTGCCAGGTAATTCTTGCTTTCTACGTGTGGTAGAGATGAGAGGTTTCCTTTCTAATAAGTTTATTTTTATTATTTGGCCAGGCATGGTGGCTCACACCTATAATCCCAACACTTTGGGAGGCTGAGGCGGGTTCATCACCTGAGGTCAGGAGTTCGAGACCAGCCTGGCCAACATGGTGAAACCGTGTTTCTACTAAAAATACAAAAATTAGCCAGGCACAGTGGTGCACACCTGTAATCCCAGCTGCTTGGGAGGCTAAGGCAGGAGAATCCCTTGAACCCAGGAGGTAGAGGTTGCAGTGAGCCGAGATCGCACCACTGCATTCCAGCCTGGGCGATAGAGTGAGACTCCATATCAAATCAAATCAAATCAATCAATCAATCAATCAATTTATTTTTCTTAAATAAGTCATTAAAGAAAAGTAAGTCAGTCAGAGTCCAGCAGGATGATGTGGTGCTGTGTGAAGCAGGCAGCATACTCTCCACACACGTCCATGGCCGAGCTTGAGTCCTGGCTTCTCAGGCCTCTGTGGCACCCAGTAGACACTCAGTAAATGTCACTGCATGATGGATACACGGTGCCAGGCTCCCAAATCAAAGTAGCGGCGTGATGGAAGGCCACCCCCTGGGCCTGGGCACATCTTTACAAGCCTAAGGGGCACAGCAGCCCTTGCTAGTTGGAGACCTCCATGGAGGTTCAGGGGAGTCTGGCTGTGGTCCTCTACCCTGGGGCTCTCAGAGTGTAGTCCCCCCACCAGCCCTGGCAGCAGCATCACCCAGGAGTCTGTTAGAAATGCAGGATTTCGGGGCCAGCTTTAAACCTACTGAGTAAGATCTGTGCCTTAGCAAGCCTCCAGGGGGTTTTCCGCACATTCAGGATCATGGAGCCACCCTGGATGATCCCATCAGAATCAGGCATTTTATCTGGATATCACATCTGTGTGTGTGACAACATATTCATAATATTTATCATTTTCACCACTTGTGTGTGTACGATTCAGTAGCATTAAATATATTCACAGTGTGTGTAACAATCACCATTATCTATAACCATAACTAGCAGATTTTTGTCATCCCAAGCAAAAACTCTGTCCCCATTAAACAGTAACTTCCCCTTACCTCCTCCTCCTCCCAGCCCCTGACAGCCACGCTGCCACTCTCTGTCTCTATGAATTTGACTACTCTAGGTACCTCACATAAGTGGAATCATATAATATTTTTCCTTCTATGTCTGGCTTCTTTCATTAATCATAATATTAGTATTTTCAAGGTCCATCCATGTTGTAACCTATTTCAAAATTTTCTTTTTATAGCTAAATAATATCCCATCATATGTCTGGAACGTACTATGTTTGTTTATTCATCCATCGCTGGAGACTGGGTTGCTCCCACCTTTTATCTATTATGAATAATGCTGCTTTGAACATGGGTATACCAATATCTGCTTGAGACCCTGCTTTCAATTTCTGGGGGTATATACGTAGGAGTGGAGCTGGTAGGCCACATGGCTGTTCTGTTTAACCTTTTGAAAAACCACCCAGTTTTTACCTCGGCTGCACGGTTTTACATCCCCACCAGCAATGCACGAGTTCCATTTTCTCCACATCCTCACCGATACCTGTTGTTTTGCCCTTTTACTTATGATAACTGTAGCAGTGGGTGTGAAGTGTGGTCCAGATCATGTTGCTTCCCATGACGTGTCTAACGGTCTTAAGCCAGAGGAGAGGCTGCCTGGGTTTAACTGGAAGAGCAATCTGGTTCTGCTTGTGTGCCTCCCCTTGGGGCATCCGATTCCTTCCATTGCAGTGGGGACTGGGTGCCCCGGGATCTCCCTACATATGCCCAGGTCACTCATCTTCTGGACAGTGGCCAAAGCCACTGCTGGCCACTCCTTCCTCTCCCAGCCACCCCTTGCCCCTGGGGCCCGGAGTAGCCGATGGGAATCACCCCACAGCTTATCACCCCTACCCCAAAATCCAGGGTCTGGGCTTTCCAAAGGCCAAGATTCCAAGAGCCAGAGTTAGGGTTGTGTGGTGGGAGAAACCTGCTGGTGGGTTTCTAGAAGCCTGGGTTCAAATCCTGGTTTGTATTTGGGATGAGTTGCTTACCTCTCTGGCCTCAGAGCATCCTACCTCACCCACAGTGAAATGACACAGCACTGTGGCATGGGGACAAGGTCAGATGCAACACTTTTATGAAATCTCTCCAGGGTTTACCACGAGTGAGGAAGGCTGAGGCACCAACAGGCATCACTACATAGTGTGGCCAGAGCTCCACCTGAGGTGACGGGCGGGCCTGGGCATGCAGCGGGGGCCAATAGTGAAACCACCGGGGGCCAATAGGGATACCAACTCATCCTGGTTTTAGCACTGAGAGTCCTGCATCTAGGGAAACCCCTTAACCTGGGCAAATAAGTAATATTTAGTCACCCTGGAATAAGACTGGCATTCAATCTGCGAGCAGCTGACCCTCGAGCTAGGTCTTTTTTTTTTTTTTTTCGAGTTGGAGTCTCGCTCTGTCACCCAGGCTGAAGTGCAGTGGCACTGTCTTGGCTCACTGCAACCTCCGCCTTCCGGGTTCAAGAGATTCTCCCACTTCAGCCTCCCAAGTAGCTGGGACTACAGGTGGGCACCACCATGCCCGGCTTTTTTGTATTTTTAATAGAGATGGGGTTTCACCATATTGGCCAGGCTGGTCTCAAACTCCTGACTTCGTGATCCACCTGCCTCGGTCTCCCAAAGTGCTGGGATTACAGGTGTGAGCCACCGCACCTGGCCCAGGCTAGGTCTTAAAAGATGAAAACAATTTGCTAGGCAGATCGCAGAAGCCTTGTGCATCCAGCAAACTGCTGATTCTTCAATCTGGCTGGAGCCCAGCAGTGCTGGGGCCGGGGGAACTGAGGGTCAGGCAGGAAAGATGGCAGATGTCCCTACTGCTCTGTCCCCCATCCCTGGCCGGGGCTGGAGAACTGGCATTTCCACCTACTCCTCGCTCTTCTTGTTAAGGCTTGAGCGGGAGCACGCAACCCCTGGGCCCTGGTGTCTGAGCAGGGTGGGAGTAAGACACAGCTAGAAGGCTTCTGCTATTTTTCTCTCTTTCAAGTGGTGACACGTAGGGGGATGGAGGGCCTTTCAGAGAGACAGGAGCCCCCAGGGAGGAGCAGGTTGGAGAAACGCTGATCACATGTGGAGTGGGAGGGGCCTGTGAGTCCAGGTGTGGCTGGATCACCCAAGCGGCTTCAGCAGTGCCTGGCACATGGTAGGTGCTCAGTAAACACTTGCAGAATACATGAATGCTCTCTTTACTTCCTGAGTAACCCTTAGTCTCCTTGAAGGAGGAAGTGGAGGTGTCTGTGTGTGAGCCGCCTCCATCTCCGGGGGCCCAGCAGAGAGAAGGGTGAACAGGAGGGCCCCAGTAAACGACAGCAGGTAGCTCAGGGGCTCTGCTGCCAGGAGGCTGGAGCCACAAAGCCAGGTTGACCACCTTCTGTCCTCCGCCCACAGAGGCTCCAGCGGGAGAAGAAGCCCAATAACTTGAATGACACCATCAAGGAGCTGTTCAGAGTGGTGCCTGGGAATGTGGACCCTATGCTGGAGAAGAGGTCGGTGGGCTGCCGGCGCTGCGCCGTTGTGGGCAACTCGGGCAACCTGAGGGAGTCTTCTTATGGGCCTGAGATAGACAGTCACGACTTTGTCCTCAGGTGAGTGCCAGACCCTCTCCCAAGCCTACCGTGCTGCACCCAGGGGCCCCTTGGAGCTGTAGGAAGCATCTTGGCTCAGGCTCAGGAAGGCAAGGTTCAGTCCTGGGACTGAACTTACCCAGGGACCCCAGGCTCCACACTGCACCCCCTGGGCCTCAGCTTCCCCATCTCTGCATCATTGCAGGATTGGAATGGACTAGAAGGGCCTCTGCGTGCAGAGAGGAAGCCATACACGGGAGGTCCCCCGTTGTTGGGAGCTTGGCACATGGAGGCCTGGGGAGAGGGCAAAATTAATGTGAGGACTCTTATCTTTAAAATTCATCCCCATTTTGTAATCTAGGCCATAATAAAACCACATATTTTATGTAAAATATATTTTCCCCTGTCGCCAAGTGAAACAGACATTTCAGGAAGATGCCCCAAGTCTGTCCTGGGTCTCCTGCCATTCCCACTATACCACTCACAAGTGTTCCACGCTGAGAAGTGCAGGGGTGGGGGCTGGCCATCCCCAGCAGCCTTCTAGAATAGTCTCTCCTGTCTGTGATTCCTGACTTTAGTCCTTAGACCACTTACCTGCCTCTCAGAGCCTCAGTGTACCAGGTGTCCCATGGGTACATCCATGGTAAGGATCAGAGTCAGGTTTCCTTGACTGCAAAAAAAGGGCTGTGGAAATATCCTTTGGATGAGATTGTCTGTGACAGGCGGGCAGTGGTGGTGATGGCTAGACTCCCTTGAGGTCATGAAAGAGAGAAAAATAGCAGAAGCCTTCCAGCTATGTCTTCATTGTCTCTATTTTACAGATGAGGAGAAGGAGGCCCGGGGAAGGCAGGTGACACCCCTGAAGTCACACTGGAGGCTCACTCTCTCGGAGCTCTCAGGCTGTCTGAGAACGGGTGCCCGTGCTACAAGACTCAGCTTTCTCCCCTTCTCTCCCAGGATGAACAAGGCGCCCACGGCAGGGTTTGAAGCTGATGTTGGGACCAAGACCACCCACCATCTGGTGTACCCTGAGAGCTTCCGGGAGCTGGGAGATAATGTCAGCATGATCCTGGTGCCCTTCAAGACCATCGACTTGGAGTGGGTGGTGAGCGCCATCACCACGGGCACCATTTCCCAGTGAGTCCCTCCTGTGGCCCCGCCTCGCTGCTCTGCCCCTTGCAGTGGCACCCTGTCCCCCCACCCTGCCGTGGTCCTGCTGTGCCTCCACCGGGGTGCCTCCCCTCCCCCAGCCTCCTCCGGCACACACAAGCCCAGTTCCCGTGGCCGCCTCCCCGACTACTCCAACTCTTCTCTCCCTATCACTTAACAAACCACAAGCTTTAGTGTCCTCTTGCTAACAATTCCTGAAGGGACCTCCACGCGCCCTGGAGACTCTATGGGAAGGGGCCGCCACTAGAAAGGGTCAGCCCATGTGAGTTCAGCCTCCCTTTATTTCTGAAGTGCAGCCTGACAAATAACAACACCTTATTTTTCAAACTTATGTGAGCGTGGCAGGGTGAGGGTTCCTAAGAAATGAGGAGTGGGGAGTGCAGGTGCAGCCTGGGCCCCTCCCCAGGGCAAGCAGTGCTGAGCAACGCGGCTGTGGCTTCCCTGACAATCAGGAGCTTAGTTTCCTGAGCAGACACCGCACGTGGCACTCGGCACATATTATCTCAATGAATCCTCACAATAGCCATTATCATTAGCTCCTCCCAGTGAGGACTCTGGAGCTCGGCCAAGCACCTTGCCTAGGGTTGAACTCGACACAGAGCCTGTGCTGTCATCTGACCCTTACTGAAGGGAAGTGTTTTGATGTCCAGGTTTCCACAAGCTGTCTGTCTTCTGCCAGGTTTTCTAGGAACAGAGCTAGCCCCCGGATGTGGGTGCAGGAGACTGTGGAGCTGTGCCCTCAGGAGACCGGGAGTGAGGGAGGCAGACCGGGGCGGGGTGGGGTGGGGTGGGACCCAGGTCCAGAAGTGGCTCAGCTGCAGTCTCTCTGGGAGCAGGAATCACACCCGTGGGACCAGCTTTGGCACCTTTGCACTCAGGGTGCATGCAACCGCCCAGGTGAGAAAGGGGCAGCCGCGGGCCTCACCAGCCAGTGCCCCAGCAGCTGGGCAAAGGTGCTCTGGCCCTGAGAGGTGGAGGCACCACGGCCCCACTCCACTCCTTAAGGCTGTGCTTGGAGCAAGTCCTCCTCACCTTTTTGGGGAATGGGGCCAAAACCCAGCAGAATGTCCTCAAATTAGGAAAGGCCGTCCTCTGGTGTCTATTGGGGCTTGCTGTGGGCAGAAACCCGGCTGGGGTAGGGAGGTGGGGGTCCCTGAGGGAAGCTATGGGGGGCAGGAGAGGCTATGCCTGCTTCATTATCTAGCCACTACCCCCAGAGCTGCATGCCCAGGTTCCTGGGCCTGTCCCCTGCCCCATTAACCAGCTTCTCTTTCTCCAACTGCAGCACCTACATCCCGGTTCCTGCAAAGATCAGAGTGAAACAGGATAAGGTGAGTGGAGGCCCCGGCCCCTCTGTTCTAAGTTCAGGCTTCCTCATCTAAGGCTCTGCTCTAAGGTACGGCATTGAGTTGCAAGACAGCCCCCAGATCCCCAGGCCGCTGGAGGTAGCATCTCCCACTTAGCTATCCCCCTGGGGGAAGAGGTCAAACACTGGGAGAGATTCTCAAAGTGGGGTCCCCCGGGCCAGCAGCATCACCCGGGAGTTTGTCACAGATGGACATCCTCAGGCCCATCTCGAACCTACTGAATCAGAAACCCTGGCTGCCCCGCATTCTGGTTTTAACACATTCTCCGGGGACCCCTGTGCTTGCTGCGGTTTGTGAATTACTCTCAAAGCCAGGCTGCACCTCCTGCTTCTCCATCTCTTTCCATGTCTCCATCTTCCCCAGCAGGCCCCTGGCATGGGGCTGGCCAAGAGATGGGCAAAGGGCAGAAGAAGGAGGGAAGTGAGGTACCCACCACACTGGCCTTTTGCATACTCTATCAAACTTAGATAGGCTCGGAGAGGTCAGGAAACTTGCCCAGAGACACACAGCTAGTTCTGGATAAGGCTAGAATTGAAGACTCCCCGTGCCTCCAGCATCTTGCCCTTTGCATTGGGTTGTGCTGCCTCAGGGAAGAAGCCACTTATGTGTCTCTATAGGGTGGGGTTGGTGGAAGGGACAGCCTCCTAGAGATGGTAGGAGGCCACACTGAGAGGTGAATGGTTTACCAGAGACCCACAGAATCCACCCTTCCAGTCCATTCCTAGGGGCTGGAGTTTGGCTTTCTGGACGTGCACGCCCTCTCCTGCCTGAGAATTCCCTTTCGTTGTGCTCAAGGCAGGCTTTGGGTGGTGGAATCAAGGCCAGGCCTGATATCGGCCTCCTCCCAGCTCAGCCACTGCTGGCTGTGTGACATTGGGCAGATCACTTAGCCTCTCTGGGCTTCAGTTTTCTTATCTGCAGCATGAGGAGAGGGAAACCTGGGACATGAGGTCATTTTAAGGATTGGCGATGATTCCAGCCATCATCAGGTGGCTTGGTGCATATGTCTTCACTCACTGACAGTGTCCAGTCCCACCTCACACTGTTCCCTGGAGCCCCCTTCTCCTGAGCAGCCTCCCATCTCACTCCCTGGCCTCCTTGGATTTTTCTGTGTGTCAGCTCAGTGATCCTCCTCACACGGTCCTGTAGGGCCCTCCTCTGCATCATTGCTCTCCATAGCACTTATTAGCTCAGCACCTCTGTCTCTTAGTGATGTGGATGAGTGTCCATCTTTCCTACGAGCATGGAAGCCCACAAGTGCAGGCGTATCTATTAGGCTCATGGCTGTGCCTCCATGGCCACAACAGTATGTACATCTGACAGGCGCTCCATGTCCTTTGCCCCCCAGAACTCACTAAGGGCCGTGTCTTCCCATCCCCGCAGATCCTGATCTACCACCCAGCCTTCATCAAGTATGTCTTTGACAACTGGCTGCAAGGGCACGGGCGATACCCATCTACCGGCATCCTCTCGGTCATCTTCTCAATGCATGTCTGCGATGAGGTATGCCACCCTCCCCCTGCCCACAGGGCTGCCTCGAAGCTCACCGTCCTGTGTTCCCAAGAGAGGCCAGGGAGGGGGAGGGCAGGTAGACCTAGCCTGCCTCTTCCGGAAGCTCGGATTCCCTGTCTCTACGACAGGACTTGCAACATGTGTCTCCCAGGGTGTTTTAGTGAGTAACAGTGCTCTATGAGAAAGTTCTCAGGAGCAATAGTTCTGGCACATTCTGTGTAAGTGCCCAGGACCGTGGTGGTGGAAGCTCGGATCTCGCAGCAGATTCCGGATACAGAAGCGGATTCTCATAGCGAGAGTTGTCTAAGGCCACAGTTCTCAATCCCACTTGCTCCTTAGAATCATCTGTGGGTCTAAGTTCCAGCACCCAAGCCACACCTTGGCCCAATTTTACCAGAATTAATGGGAGCCAGGTACCCAGGGGTTCCACTGTCTACCGAGGTTGAGAACCCGTGATCTCGAGAAGCATGCATTTGCCTTCCCATGTCCTTCGCTGTCCGCTAGGCTGTGTTCGGGTTTCCACTTATGCTCTGAGAGGTTTGCTGCCACCCCAGGAAGAGGGGCAGGAGGGCAGGCCACACAGCCCCCACTTCCTCCCTGATGTTGGGTTCAGGCAGGGCCCTCACGTGTCCCTTCTTGTCTCATTCAGCCCAGCCCCAGCCCCACCCTGCCTGGTGCCTGGTGGGAATCTCAGAAAGGGTCAGAGGCATTGCAAGGCAGGTCCCCAGGCTCAGCCCCACCCTGGTGTTCCCAGGTAGAAACATGGGTGCCCCTGTCATTTCCCCACCCCACCCACCTCCAGCCAGCTGGTCCCAGACCCTTGCTTGAGGTTCTGCTCAAGAGCCCTTTCTCCCATCGTCCCACCGATTTGGCCCTAACGTTCTTGCCCTGGAGCAGGCCCATGTCCATGTTGCATTTCCTGAGAAAGCCACATGTGGCATGGTGCTGTCCCCGTCCCCTCTTTGTCCCCACCCCTCCAATCTATCTTCCACGCTGCAGCCCAGATAGCACGTCCTCTCCCTGGAAGCCCCTCCATGCAATTCCTTCTGGTCATCTTGTACTCATTTTCCAAGACCCAACTCACATGCCACCTCCTCTGAAGAGCTTCCTCTGACCTCTCAGGGCATAGCTCCTCCCTCCTCTGTGCTGCGGGAGCCCTGAATTTAGCCCCATTTCCAACAAGGACCACTCAGTCAGTGACTCCAAGAAGCTATAAGCTCCAAGGCTGCTTCCCCCTGCAGCTGCCCAGCTGGCATCTGATCAAGCTCTGCCTGAACTTCAGTACAGCCAGCAGGGTGCTGGGCTCAGAATAAATGCACAGGGTTTGTCATGTATGTGAAAGGCCTGGTCTAGTGGCCCTGAGGGCGCCTGGACCAGATGAATGTTGGCCACAGAGAAGAAAGGGATCAGCCCTGCCCTCTGCCTCACTGCAATCATGATTCTTGGACCCATTTTCCAGATGAGGAAAGTGAGGCTCAAAGAAGTGACTTCACATGCCCAGGGCACCACGGAGTGGCAGAGCTGGGATTTGGGGCAGTTTGCTTGGCCCCAAAGCCCTGCTCTCCTTCCACTCTCTTCCATTCCACGCCCTCCTTCCTATTCCTTCCCTCTGTAGCTCCTCAATCCTGGGAGAATAGGTTGCACTTGCTGCAGAGGTAAGACCCGGGCCCCTGAGACCACCCAGATGCAGTAATCTCTCAGGGTGCTTCTGGAATTAGACTTGAGTTTTACTTAACTTGCATTTGCTTCACCAAGACTCTGAGAGTTCCAGGAACGTAGAGAAGGGTTTTTAATGAAGGGTTAGTCAGAGTCCTTGGAAATGCTGTTTATGGTCCTGTGGGATTCCAGGAACGCCTACAGGCTTCCTTTCTCAGAGGTGCCACCAGCAGCCCTGCTGTCTGGTTCTCATCTTTGCTTTGCTCCCACAGGTGGACTTGTACGGCTTCGGGGCAGACAGCAAAGGGAACTGGCACCACTACTGGGAGAACAACCCATCCGCGGGGGCTTTTCGCAAGACGGGGGTGCACGATGCAGACTTTGAGTCTAACGTGACGGCCACCTTGGCCTCCATCAATAAAATCCGGATCTTCAAGGGGAGATGACGCAGTGAAGGGCTGAGGATGGACGCACTGTCACACCTCTGCATTTCCAGCCCCAGCATCTTGCTGGAGCCGTTCCATCCCGGAGCTTGGAGGGGCAGCCTCAGGTGTGTGCCTGGGCACCGCTCACAGCCTCTTGCACCCAGCCGTTGGCAGCATCTACTCAGCAAGGTCACTAAGCTCTGCCAGCGTGGCAGAGCATGTCTTGGAACCTGTCTTGAGTGGGGACAACGTCCCCCCACTGCTGCCCTAGAGCTGGGGAGACGCTGGGAAAGGTTCAACCTCCACACACTAAAATCATTTTGGCTCCTGGGGCAAGCTTGGGGAATGAATGTGGAAGATGCCTATATTCTGAGAGACAGGACAGTTTCCCAGGAAGATGGGCAGAGACTTGAGTGGCGATTACCTCCAGCACAGAGACGTGCCAGGCGGTGTTGGCGCTCGGGGCGAGATGCTGCCCTTCTTTGCACGAAGCCTGGCCTCTTGCTTGGCGTGATAACCCTGTCATCTTCCCAAAGCTCATTTATGAGCCACCAGAGGCTCCTACCCCAAAGATTTTCACAGAAACTTGAGGCCAGGTGCCGTGGCTCACACCTGTAATCTGAACACTTTGGGAGGCCGAGGCGGGAGGATCACTTGAGCCCAGGAGTTCAAGACCAGCCTGGGCAACATAGTGAGACTCCTGTCTCTACAAAAATAAAAGATTTAAAAAAATTAGCCAGGCACGGTGGCACACACTTGTAGCCCCAGCTACTAGGGAGGCTGAGGAGGGAGGATCTCTTGTGCCTAGGAGTTCGAGGCTGCAGTGGGCTGTGATCACACCACTGCACTCCAGCCTGGGCAACAGAGTGAGACCCTGTCTCTGAAAAAAAAAAAAAAAGAAAAGAAAAAAAACCCCAAACTTGGCACCGTGTTTCTGACTCCTGCAGATGCCTCTTCCCAAGCAGTTGTTCCTTTGAGTAGTCAGTCTCATGGTTCTAATCGTGGCGAGAGCGGATCTGACCACTTCCATGTGCCTTTGTATTTGGGAAAGAAAAGCATGCATTGGCTGAAATGAAACAAAAGCCCTTACTTGGGAAAAGGGACCCCCACCAGCGGCCCTGCTTGCTCCGTAGCTGGGAACATCTTTTCTGGTTTCCTGAGCCAGCACCTGAATTGCAACGAAGCTCTGAGGATACTCAACACCACCCAGCAGTGCGTCAGAATGGAACGTACATTCTCATTCTCAGACTGTTCAATATGGTGCCCGTAACCTCCAAAGCCACACAGGAGGCTGCCAGCAGCATTTTCCCCAAGGGCCTGAGCTCAGGGTCAAGTCCCTGCTGGCCATCTTGGGGCTGTCACTGGGGGTCTGGGTCAAGGACATCCCAGGAATGGTAACTGCCACATACCTCATCTTCTTACTCCCCAGCTACTCTCTTTTCCTCATTAGCCTTCCTGATTATTTATTGATTTCTTTTTTTTATTCAACTGACATTGTTTGCACCCTGGCTCTGTTGGTGGTCCTGGTGTTTTAATGAAGCTTGCCTCACCCAGTAGCTGGGAAATTAGGTGGGGGTGCTTAAGGGAGGTTTGTAGGAGTCCTCGGACGTGGGATATTGGGGGTATCTAGGGCTTGGATGGTTTGTGGAATGTCCTCAGCATCCTCCCGTCCCAACCCAACCTTCCTTCTTCCTCATTGTGGACTTGGATTTATTCTCAGGCTAGGAGTCTCCAAAACTCCGTGAAACCTTATTGCTGCTGGGTGTGGAGTGGAGAGTGACAGGAATGTGGGGGACGGTGATTGTTGGCTCCAGTTACTAATGTTTAAGCAGAAAAACCACTTTCTTGTTGAAAATATCCCTGAAAAGGTCGCTGCTGCTTTGAGGAGGCGTGACTTTTTCCTGGTGGAGTGTGACGGAGGCATGGGGCCTGTGCTCCCAGGCTCGGGGGAGCCCCCTCTGCACACGGGGAGGGAGGAACTTGGGGACATCAGTCATGGGTCACAGGTGGCTTCAGGCCATTCACAAGAGTCCCCGGAAGTTGCGTGCCAAGTTTGGTTTTTTCCCTGAATCTCTGCATATGAGCATTTTTCTGGAGAAAGGACCATAGCTTTTATTAGATTCTCAAAGGTTCAGAATGGGGAATGTGTTAAACAAACCGAAAACCTGTTTCAGCTTTAAAATCCTCCAAAACTTTAAAGACTTTTCTTTTTTCTGAGAAAGGCTGGTAAATCACTGAGTCATCATTCAGAACATACAGCCTCGAAGGGCAGAGCTCACACCCATATATGACGTTAAGAGCTCAACAAATGTTTGTTGAGTGACTGAGTGACCCCAGGGGCAGACTCCAGATCATCAGACACTGATACAGAGAGCGATGCTATCTCCTCAACTCTCCCTCTTCTCCTAAAAGCTGAGTCTATATAGGGATGACAGGCTCAGGCTGAGCAGTCGACTTCTCTGGGTTTTGCTGTGTAAGAATAGGTCCCTCAACATGAAGATGTGTCTGCGTCTGAGCCAGATGCTGCCTGGGTCGGTTGCCTGGCCTCCGTCTGGTCTCCCTCCCTCCTACTAGGGTGGTCAAGCTGTGAGATCTCTTCCAGCCTCCAAATCCAGCTTTCCCATTTTACTGATGAGAAAATCAAGGCCACATTGCAGCTGGGTGGGGAGTGGAGCGTGACAGGCACGGGAGAGGACAGCGATTGTTGACTCTAGTTCCTGATGTTTAATCAGAAAAACCACTTTTCCTGTAGAGCACATTTCCTAAAAGGCTGCTGCTGTGTAGGGAGGTGTGGCCTTTTCCTGGTGCAGTGTGAAGGAGGGAAGTGACGGGCAGTCGTGAACTGTCTGGGACAGATAGCACAAGTCAGAGTTTGAGCAAAACTAGGGTGTTACCGGCGCTATGTTGAAATTGTCTGGAGGCGGGCTTTCCCAGCGAGTCTCCATTCAGCATCTGGAAAAAGTGTAACCAGAATGGAGGTGTCTGACTCTCCTGTGCTCTCTCAGCGCCGAGCTCTAGCTGCAGGCTGCCTGGGTGGCCTTCTCACACCCTCCCGTGCAGGAGACTGCATTTCTCTTTCCCACAGCCCAGCAGATAGCTCATTGGCTTAGCAATGGGCACTTAACAGAATCCAGTTGTTGCAGCCAGAATTAAATGCACCAGTCTGGCTTAAACCAACTGGAACTCATCCCTGGGGTGAAGGTGGCTGGGAATTAGACAAGAGTGTGTGTTAGCCAAAAGGCACATGCATGCTGTCAGCAGGAGAATGAGGAGCACTGGTTCTGGGCAGGCAGTGGCAGGGGCTCCCTCAGGCCCCTGATTCCCAGCCCACAGCTCTTTCTACTCTGCAGACAGAGTTCCTTGGAGACTGGCCCTGCATTCAGGCAGGGAGCAGAGGGGTCCCTGCCTGCAGCACCCAGAGCTGAACCTGAAGCTACAAAGATGGGCTGATGAGGTGGCCCATGAGGTGTCAGCAACATCCCAACCCCCTGGGTCTCCCCAGTGAGTCAGGGCACTGATTTGCTATAGCTGGAGCTACATGCACCTCTCCTCCCCTCAGCCACCTTTTAGGGGAGAAAGGAGGGCAGATTTGTAACCTCTGGTTCTCTGCAGGGATCCTGGGCTGGAAGAAAGTTCATAAATGGATGAATGCCTTTTAAAACTCCAGCTTTTCCAAGCATCATTCACCAAAGCATTTGGTTAGGCTTAGAGAGAAAAGCTGGATATGAGAAAATAGAATGTAAAATAGGAGGGAAAAAAAAAAAGAAGGTGGAGAGGGCAGTTAAGATCTGGGTGATTCTTTAGGGAAACGGCTGGTTGAGAGGCTTTGATGGAATCCCATTCTCTGCTGTGGCCAGAAGGTGGTGCTAGAGGCCAGTCCCACTTGGATGTGACCCTGGCCTCTGCCAGGATTCAAACCACAAAGAACATTTGGAACTGGGATGTTTGCTTTGAAGCAGCCCGAAAACAAGTGAAAGGAAACCAAGATAACTCTCTCTCCCTCCGCTGGCAAGGATCAAAAATACCTTGTGCAGGGAAGCCCGAGCCTCGAGGGGCCACTGCCCAGCTAAAGATGACTGGACACCAGCCATGCACCATCAGGAACCAGCACCTGTCCTCACCCCTGAGAAGAGCCCCGGGGGTATCATTATATCCATCGCAGACATCTGGTTTGCAGCAAATGTGGCTACACGCCATCAGGATTATCCTGCCCTGTGGACTGGGCTAGCTAGTTTTGAGATAGAGTCAACCTCCCCATTTTTGTTTGTCATGAAAACACCAGCTCCTGCACCCCTGGGGTGCTACCTGACACCTGTGCAAAGAAAAGGAGGAAAACTTAGAAGAAAAGGCAGAGACAGGCAAGACAGCATCTCACAGCTTGTCAGGATCAGGGCATTACCGACTATTTTTTCTTACCAAAAGAGCACTGAATTTCCTAGGGGAAGGTGAGCCACCTTTACACCTCCTGTCCTCCCTCCCAGCCCGTCAAGCGATCCCATCACCCAGCCTCATCACTCAGCTTCTTCCTAGTACAAAACTGCCATCGGTTGTACGTCCTGAGCTGTGGGACGTCAGCTTTAACCCTAGCCTGTCTCAGGGCCTCGCCCTCCAGCCCCCCGCCCCTTAGGGTGATCGTGGGTTTCTTCCCTTCCTCCTGCACAATCGCTTCCCTTCACTGAATTCCCTTCAAAGCCAAAGTTTCTTGAGCACTTTTTCTTGTGTGCAGTCTTGTGTGTTTGGGTGTTGGTGTTTTTAAATTTGCTTTCTATTCCCCCCTGCCTCTCTCCATGTCGTTACGCAGCTGAGCACTGGTTGGGATGCATTCGAATGACTTCAGCAAGATCCTGCTTTCCTCAGCCCCCGCTCTGTTTTATTTATTGTTTAATATTTCCAATGATCCAAATCAAAGTGAATAAACAAAGAGCTATTTTATTGTTTGGGTGTGTTTGTTGCTTTTCTACAAGGGTCATGCATTTGCGCCTCCTTCAACACTCCAACTCAGAGGGCCTCCTGGGTTGGCGTCGCCACTACCGAATGGCCAGAATTCAGGATACAGAGGAGAGCCCCAGCGTAGGCCTTGGAGAGGCCTCTTCTCAAGCCCAGGAGTCCCATTACCTGCCGTGTGACTGGCGAGTCACCTAAGTTCTCTGAACCTCAGCTGCGTGTCTCATGTATTAAATGGGCGCGACAACACTGGCCTTCAGAGGGGATGTGGGAGTAAAAACAAAAGCATCTCCAGAGGCCCAGTAGACATGCACCACCTGCTTGAACGTTTGCTGAGTGAATTCACCTTGGCCAGGGCCTGATTGGGCTGGGCTAGTGTCTGTCCTCCCCCGACAGAGACGGGCACACCCAGGGATGGACAAGAGTTTGGTCCAAAGTTGGCACTAATCTCCCTTTAAAAAAAAAAAAAAACAGATTCAGAAACCCAATGTTGCGAGCCTGTAAGATAAAATTGGTATACACAGTAACCAGGCCTCCCAGTTTGTATGGCACACAATACCTCCATGGGCGTGATCTTTAACTCAGAACAGCCCTGCGGGCTGCTGCATGGCTGAGGGCGGAGGTGGGTTCACAGCCAGGCGCCTCTCTCCAGTCCCGGGCCTCCTGTCTGCCCTGCCGCCTCCCTGTCACTCTGTGCTTAGCAAAGACGTTGAGTTATTTGAGACACTGTCTATGGGGACCTTCTGAGGGCAGCCCCCAGAGGAAGGATGGGGCAGAGATTCACACAGGGGCTCTGGAGCCAGGCCGCCCTGGGTCCTACCTATTAGCTGTGTGAGTCCGAGCAAGTTACTTAACCTCGCTGCCTAATCTCCTGATGGATAAGTTTGGAATGATATAATACCTCTATATAAATACACATAGAGGATAAAATGAGTTAACACACGCAAAAGGCTTACAACAACAAATGTTAGTTATTAGTACATCAGACACGGGAGAGGAGAAGGAGCTGTGTGCAAGACTGAAATGAACAGCAAGGCTCTGTCGGGGAGCCCGGTCTGTTTCCCTCCCCCCATGCCTCTGTCCTGCTCCTGCCCCCTGCCACGGGCCTTCATGTTGCCTGTGTATCTTCTTTAAGTTGTTTCTTCAACTCTAGAGTTCCCTTTCCTCCTTGCCCTATCACTTCTCTGTCCTCTCCCTACAGGGCCCTGCCGTCATCTGGCGCTAACACGCGCTCCCACCCAGCCATCCGTTCTATAGGAGACACAGCCTCCCCCAAATTCGCTCCTGGTTGGCCTCACATCACAGCTGCAATGTGGACCAGCGGCCACGAGGTGGTGCTATGCTGCAGTCGGCCCCGCCGCCCGCTTTTCCAGGCCAGCTCTGTAGGGCTCCAGCGCCTGGCCGCCCTGTCCTGCACATCGCACCCTGGTCTCAGGCTAGAGCCCATGGCCAGGGAAAGAAATTGTCAGGGCCCTCCTTGGACAGCCCTGAGGGCCTAAAGGCATTCCTCCAAGACACCCCGGCACCTGCCTGGAAGCTGGGACCAGAGCCAAGGCCCATCTGCTTCTGCACCCCCCCGACCCCTCCCCAAAATGCAGATCCTCCCAGGATTTGGCCTGGGAACGCTGGGAAGTCCTAGGAATAACCGCGAGGCTGCTCCAAACACATGCTTGGCCGTCAACAAAAAGCGAAGGGACTAAAAAGAAGTTCCTAAGTGGAACTTTCCGATTTCCTCTTCGCTTTCCCAGGATATTTAATGTGCACAGGGATTGAAAGGAGAGTGTGGCGACCCTGTTGGGTCATTCTCTACATTCAGCCATGGCTGGTGTTTCCCACCCATGCCCCCTCGTTTTTCTTTTCTTTCTTTTCTTTTGTCGATGGCCCACAGTGACCAGGGGTGACCCTCAGAGGCTGCCACTTTGCCCCTGACTGTGAGTGAGCACCTTCCAGGGGCAGCCGTCCTGCCTGACCACAGTGTCACCTAGCAGGGTAGGGGGTGGGGGTGGCCCTGTCCTCCAATGTCCAGTCATAGGAGCCTCCCCGCTTGTCCTCCCAATGCCTCTGGCAGGTGGTTTATTCACACAGGATTCACTGAATGTCTGCATGCCACAAAAGGAAATTGTCTGTGTGCCCTCAGAGTCTCCTCCCCTACTAGGGGACAGAGGCTATCTGAGGCATGTCCAGGAAGCTGATGCCCTAGGGGACCTGGAGAGGAAATATCTATGATTCTCCAGGCCTTCCTCGCCTGCTGGGGAAGAGCCAGCCTCTGCTGTTTCCATTGCTTCATTCAAGGATTCTGGGGGTCATTTTCAAACACCTGTGGGATATTACCCTGATGACATTCCCTATAGCAATGATGGTAACAATGTATCTATCTGCCCTGCCCCCTCCCTCCCTCTGATGCCTGTGCTGGGCCCAACCATTCCTGGAGAACAAGGTGAAGCTTCATCCACGTGTCAGAGTCAAAGCTCTCCTGGTCATTTTCAGCTGAAACTTGAGGTCCTCATAGTTCAGCAAATTCCAGGTTACCTGCTTCTCAGAGATGCAGCTGTTACGTGCCCGTATCCCCCCAATATCTTGCAAGTGCTTGACTCCAGTCCTACTGCTAGAGACTGAATTGTGCCACCCCCACCCATGCATATGTTGAAACCCTAAGACCCTGTTGGGGTGGTATTTGGAGATGGGGCCTTTGGGAGGTAATTAAGGTTTGATGAAGTGACTGGGGGCTCTTATGATCAGGTTAGTGCCCTAGAAGAGACCCCAGAGACTTCTTTACCATGTGAGGCTGCAGTGAAAGGCAGCCATCAGCAGCCAGGAGGAGGGGCCTCACGAGAACCCCACCACGCTGGCTCCCTGATCCCAGATTTCCAACCTCCAGAACTGTGAGAAAATACATTTCTATTTAAATCAGTGATCTATGGTATTTTTTTAATGGTAGCCTAAGCTGACTCACATGCCCACACTAACACTGCCACCATTTCACAGGGTAAGGGACCTCAGGCAGGCAAGGGACTTGGCCTCTTTGAGCCTCAGTTTCCCCCCTCAAAATATAGAAGTAATAATAACACCTGCCCTGAAAGGTTGCTGTAAGGGGTAGACTAATGACCCATGTCTGCCAAGCAGGGGACATGGAGTAGCGGGCTGCAGATGGTGGTCGAGGAGGGAGCTTGGTGCAGGGAACCATTTTCTCCCTCTCCCCAGCCCTAAGCCCCCCGAATACGGCAGCTCTGCCCTCCTCTGATTCCCTTGGAACTGCACCTCCTGCAGGTGGAAAAGACTCAGCTGACTGATCAGACCCTGGGGCCCTCAGCTCAGTCACCTCTCAGCTCAGCTGTGAAAAGCAGAGGCTTCCTGTTTTCTGGGCCCCCACGTGGCTCCATGTGGCTCACCTTCCAGGCTGATGGGGCTGCCGCAAAGAGGAGGTTGTGTTTGGGTATAGAAAGTCAGTTCAACTGGATGAGATAACGAGCAGGGACATTTTGCTGCAATTCTAAGCCACATGCCCCAATTCAGCTTGACTCAGAACACAGCTGCAGGTGGTTCCTGAATCAATCCCTCCATTAGCTCAGAGCCCATACTGAGGGTAATGGGATTGAGGCCCTAAGACCCCACCCACTTGGAGACAGAAATCTGGGCCTCATCAGGCTATAGATCACGAAGCCCTGGGTCTGCATGTGGCCTGCAGGGAGTTGAATGAGATGGTCCAAGGAGCAAAATACAGGAAAGGAGGTTAGAAGAAGCAGCCAGGGAGGCCACAGGTCTCTGGCTTCGTGGTGCCTCTGAGGCTATAGCAAGGTCACTTCAAGGAGACTGAGGCCTTGCCCTGGTGACGCCTGTCCCCAGAGAGGTGAAGGGGCACCATGTATGGCCTGGGTAAGAGCAAGCTCTCTTTGGGATGGAGGTGGAAACTAGGCTGGAATAGAGTAATAGCTACAAAGACCCATGTATAAGGAGTGAGTAGGGCACTCCAGCAGTGTACCAGGAGAGAAACAGGGAAGGGCCATGAGGGGTGGGTGCAGGGTTAAAGGAGAAGGTCACATATTTGAGGAAGGATGCTTTGTCTAGCAGCAGAGACTGCAGCAGACTTAAATGCTGTCCAGAAGGAGCCAGTAGAGAGAGGAAGATGCAGCAGAGAGAAGGAGGAGTGTGGAGCAGGGCCCTCGAGAGGGAAGGGGCTTGGAGGGACCCCCGCCTCCATCACAAGAGGATGGTGAGGGGCCGGGGTGGGGATCCAGGCAGGGGCAGACAGCTTTAGCGGCACGAAGCTGAGGTCATTGCCGTCTGATAGCTTCCTTTTCCCCTAGAGTTGGGGAGATAAAATGCTGAGCTGAGGCGAAGGCAGGAGGAGAGAACAATGGAGGAACGTTTTCCCATGGACTGTGAACCGTCGGAGAAAATGACTGTGAGTACAGGCAGCTGGTGGCTAGGGTGGAGGGCCGGGTTGAAGTTAGAGAGGATGCGTTAGAGGGCGCCATGACTGGGTCATGGACACCCATGGACAGTCACAGGCCCCAGCAGTCAAAGACCGGGGTCCACGGATAGACCCTCTCTGCAAACCGGGAACAGTGATTCCGGGGGTGTCTGCCTCACAGGACTGTGATAAGCGAATGTGCTTTATGTATATATTTCACTTGGCAAATACGCACTGAGGGCCATGGGGACTAGAGATACAGAGATGGGCAAGAGAAGGTCTCTGCCACCAGAGTGTGAGAGTTAGTGGGGGGACGGGCGGGCAGCCAGACAGCTGCAACACCCATGAAATAAAGGAGCTTTTAATGACCGCGGCTGGTTCTTTTTCACACGCTGGCAACGGGGGCTGAGTGCTTTACCTCCATTAAGCTCGTTTAATCCTGCAACAATCCTGCCAAGAGGCATTGGTCTCTCGAGAGGGGAATTTAAAGAGGAAACTGAGCTTCACTCAAGGAGGTTAAGTGACTTACCAGGGGGTTAGGGATGTAGCCAGAACTTAAATCGCAAGGGCTGGGGTTCCTGAGTCCCGGGTAAAGATTGCAAGTGCGCCATACTCCCCAGGGGTGTGGGGACAGGGGACGGTGTTGCTCCAGAGAAAAGCACTTTGAAGATGAGTGCCCATGGCTGGCTCACGGCGACAGAGCTGGTCCGGCCCAACGGCCAGGTTTATTCATTAGGACCTTGGCCAAGAGCGCCTGGTGATGGTGGCCACCAGAGGGCGCAACGGACCCACCTTCCACCAGATTCAACATGGGGTTTGGTTGGGAACCAGACACAAGCTGAAAACCTCAAGGGAAAAGCCACACACCCACGTGTAAGGCCAGAACTTAAAAGAACTTGATCTTAGATAGTAACAAGGACAACACCTTCCAGATGAGGAGATTATATCTCTGTCATCCAGCTAACAAAATAGATTGAGAAGAAGTCTGTGTCCAGTTGGAAAATGTCAAAGCCCCAAGCAAGGGTGAGTGTCTGACCAGCTGCCCACGGCTTCACAGGGCCACGTGGCACCACCGGCTCCTGCCTGCCCAGACCTCCACACCTTGGTGTTTCTACTTGGCCTCCCTCTCCCACCCTTCATCCTTGACTCTGCAGTGATTTCTTAGCTGTGTGACCAATGGGGAAAACCTGACTTCTTTGAACCTCAGTTTCTTAATCTATAAAATGGGTATAAGGTGACATAGTATATATTAAGGAAAGACGGCAGGCAGACTTTTCTGAGTCCTTTCTGTGTGCCAAGCATTTCACACGCATTTTCTCCTTTAATTCTCACAACAACCCCCATGAATGACATGGGGGTGGTATCCTCATGGAAGATCTGAGGCACAGAGACTATTAGTTATGTGTCTGTAGCCACAGTTCATAACTGATCAACCAGGGTTAAAAACCAGGTCTGATTCTGTCTCAGTCAGGACAGAAGAGGCTGCTGCTACAATACTGACAAACTCCACAATCCCAACAACCTAAGATGGAACAACAAAGGTTTCTTCACTGCCGGGTCAAAGTCTGATGGAAATTGCAGTGTCCTACGTGAGCCCTGCATGTGGCGGCTCAGGCTACCCAGCTGTTTTCATCTTGGGACATTGCCAACTTCAACTTCAGCATGTGCCTTTCAAGGTCACTGCACAAGGGGAGAAGGAGATAAAGGTGGCTTGTTGGCTCCTAACTCTCCCCATGGAGTCGATACCCATCGCTTTCAATCAAGCTCTGGAGCCAAAACCAGCTACATTGTCCAATCAAAGCTGTAAGAAAACTGGAAGGTGCCTTGGAGCCTCCGGAACAGTGGAGGGGCACTAACCAGCTCCCTCATGCCTCTCCTCGATATCACAGGCCTGGACTTGGAGCCGACTGGTGAGAGGCTCCTGGTGCTGCCCTTGTCAGTGCTGAGCGAACACAGGCCGAGTGCTCCATTCTGCAGGCTCAGTGGGACAGACCAAGGCAGACCCTCGGCAGGGACTCCAGGGGACAGGAGTGCTGCAGGCTCAGTGGGGTGGACAGACCAGGGCAGGCCCTCGGCAGGGACTCCAGGGGACAGATGTGCTGGGATCAAGGCTGTTTACCCCAGTCTCAATCCCTGCCTCCTGCTGTCTGAAAGGCTGGTGTGCTGGATAGGAGCTGGGTGTGCTCCTGGTGGCCTCTGGCCCCTTCTGCAAAAGCCTGTTCCTACTGCAGACTCTGTGATGGCTGGGCTGCTGTCTCATGGGGAAGTGAGCTCTGTCCTCAGAGCCATATGGGCAAAGGCTGGAGAGTTGCTTTTTGGAGATGCTATACAGCAATTTGGACATCAGGGAAGAAACAATGGAAAGAGAGTGGGTTCTGCTAATGAATCCAGGCCATTTGCTATTTTGCAGACAGCTGGCTGCTTCCCTACACTGGCTTCTGGTGCCTCCGTTTCCAAATCTGTACATTGGAGGGCTTGGAAAAAAATCAGTCTGTCTTACAATTTTTTGCCTAATTGCTCACTTCCCAGGATAGTTACAAAGAAGTTCACTGAGGGTAGAAATGGTGTTCTTTTTTCCCTTCTGAATGTCCAGCACCTAACACAATGCCAGGCACATAGTAGGCGTGCAAATAAAAATCCTGTTTATTTAAGTAGAATAAGAGCTAACATCTGCTGAGTATTTCACATGTTTCAGCCCATTCTCAGTGTTTGCATGAGGTCACCCATCTGCTTCTCACATGACCCCGGGGACAGGGAGCCTCACTGACATGCATGTTTTACGGAAAAGAAAACAAGTGCTCTGAGAGGTGGACCACCTCGCCCAGGGTGCATGGCTGAGCAGCCATCGCCGCGAATGTGAACCCGGCAGTCAGGCTCAAAGCTTGAGTTCCAAACCGTACCATTGCAGCATCCCTGAAACAGCCATTACACATGCCTTCAAGACACCTGATGCTGTGTTAGCACCAGCAGAGATCGAGCTCCTGGAGAGAAAATGTGCCTGAAATGATATGAGCCCTGGCTAGTGATGATTCGCACTCCATCCCCCTCAAGGTCGTAGGGACGGAGAATTTCAGCTTTGCTCCAGAGGCACTACAGTGGTGGCCCCTGTCAGCTGGTTCATCACCAACGAGCCAGCCCTGTCCAGGGAATACCAGGTGATGCCAGAAGATTCTTTTGTCCAAGAGCACTGAGCAGCCCCAGGTGGAGGAGTGTAGCAGGCGGCAGGGAGAGTGCTCATGCAGCTCAGAGATGAGAGTGTGGTCACACCAAGCTTGTTGCTGAGGGTAAATTAGGAGTTTACCAAAAAGGTGCCCTCCAGTGACTTCCAGGACACGCCTCTGTCCTTGTTTGCTGTTTTCTTCTCTGATTCCTTCTCAAGCACTTCGCAGGTCCCCCACTGTCAACACTGCCTTCAACTAGTTGCACTCGCCAAGACTCCATCCCTGGCCCATTTCTATAAACCACAGTCACAGCACACTCTTCCTGGCCATGGGTACCCAGCTCCCCATTTTCCTCTCTTTCCTTACTCGGGTTCCCACATCTATAACCTTCTAAATAGCTTCTCTTGGATGTCTGAAAACTCTCAACAACCACAGGCCCATGCCACCATCCTCATCTTCCCCTCTCCCTTGCTCCTGCTCCGTGGGTCTCTATTGCAGGCACACTGACCCCCCTGGTATGCCAGGCAGAGGCCAGCTCACCATCCTGGATGCTCCCTCTCTCTGATCCTCCATGGCTGCCCCATCACCAAACTCTGTCCATTCTGCTTCTGTAATCTCTAATGAGATGATATTAAGAACCTACTAGCTACAGATTTCCTTTTCTGCTACTTATCTTACCATGTTCCAATCCATTCTCTACACAGTGTACAAACAAATCTATCTAAATTCCAAATCTGATTGTATCTGTCAGCTATTTGCCATAGTAATGCTGCATAACAAACTATGAGACTAGTTACCTGAGAAGGCTCTGCTCCAGGTTTTTGCTCACTTGCACTTACCTTCAGCCTGCAAGGGCATCCAGGTCTTGTCCACTCATCACTCTTTGTCCAGAACATCCGCATAATGCAGGAGCACAAGGATACAAGTCCCACTGGTAAAGCACATTTAAGCCTTTGTGTTATGTCCTCTTAAATCAGGTGAACTGAAGAAAATCACATGATGAGACAGATTAAAGATGACCACTTCTCTGACATTCCTCCCATCGAGTGTTCCTTCAGATTCCCTTGAATCTGCACAAGCTCCTTTGACTCCTTCAACTAATATAAAATGGCAGGGAAGCCTATGCCAGTTTTGGGTTCAGGCCTTAAGAGTCTGGAAGCTTCCAACTTCTGTTTCTGGGGACACTTACTCTTGGGAGCTGGCCATGACAGTGCAAGGAAGCTCCAGCAGCCCCACAGAGAGGACCATATGGACAGGAATCAAAGCCAATACCAACTCACCAACCAGGTGAGGGTGCCATGTTGGAAGAGTATTCTCCAGTCCCCATTGAGCTGCTCCAACTGCTATCATGTGGAACAGAGATGAATCATGCCCACCAAGACCTATCCTAATTGCAAGTTTGTGAGCTGGGTAAATTAGTTTTTTGTTTGGGTTTAGTTTGTTCTTTTTTTTGAGCCACTAAGGTTTGGAGTAGTTTGTTACATAGCAATGGATAACTAGAAAAGATAGCCCAGCGTCAATGATGAGGAAAGACTCTCTTCGCACTAGGAAGCCACGGCAAGGGTATAGCTGTACCCCATTACAAGACACTGGGGCCACTCATTTAATTTACTGCAGTGACTATGTTGTTCATATGCTCAGACTTTCACTGGCTCCCCCATCAAGATAAAGACCAAGACTT
Organism: Homo sapiens; assembly: GCF_000001405.40. Taxonomy (NCBI): domain Eukaryota; kingdom Metazoa; phylum Chordata; class Mammalia; order Primates; family Hominidae; genus Homo; species Homo sapiens. Next base: position 133,445,587 of record NC_000008.11, on the reverse strand, counting down.
GCACACACTTGGTGGGAATATAAATTAGGACAGCCATTATGGAAAATAGTAAGGCAGTTCCTCAAAAAATCAAAAAGAGAACCAGCATATGATCCAGCAATATCACTACTGAGTATATATCCAAAAGAAATGAAACCAGGATCTCAAAGAGATATCTGCATTTCCATATTTATTTCAGCACTATTCACAGTAGCCAAGATATGGAATTAACCTAAGTGTCCATTGATGGGTGAATGTGCAGAGAAAATGTGGTATATATTCACAATGGAATACTAGTCACCCTTTAAAAAGAAGGAAATCCTGTAGTTTTTGACAATATGGATAAACATAGAGGATATTATGGTAAGTGAAATAAGCCAGGCACAGAAAAACAAATACCACATGATCTCACTCATATGTAGAATCTAAAAAAGTTGAATTCATAGAAGCAGAGAGTAGAATGGTTATCAGAAACTAGGGGTGAGGTTGACTAGGTGTGCTGGTCAAAAGATACAAAATTTCAGTTAAATAGAAGGAATAAGTTTACAAGATCTATTGTACACTATGCTGACTATAGTTAATAACATTGTATTGTATTGTTGAAAATTGCTAAGAGAATTTAGTTTTTCTCACCAAAAAAGTTTTCTCGTGACACACTAAAAGATATGATGTAACGCATATGTTAAGTATATATTATATATGTTTATATATTAATATATAAATATGATAAAAGTACATACATATATTTATGTAGAAATATAATAAAAGTATATAAATATACACATAATTTTGTCAGGTACAAAAACATGTTTAAAAGATGATAATGGACTTCTCAAAGCATTTCATTCATTCAACAAATATTTATTGAGTGTATACTAGTTTCCATCTTAGGGTTGGCAATATGGCAATGAATAAAACAGACAAAACGTCCACCATCTTGAAGCTTACATTTCAGTGGAATTTATCTGTCTTCAGTACATTCATTAAAGGACAGTGACATGGTGGCAGATATAAAGGCTTTGCAGCAGATCACTTGTTAGTCCTGGTATCTTTTCTTAGACTTCATGTTCTTAGCTGCAAAATAAGGAAACTTATACAAGGGGTATTTAAAGGGTTAATTATAAGCAATGTGTGTATACTTAGTAGATATGCAAGAATTTACTTATCTTGATAGACATTACTTTCTTATCTAATACTGAGGAAAAAGTAAAAACCAAACTCCAAAGAGAGCCAGGAGCTGGTTCCAGCCAACCTTCTTCCTCACCACATTCCACAGGCCCCATCAGTGAGGCAACAGTCCCTGAGGGCCCATGTTGCACTTCACCTCTGGGACTCAGTGCCTGCTCTCAGTATTTCTTAAAGTGCTCTTCTCATTCTCCTTGGATTGGCCAACTTCTGATCCGAGATTTGATGTCATTTCCTCCAGAAAGTCTTCCATGATTTCCCCATAGGAGCACAGAGACCTTCTAAAGGATCCCAAGCTTTCTTATCACGTAGTTGGAGTCATCTCAGTACTCATCCATCTCTAACCTTAGCCTGGGGCCCCTGAAGACCAGGACTCAGTTTGTACTTGGTACGATGTCCTCAGAGCCTGGAACGTGCTTGGACCAGAAGGGGCACTTGAGCAACAGGAGTTGTAAATATCCAGTGAGCACCTGCTCCACCAAGCACTGAGCTGGGTGCTTCCAGGAACCACCTCTAGTCTCCACAGCAAGTAAAAACATTGTTCGCCTCATCCTACAATGAGGCCCTGATGGAGCAAGGCTACAGGCGCCAGGGGTCCGGCACTGCACATGGAGAAGGAAGTGCGCCAAGACATCCCCAGGCCCTCCCCATCTCAGTTCAGGCCAGACTCCATCATTGCTCGGTTGCTTAAGCCACGAGGACTTGCCTTGAGTCCACTTTCTCCCACCAACTCCCAAACTTCAATCCATCCCTATAATCTATGAGATCATCCTCCACAAGATGCCATGTGGTTTTCTCTCACTGTTCCAGCCCATTGCCGTTTTCTGTCTTACCTGTCCTGTGCCAGCGCATGAGGTTCTTGGTACCTCACCTCAGTGCATAGTATGCTCTCGGTGGATATCTGTTCCCTCCCTTAGATGATGGAAATAGGGATTCAGAGGGTTGTTGTGAGGATGAAGTGAAGAATGGTCGGTGCTTGTTGCATAGCGAGCACCAAGCTCACTATGTGGTGGCGGTGGAGGTGGCAGTGGCAGCAGTGACATTGTTCATGAGATGAAAAATGAAAAAAAAACAAGACTCAGAAGGCTCAATAACTTCCCAAATTCACAGAGCCAGTGTGTGGCAGGGCTGTGAGCAAGACCACATCTGCTGGATCTCAAAGCCCAGGTGTCTTCCAGCAGCATAGCGGAACCCCAGCAGAAGCAGAAGATGGAGGTATAGCTGACATCTTCTCTTTCTCTCTGGAGCCCACATGTGACCAGACTTGGTAATCCAGGGTAGTGGGATGCCACAGGGGTTGGCAAGCATTTCGTTACCCCAACAGAAGAGGCAGAGGAGGAAATAGGCTGCATGCTTCCTGAGCTGGGCCTGGTGGGGGGTGGGGCGAGGGCAGCAGTATTCGGGTGATCTCAATTCTGTCCTGTGTGAATGGACTGGATGGACAAGAGCCCATTGGCTTGAGGACAGTGGAAAGGAGGCTGGAGAGCTGTCAGCTAAGAAGGGGACTTGCCTCCTGCAACCACCAACAACCTCCCTGCACATGAGTGCCTCAGTCTTGGCTGCAACCTCTGGGGTAGATAACAGTTGGTTTGGCCCTTACCTGAGGATTCAGATGCCCCACAAGAACCTGGGGATAGCTACCACATCTATTCATTCCAGCCAAGTTCATTGGTCTCAGCACTGTAATAGCTGTCAGAGGCTCTTACTGCCCTGATAAAATCCTTGCATTCTCCCAATGGAGATGGCCAAACTAGCCACCAGAAGACAGTGTGACAAGTGACCAAGGAAGAGTACAGAGCCTGAGTTTGCCTAGAGAAGTCATGGAGGACTTCCAGGAGGAGGAGGACTTCCAGGAGGAAGAGGCCATTAGGCTGACATGTGAGGGATAAGAGTTAGCCAAGCACGGAATGGGGAAGAGAGTGTGCCAGGCAGAGGGAAGAGCACTGTGAAGTCCCAGTGCTGAGGGAGAGTAGGGCACAATCACAAGGCAGATGATCTTCGTACCAGTGACCCTGGGAACAAGGGAAGCAGTGGCAAAAGATGGGAGCAGGGGTGCAGGATCCAGGCCCCTTTGGGTCTTTTAGGAAAAATGGGCTTTATCCCAAGAAAACTGGGGGCCACCAAAGGGTGCAGAGTGAGGCCAACAGGGAAATCTTAAGGGCCATCACAAAGAAAAACATTGGAGTGGTAGTTGAACGTGTATTTGAATAACATGCACATTTTAAAAATGTCTTTGCATTCTTGCTCTCAGTTAAGCAACATCCCACAAGGAGCAACTAAGTCAGCACGGGCTCTGGCAGTGAAATATCTGCCTCCACTCCACCCCGAGACTTAGGATGAGGGAGCCCAGGTGCAGTGTCCAGCCTACTTCTCACACTCTCCAGACAGTCTGACTCGTATTGGGATTAAGGGAGGAAGCATGTGTCTCCCCAGATGGCCTGGAGATCCTGCAAAACCAGGACTACCCTGGATCCCCAGAGATGAGGGGAGAGACCGGTTCAGGCACATAATGTGTGTGAGGAATTGAACTGGTTTGGACTGAATCAATTTATAATAGAAAGGCCCGGCCGGGCGCGGTCACTCATGCCTGTAATCCCAGCAATTTGGGAGGCTGAGGCGGGTGGATCGTTTGAGGTCAGGAGTTCGAGATCAGCCTGGCCAACATGGTGAAATCTCATCTCTACTAAAAATACAAAAATTAGCTGGGCATGGTGGCACATGCCTGGAATCCCAGCGACTTGGGAGGCTGAGGCAGGAGAACCACTTGAACCCAGGAGGCAGAGGTTGCGGTGAGCTGAGATCATCCCATTGCACTCCAGTCTGGGTGACAGAGTGAGACCCTGTCTCAAAAAAAAAAAAAAAAAAAAAAAGGAAGGAAGGAGAGAGAGAGAGAGAGGGAGGGAAAGGAAGGAAGGAAAGAAGGGAGGGAGGGAAAGAAAGAAAGAGAGAGAGAGAGAAAGAAAGAAAGAAAGAAAGAAAGAAAGAAGGAAGGAAGAAAGAAAAAGGAAGGAAGGAAGGAGGGAAGGGAAGGAAGACCCAAGTTCAAGTTCAAGCTCTGGGGCTTTTTTTTTTTTTTTTGTCACAAAGACTTGGTCAGGGGTTAGCTGCACTCCCAGGTTCAATGCCCCCCTCCCCCAGGTGGGCAGTGGGCACCCAATAGCTTCGAGGACGGCCAGCTCTATTGTTCAAAAGAGGGCAGTCTGAGATGCCTCACCAATAGCCACCTGGGCATCCCAAAAGAGCCCAAAAGCTCCAGAAGTTCTAACTGGATTCTCTTACAGAAATACAAGGCCATTCCTCTTTCTTTTTGAAAAAAGAGAGAGAGAAAGAAAAGAAAAAGAAAAGAAAGAAAAAGAAAGAGAAAGAAAGGAAGAAAGAAAAGAAAGGAAAGGAAGAAAGAAAGAAAAAAAGAAAGAAAGAAAGAAAGAGAAAGAAAGAAAAGAAAGAAAGAAAGAGGAAAGGAAAGAAAGAGAAGAAAAGAGAGAAAAGGAGAGGTGAGGAGGGGAGGAGAGAGGAAGGGAGGGAAAGCCTGGAGGGCGGGAGAGTTAAGAACCCAGTAGGTGGTTCCTTCTTCCCCCCTCCTTATATATGCAGGTGTATTTTAACAGAATTGCAATAATAGAGGGTGATGTATTTTTTGGATTTTATTTATTGGCTTGTTATTCTATAACCATTACTCTCCACACTGAAACATTTCCCAATCCCCTTCAACAGCAGTGAGCACCTTCATCTAGGAGATACACCTTATTGAACATTCACTGTGCACTGCACTGCATGTGGTGTTATGGAACACAGAGAGAGGCCCTTGGTCCTGGCAGTCAGGGAGTCGGGGGGTTGGTGGGTGCTTAGTGGGGGAACATTATCATTGAATGAACAAGCCTGATAGGAAGGGGGCAGGATGCCTCAGGGACCCAGAAGACACCTCTCACTGCTAGAGGAAGCCCAGGCTGATGGAAGGAGACAGAAGGGCTGGGTGAGATGGGAAGACAGCAGTAGTTAGCCAAGTGAAGAGGCCAGAGAAGGATGTCCAGGCAGGCAGAAAAACACATGCAAAGCCCTTCTGCTCCTTCATTTCCGCCTCTTTAAAGTAAAAATGACTGTACCTCCAGAATAAATTATAAAATACATGTAAATGTTTTGGGAGGCTGAAGCAGGAGGATCACTTGATCCCAGGAGGCTGAGGCTGCAGTGAGCCATGATCATGCCACTGCACTCTAGCCTGGATGACAAAGTGAGACGCTGTCTCAAAAAAAGAAAAAGAAATAGAAAGAAAGAGAGACAAGAAAGAGAGAGAGAGGGAGGGAGGGAGGGAAGGGAAGGGCATGTAAAGCTCTTAGCACAGTTGCTAGAACATAGCTAGTGTCCTAAATAAATAAATAACAAACAGTAAGTAAGGCAATACAAAAGCTACTACTACACAACTTTTTAAAATTATTTCTAACTAGCATTATAAATCATTTTTTAAAAGACAACCTGAAGAATGGGAGAAAATATTTGCAAATCATAATAAGGGCCCAATATCCTGAATACATAAAGAACTCTTGAAACTCAACAATAAAAAGGCAATTCAAAATGGGCAAAAGGTGTCAATAGTCATTTCACCAAAAAAGATATATAAATGGATGACAAGTAATTAAAAAGATGTTCAACATATGAGTCATTAGGAAAATACAAATCAAAACTACACTGAGGTAACACTTCACACCCACTAGAATAGCTATAATAGAAAAGATGGAAACTAACAAGTGTTGGTGAGGATGTGGAGAAATTGGAGTCTTTGTGCATTGCTGGTGGTAATGTAAAATTGTGCAGCTTCTGTTTGGCTGTTAAACATGAAGTTCAAAAAGTTAAACATAGAGTTACCCATATGACCCAGCAATTCTACTCCTAGGCATAAACCCCAAATAATAGGAAACAGGTACTTAAATAAACACATACACTATTCACAATAGCCAAAATGTGGCAACAATCAAAATGGCCAATAGAAGAATGGATAAACAAATTATGGCATATACAGTCATCACCCAGTTTCTGTGGGGAAGTGCTTCTCGGATACCAAAATCCATAAAAACAAAATCCATGGATACTCAAATTAGCAAATTCTTGAGTCCCTGATATAAACAGCTGTAGTATTTGCATATATTGTGATCTATGCTCATCCCCCTGTATACTTTAAATCATCTCTAGGTTACTTATAATACCTAATACAATGTAAATATTATTTAAATAGCTGTTATACCATATTGTTTAGGGCATAATGACAAGAAAATATGTCTGTACGTATGTAGCACAGATGAAAATTTGTCAAATATTTTCAATCTGTGGTTGGTTGCATCCATAGATACAGAATCTACAAATAGGTAGGGCCGACTGTACCATAAGATGGAATATTATTCAGCCATAAACAGGAATGAAGTACATGCCGCAGTGTGGAGGAGCCCCAAGAACATCATACAGAGTATAAGAAGCCAGGTAGGAAAAGTCACATGTCATATGATTCCATTTATATGAAATATCCGTAATTTGTAAATCCATAGAGACAAAAAGCAGACCGGTGGCTGACAGGGTTGGGGGAGGGAGGGGTGTCATGGGTTGGGGAGAATGAGGAGTGACTGCTTAGTGGGGACAGGCTTATATTTGGGGTGGATGAAAATATTTTGGAGCTAGATAGAAATAGTGATTACACATTGTGAATGTACTGAATGCCACTAAGTACTGCGCTTCCAAATGGCTAACAGTATGTTATACACATTTCACCTCAACTTAAAAAACAACTAAAAATAATAAACAAATTTATATTTATTATATTAAATGCGAATCTTATATTATTATAATATTCATGTTATGAATATAAATATTATATTAAAATTTTATATATTTTCTGATTTGATAATGAGCCCTATGAGACAGGCAGAGCATGTGTTAATAACCCCTTTTCATGGATGTCAAAACCTTGGCCCAGGGTGGTTAGAAGACGTGCTCAGAATCTCACAGGGCATTAGCAACAATAGAAAGCTTAGATAAAGCTAGCCCCCTTACTGCTTTTGGGGAGAATGTAGGGGTCAAGCATCTCCATTGCTGGGCCTCAGCGCCAGAGGTTGGGGAGACAGGAGCCTGTTGCAGGTTGAGTCGCAGGGCAGCTGTCCAGTCCTGTGCTCGATGGGTGGGAATTCTTCTAGAAGCCCCGATTAGGGGGTACAGGTTACACATTCCCAGCAGCAGGCCTTTAGAATAGAAAGGAGCAGAGAAAAATAAGGAGGGAGGGTCAGAACAGGAACAGTGAGAGAGAAAAGCTGAGCCCTTCCATTGTCCATTGGCAGAGGTTTCATTTGAGTTTCTAAGGAAATTGGAGCCCACAGAATTGTTCCACAAATAGAGCTTTGATTGTATTGCACGTCCTGGAAATCAGGCTTCCTGTTACATAAACGTGGCTTCCCTTTACCCGCTGAACTTTCCGAAGTAAGATGGAAAATGCAGAGTGCACCGCCACTCTGGGCCATGATTGCGTGGTCAGTGGGAGTCTCGTTGCCCTGGCTCACGTAGACACAGTGAGGGTGGGAGTGTTGGAAAAAGCAGGGCTGATCAGATTATCCCTCTGGCTGAATTCTTCCCAGAGCTCCCAACCCCCTGCAAAATCAAGTTCAAGCTGTAGTGAAAAGGCCCTAAATTCTTCTCCCCGAGGGCCCTGTCCCCCAGCCCTGCTGAGCTAGTTGCTGTGGCTGCCAGCGATTGTCTCCATTTCTGCTACTGGACTAGTTCGTCCAGGATGGGAGCAGCCTTCCGGTCTATGAGAAAATCATCCCCTGCCCGTTCCAGCCTTGGCTGGAGCATCAGTCGCCTCTTTCTATCCCTTATCAGGCTTCCAGAGCTGCCAGGACCACTATTGCTCTCATTTGATCAGAACTGTTTCTCTGTTTCTGTCTACCTCCCGTAATGGGGAGCTTTGAGTTAGAGATGTGTGAGTTTTCTTTGTGTTCTCAGTGCCTGACACAGTGCCTGGCATCTGGTAGGAGCTCAGTAAGGGCTGGTTGAATTGAAAAGGGCATCGCTTTTTAAAAGTTGGATGGATAGGTAGATGGGTAAATGGAAGGATTGGAGCTGAGTGCAAATGAAAGGGGACTAGAGGTCAAGGTCAGAGACTCCTTCCCACATTGATCCCAACTCACTGGGAAGCCATAGGACCACCCTGTTTCTCCTTGGACCCCAGGTCTCCCATCTGTAAGATATGGGGTTTAGGCAGCATGGTCCCTCAAAGCCTTTCCTATTCTGATCCTCTATAAGATTTGGAGCCCATGTTCCTCAGTGGGATGGAGGGGACCCTACCAAGGCCAAAGGCTCCAGTCAGGGAGTTTTGGACAGTTGCCTTCCACGGAAGGGTCCACCTGGGGTAGGGAGGAGGACCAATCTAGATCCCTGGGGTTCTTTGCTTTAGACTCGCATTCTGACTTTTCCCTTATACTTTAGTGTCCACCATTGTATCTGCTTTCTTTGACTCTTGCAGAGAGCCAGGGAGCAGGGGCCACCAGCTCCACATGTAGGGACGTGCAGTTACTTACCCAGGGGCTCCCAACAACATAACACTGCTGTCCTTTGTTGGACTTTGAAGGTATCTGTTGAAATGCAAAACTGATCTAGGAGAAGGAGCTCAGTAAGTCCAGATGCCCAGGACCCCTTTGTGTAAATTACCTAGCACGCTCTCCTGAGTCCCTAGCAGGGCACAGAGGGTTGAGAATAGAGTTCACATATGTTTTGAAGGGATCAGGCTGGGCAGGGAAGCTCCAGAATGCAGTGTCCTGCCAGTTTGGGTGCTATTTGAGGGCAAGGGGTCCAAGGAGTGGCAAAGTGAAGGATGAGGGTGGACAAGGGTGTGGGGGAGTAGGAGGAAAACAGGGTTGGTATCCAGGGATAAAGAAAGGCATCAGGAGAGTCATTCATTCCAGCCTGCTCCCTCCTGTCCTTCCTACCACTGCACAAGCAACTTCCCACCTTTGAAATCTTTGATAAGCCAGAGGTCCTAGTGAGATCCACAATATTTGCCTCTTGCTAACCTCTCCCAGCTCCGTGGCTCACATCGCCAGCTTTTCTCATCTCGCCCCTGCGGTGCCCCACATCTCACCACTCTCTCCACTTGTATGTCTCCCGTGCCCTGTGCTTTTGTCCCGGCTATTCTCTGCCTCTAATGCTCTTCCCCACACTCTCTACAAGATCAACTCCTCCTTGTTGAAGTATAATAGAAATGCCAGTTCACCCCTCAGTCAGAGCTGGTTCCTTCTGTCCTCTGCCCACCTTGAGACTAATGACAGTGCCCAAGTTAGAACTCAGTGTAAGACATTAAAATAGTGTGGTCTCTGCCACCTCTTACCTCCCCATGATACAACACACAAGGACTTTTAGCTTTGTGTCCCCATGCTTAACACACTATCCTGCACTTAGATTCTTCTGTAATATGCGTAACAGCCAATATGTGTCGGGTGCAGACTAGGCACTGGGCCAGGACTTCATATGGAAGAATTTATTGAACCTTCACATCTACGGGCAGGGCTGTGGCTGGCCCCAGACACTCAGAGGCACCCTTGAATGGTGAACAACCTGCGTGACTGTCCGTGGCAGACCTGCCTGTCATATAGACATCATAATCATCATCATCATCAACACTATAGTTGGCATCACCAGCTGCACTGTAAAAAATGAGTAATAAGAGGCTCAGAAAGGATTACAGGCGAGGTTGTTCACGCCAGTAATCCTAGTACTTTGGAAGGCCTAGGCAGGCACATCACTTGAGGTCAGGAGTTCAAGGCCAGGCTGGCCAACATAGTGAAGCCCTGTCTCTATCAAAAATACAAAAATTATCCAGATGTTTTGGCGGGCGCCTGTATCCCAGCTACTCAGAGGCTGAGACATGAGAATTGCTTGAACCCAGGAGGCAGAGGTTGCAGTAAGCCAACATCGCGCCACTGCACTCCAGCCTGGGGGACAGAGCAATAATCCATCTCAAAAAAAAAGAGGCCCAGAAAGCTTTAGTATCTTGCCCAGAGTCACAGAGCTAGTCAATTACTAGTAATTGACTAGCTCTGTGATGACAGAGTAGTAGCAAATGACAGAGCTGGATTTGACCTGGACATCTGACTCTAGAGTTCAAGCTCTTGGCTATTATACTATGCTTTGCTGTTTTCTACCGTGCTTGGCTGCCAATGTGTATGATCTGAATGTTGGAAAGAAAGTAATACCTTTAAGAAGGGAGAGCACTAGACGGCATTTCAGGTACAGCATCAGCCAAAGCGCATGGGCACCATGGATCAGGGCAGTGTCATTTGTAGACCCAGCACCCTATGATGAATGGATGCTTTCCATGGGTCTCTGACTTCTAACCTTCCCCGGCCTGCCCACCATGCTGAATCACCCCCTGCTGGTGCAGCAAAGACCTGACCCCACCATATACATTTTATGTGAGATTTGGGGCAAATTTCTTTTATTTATTTTATTTTTTTATTTTTTGAGATGGAGTTTCGCTCTTGTCACCCAGGTTGGAGTGCAATGGCGTGATCTCGGCTCACCACAGCCTCTGACTCCTGGGTTCAAGTGATTCTCCTGCCTCAGCTTCCCGAGTAGCTGGGATTACAGGGGCCTGCCACCACGCCTGGCTAATTTTTATATTTTTAGTAGAGACAGGGTTTCACCATGTTGGCAAGGCTGGTCTTGAACTCCTGATCTCAGGTGATCCAGCCACCTTGGCCTCCCAAAGTGCTAGAATTATAGGCATGAGCCACCGCTCCCGGCCTTGGGAAACATTTCTTAATTTATCTGAGACTCAACGTCCTCACCTGTAAAATGGGGGGAAAAATAGTGCCTTCCTCATTTGGTTAAGGATTGAGGGAAGTAATAGAGTTTGCTTAATATGGAGCCACAAATATTGGGAGAGCTCAAGAAATGGCTGTGGAAGTCTGATATCACATTTTTGGTAAATATAGTGACACTTACAGGATAGACACTGTGCCCTTGTCCTGCTCTGCCTGGGTCCCAGAGGCCTGACTTCTGCAAACTACATTTCCCAAGCTCCTTGCCAATGGCTTGTGGCTGGGTTCAACCAATAGGAGACACTGAGAGAAGAGATGAGGGCAGGAGGAAGGAAGGAGTTTGGGCATTTTCCCCTCTTGCTGGTCTTCAGGCAGCATCTCTGCAGTGGCTGCACCTCCTCCCTGGTCCCAGCCTCTGCCAGGCAGCCCCTCCTGGGGTTCTAGCTCTATTAACCCTGGGATGCTAACACCGCATCCTCCAGCCCCAGCAAAGGAAGCTTCCTGCTGTTCTAACCTCTCAGTTGTCTCAATGTCCTCCTTGTGAGTAGGGTTACCAAAATTAGCAAATAGAAACACAGGAAGCCCAGTTAAATTTGCATTTCAGATAAACAACAAACCTATTTCCAAATATTACACGGGACATACAGTTTCATGTAAAAAAAATCATTGTTTATCCGAAATGCAAATTTAACTGGCAATTCTGTATTTTATCTGGCAACCCTACATAAAAGGCTTCTCAGTTCTTCCAATACCATTGAACCTAATTCTCTGGATTAAATTTCCTCTATTAAACTTTCAGTAGAAGCTCTTTGATTGCTGGATCCTACTTGCTACAGATGCTGAGTTCAATGTGAGCCAATGCATATTTCTGGAATCCTCAGATTATTCCCTATTCCAGCCTTCTACTCACCTTCCCACTCCCCATGAGTTCAAAGAAGAATACGGAATTTAAAACCAACATTCATTAAGCGTCTTATGTGCAAAGTACTAAAAAACTTGGCAGAGATAAAACACTTTGTTATCTTAATTGCTGGCATCAGAGCACCTCCAAGCTTTGTTTAAGAAAATACCTTCACAAGCCACTTGGGGTAGAATGTGAGACCCTGAGGGCAGGGACTGAGACAACGAAAGAACCGACTGCACAGCTCTGCTGAGGAAAATGAAGGGAATTTTTTCTTTGCCTCTGAGAGAGCAGGGAAGAGATGTTCCTGTTGATATATTGCTGTGGAGCAAAGATCCTAAAACTTAGTGACATAAAACAACTATTTTATTGTGCTCACGAATTCTGTGGGTCAGGAACTGGGACAGTGCATGGCAGGGGTGGCTCGCCTCTGCTCCAGGGTGTCTGGGACCTCAACTGGGAAGACTCAACCAATTGGGGTGACTCAATAGCAGGCACCTCGGGCCTGCTATTTTCGGTTTTTACAGATGGCACTTTTGGTTTTTACAGATGGGGCTTCATTCAGGGCTGGTGACCAGAGCATCTGTCACAACCTCTCCAGGTGATCAAGACTTCCTCACAGTACTGTGGCTCAGGGGAGTCGAACCTCTCACCTGTCAGCTCAGGTTTCCAAAAGCAGCGTCCAGTGGAGGAGGTGGAAGCTGCTTTGCAGGGAACATAATTACTCTCTCCATGCCCTGCTGGGGTGGAGCCGTCGCAGGCTGAGTAGTCCAGGGGCGAGGCAGAAACTGCCACTCTGGTTGGGAGCATGGCAGAGTTACATGGTAGAAGAGCATGTGAGATGGGATATATGGTTGCAACTTTTGTTGAGTCAAAAAGCATAATATGGAATAGAGGAGAGGCAGAAGAAGAAGAGGAAACCCAGAAAACTAGCATGCCATTAGAACAAAATGTGGAGGGAATGGCAGTGAAAACAGCCTGGGCGAGATAAGAGGTGGCCCTAGACATTTAAAAATGGGTCATTGCTGAGCATTGTTGTTCATGCCTGGGATCCCAGTACTTTGGGAGAGTAAGACAGGAGGACTGCTTGGGCCCAGGAGTTTGAGACCAGCCTGGGCAACGTCGTGAGACTCTATCTCCAAAAAGAAAAAAAAATAGCCAGGTGTGGTGGTCTGCACCTGAGGTCCCAGATGCTCAGGAGGCTGAGATGGAAGAATGGCTGAGACCAGGAGATCAAGCCCACAGTGAGTGGTAATGGTGTCACTACACTCCAGCTTGGGTAATAGAGGGAGACCCTGTCTTAGGAAATAAATACATAAACAAAGTAAAAAAAAAAAATAGGTTGTTGCATGTGTAGACATAGCTATGGAGTGAAGGCTCTCCTCTGCCTTCCACCTTTAGCCAAGGATCCTGCACACACACAAAGGCCTTGGGATGCTGTGTGTGTGTGTGTGTGTGTGTGTGTGTGTGTGTGTGTGTGTGTCAGTCACAGAAAGGGATGGAGTCTTATGCCTGACTTATCATAATGTAAATAAAGATGGAATGATGACACTGAAAATTAATGAATTCAACAGGAAGAAAAGCAAAGTGCCAGAACCCTGAGCCCTTGAACCCAAGTCCTCAGAAATGAGCAGACACTTGAGGTGGGCTTTGGATCTCCATAGAACATAGAACTCCATAGAACATTCATTTATTCATTCATTCAGCAAGCTTTGGTTGTGCACCAGAGACTGTGCTAGTTGCTGAGGCATCAATAGGGGCAAAAATAGCCAGGGACTGGCTTCATGGAGGTTCTACTTTAGTAGGAAAAGACTGGCAATACAACAGTAAGAAAATATAATACAAATAAAAATGTCAGGTTGGCTGACACCTGCAAAATCTCAGTGGCTTAACACAATGAAAATACATTTTTTTTCCTCAGACAGAAACTCAATATGGGGGTTTATTAGGAGGTCTTCCTTGATGTGGGGGTACAGGCTCCACTATCTCATGACTCCACAATTGGCTAAGAACATCTAGTCCTCACTGAATTCTCTGTGCCTGCCCTTACAGACAGGAGTAGAGAGAGCACAGAGGACAATGTGGAAGATTTTTTTCAAACCAGTACTCAAAACAGACCACACTACTCTCACCCACATACCATTGACTGGGGCATCGTCATAAAGCCACCCACACCTCACTGCAAACAAGGCTTGAAATGTGGTCCAGCAGGGTGCCCAGGAGGATGAGGAGGAGGAGAAGGAATGAGACAAATGCTATGAAGGAAATCAAGGAGGTATCAAGACTGGGAATACTAATTCATATTGGGATAACTAATTCATATTGAATGGCCAGGTCAAGACTGTTTGAGGACGTGGGATTTGGGCTGAGATCTGGAGAGGAATTAGACAGCTATTCAAATTTTTGGGGGAAGAGTGTTCTAGAATCAAAGGAAAACAAGGACAAATCTCAGAATTGGGACTTTGCTATGGTTTAAATGTGTCCCTCAGAAGCCCCTATGTTGGGAACTTGGTGCTACTGTGATAGTGGTAGCCCTCATGAATAGATTAATGTTGCTATCATGGGAGTGAGTGAGTTGCTGTAAAAGTTTGGCCCCTGTTTTTCTCCGTCTTGCCTCCTCTCTCCCTTCTGCCTTCTGTCTTCTGCCTTCTGCCTTGGAATAACCCTCACCAGATCCTAGCTCAATGCCCTTGGACTTCCCAGCCTCCAGAACTGTAAGAAATAAACTTCTTTTCTTTGTAAATTACCAGTCTGTGGTATTCTTTTATAGCAACAGAAACTTGAAGAAGACAATCATAGTTCGGTGTGTTCAGGGAACAAGAAATAGCTCAGTGTGACTGGTGCCTGGTAAGCCAAAGAGAGGATGATTTTGGGTGAGATTACAGAGGTAGGCAGTGGTCAGATCATGCAGTTCCCACAGGCTACAGGAGGGGCATTTAGGTCTTAATTTTAAGTGCTATGGGAAGCCACTGCAGGATTTAAAGCAGGGGAGTACTGGTATCTGAGCTGTGTTTTTCAAATATCCTGATTCCAAGGGCCAAGGAAACCTTCACAGGTATCTGAGTTATATGGCCATCATTTCAGTCCATCCTCACAACAGCTTAGGAAAGAGATGATACTGGGCTTTTTCATGCCTATGAAGAAATGGAGGGTTAGAAGGAGTCTATAATCACACATGACCTTGGCACAGTCAAGTCTGATTTCAGACCCAAGCCCAGGAGGGGAAATGTGGTTGAGAACAGAAACCAAAGCTCCATCAGGATCTAAGGGTGGAGAAGTGGCCACAGGGTTATTGCTGAAGGCCCAAAGCCTGGCAGCATGAGAACCTCCGCACCTGGAGGCTAAAAGGTGCACCCTGCCTTCCTGAGGGAGGGGTCTCCAGTGCCTACTCCCTGAGCCATGGGGAGAGAGCCCCAAAAAAGAAGTCTGGGATGCCTGTGCTTTTGGGTCATTGGGAAGCTTGGTGACCTTTGGGACAAAGGGTCTGTCTATGATCACTGCAGAAAGAGCTCCAGCCACTGTGGTTTGCTGAATAATGGCCCCCATGTCCTAAACTCCAGAATCTGGGAATAGGTTACCCTGCATTACAAAAGGGATTTTGCAGATGTGATTAAATTAAGTATCTCAAGGTGGAGATACTACCCTCGATTATCTGAGTGGGCCCAATGTCATCACAAGGGTCCTTATAAGAGGGAGGCAGATAAGGAGATGTAATGATGGAGTGGTGTGGGGCCCTGAGCCAAAGAATGATGGCAGCCCCCCAGAAGCTGGAAGGAGCAAGGAAATGGATTCTCCTCTGGAGCCTCCAGAACAAATGCAGTCCTGCCTCGATTTAAGCCCATGGAGATGCATTTTAGGCTTCTGACCTCTAGAACTTTACAATAACAAATTCATGTTGTTTTAAGCCACTGAGTTTGTGGTTATTTGCAACAATCCCCATAGCAAACTCATACACCCAGCAACCAAGACAGTGACAGGGGGAATATCCAGAACTTTTTTTAGTGGTTGTTTGTTTCCTCTGGCAGTCATTCTCCTTCCCCTCTCTCTGTTTCTCCACAAAAATTATTCATGAAAAATTTGAAGCCAAGAACAATAGTGGGCTTATCTTGGGGGCACCAAAGAATGTCACCAATGGCCCTGACTTCCATCCAGCCTGAGGACCAGAGCAGTGGTGGCAGCTGAGGCCCTGAGTCCAGTGGGAGAGAAGACAGTCAAGCCCCCCAGATGTCCCTGAGGAAGGCAGGAGGAAAGCGCGTTTCTCCATTTCCCCTCAGTGAGCCACATGGCGTCAGAGAAAGCAGGACTCAGAGACAACTTTCCTAAAGTCACCCAGCAATGGGGCCTTTAAGAGGCTCTGGGAGTTGGCACCAAAGTCAAGGGCTCCTTTCGGCTGCCAGGTTTTCAGATTCCTGATGAGCGACGCCTAGCAAACAAGCCCAGCCTTTGATGCTTGGCCACCTTGGCAGAGGCAGTAGTTTTGGCCCCTCCATGGCTGCTGGGCAGCTGGCAGGCCTGGAAGGCAGGGCCTTGGTTATCCAGCAAGGCTCTTGTTTGTCTGGCTTGGCCTTTTGGTGACTTACTACCCTTTGGCCTATTTATGAGAGTTTGCGATATCAGCATTTAGTACAATGTAATGAGTAACCAGGGTCCGGAGGCTTCTATACCTGCCTTTTATAAACACAGCTGATTAGCCTTAATCTCCCTGGGGACTTTGAGCTCAGGGTTTGGGGGTAGGGGTTCAGGGGTAAATTTGATGCGATTGAGGATGTGTGGCTCCCTCTGGGGACAGGGTCCTGAGCCCTGAGCCAGCTAGCCTTGGATTCAAGTCCCAGCTTTCCTTATCCACTGTGGGATGGGAATGTCAACCAGCCTCTTAGCGCCTCCACTTCCAACTCTGCAAGAGACGTGACTTTGTCCACTCAATAACAAGTATGGTTTACTTATTAACCATAAACTCTGCAACCTGTCTTAAGGGACATGTGATACAATGGAGCAAAGCAGATGTGAGATTTTTTTTTTTTTAGCACTTAGTAAGTATTCAATAATTGAAAATCTTCCTCTGAGTCCGTGGGTGTAGATAAAGGTGGTGAGAGTTTTCTCCCAAGGGCTCCCAGAGACCCAGGGTGTCTAAGAGAGAAGCATAGAGTGGCTGGGGGCATGCTTAAGGTGAGAGTGGTGCAGAAGTTGCCCTCCCAGTGAAATCAGGTTGGGCTTTGTGTCCCGACCAGCATGTGGCACAAGGCAAGGTGCTCAGGCTCAGGCATCCCTGATGTACATCCTCCAGCAAGTGACCCAGTGTCTCCGAGCCTCAATGTTCTCATCTCTAAAAGGAGGATGATTAGTCATGCCTCCCAATGTTACCAGAAAAGGGTCCAGATCCAGACCCCAAGGGAAGTTTCTTGGATCTCACACAAGAAAGAATTCAGGGCGAGTCCATCGAGTAAAGTTAAAGCGGTGGTTCATGCCTATAATCCCAGCACTTTGGGAGGCCAAGGTGGGCAGATCACCTGACATCAGGAGTTTGAGGCCAGCCTGGCCAACACGGTGAGATCCCATCTCTACTAAAAACACAAATATTGGTGGTGTGCGCCTGTAGTTCCAGCTACTCCAGAGGCTTGGACAGGAGAATCGCTTGAACCTGGGAGACAGAGGTTGCAGTGAGTGGAGATGGCACCTCTGCACTTTAGCCTGGGGGACAGAGTGAAATTCCATCTCAAAAAAAGAAAAAAGAAAAAGGAATAAGGAATGGCTGCTCCATAGTCAGAGCAGCCCTGAGGGCTGCTGTTGCCCATTTTTATGGTTGTTTTTGATGATATATATATAGGGTAACTTCCTGATGTTGCCATGGCATTTGTAAACTGTCATGGAACTGGTGGGAATGTAGCAGTGAGGATAAACAGAAGTCACTCTCATTGCCATCTTGGTTTTGTTGGGATTTAGCTGGCTACTTTACTGCAATTATCAGCAAGGTCTTTATGACCCGTATCTTGTGCCTACCTCCTATCTCACTCATGCTGTGACTAAGAATGCCTTAACTGTCTGGAAATGCAGCCCAGGAGGTCTCAGCCTCATTTTACCCAGCCCCTATTCAAGATGGAGTTGCTCTGGTTCAAATGCCTCTGACACCAAGATTGTTAGGAAGATTTGGTGAGATGACTTCCAGAGAGCTGTGTCCAGTGTGACTGGCACCTCCTAAGGGCTTAGTAAGAAGTTGGCCCCCTTTTCTCTCCAGCTTCATTGCCTTTGCCCATGCTCTCAGAGCCCCCCAACAATGGAAAACTTTATTCTGTATGGCAGGGAGCTCCCCATAAATAGAAGCATCTCAGCAGAAATTGGACTTCTGCATGTGGAGCATTAATGGTACCAGAAAAGGGGTCCCAATCTGGGTGCTAAGAGAGGGTTTTTGGATCTTGTGCAAGAAAGAATTCAGGGCAAGTCCATAGAGTAAAGTGAAAGCAAGTTTATTAAGAAAGTAAAGGAATAAAGAATGGCTACTCCATAGGCAGAGCAGCAGCTTGAGCTGCTGGCCTAAAGATACTTCTTGTTACTTCTTGATTATAAGCTAAACAAGGAGTGGGTTGTTCATGAGTTTTCTGGGAAAGGGGTGGGCAACTCCTGGAATTGAGGGCTCTTCCCCTTTGTAGACCATATATGGTAATTTCCTGATGTTGCCATGGCATTTGTAAACTGTCATGGCGCTGGTGGGAGTGTCTTTTAGCATGCTAATACATTATAATTAGTGTATAATGAGCATTGAGGATGACCAGAGGTCACTCTTTTTGCCATCCTGGTTTCGGCAGGTTTTGGCCAGCTCCTTTACTGCAACCTGTTTTATCAGCAAGGTCATTATGACCTGTTTCTTATGCTAACTTCCAATCTCATCCTGTGACTTAGAATGCCTAACTTACTGGGAATGCAGCCCAGTAGGTCTCAGCCTTATTTTACCCAGCCCCTATTCAAGATGGAGTCACTCTGTTCAAATGCCTCTGACATTAAGAAAAATTGACAAAGATGGCCACCTTCAGTGGCCTGAGATCCAACTGAGCCACAGGGAGCTACCAGGATACTCCAGGGCAGCTGACCACTGGGGAGCCAGGAGCCATGAGGGCAAGAGAGCAGTGGAGCTGATGGGTCACAAGGACTCACAGCTTATTCTCCAGGTCCAGAAGTTTGAAAACATCAAGGACATTTCGTAGAGTATCCACTCATGTAATTGGAACATGTTAAAGCTTGGAAGAAGGCTCAGACATGAATGAGTCTAAACCTTCATCCTACAGACTAAAAAACTGAGCTCTCAGGGAATGAGGACTTGCCCAAGGTATTAGCCAGGAATCTGAGCAGTTCTTCATAACCAGAGCCAACCTGCAACCTCAACCCCACCAGTTTTAACCTAACAGGCTTCTCTCCAGTGTCTTCAGGCTCCCCAACCACCCCTGATGGAAAGAAGGCCCCATAGTCCATGCTGGGCACTGGCAGCCAGAATTATTCCAGAGCTCATACGTGGGAATATGAAGATGCCTTGACTTAGCAACCAAGGCCAAGGGCAGGAAAAGACATCAACACCTCCAGGAAGCTATGGCAGAGCCACTGTGGGGGTCTCACAGGGGGTGATTGTGAGGATAGGAAGTAGGAGGGTACTGTGCCAGAAAGTGACAAATCATTTGAGCTGAGATAGTAGTAAGATTTGGTCCAAAGAACAAAGCAAGGGAAATATTAAGTACCATGTACTGAGTTATTAAGCACTTTCCATATAGTGGACATTGTGCTATGTCCATTGTGCTATATGGTGTCACTTCATTCTTAAATATCTCTTCTTTAAAGAGTCCACCTATTTCAAATAGTTATTCCTATTACTTTTTGTATTAGTTCATTTTCATACTGCTATGAGGACATACCTAAGACTGGGGAATTTATAAAGAAAAAGAGGTTTAATGAACTCACAGTTCCACATGGCTGGGGAGGCCTCACATTCATGGTGGAAGGCAAAGGAGGAGGAAAGGCATGTCTTACATGGCAGCAGGCAAGAGAGCATGTGCAGGGGAACTGCTATTTATTTATTTATTTATTTATTTATTTATTTATTCAGACAGGGTCTCACTCTGTTGCCCAGGCTGGAGTGCAGTGGCACGATCTTGGCTCACTGCAACCTCTGCCTCCTGGGTTCAAGTTATTCTCAGCCTCCCGAGTAGCTGGGAGTACAAGCATGAGCCACCATGCCTGGCTAATTTTTGTATTTTTAGTAGAGACCAGGTTTCGCCATATTGGCCAGGATGGTCTCAAACTCCTGACCTCAAGCAATCCACCTGCCTCAGCCTCCCAAAATGCTGGGATTACAGGCATGACCCACTGCGCCCAGCCAGAACTTCCCTTTATAAAACCATAAGATCTCCTGAGACATATTCACTATTACGAGAACAGCATGGGAAAAACCTGCCCCCATGATTCAATTACCTCCCACCAGGTCCCTCCCTCGATATGTGGGCTTATGGGAGTTACAGTTCAAGATGAGATTTGGGTGGCGGGGGGGACACAGCCAAACCATATCACTCTTGATCTCAGCTCTTAACTCAACTTCTGATTATTATGTTTGTTACTAAAGACATTCATTTATTCAACACATATTATAAGGTACATACAATCTGTTAGGGCTGAGGATGACATAGCAAGAATATGTTTTCTTAAAAAATAAATTGTCCCTGCCATCACAGAGCTTCCAGGCTAGAGGTAAGACAGGTATATATTAAGCAATTACACAAATGGCACAAACTGGTTTCCTCCTATTGAATCATGAACTCCATGAAGACCAGGACCAAGTTTGTCTTCTTGGGACAAATGGTGTGCTGATGTTTATAGAGATCCCAAAAGCTGATTGTCAAATACGCAGGACTCTTGCCAACCAGTTAAACTTTGGTAGCTTGAAATTGGCCTGAGTGGGAGTATTTACAGCATGAGAATTGGCAAAGGCTAAAAATCAGGGGTTTTTTCTTCTTTCGCAGAGTGTGGTTTCCCAGTACAGCCTCTTCCCCTCTGTACCAGGCCCACCCACATAAAGAACTTGGTAATACACATCTGATGAATGCTCTCACAATCCAGTCTTTGAGAGAGTCATTGCATTACCTCTATGTTTCAAATTAGGAAACTGAGCTTTAGGGAGTTTAGCAATCTGCATAGTTATTAAACCACGTAACTTGTGAGTGATGAAGCTGAAATTCGAACTCAGGTTTCCAGCTCCAAAACTGTGCTCTCAACTGTGCGAGACCCAACCTTTTAGAAAAGCACAGTCTCCATGGCTGGAAGGAAGAGGGAAGGAGTCTGGTGCCTTGGGAGAATAGGGGCTGCCCTGTGAGGCCAGGCCAGGCCAACCTGATGTGGAATGTAAGGGAGGGGTTTGTGAGGGTCCATTGTGGAGTGAGATCTGAATCTCCAGAGTTGGGACCAGGCTCCTGAAAAGCGGAGCCAGAAAATGCTTTTGTCTATTGTTGGTCAGCTTTGTTTTCAAAACTATGACCGACCTCCTGAGAGGCCTGGAGCCCTTTCCAGGAAGGCATGTTGGAAACCTGTGCGGAGGTGAGGTCAGTGCCACACTGGAGGCTGATTGCTGAAGATGCAGCTGTTGGTAGAGCTCTGCAGACAGACCTGTTTTCATCCTAAGACCTTTCCTTAAAAAGGTGGTTCACTAAAGGCTCTGTGTGACTGGGCCAGCCACGGCTTTCACCTCCTCCACAAATCTGACAGCTCCTGGAAGGAACTCACACCAGACCTTAATTGTCTCTGTAACTCCCGATTTTATGAGTGCTTACCACATAGTAGGCACTTGGTCAATGTAATGAATGAGTGAGACAATATAGCTCAGAGGCAGGTTAAAAAAAGAACACCTATATTTATTCTGATTTAAATGTAACATAAACTTAATGTAATGTTATTTTGGAAAACACAGATAATTATAAGGAGAAAATTAAAAATTACAACCCAGGCTGGGAGCGGTGGCTCACGCCTGTAATCCCAGCACTGTGGGAGGCCAAGGCAGGTGGATCACAAGGTCAGGAGTTCAAGACCAGCCTGGCCAAGTCTCTACTAAAAATACAAAAATTAGCTGGGTGTGGTGGCAGGCACCTGTAATCCCGGCTACTCGGGAGCCTGAGGCAGAGAATTGCTTGAACCCTGGAGGCAGAGGTTGCAGTGAGCCAAGAACACATCACTGCATTCCATCCTGGGCAACAGAGTGAGACTCCATCACAAAAAAAAAAAAAAATTACAACCCAGTTACAGGGATAACCATGCTTAACATTCTCATGTATTCTTTAAAAAACATGTGTGTGTGTACACCCATGTATATGTACATATGTGCATGTGTGTGTATTCTTATTGAATCATGTAGATTCATACATATTTGAATCTTCTTATTTTCACATAATCCTTCATCAGAAAAAAGGTGTCGTGTTAACAACATATTACAAAACTTTCATTTTCTAGTTAGTCTCTTTAACATAGCATCATATAGAATTATTTCACCCCCTGATGTTTGACATTTGTATTGCTGCTTATTTTCTATTCTTATAGATAACACAACAATGATGATTTTTCAACATTAATAATTGTCCAGATGTCTGTTTTTTTTTCTTTTTATTATGAGTCCCTAGAAGTAGAATTAGGGGCTCAGAGGATAAGAAGTTTATAAAGGAATACATAAGGCTAAGTTGAATTGTAAGAAACGTGTTCCAGGAACTTCAAGAGTGATGAGTACTAGCATTTTTTTTAACTTTGGGAATTTGCTAGGTAAGCAATATGTTTCTTTGACTGCTAGTGGGGGAAATCTTTTTCCATTAATTCCTGAACCATTCACATTTCCTCTTGCTGTCTTTTGTGCCCGTGGGAGCCAACGATGTAGACCTCAAGCACTGACTTTGGAGAGGGCCTTGGCCGCTGAGTCTGGACGGTCTGCCCCGAGCTGCTGGGTCTCAGCACCCTGCCTCATGCTGCCTGCTCCAGGGAGGCAGATCAGTGCAGCAGCATGGAACTTCACCTGGCAGAGTGGGCAGGCAGATTCCAGAAGAATCTGGCACAGCACAGAGGTTTCTGGGAAAAGCCACAGCCCACCTGGCTAGAACCTGAGGCTGACTTGGCACCCCACCACCTCCTTTCCTCTGTGGGAGGCTTGGATGGGGCAGGAGAGGGGGAGCCTTGAGGAAGAGGCAGCCATGCGGCCTGGCTGGCTCAGGGAGCTGCCTCCCAGCTCACTTGGCTCCCATGAAGCCTGTTTTCCTTAGTGCTGATGGCTTCCTTGTGAGGAAGGAAGGAGAAGAGAAGATGAAAAAATGTGGAAGAGGAGGAAGAGATTCTTGCTTCTGGGGCCTGGATTAAGGAAGGTCCTAGGAGCATTCTAGATTCTCCTTCAGAATTGATCCTAAATTAGCCAGCCGGTGAGTCTCTGGATCACAGAGATGCAGGTTTCTAGATTTCTTTTATTCAGGGGTGAGACTAAGAGCTGGGGCTCTGGAGCCAAACTGCCTGTGTTCCAATCCCCACCTGCCACTTACTATCCAGGTGACAGTGACATCACTTCCTTCAGCCTCCAGGAGCTGAACGCAATGTGCGGAACACAGTGGAGGCATGTAGGAAGGCTTCAATCACTGTTAGCTGTTCCAGAAGATTTAGTGAACATCTTCTCACTTGCAGCATTTAGCTGCCAGAAACTGTGGATGTGGTATAATAACAATTGTTCAGTTGGCAAGACGGCCTAGGACTGAGCAACTGAGTTTTGGTCATTTTAAACATCCAACATCGCATTGGCTCATACGGCACAGGGGATATTAACTGGTAAATGGAATGTCTTTTAAAAGTTCTTTAAAAATCCTTAGGAAAATTGATCCAATTTTCTAATATCTTATGTAAAAGCTGCACATATAATTGTTGAAGCATAAAGAAAGACAATATCTTAGCTCTGCCTCAGTCATCAACCCCTCCCCTCCAAAAATGTGAGCTGTTACCATTTGCGTTGGTTTCCAATTGCTGCTGCAACAACCACAAATTTAGTGCCTTAAAACAGCATGAACTTATTATCTTACAGTCCTGGGGGCCTTATTATCTTACAGACCTAGGGGTCAGGCACACTCAATGGAACTCAATGGGCAAACATCAAGGTGTCAACAGGGCTACACTCCTTCTGGAAGCCTTGGGGAAATTTCGATTCCTTGCCTTTTCCGGTTTCTAGAAGCTGCCTGCACTCCTTGGCTGGTGGCCCTTCCTCCATCCTCAAAGTCAACAATCACATCTTTCTGACATCTGCTTCCATCATCACATCTTTACTGGCTCTTCTGCCTCCTTCTTCTAACACTTTAGGACCCTTGTGATTACCCTTGTCCCACCTAGATACTTCAGGGCAATCTCCCTGTCTTAAAATCCTTAACCTGGCCGGGCGCAGTGGCTCATGCCTATAATCCCAGCACTTTGGGAGGCTGAGGCGAGCGGATCATGAGGTCAGGAAATTGAGACCATCCTGGATAACATGGTGAAACCCTGTCTCTACTAAAAACTACAAAAAATTAGTGGTGCATGGTGGCAGGCACCTGTAGTCCCAGCTACTTGGGAGGCTGAGGCAGAAGAATGGTGTGAACCTGGGAGGCAGAGCTTGCAGTGAGCCAAGATCACACCACTGCATTCCAGCCTGGGTGACAGAGTGAGACTCCATCTCAAAAAAAAAAAAAAAAAAAAAAAAATCCTTAACCTAATAACACCTGCAAAGTCCCTTTTCCATGTAAAGTAACATATTCACAGGTTCTGGGGATTAGGTCATGAACATCTTTAGGGGCCATTACTCTACCTTGTCATACTATTATGTTTTAACACATATTTATTGAGTGCCTACATTTTGCCAGGTGCAGTGTCTTACTCTGAGTTGAATAAAATCTAAGCCTGTTTTCTGAAGGAATTCACAGGGTAGCGCCAATGACAAACAGGTAAACAAATAGGCAAGCTGAGGAATTGGAGGGGCAAAGATGTAATTCTATATAAAGAAACAAGGAACAAAAGGATGAGAGAAAGAGACCTGGGAGAGAAGTAAGTTCCAAGTACAGAAAGCAGAAGCATAAAGATCAGAAGATGCCTGTTAAAGGCCATGTGAGGGAGTGTAGCTTAGAGCATGTAGATTCTGTTATATACGATGCTGAGTCAGGGGCAGGAGTTGCTCTGAGAAAAGAACTTAGAGAGGAAGGCGGAAACGAGGTCATAGAGCACATGATATGGCACAAGAAAGAGCTTGGACTTGATCTACTAGGTGATGGAGAGAAGATGGAAGGTTGAGAGCATGGTGTGACACTGTGAGGTTTCCCATTGGCAATGATAGAATGGACCCTGCATTGTAAACGGTGACACTGCACAAGAGACCAGCTCATTGACTGCCTTCCATCCATTCACTCATGCATTCAACTATCTACACATTCATTCTTTAATTCATCATCTATCCATCCAACTCTCCATCCGTCTATTCTTTATCCAAAATACATATAGGCATTCATCGTTTCATTGCACTTTGCAGTGTTGTGCTTCACAGATACTGAGTTTTTTTACAAATTGAAGGTTTGTGTTGAGCAAGTCTATTAGCACCATTTTCCACAGCATGTGCTCACTTTGTGTCTCTGTGTCACATTTTGGTAATTCTCACAATCTTTCAAACCATTTTATTACAATACATACATATGTACATGCAATTAACTAATCTGTCTATTCTTTAATTTCAACATCTTTCCTTCCAAATGTCCATTCATCCATCTGTTCATTCAACTATCTAGTCACTCTTTAATTCATCATCCGTCTACCCACTTATTTTTCCACCTGTTCAACTGTTTACCCATCCATTCTTCAATTCATTCATTCTCAGTCCTTCCATTCATCATGTCTCTATTCAATAAACACTTGTCTATTTATCTTCTTGGCACTCTGTTCAGAACACAAGTGCATAAAAGACATAATCCCTATCTTGAGTAGTTCAGCTTCTAAAAGAATTGAAAGTTGAACAAAAACAAATTACATTAAGTGTGATAAGCATCAGGATAGAAAAATTATCAGGAATAGGAGGAGATGTGGTTGAAGGAGGCACATTAGCAGGATACCTAGTTACCCAGAGTGTGAAGTCAGGCAAGACTTCCTGGAAGAGGCAATGCCTAAACTGAGTAAAGTTGAGTAGGAGTTAAAAAGGCAAAATAAGAGAAGGTTGGGAAAAATGTTCCAGGTAGAGACTACACTTAGAAGCATTAACAAGCCTGATGGGCTCTGGAGCTTTTCAAGGGAACCGTAACAATAAGATAAACTAAGCAAGTTGCAGAAGTTACCATCCATGTACCCACTAGAATGTCAGCTCCACAAGGGCAGAACTTTGCCTCATTCATGGTTTTATCCCCAGAGACGAGAACAGGGTCTGATACATAGTGAGTGCTTAACTAACAGTGATTGATTTAATAATGATGAAAATGAGTGGCTGGATTTGAAAATTGTTAAGGAGGTAGAGTCTACTGGACTAACTCAATCTAACATGTGCAAACCTGTTACTGATTTTCTTTTCCTTAAGAATTCTCACTTTCCTCTGTTATCAGCTCCTTCAACCGACTGGGGGAACTGTTATCTCACTAGTCCGTGTAATTTCTGTCAGAGCTGTCTATCAGATTATCTCCCAATCCACAGGAGTGTCCACATGACTTAAAACCACTGTAAATCGCAGAACGGTGGCCATATCTCCCCACAGGTTGATGAGAGAACTAGATACTGTCTAGAGTCTCTTCTCTTTGTGGCAACAGTGTCAGCCTGAAAGTTCAAGATCTTGTCACCTTAATTGGGGAAGAGAAGGTGAGACTACATCCTCTTTGCTACCCTGGCCTCCAAAGTCATGCTGCATCCCTCCTGCCACATCTCATTCACTGAAGCAATCACAAAGACTGACCCAGATGCCAAGGCCCTGGGAAAAAAAGACTCCGTGTCTGAATAGACTTTTTAGGAAGATCACATGGAACTGGGAATTACATTGCAGGCTTTTCTTAAGAACTCACATCTTGTAGTATATTACAATCTTCGATTGTAATATAAAGCCTGTGAAATAGGATGGCAGGATTATAATTTCTCAAAAAGCAAAACTGTGACCCATTTAGATCAATTAGTTTTTCAAGGACCACACAACTAATAGGTAACAGAATGGGAAATAGAACCTCAATATCCAAAGTCATAAACAAGAGAATCTCTTCATTACCAAGAGATGGTAGAGATGGGATTGTTGCCATTCATGAGGGATCTGCCCCCATGATCCAAATACCTTCCATCAGGCTCCACCTCCAATATTAGGGATTATGGTTCAACATGAGATTTGGGCAGGGACAAATATCCAAACCATGTCAGGTGTGATCTCCAGAGTCTTTTTAAATAAAAAATGACAGGGATGACATTAGCCAGGTCATAACTCAAAACAAGGGTAACTTTAAAGTTCAGTTTCAGCCCTCACAGTCCTCAGAACAGGAGCCCCAAGATGTGGGGAGGTTAGGCAAGCCTGGGACCAGATAGAAGCCCCTCTGACTAAAGCTGGGCCCTCTCCACAACCCCATTGCTCAAGAGACCACAGACCACCCCAGTGCTGGAGGATTGGGCTTCTCTGGACCACCCAGTCCACGTGTCCTTCTTATGCAAATGTCATGGTCAATCTGCCCTCTCTAGGCAAGCGAGACACTGCAAGGAAGCAGACAGGCTGAAACCAGCAGTGAGCATTAAGGGTTCCAGATACAGAAAGACATTGATGTGGTGGGTACCTGGCCAAGGGGAGGGGCAGGGGGACACTTTACGAGTCAGTGAGGAATGCAGGAGAGGCATCTCCAGAAGGAAGGGGGCTCTCTCAGGGAGGGAAACACTGGGGAACACACTGGGCCCTGCCTCTATGGCTCTATTCCAGCAACATAGGGGGCCCGCAGCTGTGTGCTGGGACAAGCGGCTGACATCCTCTCATCAGTTCCCAGACACCAGTGCCTTGTGTGTCAGGCTGAGGTCTTTGAAAATCTGGAGACCAAGGATTGTCAAACAAACAAACAAAAAGGCAGTTTTGTGGTTTTTTTTTATTTTTTTATTTTTTTTTTTTTGAGACAGAGTCTCACTTTGTCACCCAGGCTGACGTGCAGCAGTGCAATCTGGGCTCACGGCAACCTCCACCTCCCAAGCTCAAGTGATTCTCCTGCCTCAGCCTCCCGGGTAGCTGGAACTACAGGTGTGCGGCACCCTGCCTGGCTAATTTTTGTGTTTTTAGTAGAGAGAGGGTTTCACCATGTTGGCCAGGCTGCTGTTGAACTCCTGACCTCAAGTGATCCACCCACCTCGGCCTCCCAAAGTGCTGGGCGTGAGCCACCATGCCCGGCTGGTGTTTTTGTGAAACTTATGTATGATTTTTCTTTTAAGTTCAAGCAATACTGTAAAGAAGAAAGAGATCGTAAAAGGTCATCCAAAATCCCACCACCCAGAAGAAAAACTGTTGTTATTTGGTAAACATCATCGCATACAGTTTATGAATGGACCGCAAGTCTTTCCTACCCCGGAGACCCCACAGCAAGAGCGCCTGGAGAGAGAACGGCTGTCTGCCTTCTTCCCTGAGGCATCTCCAGCATCTAGAACAGCACACGGCACAGAGGAGGTGCCGAATACATAGGCGTTGAATTAATAATAGAAGTACTTTGACAAAAATGAGATACTCTAGATCACTAGAGTATCCCTTCAAATTTTAAATTAAAATGAAGAAAAGGAAATATCAATGAAATTCAAGAGAATGCGGAACTTGATAAAAATTTGTACAGCAAAAGATGCTATTTTCTGAATATTTTTTCTACTAAAAATATATGTCAATAGGAAAAACATTGAGGTTGCATTTCTTTTTTCTTTTCTTGATTTTGGCTACATGCTCCAATGTCAAGCAGTGGCATTAAGTTCGCACTACGTAAAATGAGAAAGCCTGTGCCCCTACCTATGTTTATAATATTCCTCTGTTTCCATCACCTAGTTATTGTACTTTTTATTAGTGATTTTTAAAATTACTTGCAGTCTGTTTCCGAGCCATGAGTCTCACGTTTGTTTTGAACTACTTCAACATTTGAATGAACTCAGTGTTCATCATTAGCCTATTTCTGGCGTTCTCTCCACCTCTATGTCCTATGCTGACAGTTGCCTTTCCTGTGTCCCTGGGGTAAGATATATGAGGAGCTAAGAATGTTTACGAGGCTGCAGCAGAGCCAGCGAGAGGTGTGAAATCTTAGGTTGAGCTACCCAAGAATCAGACTCTAACACAGGGATATGTGGCCATAGTTTACTCAGGAAATGATCTCAGGAAGCACCAGGAGCAAGAAAGTGAGGCAGGGAAGAGAACGCCGATGCAGAATGCACCAACGAGCAGTCACAACTGTGAGCACCATGGCTCAGTCCTATTGGGTGTCTCTGGGAGACAGCAGAGAGCTTGACTCAGCACTGGTGGGTGAAAGAGCTGGACGTGTATCCACCAAATCCTATCTGTCATTGTCTACGGGCTGCTCCTGGACTCCAGGGCTCCTCTGGTCTGCTCTCTGCACAGGACGAGCAAGCTTCTGCTCAGACATACATGCAGGTGCTTTGGGAAGGAAGCAACAGGCCGCTGAGGGCATCTAGACAGGACATTGACAGCATCAGCTGCAGGCAGGATGCAGAGAATTTTTCCTAGGTTGCTGTTGCCTATGGGTGAGCATCATATGGGCCCTGATGGATTGCATATCATCCTGTCCCAGCCTCAAAACAACTCTTCCACTTCTGATCATTTTGGATGCAATGGGAAGAGTAACTCTAGCCTAATGGGCTCAGAGACCCTCCCCCCTTGCTAGGTGATGGTTTTCTGGGAGGAATGCTCATTTTTCAGCTTGACAGAGGGAGCCCTGAAGCCAGCTGCCACTGCAACCATGTCCCACTCATGCAGTTCCCCGTCAGTGCAAGTGGATGTCTGTCTTTCTCCTCCATTTTTATGACACTAGAAGTAATCCTTGCCAATTAGGTAAAATATAGGAAACATAAAAATATGCAAAGAAGGAAGAAAATGCACCTGGAATCTCATCAGCCAAATATAAACATTGTAATTATTTTTGTAATTTATCTTTCATATTATTTTTATTGCACATATGTTTTACATGATTGAGGTCATTTTGTACATACAGTTCTCTGCCCTATTTTTTTAACCTAATGCATCTTTGTTGTTGCTGTTATACAGGTTGAACATCCCTAACCTGAAAATCCAAAATTGGAAATGCTCCAAAATCCAAAACATTTTGAGTGTCAATATGATGCCACAAATTAAAAAATGCTACACTTGACCTCATATGATGGGTCACAGTCAAAACTCAGGCACACAACACATAGTTTCTTCAGTGTCCCCAAGGGAAAAAAGATCCTCCCAGCCCTGTTTAGCCATGATGTATCTTTTCTGAGTATGCCCAGATTTTCTCATGAAAGCAAGCACACAAAGGATAATTACCTGACATGTGTGCAGGCTGGAGGCACCAGCAGCAGATTCTCCATGATGCACCACATGGGGCCAAGACCATCATGCATTACTCATGGTTTATTTGCTTATTTTCTGCTCTGTAGTGTAAAGACATTGATGAAAATGTCAACAAGGCCTCCAGATACCCCTATGGATAAGAATGATAAGAAAAAGAGAAAGCATTTATGCTTATAGCACAGAAAGTCAAAGCTGTTGGAGAAACTAGACAATGGTGTAAGTGTGAAACGTCTTATAGAAGACTGTAGTGTTGTAATGTCCACCATATAGAACCTGAAGAAACAAGATGATAAGTCATTAAAGTTCTATGCTGAAAATGATGAACATACATTAAAAAAATAGAAAAACACTAAATTTTTAGCATCAAGCTGAAAATGAAGGTCTCAGTTATGTTTTGAAAAAAGTGGATCTCTCAGCATTGCAGTGAACACATGCCACTTAATAGTATGGTGATCGTGAAACAAGCAAACATCAATCCCAGTGAACTGCAAATCGAAGGAAACTGTGATAATTCAACAAAATGGTTGCAGAATTTGGAGAAAAGACATGACATTAAATTTTTAATGATTTGTAATGATAAAGCATCTGCTGATGATGAAGCAACAGAGAAATTAATTGATGAGTTTGCCAAGGCCATTTCCAATAAAAACCTGATGCCAGAACAAGTCTGTGAAGAAGAATATACTGAAGAAACATCCTGGTTTTTGTGTTATTGCCCAGAAAAATATTGACTATAACTGATGAGACAGCCTCTACAAAAATTAAGGATGCCAAAGACAGAATAGGTGTGTTGAGATGTGCTAATGCAGCAGGCATACATAAATGTAAACTTAGTATGATAGGCAAAAGCTTGCATCCTTGCTGTTTTAAAGGAGTGGATTTCTTACTAGTCTATTATTATGCTAGGCGCTTCCCCAGTTGAGCCTCTGATGAGAACACAGCCAAAGTCACCTGGATTTCAGCTTCATGAGAACCTGAAGTAGAGAGCCCAGCTAGGCCATGCCTAGACTCCTAACTCACAGAACCTGATGTAATACAGGCATGTTAAGTTGTTAGGTTTTGGTAATTTCTTATACAGCAATAAAAATTGTGCATAAAACTTCCAGCAATTTACCTTGAAGGGAAAGAGTGCCCCTTCTCACCTGCCCCACCCTGTCGTTGATGTGGAATGTGGATGTTATCAGTAGGGCTTAGAACAGTGCTTAATACATGTTTCACTGGAGCTATATAAGCTATATAGGCCATCTTGGGCCATGACACCTCGAAGACAGAAGCTATATACTGAGGGAGGCACACAGAAAACAGAAACTTGGGCTCCTGGTGAAACTGCTGTGTGGCCAGGCCAGCCTGGGCTGCATTCCTCTGGGCTTCATTTGCATAAGAGAGAAATAACTTTCCTCCTGTCTAGGAAACTACAACTTGGGGTTTTCTGTTACATGCAGCAACCCCTAATGCTAACTGATGCAAAGGTGAGGTGGGTTAAAAACTCAGTCTTGGAATTGGCTGACCTGGACTTGAATCCTGGTCTGCTATTTTCCATTTGGGTAAATTTCAAAATTCCCTTTACTCCTTTGAACTTGAGTTTCCTTATGTGTAAAATAGAGATAATCATAGTCTCTATTTTGTAAGTTTGTGGTAAGAATTGAAATAAATAATGTAAGTAAAGAGCTGCACACTGCACCTAGTCCAAGTGTTCAATAAATATTAGCTACTATTATTCTCATCTATAGTGTTTGTTTAATAAAATGCATGGAGTGGCTGCTAAATGCCAGGCACTATACTAAGTGGCTGGAGAAATGGCAAAATTCCTGTTCTCAAAGAGCCACAGACTTAAATGAAATATTGAGATTAAACAAATACAACAGTCTAGTAGCTCAAGTGCCATGCTGGGAGATGTGCAGGCTCTGAGGGCACCAAGAGCTCTCACAGTGAAAGGGATGGTTAAAGAAGGTTCCACATAGATTAAACTCCCTAACCAAAAGACATAGATGGACCGAACAGATATTTTTAGAATAGGATCTAATAATATGCTGCCTATAAGAGACTCACTTAAGCTCTTAAGGACACACATAGGCTGAAAGTAAAAGGATAGAGAAATATATTTTATGCAAATTGTAACCCAAAGAGAGTAGGGATAGTTTACTAATATCAGACAAAACAGACATTAAATCAAATATTGACACAGGAGAAAAAAAGAAAGACATTATATAGTGATAATGGGGTCAATTCAGCAGTAAGACATAACAATTATAAATATTTGTGTACCAAACATGAGCGATTCTAGATATATGAAGCAAACATTGGCAGAACAGAAGGTGAAATAGCAGAATTCAAAGAAGTTTCCATGGAAGAATTAACATTTGAATGGAGTTTTGAAATACCGGAAAATATTTTCTTAGCTAAAGAAATGAGATAGCAACTAGAATATCATATAACACATACCAGGCACTGTTCTAAGACCTACCTATAAAAATTCATTTAAACTTACCCCTGCCCTTAAGAAGGAGGTATATTATTTTCCTCATCAGAGCAATGATGAAACAAAGGCCCAGTGAGGTTAAGTCATGTGTCCAAGACCACACTGCTAGGAGATGGAAGAACTGGGATTATGACCATTAACGCGTGCCCATGTAACCATTGCTCTCTATCATCTTCATGGGCTTGGCATGGTGGGCAGAGGAAAGGGTTGGAGGACAGGAAATCCAAAGTGGATCAGGAGCTAGAGACATCTCACGTGGCTGGAATAAGAGGGGATGTCATGGGCCCATTGTGGGAAAGGGCATGGATGGAGCTGGGAAGGCCTGGTCAGTCATGCTTAAAGGCTGAACGTTTAGCCTGAGATCAATAGAAAGCTTTCATGAATGTAAAGCAGGGGAGAGTTAATGTTCAGCAGCCTAGCTTTTTAGATCACTCCTGTTCCAGAGGAGAAGAGTCTGGAGGCCAACAGAGAAGGGTACAGGTAAAATGTAAAGATGGTGGCTGGGTGTGGTGGCTCATGCCTGTTGTATTCCTAGCACTTTGGGAGGCTGAAGTGGGAGGATTGCTTGAGCCCAGGAGTTTGATACCAGCCTAGGCAACATAGGAAGACCCCATCTCTACAAAAAAAAAAAATTAAAATTAGCCAGGCATGGTGGCACATGCCTGTAGTCCTAGCTACTCAGGAGGCTGAGGTGGGAGGATCACTTGAGACTAGGAGGTGGAGGCTCTAGTGAGCTGTAATTGCACTACTGCACTCCATCCTGGGTGACAGAGCAAGACTGCCTCAACAACAACAGAACAACAACAACAAAATGAAGATGGTGATGGGTGAAGACAGGAAAACATGATTTCCAGAGATATCTGAGTTAAATAAATAACTGAAGGCTCAGACCATTAGCACTAAGAATGCTTTCGTGGAAATGAAAGCAGTAACAAAATCAAAGCTAAAGGGAGCGGTCTTTGCATGAGCTCTCTGTATCACACACGTTCTGCTCTCTTCCAACCCTGAAGTCATAAATGGGGTGGCCTCTATGATCTATGAACTACCATGATGCATACAACTGTGGCCAACTTTCTCAGGAGGATTCCAGGCTCTGCTCATCTTTCTCCTGTATTTTCTCTAACATTTTCTTTTTTTTTTTTTTTTTTTTTTTTTTTTGAGACGGAGTCTCGCTCTGTCGCCCAGGCCGGACTGCGGACTGCAGTGGCGCAATCTCGGCTCACTGCAAGCTCTGCTTCCCGGGTTCACGCCATTCTCCTGCCTCAGCCTCCCGAGTAGCTGGGACTACAGGCGCCTGCCACCGCGCCCGGCTAATTTTTTGTATTTTTAGTAGAGACGGGGTTTCACCTTGTTAGCCAGGATGGTCTCGATCTCCTGACCTCGTGATCCACCCGCCTCGGCCTCCCAAAGTGCTGGGATTACAGGCGTGAGCCACCGCGCCCGGCCTTCTCTAACATTTTCTTAAAGGCAGCTTAAGGAACCTGAAAACTTGCATTTGTTACATCCAGCATAATATTCTTCCTCTGAGTGTTTGCAACAAGTCCAAACAAACATCATCAACACATGCCTTATCAGCTATTATGAGTCAGAACTGCCAACCTAAATGTGAAATAAACAACCAAAGGAGCAACCATGTGGAGCAAACAGCACCACACAGGGTGGAGAACATGCTCCGCTGGGGAAAGTACAGTAGAGCAGCTCTTCAGTGGAGCATGGGCAAAATGCAATATCAGGAATCTTGCAGAATCAAAGAGAAGGCCGGACAGGCAGGCTCAGGAAAAGGCTGGAATCAGGAGCTCCAGGGCTTCAGTGCCGATGTCTCATCAGGGCCTACATTAGATTCCCCTTGCTGTTGTAATAATTACTGCAAATTTGGTGGCTTGAAGTAACACAAATTTGTTCACCGATAATTCTTCAGGTCTGAAGTCTAAAATCCAGTTGTCAGCAGGTTTGCTTTCCTTTTGAGGGCTCCACGGGAGAATCTATTTTCTGCCTTTTCCAGCTTCTAGAGGTTGCCACATTCTTTGGCTCATGGCCCCCATATCAAATGCCCTTTTCGCCCTTGCTTCCATCATCACATCACCTTCTTCTAGTTCTGACTGTGATCCTCCTGCCTCCCTCTCCTAAGGACCCTTGTAATTATATTAGTCTACCAGGTCAATCCATATAATTTCCTCAACTGCTATAGTCTGAATGATTTTGTTCCCCCAAAACCCATGTGTTGAAACCTACTCCGTACAGTGGTGGTAGTAAGAGGTGCAGCCTCTGGGAGGTGATTAGATCATGAGGGCTCCATCTTCATGGATGGGATTCATAAAAGAGGCTTGAGCAACCTGTTTGCTCCTTACACCATGTGAGGAGACAGCTAGAAGTTGCCATCTATGAATCAGAAAGCAGACCCTCTCCAGACACTGAATGTGCTGGAGCCTTGATCTTGGACTTTCCAGCCTCCAGAACTGT
Source organism: Homo sapiens (assembly GCF_000001405.40). Taxonomy (NCBI): domain Eukaryota; kingdom Metazoa; phylum Chordata; class Mammalia; order Primates; family Hominidae; genus Homo; species Homo sapiens. The sequence continues at coordinate 133,410,254 of NC_000008.11, read as the reverse complement.
GAGAAATACATTTATGCTGTTTATCAGTTACCTGGTATCAGGTATTTTGTTATAGCAGCCCAAATGGACTAATACATCACCTCAAATCTTAACCTAATAACATCTGCAAAAATTTTTTGCTGTTTATTTATTTTTATTTATTTATTTTTTTTTTGAGATGGAGTCTCGCTCTGTCACCCAGGCTGTAGCACAGTGGCATGATCTTGGCTCACTACAACCTCTGCCTCCGAGGTTCAAGTGATTCTCCCGCTTCAACCTCCTGAATAGCTGGGATTACAGGTGTGGACCACCACGCCTGACTAATTTTTGTATTTTTGGTAGAGACAGGGTTTCACCATGTTGGTCAGGCTGGTCCCAAACACCTGACCTCATGATCCACCCACCTCAGTCTCCCAAAGTGCTGGGATTACAGGCATGAACCACCGCGCCCGGCTTTTTGCCATGTAAAGTAACATATTTACAGGTTCCAGGGATTAGAAACATGGATATCTTTGGGGGCTGTATTCAGATGACCATGGGGCCAATCACTGGAACAAATGACCTCTGTTCATTCCTCCATCTCATATATTTCTGCCAGAGATTCAAAGTCTGGTAAGATAGTGTAAAGGGCCTGGCTTTGGCCAAACACCGACAGCTCATCCAGGGGTGTGTATCCCATCCTGACTTATATCCCACCAAACTGGCCCACAAGTGAGGGAGAATAACTCTTTAAACAAAATTCTTCTTTTTTTTATCCTCAAATGAGTTATGTTTGCCTCACGCTAATAACTTTCACTCAAATTAGAGCAGTAATCTTCCATACATAAGTATATTCCCTGCCCAATAATTCAAAGAAAAAAAATCCAAAATGATTAGTAAAGAAAAATATAAGAATTAACAGACCCTTTACATTTGTTTTAAAAAGTGTTTAAAGTTTGTAATTCCTAGTAGTAAAACATTATCTGAATGAATACCCTAATGGCAAACCTAATGGCAAACTGTAAAATGCTTCAGCTGTATTTGGGGGAGAGGGGTAGGGATTATCTTAAAGCACCCCAGCTCTCTTGATGAGAAGGTACATTGGTTTGTATTATTGTGACATCCATAAGGTGATCTAGGTTGCTTTTCCTTCAGCAAGGGCTTTATTTATCAGAAGGGCATTACACTTGACCTCCAAATTTGGCTGACAATTTACTGATGAGATTCATAACCTTTGGGTTGCTCTGGTATTTTGACACATTTGCTGGGTTCTGAGCCACATCCTGGAAGGCCACCATAACTTCTGGATCCTGCATGGCTGCAAGAACCTCTGGATCACTAAGAATTTCATTGAATCCAGGCATTCCAGCCATTCCAGACATGCCCCCTCCCATTCCAGGCATTCCTCTGGGAAAATTACCAGGCATTCCCCCAGGAAAGCCACCTGGAAAAGAGCCATACTGAGCTCCTGACTGTCGTCTGGCTTCTTCCTCCCTCTGGGCTCTCTCATGCTCTTTTCGAGCCTTCTTAACTCGTTCTACTCTTTCTTTGATCTCTCGCTCTTCATGTTTTCGCTCATACTTTCTCCGATGTTCTGCAATTTTCTGTGCCCTATGTTGAACTTCTTTCAGCATTGCACTAGCATCTTCATCATAATCCAATTTACAGGCAAGGGCAAGATCATGGTCTGCTTCTCCCCAGTGGCCTAGAAGTCTGTGTGCTTTCCCCCGCCACTTGTGAGGCTGAGCTGAATCAGGATTTATTTCAATGGCTCTGTCACAGTCTTGGGTGGCAGCATTTGGCTTCTGTAATTTGACGAAAACACTGGCCCTCTTGGCATACAAAATGGCCAAGCGAGGATTCAGCTTGATGGCGTCTGTCAATAACTCAATGGCTTTCTGGAGTTCACCATCATTTAGGGCTTCAATAGCAGCCACTTTTTTATCATTTGCCTGATCCATCATCTCCTCCGTTATCTCCGCATTTTCATCTCCCATTTCTTGAGGAGCATCAGTGTCTGGTTCAATCACACCTTCTTTATCAATTTCTAGATCACTTTCCTCACTTGATGGTTCGTCTGCCTTTAAGTCTTCCTCCACCTTCTTACTATCAGGTTTTTCTTCCTCGGTATTTTCTTCTGATTTAGCTTTCTGAGTAGCAGGTGGTACTTTACCTCCCATGCTCTCCACCCACTCCCTCAGGAAGCGCATTTCCTCGGTGTGCAGAATGCTCGGATCCTGCTTACACATTTTCACAAAGGCCCGAAGCTCGTTCACTTTGCAGGGGTCCATGGTAGGGAGGCGGTGGGCGAAGCTGGGGGGCTGCGGCCCGGTTCCAGGCCCAGGTGCTGGCTTGGCATGACCACGCAGAAGAGGGCGGCTGCCGCGAGGCAGAACAGACTAGAACCTCCCTGGCTGCTGGCTCCTCCCACCCAACGGTCTCGTGACCCCGAGTCCTCCGCCTGCTCATTCCTACTCCCTCTGCGCTGCTCCTGTGCGCTCCCTAGAATCTTCTAGAAGCGTGGCTGTTCGTGCTGTTGCCTGCCTCCCTTTGCATACATTCTCATATTCTTAACTAGGAACCAGCTCCCTGGATGGGGCAACCCCAGAAATGGGCGCCTTCAAGGAGGTGGGAGATAACATCCCCTCTAGGAAGCCACGTCCAAAAGCATATTGTGTGGCTGCATGCACTGAGCAGAGCTCAATGCCCGGACCCTCTAAACAAAATTCTTGTCAGACTCTAGGGGGAATGGATACTGAAGAGCCAAAACATGCGCTGCCTCCATTTGGGTTGGAGAAGAGGAGGTTAACGTATGAGGAGAAGGACGTTATAGCTTTCTGAAAATATGCAAAGGCCACGCTGGCTCTGAGGATGTCACAGCTGAACAACCCCTCAGAGGTCACTAAGCCTCTGCTTGTTCAGGGGAGAAAGTTGTGGCCCAGAGAGACCAGCAAGTGAGCAGCTGAGCAATCGTGTGGAGAAGAAAGAGAACTTTCTGGATGAACACAGAAATAGGGCTAGAGCCAAGAACTGTTGCAGGAGACACTGTGGCAGAGTGTGAAAAAGGCTGTCCACGGCAACAACAACCAGTTCTGTCATACCGTGACCACTGACGTCATACCAAGAGCTGTGCTGCACGCTCTCGGGCATGGCTCACTCGCCCTTTAACACAGAGCAGGAGCTTCATCACTGAACCCATTTTACGTGCAGGAAATGGGGAAACTGAGCTCAGAGGGACTGAAATATCTTACCCAGGAGACCCAGTAAGGAGACAGCGAAGTGCAGAAACCCAGCTTCGAGAGACTTTAAAATCCATGCACTAACTAAAGCAAATGTTAGGCTACTTTGTTTTTTTCTTCTCTATTTTGTTTTCCATGAAATTCAAGGCTGGGTGGGTAAAGAAAGGAATTTGATAAACTTGCTCAGGCCTGGAACTTTTCCCAGATCCCTGGGGGCAGAGAACCAAGTTGTGTAGACACACCCTCTTGGCCAGAAAGTTCTTTCAAACAGCCATTCCAGCCTGCTCAGTTCCTGTTTGTACCACTAGGAAAGGACCGCCTTGAGTTTGAAGTGGAATGGAGGAAACTGGCTTGCATGGAGGACTGTGCTGCTCCTGACTCCAGGCAGGGTGTGTCTTCTCTTCAGTGCATCCCTGAGCTGGGAGTACCAGAGACTGCAGAGAAGTTAAGCAACCCACCTGAGGTCACACAGCAGGGAAGAGGGGATCCCAGGACACAAAGTTGATTCTTCCAGACCTCAGAGCCCGCATAGCCTGCCTCCTGAAATGACTCTCAGAACAGAAGTGGCCTTGGGATCAAGGAGCATGAACCAAGGACTGGATCTGGGGGGCTGGAGGAAGACACCCTCATTCTACTCCAGACCCAGAAAACATCTCTTTTCTCTGGCTTGCGATGGCCTGAAGTTTAATGACTCAGAGGGGCCCAGAAAGAACTCTGCCCCAAGAGATCTCAGCTTGTGAGCAAAACAAGAGTCTACACAACACATTGTTTTTATTGTTTTGTTCCCAAACCAACAAAGCAATGTTGAGCCGGCAGCCCCAGCTTGCTCGTTTGTAGAATGAGAGCTTTTGGACTGGGAGAACTGCGTGCAGGGGCTGTTGGCTAGAAACAGCGCAGGATACCTGTAGGAGTCTCGTGGCTTGGGTCTTGACTCTGCTACTAACTCACTGTGCGACTTTGGCAAGTCGTATCCCTTCTCTGAATCCAGCATCCTTACGCATTGGAGAGAGGGGATGGGAGAGGGTTCAGGAGATTGTCCTGTAAGTGGAGTCTTCTCAGAGTCCTGGTCTGAAAAAGCCTGCACCTCTGAAGAGGTCAACTCTGATTGTCCCCATGACCCTTTGTGCCTTAGCATGAAGGAGTTCATTGTGTCTCCCTCAAAAGCATGTTTTGATCTGGGAAGATAGGTAGGGTCTGCCCCTCTATGGGACAGGTCACCAGATAGAAGTGAATCCTGGATCAGGGGCTCCTGCTGTTCCAGTGGGTATAGGAAGGTCTCCCCCAGCCCACCCAGCCCACCTGTCAGCCTCACCCAGGGTCCATGTCACGTCTGCCACAATAACTTCTTTCAGTTTATCAAACTACTTTCTCACCTCTGGGTCCTACTCCAGGTAATACAAAAATCCAGAGTCCCAGTCCCTAGCCTCCTCATGTGACCCAGGCCTCAGTTTCCTCACCTGTTCATGGGGCACTTGGGCGAGCTGCAACTACACCATGCTCATATTAGAGGACCCCATTACCCAAGGGGAGGAGGCAAGAGAGAACGCAGGAAGCTCCTGCAGTCCCTGCCCTTCCAGTCCCTTCTGCATGGTGGCTCGCGGGGCCCAGCGCAGGAGGCACCATTCTGCTCTCATTACTGCTGTGACCTGTGATGTGTTTGGGCAGAGTCGCCAAGTGAGAAAAGTCATAGGGCTCAAGCTCCAAGACTTCCTTTAGGAGTCTGGTGAAACCCATTGACCCTGTGGGTCAAAAATATAGCTGCCTGGAACCTCATATGGAAAGATATAGCTGCCTGGAACGTCATATGGAAAGATACAGCTGCCTGGAACCTCACTGGAAAAACCTTTATTTGGAAAAAGTATCTTTGTAGATGTAATGAAGGATCTCATGATGAGATGGTCCTGGATTTAAGGGTGGGCTCTAAATCCAAAGTCAGATCTACTTATAGATGAAAGGAGAGGGAGATTTGAGGCACAAAGAGGGGAATGGCACATAGAGATGGAGGCAGAGATTAGAGTGGGTGGGCTGTGTGTGCAGTGTGGTATGTGTGTGTGGTGTGTGTGGGTGTATGTGTATGGTGTGTGCAGTGTGTGTGGGGGTATTTATGTGGGGGGGTGGTGTGTGGTGTGTGTGGGAGGGTATATGTGTGTGGTGTGTGTGGTGTGTGCGTGGTGTGTGTGTATATGTGTGTAATGTGTGCATGGTGTGTGTGGGTATATGTGTGTGGTGTGTGTGTGGGGTGTGTACTATGTGAGCATATGTGTGGGGTGTGTGTGTGGTGTATGGTATAAGTGTGGGGTGTGTGTGTGGTGTGTGTGGTATGGCATGTGGGTATTTATGTGTGGTGTGTGATATATGTGTGTGTATGTGTGTGTGGTGTGGTATGTTGTGTGTAGTGTGTTGTGTGACTATTTGTGTGTGGCATGTGTGTGGTGTGTGGATATATGTGTGTAGTGTGTGATGTGCGTGTGTGGTGTGGTGTGTGTGTGGTGTGTATAGTGTGATGTATGTGGTGTGTGATCTGTGTGTGGTATGTGTGTGGTGTGATATGTGGTGTGGTGTGTGTGTGTGTGGTGCGGGTGTGTAGACTGAGAAGGGTGGAACACAAAGGGAGGCCCAGCTGAAGCCCCGTCTGTGCTTCCCCCACCTCTCCCTGCCCCCATCCACCCACTGTCAAGCAAAACACTCAACCACAAGCCTGGACATTGTCACCCATCAGTAGCTGTCACAGGGGACAGAAACACAGTCTGAGAGAATAGAGGAGAAGAGTGTGTTTGCACAGCCCCATCCCAGGCCCTGAGCCTTGCTGGCCTCTGGTCTTCATGGGCACCATACAACACACTATTTTTCCTGCAGGCTTGTGGGAGGGAGGACTGAAACCCTAGCTGGGACACCACTGAGGATCCCAGAGTCTGGCCTGGCCTGGCCTTGGTGTCTTATGAGGACATCTGAGTCACTCCAGCCAGCCCTGGGCCTATGTCTCCTGCCCTGCTGGAGCCTGGCAGGGGTGAGCAACTGCAGGCAGCTTTCTGGTCACCAGCTGCCCCTACTTGGGTCTCTGCAGGATCCAGAGTGGGGCTAGAGCCCGGAGAGGTGCCTATGGCCAGCGTCCACCTGACCAGGGCCTCAGCCAAGCAGGAAGAGAGGAGTGTTTATTGTACTGTGTCAAAATTACCGTGGGGAAGTCACGCTTCCCTTTCTCTGAGGCAGCCGTGAGGCCTGGCATGAGCCTTGACATCTCTGGAGCTTATGCCCAAGAACAAGGGATGTGAGCAGCTTGCTGCACCGCCCCCAGCCCAGCAGGAAATGGGAAGCTTCCCAGAGGACTCCATTTCACATCCCTGAGCACTGGGGGGGCCCAGGTGCCTCAAATAAGCCCAAGCCCTCTCCACAGGCTCTGAGGCCCTGTGGCCTGGCCCCCTCCTCACACCATCCTCATCCTGGGGAACCCTCCCCTTTCACTTCTCCCTGCTATGTGGCCTCCTTTTACTTCTGCAGTGAGCCAGCGCTTCCTTCTCTGGCCCTCTTATACTCTGTTCTGCCCTCTCACACACTGTTCTACCTTCTCACACTCTAGTCTGCCCTCTCACACACAGTGTCACTTTCTCATACACTGTTCCACCTTCTCACACTCTGTTCTGCCTTCTCACACACTGTTTCACCCTTCTCACACACTGTTCCACCCTCTCACACTCTGTTCTGCCTTCTCACACACTGTTCCAGCCTTCTCACACACTGTTCCACCCTCTCACCCTCTGTTCTGCCTTCTCACACACTGTTTTGCCTTCCCACACAGTTCCTCCCTCTCACACACTGTTCTGCCTTCTCACACACTGTTCCACCTTCCCATACACTGTTCCATCCTCTCACAAACTGTTCTGCCTTCTCATACACTGTTCCACCCTCTCACACTCTGTTCCGCCTTCTCACATACTGTTTTGCCTTCTCACACACTGTTCCTCCCTCTCACACACTGTTCCAGCCTCCTCACACACTGTTCTGCCTTCTCACACACTGTTCCGCCTTCTCGCACACTGTTCCGCCTTCTCGCACACTGTTCCAGCCTTCTCACACACTGTTTCATCTTCTCACAAATTGTTCTGCCTTCTCACACATGTTCCAGCCTTCTCACACATGTTCCAGCCTTCTCACACATGTTCCAGCCTTCTCACACTCTGATTCACCTTCTCACACACTGTTCTGCCTTCTCACACTCTGTTTCGCCTTCTTAAACTCTGTTCTGCCTTCTGACACTCTATTCCAGCCTTCTCACACACTGTTCCACTTTCTCACATGCTGTTCCAGACTTCTCACACACTGTTTTGCCTTCTCACACACTGTTCCACCTTTTCACAATCTATTCCACCTTCTCACACACTATTCTGCTTTCTCACACTCTGTTCTGCCTTCTCATCCACTGTTCGACCCCAGGATGCTTTGCTTTTGCTCCCAGGCTGCCTCAGCTGTCTTCCTTCCACCCTCCATGTCTTGGCTTCCAGGCTTCCTTTCCAGAGAGGCTTGCCTTTAACCACGTGATCTGCATTGATTCCCTTCTTTCACAATCCCTCTCATTCCTCATTTCTTTTTCACTCCAATTCTTTTCCTTCACAGTACAGATCATAATTTACATGCTTATAAGTATACATTTATTTGTTCACTTGTTTTGTATTTTGTTCTCAAAAGACTGTGAGCTGACCAAGGGCAAGGATTGTGCCTTTCCTGTTCACTGATTTATGCCCAGTGGATAGTCTCTGGCACATAGTAGGGGCTTGTATCTGTCAGGATATAACAAGTTATGATGCAGTAATAAATAGTCCCAGATCTCAGGGACTTCAAGCAACAAAGGTTGTAGCTCTCGCTCATGCTACATGTGCAACGTGGGTGACAGAGGGCCTAGGGGATGGAATTTGATCATCCCAGTCATTTATGGACTTGGGGTCATGGAGGCCCCTGTTGTGATCCTCTGCTATCCACAGTAGAAGGAAGGAAAAGAAGAGAATCACACATTGGATTTTTAAGTTTTCACCCAGAAGTGCCGTATTTCATTCACTCTAATTTATTGACCAAAGCAGCTCACACAGCCCTAAAGAGCCAGACAGAAATAGAATCAAAATTTTTGAACAGCCTCATGGTAAACTATAAAAGTGACTACAATTGTCCAGCCCTCCTGCATCCATGCCTTTTGGCACTGGGATTTTGTTGTTGTGTCCATCAAGAGGTAGAAGCTATTTCCCCTCTCCTAGAATCATGGCCAGCCTTGGACCTTGCTATGGCAAAAGAATGTGGTAGAAGTGATGTGGAGCTTGAAACCTAGGGCTCAGAAGCTTTGAATCATTTCATCTTCTCTTGGAAACTTTTCTCTACCATGTAAACAAGCTTGGACTAGCCTACTGGAGGGTGAGAGATATATGACCCAGACACCTTTGTCACCACAGCCCACAGCAAGCCAACTGCAGGACATGAGTGAGGCACTTTCATGCCAGCCACTACCAGCTGATCTGGCACAAAACCCAGCCAAGATCTGCCAATCCTGACTAGATGACCACAACCACCCACTGAAGGACCCATAGACTTGTGAGCAATAATAAATACTTTACGGTTTCAAGCCACTGAGTTTTGGAGTGGTTTGTTACACAGCAATGGCAAACATTACAAATTCTAATGACAATATGGTTTTTAGTAAATAATTTTTGAACTAATGGAGAGCAAAACAGCTTCTTTCCCTACCTTGGCCTTTCTACCAAGCCCAGGCTCAGCTCCCAGGAACTAAGAATCATGATTTGAAATATAAGGACTCCTGGGAGTTGGTGGGAAAAAACTGTAAAGTGGAAGGCCTAGGTTTCATTCTAATTCTTTTACAGGCTCACTCAAATAGATCCTTAGCTAAGTCCCTTTTCCTCTGTGCCTCAGTTTCCCTGGAGGAAAAATGGGCCAGGTGTGATGCTTTTCGATGACCCTGTCAACACTGTAGGCTAGAAACTTTGAAACTATTCCCTGCAGGCTGAGATCTCCTGGAAGAAGGACCACTGAAGGATGAAACTTTCCAGTGGTGCGTTGGGCAAGCTGAATTAAATTGGAAGCCATAGCTTTATCCAGGGAGGTGAGTATATGTTGCCCTTGCATTAACCCAGGAGAAGGAGATTTCAACTTCTCTAGAGGCTTCATCTACCCGTTAGTGGCCTCACAGCCAAAATCAAACTCCACTAACACTTAAGCAAGCCTCTCCACTGAGCCACTCCTGGGGTTAGCCCCCCACGGTACAGAGATGGTTATTCCCAGTTCCCAGATTTTCAGGAGCCATTGTTATACTGCAGGAGACAAAGGAGATTAATCCTGAAGTTAGGATTATATTCCACTTCTGCTGTTGAGCCCATTGGTGGATGGGGTTTTTATGTAAGTTTTTATAGTTTTTCATTCTAAAATCTCCATCTGATTCTTCTTTATCTCTTTTACTTCTGTTAATCCAACAGCTAGGCCTTCTCTTCAGTCAGGATGCTCCTGCAGGGGGCTTAATATTCTGAGTATTGGCCCTGATACTTATCATGTTTATGTAGTTGGATAAGAAAAAGTCTTTAAGCTACAGTCGAGTGGAGTTAAATCAATAGGTACACAAATAGCCATTTAGCAGAAAAGTGGTGATGAGGTATATTGGAGAGATTCCGAGTGTGACGAAGACCTGGGGAGGAGAGAGAGGGACTGTCAGGAAGGAAGGGGAATTTCGAGGGTGAGTTTTGGGTTTCCTGGGCTGGGGGATTAATTCATGCTGAGTGTTTTGGGAGGTAAACTACTTCCTCCTCCTGGTTTGCTGGGTTTTTTCCAGCTGTGTGTCAGAAAAAGTCACAGAAGGTCTTGGAGCAGGGGTGGGAGTGCTCCAAGCTGCCATTAGCAGGGCCCTGCAGAGGACGGGTCAGCAGCAGGAGAGGCCATCGCCAGCCATGTCAGCCAAGGGAGGGAGAAGAAAAGTGACAGGAGATGAGGCACAGACAGGTGGGCCAGAAACATGGGGAGAAGGCAGGATGGGGGAGACGGCTGGTCCAGAGGCAGGCCAAGGAAAAGAACATGACGGGAAGCCAGTTGGCCAGTTGGGGAGGAGACCCATTTGAACATGCGGGGTCTGCAGGGTCTGCAGAGCCTGCAGACATGCCAAAGAAGATGGCAGGAAAGTGCCAGGTCCTGGAAATCTACAGCTTAAGAAAGCCTGGGCGGCTGCTTACAGAAGAGGGGTTCAGGGCTGCTGGTAGTCCCTGGCTTCTTGGCTACATCAAGACCTGGACGCCCAGCTCTGTGTCTGGCCACAGCAGCTGGAAGATGAGTGGTCCCCAGCCCAAGGCAGGCCCAGCCACCATTTCTGGTTGTTTCCCATGGGCCCTGTCAGCTCCTGCTCTGGAAGCTAACCTGGCTTAGACCCTTGACCTGTGGGAGCCTTGACTTCTCATGGATACCAGTTTTTGAGTCCTTATTTGAAGGGTTCCTCTATTTGGTCTACTTCCCACTTTTTCCCCTTACCCTTGACTTCCCCCTACCTCAGGCCTCCTGGACTTTGTCTCCACTGAGCCCTTGAGGAAAGACTTTCTGTGATTACCACCAGTAAAGACACATGCGTGGGTATGTTTATTGCAGCACTATTCATAAGAGCAAAGACATGGAATCAACCTAAATGCCCATCAATGATAGACTGGGTAAAGAAAATGTGGTACATATCCACTATGGAATACTATGCAGCCCTGAAAAAGAACAAGTTCATGTCCTTTGCAGGGACATCAATGGACCTGGAGGCCATTATCCTTAGTAAACTATCATAGGAACAGAAAACCAAATACCACATATCCTCACTTATGAGTGGGAGCTAAATGATGAGAACACATGGACACATAGAGAACAACACACACTGGGGCCTTTTGGAGGGTGGAGGATGGGAGGAGGGAGGGGATCAGGAAAAATAACTAATGGGTAATGGACTTAATACCTGGGTGATGAAATAATCTGTACAACAACCCCCATGACACAACTTTACCTATGTGACAAACCACACTTGTACTCCTGAAATTAAAATAAAAGTTAAAAAGAAATAGTAGTTGCCATTTAATGAGTGCTCAGTTAGAACAGATTTCTGTCAAGCACTTTATCGCATTAGATCATTTAATCATCACAGCAGCTGTGTGAGTGAATGAGATCATCCCCATTGACAGATGAAGAAAACTGAGGATTCAAAGATGAACTGGCTTATTGAGGGTCCTGATCTCTGTCCTCAAACAATTCATGTAGCGGCAGAAACAGATACATGAATACCTACAAGGTCATCACATTCCGAGTGAATCCAAACCCTGTGATTTTGATGTCATGCAATGTAAAATGAGAAAACATTCTCAGTGTGCAAAATCTGAAGTATTTCAAATTTCCCACTCCAGCCCCACCATATATGAATCACATAATTTCAAAGTTGGCACGTGGAGTGTGCTATGAGCTGTGTTTATGCTGCCCCACATGGCTGTGCTGCCCTAGCTGGGAACCGACATGCTCATCCCCACTCTTTGCAGCACTGCTCTTGAATTCATTTCCTATGTTTACAGTTATGAGTGATCTTGACGAACACATCTCTCTGATGATATCTTGGCAATGAGTGCTGCAGGTGTGCTGCTCTGTGTCTGCACAGGCCATTGTGGGTGGTGGGAGAGTGAAACCAGGCCTATCTGGGAAAACTGGGGAACAATGTTAGCTAGCACTTACTGAGTAATTAGTATGTATCTGCTCCTTTGCATTCATTTTCTCTTATAAACCCTTCCCCAGCCCTATGACTCGAGTGTTACTGGTATTTTATAGATGGAGAAATTGCACTTCAGCTAGCAAAAATGACTAACTTGCTCTGCTGGTTTTCAAATATGTCCACAAATTCTTTGATCCTCCTTTCTCAAAAGGTGGGGCTAATTCTCCTCCATTTGAGTGTGGGCTGCCCATGGTGACTGTAATGGATAGAATACAGCAGAAGTGATGGTGTTAAAGACGGACTCATAGGAGGTGCTGGGCTTCACCTTTGCTCTCTCTGCTGGATCTCTCAGTGTGGGGATGGCAGCTGCCATGTCATGAGGACAGCCATGCAGCCCTATGGAGACGTCAACATGGTAAGGAACTGAGGCCTTTTGCTAACAGCCATGTGGATGAGCCTTCTTGGAATCCATGGTCAAGCTTTTTGGTGACTATAGCCCCAGCCAATGTCATGATTACAGTTCATTCCATGAGAGACGCTGAGCCAGAATCACCCAGCTACGCTGCCCCCCAAATTCCTGACTTGTAGAAACAGTGAGATAATAAGCACTTGTTCTTTTTAGCCAGTAAGTTTTGGGATTATTTGTGACACAGCAATAGATAACTGATATACTTTTGCTAGGTCACACAGCTAGGAAGCTATGGCGCTGGGGTTTCAGTTCATGTTTATAGGCCTCCAAGTTCATATCTTGACCTCTATGGCAGACATGAGTTGCCCTTCAATATCCATTCACCCCTTCTTTTAGAATTGCAGAATTTTTACCTAAGCAGAACACTCAGCTAAAATATACATTTCCCAGAGTCCTTTGCAATTTGATCATGGGACTAAGTTCTCATTCATGGGATATGAGGGGAAATATTATGTGCAACTTCCTCTTTCCCCATGCGCATTAGATGGAATGAGAATATGATAGATGGAACTGAAGCAACCATCTCTGATCATGAGATATAAGTTACATATTGAGAATTCTAGAACAATGAGACAGAAGAAGCTTGAATGCTGATTACTATAGAGTCACTGTATGAGCCCTGGGTCACTTGCCCAAACTTTTTTTTTTTTTTTTTTTTGAGACAGGTCTCACTCTGTTGCCCAGGCTGGAGTGCAGTGACATGATCATGGATCACTGCAGCTTTGACTTCCCAGGCTCAGGTGATTCTCCCACCTCAGCCCCCCAAGTAACTAGTACTACAGGCACGGGCCATCATGTCCGGCTAATTTTTTTTGTATTTTGTTTGTTTGTTTGTTTTGTTTTGTTTTTTTGGTAGAGACGGGGTTTTACCCAGGCTAGTCTTGAACTCCTGACATCAAATGATCCTCCCAGCCTCCCAAAGTGCTGGGATTACAAGCGTGAACCACCATACCTGGCCCACCTACCCAACCATTATGGGAAAGATAATTAAATTTAAATTTCTGCATTATTTAAGCCATTATTATTTTAGGACTTTATGTTACAGCAGCCAAACTGATATGTTAACCAACACAATCAGTATGTTCTACTGACCTGTGGCTAAGTTTGCCAAAGCATTAGAGAGTAGTGGAAGGGGTTCCTAAAGCCATATTCCACCTGGCATGGCATGTACACTAAATGAACATTTTCTCACACAAAATGTACTACCGGTTTTCAAATATACATATGTATGACTAGTCAAGCACTAATTTATGTAGAAGTGCCACTGAATTCAAAAGTCTGCAAGAGGAGCAGATGAGAAAAATAATGTAAGAAAAGCACCTGGCATAGAATAATCCTTCAATAAAGAGTATCACTATGAGAATATAAATAATAATGCTTCCCAATCAGCATTTGGTTCCATATGAGGGTTAACAAAGTGTATTGGTAACAAAGGTAACACAGCCACCTTACTCCAAGGACTAGGGCCGCTGTATCTAGGCCTAGCTGTTGTAGACATCATCTGCAAGAGTCTCGGTTGTTGCAGACATCAGCTGTTTATCTGAGATCTTCAGTAACCCACACTCACCCGAGCAAGCAGAGATCTTACAACCTGGAATCCTCCTGCTTTGCCAAAGCAGAGATCAGGCTGCTAATTGATCACCAGCATGTGATAGGCCAAGCCCATGGGGGGGGGGGGGGGCTTAGGATTCTCATAAAAAATAGAGCAAGACCTTAAAAGGCAAAGGTACAGCCTGATGGGGGCTGAGGTAGAACAAGGGCCGCCTAGTATTCTCTCCACAAAGCAAAGGCAAAAAACTCAACTCCCTGGTGGTCCCTTAGATGGGCTATTCTCACCACCCATGCAGTTTGTCCCTATGAAACCTTTACATTGTTACCACTAAATAACTTTCTGAACCGCTTCATTGTTGCATTCCATAGAATTTGTGAAGAATTCTTCAGGGAGGCAAGAAGAGGGTTAATACCCCCATTTTACACAGCAGGGACCTGATACTCTGGTTAACTGACTTGCTCCAGGTCACACAGGTCACCAGAGGCAGAACCAGGACAAGACCTTAGCTCCCTCCCTTTCCTCCCCCACTTTTTTTTCCTTAAATCCATTGCATTTCTCCTGTCATCTATTGACTTATGTAAAGTGCAGTCAGCCATATATATGATAGAAGAACCCAACCTGTGGCCCAGACCCCCTGGCTTGGTAACCTTACGGGCCATCTATGCATCACGGGATTTGGGCAAAGGCCCAACACAAACTGTCCCAGTCAATTCAGGTTGCTATAACAATATACCTTAGATTAGGTAATTTATAAACAACCAAAAATTTATTGTTTATAGCTCTGGAGGCTGGGAAGTCCAAATTCAAGGCATGAGGCTGGGCATGGTGGTTCATGCCTGTAATCTCAGCACTTTGGTAGGCCAAGGTGGGCAGATCACCTGAGGTCGGGAGTTTGAGACCAGCCTGGCCAACATGGTGAACTAGTGAAACCCCATATCTACTAAAAATACAAAAATTAGCCAGGCGTGGTGGTATGCACCTGTAGTCCCAGCTACTCAGGAGGCTGAGGCAGGAGAATTGCTTGAACTCAGGAGGTGGAGGTTGCAGTGAGCCAAGATCACACTACTGCACTCCAGCCTGGGTAACAGAGCAAGACTGTCTCAAAAAAAAAAAAAAAAAGAAAAAAAAGAAAACACACCAAACGAACAAAAAAAAACCACAAATAAATTAAAAAATTCAAGGCACTAGCAAATTCGGTGTCTGGTGTGGGCCCATTCCTTATCAATGGAAACTTCCTGCTGTGTCCTCACAGAGTGGAAGGGGCAAAGGGTCTCACTTGAGCCTCATTTATAAGACAACTAATCTCATTCATGAGGTTGGAAGCGTCATGATTTGATCACTTCCCAAAGGCCTTAACTTTTTCTTTTTTTTTTGAGATGGAGTCTCGCACTATCTCCCAGGCTGGAATACAATGGCATGATCTTGGCTCACTGCAACCTCTGCCTCCCAGGTTCAAGAGATTCTCCTGCCTTAGCCTCCCAAGTAGCTGGAATTACAGGTGTCCATCACCATGCCCAGCTAATTTTTTGTATTTTTAGTAGAGACGAGGTTTCACTATGTTGGCCAGGCTGGTCTCAAACTCCAGACCTCTTGATTCGCCCGCCTTGGCTTCCCAAAGTGCTGGGATTACAGGCGTCAGCCACCGCGCCCAGCCAGGCCTTAACTTTTAAAACTACCACATTGGGTATTAGATTCCACTATATACATTTTGTGGGGACACCAACATTTAGACCATAGCAGACACTTTGGACCCCTGAGAACTGTGTAGAGTTTTGTGCCTTTTCTGATCCACATTCTTCATGTATTATTTTCTGAAAATTAAAGCAGGACCTCAGCCACCCAACAAAAACAGAGAGAATGTTCTGTGTATGTGCCCAAACTATGGCAAGTGGAAATACATTCAAGGGGAATGTCCACAGGCACTTGCCACCTCCAGTGGGCTAAGCACTTTATAGAAGTTATTTATTTTATTTTATTTACTCTCTTGCAGACACCTTTTATGTAGGTACCATTCTCTCCTTTTTCTACAACAAGAAAATGAAGCTGCAAGGAGAAGTGACACAGTCAGATTCCCCAGCCACAGGTGACAGAGTTAGTATTCCAACTCAATGCCCCCTGCTTTATACCTCATGCTTTTTCTACACCAAAGGACTGCCTGCTTGCCTTTTGCTGTTTAAGATTTAATTTCTATAGATTTCAACCATTCATTTTTTTAACTTTTATTTTGCCACCAAATTACCTAATGTTTTAATAAGAGGAAAATTTAATTGCTGTAATGTCTCTTAGTAATGACCAAGTCAAGCAGACTTTCTTAGAATGTTGGGAGGGAAAAGCAGATAGAGCCTGTGCTCTTTCAGTTTCTTTTCTAAATTCTCTCAGAGAGAGAGAGAGAGAGGGACTCATGAGAATGTGACTTTTTGTGCTTTTGAGTAAGGAGTATTTCCAGAAAAAGCAAATCACTTATAGCAGAATTGATTTCTTCCTTTGGGTGAGAACAGGCTGCCCTCTTCCTCATCCAACTTTATTTCCAGTTATTTCTCTCAAATGACCTTTTAGCCCCACCAGCATGCTTTCCTCTCCTCCCTCCAAACATCCCCCTCCCCCCTCTGAACATTCCTCAAGTAGTGCCCTGTGGCCATTATTCTGGGTTCTCAGGTCACCCCAAAGCTGAGTTTGTCAGAGGATGAGCTACACCTCTGTGAGTTGTCCCCCAAACCCTGGATAGTAACTACCTTGAGGTCAAAGACCATGTCTTATTCTTCTTTCCATCCTCAGACCCATGCTCCTTGCCTAACCAGTAGCATACACTCCACATGTGAGAAGTGTGGAGCGCCCCAAAGAGACAATCCTCAATGCCTTTATCACCAAGTGCCTGCCTTCGTGAGTCCTACCTGTCCTTTGGGGAAGTAGATCAGTTCTCCAGTACCCCAGAAGTCAGAACAGAGACTAGCAAGTGGAAGTTTCAAGAAATTAGATTGCAACGCAATGTAGGAAGAACATTCTAGCAGTTGATACTCTCTTTTTCATCAGATATGTTTAAGCAGAGTTGGTGGAACAGCTTTTAATAGAGATTACTAGCATATTCTTTCAACAAATATTTACTGCTACAAAATACAGGAAAATAGGGGTGTGGACCTCAGATTCTAATCAGGAGGATTCTGGAGGCATTGTTGGCTTTGTATTTCTCTGTTGTCTTTGGCACACCATCTTTCAGGACCTCTCTTGCCTCAGCTACAAAAGGAAGGGGTAGAGGAGACGTAAAAGTGAAAAGAGCTACTCACCCCACTGTGGACGTCTGTGCTAAAAAATAAAAGCAGTATTGGCAAGGCTATTTGTACCATGTGTCTATTGTAGCAAGGTTTATGTTAGCTGAAAAACAACTAGAAACCTTCTCAGTACAGCAATAGGACAATTATTGAATGAATTACGATGTATAATTGGCTTATCTGTATTTTAAGAGGAGATGGGACCTAAATTTCTGGTCAGTTCTTTCATTACCATTTGTTGGAGTTCAGGTTTTCAGGCTCTTTCTGGGCTAGAGAGTTCTTTCCCGGCTATCTTGCGGCAATTTGAAAGTCTGATATCAGTTTCCGCTGGGTTCCAAAGATCCAGGAGGAGCTTAGTGCTGTGTCTAGATTGCCAATGGACCCATCACAGAAGTTTAACCCAACTTTGATCCCAAAGCCTTCAAAAATGCTCACTGAAGAAAATTCCCAGGACAATTCAGGGCCTCTCATAACTTCTGCTCCGAGACATTGATAAAGAACCTTAAACTTGATTCTCAGCTCTGGTATCAAATTCCCTTCCTCTCTACCAGAAGGTTCACTCCAACAATAGGAGAAAAGAGAAATGATCTTCCAGGACATCAGAGATGGCTTACCTTACAGGAGGAGGGAGTAAGAACATTGCTGTCTGTATGGAAAGAAATGATGCTAAAATGTAGATACGTGTCACTTAGCAGGCTTCCTAGGCTTGAAAGAAAACAAACACTGGGCTTAAGGGAGTTCAGAATGATCAAGAAGTGAACCATTCAAATGTGGCTGTGGTTTCTATGTGTATCATAGATGGGATTCTTCTGAGAATGCTAGAATAGGGAATTATGGCACTGAGCCAATTCAGCCAGAAAGCTTATTCTCATACTTTTCTTTCTTGCTGGCAATTTTATGTAGCAGGTTGAGAAAGCTACTCTATGCTAGAATGGATTGTATACAAATAATTTTGATAATGAGTTCTATGATATATTTTTCTTCTTTTTTTTCCTTCCTACCATGAAATCAGTAATGTATGTAGTGTATGTAGTTTGAATGTATTTGGATAACCTCAGTATACTTTACCTTTACTCACTGTTTTGACCCGAAGAAATACGAAAAGGACATAAGTATTCCCATGTATTTTAGAAGGCTAAAGTCAGTGAGATGAAACCCAATATCAAGAATTTGATGCAAAGTAACTTGTGGGGAAAGAATGTAATGAAAACATTGGGTAGTTTGGCTAGAGCATAATAATTAGATTTTCCGGTTTTCAAAAATTTGGATACCAATGAAAGGAAATTTGATGTGCTATTTTTTTTTTTGCAATATTCAGTATCAAATAAATGTGTGTATAGAGAAACAATAAAATTGACATATTTGAGTAACTTAAAAAAAATAAACTACGATGCATCCATACTATAATTTTATAGCCTAATGTTAAAAGGATTAGGTTAGAAATCTACATACCCTGATCTGGGAATTTTACCTTGATATGTATATTACTAAGCAATGAAAAAGTATGGTATAGAGCATGATACCATTTTATACAGGTGTGTACATAAAAATATCTTTGCTATGAACATAAAAAAACGTGTAGAAAAACGCAATTGTTAATGCCTGTTATGTCAAGAGGGGGGACTAGAAGGAAAAGACGTGTCATCAGTTATAATTAGATTCAGGTTCCTACAACAGAAATCCCCAAAATAAGTGGCTGAGTAAAGAGGAAGTTTAGTTTTCTCTTGTAAAGGAAGTTCAGAAATAGATGGTCCTGAACTAATATGGCTGTAGCTCTAGGTCATCACTCAGGCTCTGTCTGCCTTTCTATTCCACTGCCCTTAACCACGGCCTTCCATCCTCAAGCCACCTGTGGTCTAAGATGACAGTCAGTGCTTGCAACATCATGCCCGGGCAGGAGCATGGAAGAAATAGTTTATGCCTCTTTTAGGGAGCTATCCCAGAAGTCCCACCAACCACACCTAACTGCAAAGGAAACTGGGAAATGTAGTTTTATTTTAGCTGGCCACAGTAACTGTGTTACATTGTATTGTATCATGTTGTATGCTACAGCGTTTGGGCAGCCCAGATAATATAAGAGTTTTATTACTAACCCAGAAATGGATAATGGATGTTGGATGGCCAAATAGCATTCCCTGCCACAAAAAGTTTATCAACTTTTTTTTGAAACAGACTTTCTACTGTTTAGCTAAATACAATGAAAAGTATTTCACAATTTAAAAAATCCAATTAGGAAAGTTTCTTAAAAGAGAGGAAGGAAATAACTTTGTATAAAAGCACTTATCATGAGCCAAGCTCATTTCCTGAGCATTTCACATGCAATCTCATTTCACCCTCACATGATCTCATGGAGAGGTGTGACTGCTCCTTCCCTTTCACAAGAGGAGGAGCCAAGATTCAGAGGGATGACACGGCTTTCCCAAAGTCTTGTCACCAAGAAGCACAGCCAGTATTGAAATCCAGGTGCGCGTGATTCTAAATCCTGTGGGGGCAATCTCTAGGGTCATTTTCAGGAGGGAGGAAAAAAACAGCAATTCATGTATGATTCTAGAATCCCAGATTTGATGGAGGCTATATTCCCTAACCAGATCATTAAGCTGAGAACAGGAAAGTGAATACTGGTGCTTCTCCAGCTGCCTGATCTCTGATGGATATTATCCAGTGGGTAGGCTTACCATGCCAGCCTATTTTTCTCCTTAAGATGTATTCATTTCCCAGCAACATGAATCCATCTTTCTTTCCTTTTTTTCTTTCTTCCTTCCTTGATTCATTTTGTTATTTTTCATGCAAACATACTTACTCATGCAGAGAAAAGGAGATGAAATTTTTTTAAATTCTTTTTTCTTCATTTCTTAACTAATTTAATCTAACTTCATAAGAGGAAGAAGAATAAGCTCAGGGTCTTACATAAACACTGAGCTCCTCTTGGATTTTCATGAGGGTGAATTTATGAGGAAATCATGGAAGGAACCTACAGAATAATATTATCCCAATCAAGATGCAGTCTGCTGCCTGCTGCCTGCTGCCTGCTGTGTGGGGAAACATGAGTGCCTTGGGTATTTTCCTTACAGCACTTACAATTTTAGACAGGACAGAAACAGATGCAAGAAGATATTGCATTCCTTCGTCCTGAGCTAACCTGGGGCTGGATTCTTAGTCTCTCTATACCACCAGAGATACACTGTAGTCCCTGAAACACAAGCTTTTCTCAGAAATACATGAGCTCCCCTCCATGAAGTCTGCTCCATATTAGATCTCTGTTTGTCCCCTCTAAATCCCAACCAAGGCTGTAGTCCTCTCCTCTGGAGTCGCAGAGAAGAAGGCAGAACTTCTTCCCCTCAAGGGTCCATCAAATATTAGCACACAGCTGTCATGTCTGCCAAAGTACATTCTCTAGTGGCTTGGGAGCGTGGAAAGGAGGCAGCCTGACCTGGGGTAGAATCCCAACTTTACTCCCTGCCTGTGGGACCTTGGGTCGATTTCATGCCTCTCCTGATATTTCATCATCTGTCAAAAGGAGAAAGTGAAATTATAGCTTCATTTTTCCTTCTCCAGTAGAGCATAAGTCCTTCAAGGGCCAGGGAAGCTATCTTACTCATCTCTGGACCCATATAAAGTTGCTTTGAAAATTCAGAAAAATAATAACATTGAACAAGGAATGTTTGTCTGTTAGTATCATGAAAAATGATTCCCTTAACCACAGAAGAATTGGCTAGAGACTGGCTTGTGGGAGGCAGCAGGGAAGGAGGGTTACTAGAGAACACTATGAAACCTGAAAGCCCAAGTTCAAACCTCACCCATCTCCACCACCAGCTAGCTGTGTGACCTTCAGCAAATTATCTGACCTCTCTGTACCAGTTTCCTCATCTACAAATGGGAATAAGAATAGTGATTATCGGGTGTGGTGGTTCATGCCTATAATCACAGCACTTTGGGAGGCCGAGGAAGGCAAATCACTTGAGGTCAGGAGTTCAAGACCAGTCTGGCCAACATGGTGAAACCCTGCCTTTACCAAAATATACAAAAATTAGCTGGGTGACAGAGTGATACCCTGTCTCAAAAAAAAAAAAAAAAAAGAATAGTATTTATCTTACCCAGGAGCTGACTCATGCAAAGTGCTTAAAACAGTCTTAATAATAGATTTTATCATCATAGGCTGTTGTGTGTTATTATTCCTGAAGCTGCTGAGGGAAGAATGAGGTCTCACTCTCACCACATTCTCTCCAGGCAATAGCTACTCCCAGAAAACATGGTGCTTCTGTGGCCAGAGCTCAGAGTTTCAAACCAGTGAGAAGTATTGCCAGGACTCGGCCTTCCCCTCCCAACTGTGCCTATGGTGGTACTTCAGGCTCAGACAAAACATCAGTTGAGTAAGGCAAACAGCCTTTCCAACCATTTTTCTCAGTGGGAAAGATGTTCTTGGACTGGATTTTCCGCCCCTCCAGGGCTAAGTCAGGACACTTGAACTTGATGCATTTATTGAGCATTCTGTGCTGTTGGATTATGTATGGCTTTATCTCAAGAAAATCTGCCAAAAGCCCTAAAGGGCAGCTCCTTTGAGGAGCTACACACTATTTATTAAACTCCTACTGAATACCATACCCTGTGTTAGGTTCTATATATACATCACTTTATTCAATTCTCTCAACAGCCTCAGTTGAACGTTGAATTCCATCATTTGATAAGTAATTCTGGAACACATGTAGTACCAGTGTAGTGGGGTGGTTAAGCTGGCGGGTTCTGGAGGCGTCAGCCTGGCTGTGATTTGATGGCCACCATGTCCTAACTCCATCTGGGGCATGCTGACTTCCCCTCTCCAAGCCTCTGCCTTGTCACGGGTAAAATGGAGATACTAACTGGGCCAGGGAGGGTAACATGAGAAGGTCCTTGCGGGGTACCTGGCATGCACTGTGCACTCAACAGTGCCAGTAAATGGGGTACCTGGAATGGCCCAGGCCCTGGGGATAGGGAGGTGATGGAATTGCAGTCTGCAGTACTTAGATGCTCAGAGTTTAGGGGGAAAGGTGGTGAAGTGAGCCTGAAATCCCAGTGCTCTCCGTTCACCAAAGAGGATCTTGAGGCTTAAAAGCCTCAGCAGCTTGCCCAAGACTATCCGCACCCCCAAGTGGAGTACTAAGTCCTACTACCCTTGGAGAACTGTATGCTGACCCCGTCTTCCCTCATGAGCCAACCCTGGGTCCCCAGTTACACACATTCTCCACCTATTCCTGCCCTCCTCCCCCACCCCAGAGGGAGAGCATCGCATGTGCAGAATCTCCTTGGGAGACCCTGCCTGGTTGAAGAATATATGCTTTTCTGGGCATGCTTCTCTCTGAGTCTGGGCGAGCCCCCAGGGTGTGGTCAAGGCAACTGGAGAGGCCTTGGCACATTTGCCTTTGATATAGGAGATGGAAAGAAATTATTTAGGCAGATAGTAAGGACAAAAGAGTCCCCAGCAAGGTTTCTCTTTTAACAAAAAGCAGCCCCCAAATCATTTCTTTTCTAACAAAGAGCAGCCTGAAAAATTGAGCTGCAAACGTAGATAAGCAAGCTGCAAACTTGCACAGGTGAATGCCGGCAGCTGTACCAATAAAAAAGGGCTACCTGGAAGCCAGGTATGTTCAACATGGAGGCTCCATCTTCCCTTTTCTTTGTCACCATATGCACAGTAAAGGAACAGGCAACATGGCACTGACCAGGTAGAGAACCCATCTACACAATGAAAGATTAGGCTGGGGTGGCCAGCTTCTTTGTGTGCAATGCAACGGCACACCTAATCCTAACCAGTTTTTCATGCACTTTGCAAATGGCACACCTGGTCTGACCAATCTTTCGTGCCCTATGTAAATCAGACACCTCCTCAAGCTCATCTATAAAACCTTCTGCATTTCACTGCCAAAGTGGCAACCCATTTCTCCAGGACCCCTCTCTCTGCAGCAGAGAGAGCTCTTATCTTTCTTTCACCTGTTAAACTTCCACTCTGAACATCACTCTTTGTGTGTCCTCATCCTAGCTTTCTGTGGCCTTGAGACAAAAGATCTCAGGATTTATCCCAGACAACGATGCCATTTCACCTTAATCAGGAGGCCTTCTGTTTTGCACAGCACAGTGCTGGCAGCCCATAGCCCCACTGCTTTGCCTCATTGCTTTGGAAGAGGGAGGGGTGGGGGATGGGAAGACTCCATCAGAAGAAAGCAATCAGTGAGGCTGGCCTTGTGTGGGAACAGGAGAAGGGGGCTCAAGAGAAATGGAGAGGGATAGTTTCTAGTGTTCACTGATACTTGGGCCACATCAGCCCAAGGCTTCTGAGTGACTCAGGGATGCTTGCTATGTTGGTTTTGGCAGGGAAACAGAAAAGAAGGCACAGGTGCTGGCATCAGGACTTCCTCAAACTCCCTCAAAGTCTGCAAGCCAACCAAGTACATCGGTTTCCCCTTTGAGACATCTTGGCACCCAGCCTTTCTCTGCTTCTGGTCCTCACAAATCTGAATGTGTGGAATCACATGAAATTCTCCAGCTTCCTGATTTCCTCTGGTCATTATCCAGGCTACATGACTTCCCAGCTCTACCTCCATCCCATCTGGACTCCAGTGTGGGACCTTGACAAGAAAGAGCCAACCACCATGCCAGCTCTAGTTCCTAGCAGTGAGATGCCCTTGGGCAAGTTACCTAATTTCCTTGCATTTTAGGGCCCCACCTGTAAAATGGGAATAACAGCAGCATCTCCCTGAGATGTTCTTTCAAAGATGAGAAAACATGAACAACTGGACTCTCTTGCCCAAGCCATGGTCTCAGTGTTTCCTAAGATTTAAAACATTTCATCCTGAAGACAGACTCTGAGGTAGGTAGGATTGTTGGTGTCTGTATTTTACAGAAGAGGAGAGTGAGGACCAGGGAGCATAGGAGCACTTAGGTGCCAGTGGTGTGGTAGTAAATAAAAGGATGATGGAGCTGGAAGCTGAACTGGGAGGTGTAGGTACTGATTCTTGATCCTCACCCAAGGAAGGAGGGTACTGAGCCTGGATCCTTACCCAAAGCAGGAGGGTACTGAGCCTGGATCCTCACCCAAGGCAGAAGGGTAGAAAGTCCAGGGGTCAGATTCAACCACTGTAATTGGAAAGGCACTGAGCTCTCTATGCCTCAAGCTCCTCATCTGGTGAGCAAAGTGGAGCCTTGAAGGGCTTGAAGCTAGGTGGGGGACACAATGTTAAGTGTGGCTAACTAGCCTGGCCCTGAGGGACTGTTGTGAGGATTATCTGCCTAAGCCCAGCATGGTGCCTGGTCTTTGTTAAGGGCTCCCTAAGGTCGGTTCAGCAGACAGGTTGTTTTTCCGAGTGGATTTGGATCAGTTGAAGACCTCCCTTCTCTTTTGATCCCCAGATGCTCTCTGCACTTGGCTGGAGGAGAGATGAGCAATGCTCTGGAAGTGCTGAAGCCCTGGGCTCTTGGAGCTGCCTGCCTGAGGCTGAGCTGTGTGGGAGGAGAAGAAGAACAGCAACAGCCTGGGGAGACAAACACACAAACAAACCTACAAACAAGGGATGTGTTTGTTACTGAAAGAGAAAGGGCCCATTCAGCTCTAGGCCCTAGATGCTCAATGCTTCCTCCAGGCCTGGAGCCCAGGCAGCTGTCACATTTATCTATCCCCAAAGCCACCTGTGACCCCTGGCTGCTGCACGGGAGGTCCCTGGGCCTGCAAGGGTGGGGGTGGTGACCCTTTCCCTCATGGCTCATGGGTTGGCTCCTCAGGCCCTGTCCCATGGCCTGGGTGGGGTCTCCTTCTCCTTCCTCTTCCTCCACTCGGTGGCTCTATTCTTATCCTTCACCTCTGAAGTCCCAGGGACAAACAGTGGGGCCCTCTGGATGAAGAGAGGGCTTGAAATGCTGATGGCTGGAATGGAGAGAATTATTCAAACCATCCTGGGGTGAGAAAGAGGAGAAGGCAAAGTAACATTTTTTGAGCACCTACTATGTGCTTGACACACTGCTGAGCCATTTCATCTAATACTTCCAGCCAAAAGGAGTGGCGGCTCAGAGCTCGAGCAGCTGGCTCTGACTGACAGTGCATTCCCTTTCCAGGAAAAGATCCACCCCATGGGGCTGTGATGTTAAGAAACAGGACAGGGAAGCATAAAGGCTACAGTGAGTGAGGGAGTAGCTGACACACAGTAGTGTTCAATAGATACTGTGCCCCCATCCTGAGTCCCTATGCATTTTGTAGAAGACTTGTTTAATGGAAAGGAAAAAACCATGCTATAACTGATCCATTTATTTTATTCAATAAATATTTACTGAGCACCTACTGTGTGCCAGAAACTGTGTAGGGGCTGAAACACATCAATGGCCAAGATGGAAACTGGGAAAGTGCCCCTGCCCTTGCGCAGTTTACATTCTAGTGGAATGGCCAGGAGAGGGACCCTTCACGTGCACTTGTCCAGCACAGCTGTGTTGAGTGCTGACTATGTGTCGGGCTCTGGTCTCTGCATGGTGTTCTTCAACCTGAGTGTCAGGCTAGGAAGCAGCACTGACTGCCCTGGGCTGTACTGAGCCTCCATGGGGATTTCAGAAAAGGTGCTCTTTCTTCTGACATCTGCCAGAAAAATGTCTCTAATCAGTATGCAAATTGATAATGATAATAACATATAAACACCAACCTCTGGGGTTGTGCAGTGAACAAACTACCCAACTGTCCCCAACAGGGCTGCTCAGAACCACCCAGGAGCCCCTCCAACCCTGCGTGTATGTCCCTCCAGTGTTCTTCCACACACTGCAATAGCTCCATCATGATGCGTACGAATTGTGATGAATGAAAATAAGAGCTTCCATTGGCTGAAGACTCACTAAGTTTCCATAAACCACTAATATTCCAAATTCCCAATTCCATTCAGTCCCCGCATTCCCCTATGAGGTAGCATTTATGGGTTCAGTCACGTGCCCCCAATATTCATATGTTGAAGTCCTAAGCCCTGACCTCGGGATGTGACTGCATTTGGAGATGGGGTCTTTGAAGCTATAATTAAGGTAAAATGAGTTCATTAGGGTGGACCCTTATCCAACGTGGCTGATTTCTCAAAAGAAGAGATTTGAACACAAAAGCGTGCAGAGGGAAGACCAAGTGAGGACACAGGCCAGCTACAAGCTAAGGAAAGTGGCCTCAGAAGAAACCAGCTATGTAGGGACCATCCCTTGATCTTGAACTTCTAGCCTATAGAACTGTGAGAGAATGAATTTCTGTTGTTTAAGCCACCCTGTCTCTGGTACTTTATTGTGGCAGCCCTTGCAAACTAATACAGATAGATTCTATTATTTCCCCCGTTTTTACCAATAAACACACTGAGTCAGTGAGAGGTTATGTACCATGTCCAAGGTCACGAGCTAAGAGGTAGGGACGTGGGGTTGGAACTCAGCTCTGATTCCACACCCATGCACTTAGCCCCACTGCACTGCACAGATTTTTCCTTTTTAATCCCTTTTTGGCCCCTTCAGAGGGGCATGTCTTAACTGGATCTCTGCAGGGTGAGCATGTCAAAAGAGAGGTTGGCACTGAGACTCCACACATCCACAAACCCTTACCCTGGGCCAGCCCTGCAGAGCCCTGGGCCATGGGCTGTCTGCCCAGGCATCTGGGACAAGCTAAAGAAGTTCTCTACTCATTCTGTTTTATTTTCTAAACATTATTGGTCTTTGGAAGTAGTGACCTTTGAAGAAAGAAAGAAAAATTCCAGATATTCCAAAGATAGTGAGTAATCTCTGCAGTCAACCCTAGACCAGGGAAGAGCAAGGATTCTCTGTGAAGAGCCAGACAGCAAACCTCCCAGGCTCTGCTGGCCAGAAGCGTGTGGCAGCCACTCCACTCCACCACCTCAGCTCAAGACCGCCATAGGCAGTGTGCAAATGAATGAACACAGCTGGCTTCCATTATAGCTTTATTTATAGACACTAATATCTGGATTTTATATCATCTTTCCATGTCACAAAATATTCTTCTTTTGATTTTTTTAAACTATTTAAAAATGTAAAAACCATTCTTAGCTTTCGATCCTTACAAGAAAGGGCTTTGGGCTGGATTTGGGTTGGTGTAGATTGTTGTATTCATCATTTCTGAGAAGGAATTTTTAGACTCTCAGAGCTGGGAAGGCCTAATGACCCAATGAGCCCTAGTTTGGTTTACAGATGGAGACGCAGATGCTCAGAGCTCTGGTGACTTCAGGATCATGAGCTCTTGAGGGCCATGGTTCCACCTCCAGTCTCATGGCTCAATCCCTTCTTCCCACCCTGAGAACACAGCCCCACCAGGAGAGTGAGGATGTTTCTTTCCAAAATAAACTCTAAACCCAGGGGCCAACTGGCTCAGCTCCTATCTGACAAATTTCCTGAAGCAGTCCACTACTAAGGCTGAAAGGCAGTACGTTACAGCAGGTAGATGCTCAGAGTGGTGCGAGATGCACAGCGTGTCCTATGTTCAGGTTTGTGGTGATGTCAACACAGTAACTCAGGCTGAACTCACAGCCCACGCTGGGCTCTGCACAAACACCTTCTGGAGCATTATTGCATCATCACCATTAATCCCCCTGATAACCCTACAAGGTGAGTGATGTCTGTTTTACAAATAAGAAGATCGAAGCTCAGAGGTTAAGTCACTTCACCAAAGACACACAGCTAACAAGTGGCAGCCCAGGCCTCAAATCCAGGCCTGACTGGCTTTCTTGCTGGGTGTTCAGGGGTGACAGGACCAGGCCCCCCTCTGCCCTGCTGGCCCCAGGAGCATATTCCTTCATGTCAGACCACCAGGCCTTCTGTTGGGGTTGGTCATGTGGTCACCCTCGCCATGGGGCTGATGCAGGTGGCATGTTCCCGGTGTGTTCACAGGGATATTTCTCAGAGAAGATGAGTCATGCAGAACTCCATCACTGAGACGCCCCTACAGGCAGTAGACTCAGAAGCCAAGATGACATCACCACCATCTTCCCTCTCTCCTGCCCAGACTGTTTAAAACTGATCCTGACAGATAAACAGTCACGTAGGAAATGACACGCATATGGAGATGCCTGTTGTTGTGTTGTGTCTGAAAGCAACAACGTGAAATTAACCCAGATGCTAAAAGAAGGGCTGAGTTTGATGAATGATGGTCTATTCAAACGGCAGGACAATGCACAGCCATTAAAGTGTTCCTAAGGAATATTTGTATTTATTGCCCTGGAGCAACAGTGTATCAAGAGATGAAACTGATTATAAAATCATGTGTCTGGTAGAATGTCATTTAAATGAAAAAAGCATGATATATGTGCATAGAAAGTAACTGGAATTTGACCAGGCATGGTGGCTTACACCTGTAATCCCAGCATTTTGGGAGATAGAGGCAGGCAGATCACCTGAGGTCAGGAGTTCGAGACCAGCCTGGCCAACATGGCAAAACTCTGTTTCTACTGAAAAATTAAAAAATTAGCTGGGTATGGTGTCGGGTGCTTGTAATCCAAGCTACTCCGGAGGCTAAGCAGGAGAATTTCTTGAACCTGAGAGGCCGAGGTTGTAGTGAGCCGAGATTGTGCCACTGTACTCCAACCTGGGCGACAAAGCGAGCCTCTATTCCTCACCCAGCAAAAAAATAACTGGAATTGTATACACCAAAATGTTAACACATTATTTTGAGTGTATTTATTCCTTCATTCACCCAACTAACATTTATTGAGTTAACAGCCCATTTATGTGCCAGGAAGCACACTAAGTGCTAGGAACAGAGTAGTAAATACAACCAGGGGATGGGATGATGACTGATTTTTTTATTAGACTATTTTGTAGAGCAGTTTTAAGTTCACAGCAAAGCTGAGAGGAAGGCACAGAGATTTCCCATATACTCCCTACCCCTAAACATGCATAGCCTCCCCCATTATCAACATCCCCCATCAGAGGGTACATTGTGACAGCTGATGATCTTACAGAGACACATCATCATCACCAAAGACCATCATTTACATTAGGGTTCGCTCTTGGTGTTGCACATTCTATGGATTTTGACAAATGTATAATGACATGAATCTAGCATTAGAGTATCATGCAGAGTTTCACCATCCTAAGCATCCTCTGTGCTCTGCTTATTCCTCCCTCCCTCCGCTCTAGCCCTCGGAAACCACTGATCTTTTTACTGTCACTAGTTTTGCCTTTTTCAGAATGCCATATAGTTGGAGGCATATGATATGTAGCCTTTTCAGATTAATTGCTTTCACCTAGTAATATGCATTTCAGTTTCCTCCATATATTTTCAGGCTTGTTAGCTCATTTCTTTTTAGTGCTGAATGATATTCCACTGTCTAGATGAGCTACATTCTATTTATTCATTCACCCCCTAAAAGACATCTTAGTTGCTTCCAAGTTTTGGCAATTACGTGTGAAGCTGCTACAAACGTCTGCATGCAGGTTTTCGTGTGGACATTCGTTTTCAATCCTTTGGGTAAATACCAAGGAGCACAGTTGCTGGGTAGTGTGGCGTATTAGTTCATTTTCACACTGCTATACATACCTGAGATTGGGTAATTTATTAATAAAAAGAAAAAAGGCTTAATTGGCTCACAGTTCTGCAGGCTGTTCAGAAAGCATAGCGGCTTCTGCTGGGGAGACCTCAGGAAACTTTTACTCAATTTTGCTGGCAAAGGGAGAGCCAGCATTTCACATGGCCAGAGCAAGAGGAAGGGGGGTGCCACACTGTTTTAAACAATCAGTTCTCATGAGAACTCACTATCACGACAACAGCACCAAAGGGGGATGGTGTTAAACCACAAGAAATTGCCTCCATGATCCAGTCACCTCCCACCTGGCCCCAGCATTGGGGATTACATTTCAACATGAGATTTGGGTAGGGACACAGATCCAAACCATATCATATGGTAAAATTATGTCCAGTTTTGTAAGAAACTGCCACACTGTCTTCCAACATAGCTGTACTATTTTACATTCTCACCAACTGATATGGTTTGGCTCTGTGTCCCCATCCAAGTCTCATCTCCAATTGTAATCCCCCCATGTGTCAGGGGAGGGACCAGGAGGTTGGTGATTGGATTATGGGAGCGGTTTACCCCACGCTGTTCTCGTGATGATGAGTGAATTCTCACGAGATCTGATGGTTTTAAAGTGTGGTTCTTCCTCATTCTCCCACACACTCCCTCCTGCTGCCTTGTGAAAAAGGTGCCTGCTTTCCCTTCACTTTCTGCCATGATTGTTAAGTTTTCTGAGGCCTCCTAGCCACACTTCCTGGTAAGCCTGCAGAACTGTGAGTCAATTAAACCTCTTTCCTTTGTAATTACCCGGTCTCAGGTGGTATTCTATTTATTTATTTATTTGAGACAGAGTTTCACTCTGTTGCCCAGGTTAGAGTGCAGTGGCATGATCTCTGCTCACTGCAACCTCCGCCTCCCAGGTTCAAGCAATTCTGCCTCAGCCTCCCAATTAGCTGGGCTTACAGGTGCCTACCATCATGCTCAGCTAAATTTTTGTATTTTTAGTAGAGACGGGGGTTTCACTATGTTGGCCAGGCTGGTCTCAAACTCCTGACCTCAAGTGATCCACCTGCCTTGGCCTCCCAACGTGGTGGGATTACAGGTGTGAGCCACTGCGCCCAGCTTCAGGTGGTATTCTTTATAGTGTGAGAACAGACTAATTCACCAGCAACGAATGAGAGTTCCTTTTGCTCCACACATCCTCTCCAGAATTTGGTGTTGCCAGCCAGTGTTTTGGATTTTGGCCATTCTAATAGTGACATCTCATTAGACTTTAGTTTGCAAGTCTCTGATGACTTATGATGTTGAGCATTTTTTATATGCTTATTTGCCATCTGTGTGTCTCCTTTGGTGAGGTATCTGTTCAGGCCTTTTGCCCGTTAAAAAAAATTGTATTGTTTCTTTATTAAATTTTAAGAGTTCTTTGTATATTTTGGATAACAGTCCTTTATCAGACATGTCTTTCGTAAATATTTTCTCCCAGCCTGTGGCTTGTCTTCTCATTCTTGTGATGACAGGTGATTTTAAATTTCTTCTTCTTGATTATCTCATTTTAATAATTGTTTTGCAATACGTGTGCATCACTTGATTATTGATTTTTAATCTTTTTAAAAAGAATTTAAAAGTTGAGCTCAAAGCAGGAAAGGGAAGCTTTATATGTATGCCATTTAATAATATTTACACTAGCCCTGTGAGGCAAAAATATACCACTCTCATGTGTGTGTGTGTGTATATGTGTGGGCACATGTTCATGCATGCACAGGTGCAGAAAACCAGAGTCTAGAGAGGAAAAGTACCTGGCTCCAGGTCACACAGCTCGGAAGGGCCACCGGTAGATTTGAACGTGGCCCTGTCTGACTCTAGAACTTGTGGTACTTGTTTTACACAGAAGCGCACTCACAGAGGAGATATGGCTCTGCTGGCCCCTCTGTGGCACAAGCTGCCCCTTTTAGGACTCTGTGTCCACCACAATCAGCTTGGCATTGTCTTGCCTCTTGCATCTCATCACTTTCTTCTCAGCTCTAACTCCTAGAAATGATTCCGGATTCTTTGCAGTGACCAGCCCAGCTTCAAATCACTGATGACTGTCTCCAGGGCAAAAGGGGAAGCTCGGTGGGGTATGGGAGAAGCAGACAGGAATGGCCAGCACATAAAATAGGCCAGGAAGCCCCTCCCCTCCTTGCTCAGGGCAGCTCTCCCTGCTATTTCTGCCAACAGCCGGGCTAGCCCGGCCTGCAGCAGGCAAACCTGCTCATCACCTTGCTCATGGCCTTGAGCTGAGCTTAATGTGCCTCACCTGAGACTAGCCAGATACTGTGACTTAGCAGACAATGTTCTCGCCTGAAACCTCTCTAAAGCTCTAGCCCAGGGCTGGTCCCTAGCAGCCCCCGAATGCATGTCACATGCATGACACCCGGTGATTGGCTGGCCTCACAGATGCTTCCTCACCTCCTTCCATGGGTGCCACGTTATCACTGTTGCATCGTTGCTTTCTTGTTGCCACCCTTTCGTTCATTTATTGAACAGAAACGTATGGAGCACCTGCTATATGCCAGGCACAATTCTAGACTCCAAAGGTTCAATGGTGAACAAGAAAGTCCAAAACATTCCTTCTCTCATGGAACTTACTTTCCAATAGAAGAAGATAGACTTTAAGCAAAATAAATTTGTATCTTACATAAAGCTGCATATGAAACCCTGATCAGTGCCACAAAGGAAGAGAAATGGGAAAGAACAGGGCATGAGGTGTGTGGGAGGTTTGCAATTTTAAATAAGTAGTTCCTTTAAATAAGTATTTTTTTGTCCTGTTACCCAATAAAGCTACTTTTAAGCCTTCTTCAAAGTTAATCATACGTCAGCCTTTTACAAGCAGAATCACCTGACGCTTTTTATTTGTTTTCCCTTTAGGTTTTTGTCCCTCTCTTAAAGTGAATGGTCACAGAGCCATGAGCAGGTGGAAGATGCAGGTGGAGGCATCTTCCCTGTCACCGTTGGTATGTCTGGTTGAAACCTGCAACAAGGTATGTTTGGTGTTCTTGGTTGGGTAGGAGGCTGCAGTTGCAGCTTGGAGTTAAACAGGGGGCCTCAGGCCACCAAGGACAGAGCCATGTGGAAACCCTGTGCCCTGGAGCCTCCTGTCTGCAGTCTCTGTGTCCTCCTGCTGGGTCACCGGCCCTGGGCAGCAGCCTGCTGCACCATAGGGGGCTCCACCCACAGACCCCGCCTGTTCCTCACCATGCACCTTTGCCTCCAGCCACATTCTGCATGGGCCTTCTTGTTCCTCCACGTGGCAGTGCGGCTGCCGCCTGGGATTCCGGGCTGTGTCCCTTCCCTATCTGTGCTGGGACAGCATCCTTGCACAGCCTGACTTTGCAGCCAAGTCCTTTAACTAGTCATTCTGTTTTTTCCTTTCTGTGGCCAGTGCTTGGCTATTGAGCAGTCTCCCCCTGCGCCGCCTGTCCTGAACTCACCCCAGCTGTCCCTCCCCAGACCTCAGCAGAGCCCTCTCCTAAAGTCCCATGGTCTGAGCTTAACACCTCCCAGTGGCTTCCCAGTGCTCAGAGACTCAGGCGTCACCCAAGGTGCTCAGCGACAGGAGCATTGCTGACTCCACACGCCCCACACACCACTCAAAGGCCACTCACGTAATAACAAAGGTCGGAGTCCAGCTCCAGAACCTCAAATGCAAACCCCAGCTCTGCTGATTTCTAACCAGGCAGCAGTGGGCAAAGAATTCAGCTTGTCTGTGTCTCCTCATCTTAGAACTTTAACACTGGTGTCCTTTTCCCCTAGGGAAATGGATGGAATCATTGAGGTAATGCAGGCATAGCACTGAGAGGTGGACCTGCCATATAAGCGCTTGCAACTGTGACTAAAGCACAAAGTGGAAAGGGATTTGGCAGACAGTCAGGGTGGCCAGGTTCTCTGGCATTGCCACTTCCTGGCTGTGTGATCTTGGGCAAGTCTCTTGACCTCTCTGAACTTCACATTCTTCTGGAAAGTGGAGATGTGGGTCTTGGTGAGTTTTGAGAATCGAAAGAGCAGATGGAGGCTATAAACTGCTCTGCAAGTGCTAAAGCATGGTGCAAATGATGCTGTATGTCTTGAAATATATCAACTGTAGACAGTATTGATATTTTACATTTAAAATAAAATCAAATGAGATATTCAGTTTCTTTGTCACATGTCAAGTGCCCCATAGCCGCATGTGGCCTGTGACCATCACGTTGAAAGAGCACACCCAGCACCTACTCATTCATTCACCACACATTCCTAGGGCAGGGAGTCTGTCCCAGTGTCAGCCACAGTGCCCTGGGGACACAGAGAGCCACCGTTCTGTCCTAGGACAACATTATGCTGGTCCCTTCCCTCCCCCACCAGTCACCTCCCTTCCCTGTGCCTCAGTCTTCCCTCCCACTCTGTAAAATGCGCAAAAGGGGGTAGAGTTTGTCAATGATCCCACTCAGCATGGCTCATGAAAGAGAAATCACACAGTCTTCAGGGTTAGGCTGAGCTAGGTTTGAATCTCGGTTCCTTGCATAAGTCACAAACTGTCTCTGAGTCTCAGTTTCCCCACTTGGCCTGGCAGGATTGCAGAGAGGATTGCAGGAGGTAGCTTTTGTGGCACCATCAGCACAGCAAACTACCAGTCCTGCGTTTAATGCCTGTAGAGCGAGGTGAGGGTTGAATGGAGGCAGAAGGAACATGTGAGGTCCCCACAAAGAAGAAGAGAGAGATTGGGAGGGAGAGGCAGGGGCGGCTCTGTTGCTGCAGGCTGAGCTGCTGCAGGGGTGCACGTGGCGGGTGGCACGTTCCCTCCCCCCACTGGGCTCTGCATCTGGCAAGAGGTGGGGCACAGCTCGGACAGCTTAGCTCACGTGTTGCTGAGTCACCTCTGGGCCTTGAGGGATTCCTGGGAGGGGCGTGAGGTGCTGCACGTCTCCATGTGGGAGGAAGATGGGAGGTGGCTTCCAGCCTCAGCCCTCCCTTGCCTTCAGCCTTCCCACTGCCCTCCCCTTCTCCAGCCTGGAACAGTGGCCTTGGGATTGTGCCAGGCAGTGACAAGCACCCATGGCCTGGGCAAGCCCCGACGGGGAAAAGACCCTGGTTTCCCAGGTCCCAGCTAAGGGCCCACTTGGGGTTTAGGAGTTGAACCCAGGCCCTGCCCCAGCCCTCCTGGAGCCCAGCTCAGTGGAGGAGACAGGCCTATAATTCTACCCCAAGGTGCATGGATGTGAGGTGCCAGGCCCTGCCACCAGCAACGGTAACCCTGGGTGGGACTCTTTGCTCTCTGAGCCACAGCTTGCAGGTCTGAAAAATGGATACGAACACCTGCTCTGCCCAGTCTCTTCTGGACCTGAGGGCATGTGCTGTGCAGATGGCAGGGCCTCCGTGAAGTCAGAAGCTGAGGCTGGCTCAGAGGAGGCTGACTGCAGCGGGCCAGCCTGGAGCAGGGAGGGCACCTGATTCTCGCTGGGGAGAAGCCTGGCTTTGCCATGCAGAGGATTTGGATGATGGAGGACTTGGGACCTCATTTAATACCCCCGGCTTAGTTTCCTTCTCCCTCTTAAGGCAAAGTGTGTGCTGAAGGTGAGGAGAGGATGGCTGTGAGCAGCAGGGGCTTCCTGGGTGCCCAGGTGGCTTCCCCCTTACATGGCAGGTGCCTGGGTAATCTGTGGAGTCATATGGTTTCTCATCTGGCTACTGCGTGTCTCCTGTCTAGACTGTCAGCTGCCTGAGGGCAGGGCCCTTGAGGCCCCGTTTGCAGCTATACCCCCAATTCCTGAGCCCTCAGGAAATGCTTGTTGAATGAATAAAAGGGAGTGGATAGCAAAAGGCATGCTGAGAGTAGGTACACCCTCACCTCGTTGCCCCAGGAGGTCTTGTGTTTCCATAGGGGCAGTAACAAGGGTTGCTGTGAGACCCCAGCTGGGCACCAGATCCTGAGAAGGTGAGTGAGAGCAGAAGGTGGGTGAGAGCAGAAGGAGAGTGAGAGCGGAAGGTGAGTGAGAGCAGAAGGTGGGTGAGAGCAGAAGGAGAGTGAGAGCGGAAGGTGGGTGAGAGCAGACGGTGAGTGAGAGCAGGTGAGTGAGCGCAGAGGTGAGTGAGGGATCGGAAGTTTCTAGCAGCCTAAAAGCACTGAAAAAAAGAAGAGACTCATGTTTTCTCCCCAGGAGGCCCCAAGGAGTAACTGTGACATCGGGCGGCAGGGGTGGGGGGGGCAGTGCCGGTGAAGGACCCACCCCTGCCTGCAGAGCAGGACACTGGGCCAGCTCAAAGCAGTCAGAGCTGAGGAAGGGCATGGCAGACAGGCTTGGGTCTGGCTACATGACTCTGCCTGTGCTCTGCACCTCACCACGTGGGCCTCAGTTTCCTCCTCTGTCAAATGAGTGAAGATTGAGATGAATGAATATTATTATGGCACAGAGAAGACAGCTAATTGGGTTCAAATGGCAGAGTTTTGCTGCCATGAATTATCCCTTCAATAACTGCTGTTTAATTGAGGAATGACTCACCCAGAGAGAAAAATGCACAGAGTGTGTACATCTTAAGTGGATGTACATCTTAAGAGTGAGAATTTTTTACATATGTATACATCATGAAGCAACCACTGAAGTCAAGACAGAGAACATTCCCCGGCTTCGCAGACTCCTGGTGCCCCTTCCTGGTCAATATCTAGCCCTTCTCTGAGAAGCAACCCCAGCCTTTCTTTCCATGAGCTTGTTTTGCCTGATCTTGAACTTCCTACGAAAGGAACCCCACAATGCCTCTGTATCTTTGTGACTTCTGCCTTCTTTTTCGCCAGCCCATCTCCTACCCCCCCTTTCTTTGGTAAAGGGGCTTTGTTTGCCTTTGGTTCCTGTCCCTCCTTCACACTCAGTCCATCTAGTTTGGGGGACTCTCTCTGTCCCCCAGCCCCACCTCCAGAGATGCACACGTGAGCCAGCCTGGTTCATGAGCTTCCCACAGCTGCTGTAACAAATTGCCACAAAATTAGCAGCTTACAATACCACCAGTGTATTTTTTCTTTCTTTCTTTTTTTTTTTTTTGAAATGAGTCTTGCTCTGTAACCCAGGCTGAAGTGCAGTGGTGCCATCCCGGCTCACTGCAACCTCCGCCTCCCAGGTTCAAGCGATTCTCCTGCCTCAGCCTCCTGAGTAGCTGGGATTACAGGTGCGCCAACACTGTATTTTCTTAGAGCTCCAGACATCAGAAGTTTCAAATGGGTTTGGCTGGATCAAGAGGTGTCAGCAAGGCCAAACTCCCTCTTGGAAGCTCTAGGGGAGAATCATTTCTTTGACCTTCCCAGCTTCTAGAGGCTGCTTGCATTCCTTGGTAAAGCCGTTTCCTCCATCTTCAAACCATGGCTCAAACTATGCTTCCAAGGCCACCTCTTCTCTCTCAACTTCCCCTGATAAGGACTATTGTGATTATACCAGGGCCACCCAGACAAATGGGGAGAACGTCTCCATCTCAGGATCCTTAATTTAAATCTATCTGTAAAGCCTCTTTTGCCATAGAAGGTAACACATTCCCAGGTTTCAGGGATTAGCATGTGGACATAGGAGAAGGGGATGATGGTGCGTATACATTATTTAGCCAACGAGTGCATCTGGCCATGGCGAACATTCCTTTCCCTGGTCATTGTGACTGACTCTAATTGGACCATGACCCAAACCAGTCCAGTGAGAGTTGCCCAGAGGGCTTTTGCTGAAACTCTATAGGAAATGGTAACTGGGTAGGATACAAGCCTGAAGCTGCTGCGAGACCGAAACTTAATCATTGCTTGGGAAGTTTGCCTGACATTGAAGACAACATAAAGGAGAGCAGAGCCATGGCACATGGACATGGATACATGCATGAGCACACGTGTGCACACACAGGCACACACATGCACGCACACACATGCACACACACACGTACACACACACACACACACACACACATGCTATTCTGATGACAATGTCTAAATATCTGAATCCAGCCCTGCCTGAAGCTCGCAGCCCCTTCAGAATTTTGGGCCACATGAGCCAGAGTATTTTCCTTGTGTCTTAAGTCCATTTGAGTTGAGTTTCTGACACTTGGAATAGAAAGACACCTTAGAAACACATACCTATGATTCTGTTTCCCCAAAGACTCTGGAATTCAAAATGGGAACTTCTCAGACTGTGGCACTAGCCACATCATCTCTGATGCTCAGAACTTTCTGCCATGCAGTTTTAGGCTCCCTGGTTTATGGATTTCTCCCCCGTACTCCCCATTGCCAGAGCTCCTTCCTGCTCTACAGGTCACAGGATCACCCAACAAATCCCATCAGTTACACAAGTCCCGGCAAGAGGAACTGCACGTCCTGGGCTGCATTCACACATCTCTGAGCTGTCACCATGCTGCTCACAGGAAAAGAGCTACCATTTTCCTAGCTCCCTCCCACCTTGTACCCCAAACTCTGCTTCCATCATTTCATTTAACCCTGATAAGTTCCCTGTGGCTTGGGAATTACTAGTCCTGTTTCATGGTGGAAGAAATAGAGGCTCAAAAGGTCCTAGTAGCCTGCTCACTGTCACACAGCCAGCTGGTGCCAAAGCCAGCCTCAGAATCTGGGCCCACAGCTAGGCTGCCCATCACAGTGTGGTACCAGACCCTAGGCAGGTGCAGGTTTCCACCAGCAAAGAGCCTACTGGAAACAGCTTCTCCATGGCCGACTTGCATCAGCCACACAAGAGCCTCTCTGTGGGCCTGGAACAGGGGCACCTGGAAACAAGGCCCTGGGAAGCCAGAGCTGAGCTGGAGAAAGACCTGCCCGGGGAGGCACATTTGAACCTCAGTCAACCCTGTTTTCACTGTGCATTTTATATGCATTAAGCTTCCTCCTTCCTTTCTGCTCTTCCTCATTCTTTTCCTCTTTCTCCTCTCTCCCTCTTCCTCCTCTTCCTTTCTCTCTTTTCCTCCTTCCTCCTCCTCCTGCTTCCTCTTCTCTTCCCTCCTCCCTGTCCCCAACTTTCCCAGGCTATGGCAATCCCCTGCCCCTCTCCCTCAGCATGTTCCCCTCCTGCCTATGCCCCCAACCTGTGGTTTGGAAACTGTCAGCCTCAACCTAGTTGTGGCTAGGAAAAGTCTGGCTAATAGACACAAAAATGGTTTTTAAAATATTTTAAAGTGAGGACAGCCCGCTAGGGAGATGAGGCAGAAACCTAAATGACTGTGACCCAGGGCAGAGCGAGATAAGGTCTGAAAGATAACAGATTTGCCTCTCAAGTCAAGGTCTTGGACTTTGGGCAGCTCCACATCAGGGGAATGGAGACATAAACAGGTAATTAATGGTGGTTTTCCAAAAGGCCATAATAGAGCCACGTGCAAGGTCTGCAGGAGCTGAGGGGAAACCTAAAACTCTGCTAGGACCTACAGGAAGCCCTCTCAGGGAGGACCCTGTGAACTGGGGCCTGCAGGAAATGCTGGAGCTTGAACAGCCAGGAAGGACACTCCAGGAGCAGCACCATGGGATGCACGGATATGTCTGGAAATGGCCCAGGCACCATGTCTGTGGAACCGAGAGGCTTGGACTTCATACTTTTTGCTGCTGCATACTTTCCGGGTGGCCCTGGACACACTACCTCTGTGTCTATAC
Source organism: Homo sapiens (assembly GCF_000001405.40). Lineage (NCBI taxonomy): Eukaryota > Metazoa > Chordata > Mammalia > Primates > Hominidae > Homo > Homo sapiens. The sequence goes on along the minus strand of NC_000008.11, from coordinate 133,370,950 downwards.
AACTGGGGAGGATAATAGCCCCCTCAAAGCTACTGCTGTAATAAGGGCATGGGGGCTGAGTGTGAGGCGTGCGTGCATGCAGGTGAACGTGTGGCCACAAGGGTGTCTACATTTTCAGTGGGACCAGCTGTCTCCCTGCAAAGGAGCAAGTTGCTAATACCAGGGCCTCCTGGCCTGTGGGATGCCAGCAGAGATACCCTATAATGTCAGAACTTTCCAGAGCTCTCAGACCTCTTCATGTCTTAAGGAATGATGACAGTTAGCATTTATTGAGCACTTCCAGTATAGAGGGAACTTTGCATGCCTTATCTCTGACCCTCACAGTAACTCTGAATTCTCACTTTGTAGATGAGGCACAGAGATAAGCTATGTGTCCCAGGTTGCACAGCTGGCGAGAGACAGAGCTGGGAGTGGAAGCCAGCCCCGTCTTTGCCTGGCACCCAGGGGCACTCAGCGAATGCTTGCAGACTGATTGGCAGTGAATAAACAAGGAGGTAGACACCGAATTCGGGCATTAGACCCTGTGAGGTTGGAGACTGGAGGTTGGCTGGTCCCAATTCTCCCTGACCATCTCTATCTTTCCACGGTCGATCCTTGATTACCTTTAGTGATGGGAGACTCAGTCTGGAAACCTACTTCCAGGCCTGGTGGGACCTGAGGGACCTTGAGGGAGGTCCCTTTCCTTTCGCATCTGAGGCACTGTGGTGAAGATCACTCCAGTTATCGGGCCCTGCCCTACTGGAATCTGGGTGTGAGCAAACATGTTATTGTGGGCAGGGTACCTATGGCCGAGGTTATCAAGTCAGCAGCCTGCTTTGGCCCTGGAAAGTGGGTCATGGGAGGAAGGAGAAAGTGCCTTTTGTTTCCTTGCAGGTAGGGTGGAGCAGGGAGGGGAGGGTGCAAAGTGCTGAGAGGCGGGTGCAGGGCGCTCATGTGCAGTGTGAGGGGCAGGCAGAGGGGCCTCCGCTGGGTGCTCAGGTGGCCAAAGGCTTGGGGTTGGGGGATGGTTCAGAGAAAGATGCCCCTGTCTCTGCCTGGCATGGAAACTTCTACAAGCTCCCTGCTATAGGGAGGAGGCCAACTTCCTCGCCTCTCTTCCTCTCCTTCTGCTCCTTCCCGTCTTACTTTCTCACTCTGGCAAAACCGAAATTCTGTGCCTCTTTACCCCCACACCACAGGCATGGGGCTTCCTGTTCCCACTCCAGCTGTTGGGCTGCCTGGGACACGTCCTCTCCCCTTCTGCCCCTGGTTAGTCCTCCTCTGTCTGCCACTTCCTCCAGGAAGGAACCCGGGCCTCCTCTGAGCCTCCCCATCCCCTTGGGCCTCCATCTGTCAGAACTTTGGCTCCCTGCAACTGAACTGAAGTGTGTGTGATGTCTCCCTCCCTGCGGGCTGCATCTCTCTTCCTAGGGGCGGGGCTGGGCTGCCCCAGTTCTCTCTGAATGTCCAGTCCCTAGCCAGTGCTAGGGAACCACTGCCAAAGTAACCCATGGACACAGAGAGCAGGGGGTCTCCATGGCTCCCACTGGGGAAGTGGTCCCTTCACCACAGGGACCAAGACACACGTGTCCAAGAACCGTGGAGTCTCCTTGCAAACTGTGGGAACTGGCCTCAGCTGGCCCATATGGCATGAGAAGAAAACCAGCAGGGGAATCACTGAGTTCAGGGAGCCTGTGCCAGTTTCCTGGGTTTTCCCGGCAGTGCTGTGTTTCTTGTTTAAGGCTAGAGTTTAAGGCCCAACAGCTGTGAAGTGGGAGGAAGTTGAAACCAGCTTGGCAGAGGAGATTCTACATTGCCATGGGGCAGGGGGAAGCCTCATGATGAGGACCCCTTGGACTCAAACCCTGCCCATTTGCCTGTGGTTGCTGGGCAGAATGGGACCCAGGGGACATTGCCGAACATATGGCATCAAGGAAGTTGTACTTTATGCAGCAGTTAATTTATAACTGGTTATGTCGAAGTCTTGTGTAATCAAAATTACCCTTGGGAAGCTTGTAAGGTGCCCATGCCATGCAGCTGGGGGAAACCATGCCATGCAGGGATTGCCCATGTCTGTTCTTATTGCCTCATGACTACCTCTCTGGGCCAGGCTGCCATCTTCCCATGCCTAGGGTACTGCAATCGCCTCATACTTTGAGTCTTCCTGCCTCTTCTCTTTTGTCTATTTCCTGATTGTAGCATGGAAATTCCCATATGCCAGGAATCGTCTCCATCTGGTACAAACTGGGTCAGCTGGTTACTCTACACTACATCTTCTCAGGGTTAAAACCAAGTCCTTTCATAGCCCCTAAGACCCCAAATGCACTGATGCCATCAATGCCCCATGGCCAACCTAGACCCTCTCCAACCTCACCTCCATACCTTTGGCCTCACATCTTCTGCTCCAGCCCCACTGGACTCCCTGCTGGTCCTCAGTTATGCCAAGTATGTTTCTGACTCAGGGCTTTTTGCACCTGCTATTCCCTTTGCCAAGAATTTTGTTATTTTTTGAGATGGAGTCTCACTCTCTTGACCAGGCTGGAGTGCAGTGGTGCAATCTTGGCTCACTGCAACCTCTGCCTGCTGGGTTCAAGCGATTCTCCTGCCTCAGCCTCCCACGTAGTTGGAACTACAGGTGCATACCACCACACCCAGCTAATTTTTTTTTTTGGTTCTTGTATTTTTTTACAAGAGATGGGATTTCGCCATGTTGGCCAGGCTGGTCTTGAAATCCTGACCTCAAGTGATCCACCCACTTTGGCCTCCCAAAGTGCTGGGAATACAGGCATGAGCCACCATGCCCAGCCTGCCTAGAATTCTTTCCTCCCACATATCCATATTGCTATCTCCCTTACTTTTTTCTGGCCTTGCTTTATGTGCACCTTTATCAGTGAGGCCCCCCCCTATATAAAAGAGTGCCCCTCTGTGTGAAGGATAGTTTCCAACAATGGCTGCCTCCAACACCTTCCCTCTTTGTATGTGCATGTCACTCCTTATAGCAAAAGGCAGCAAGATTTTTCCCACTCTTTGACTCTGGGCTGGATTTTGACTCCGCCCACCAGGACATGTGGTGGAAATAACACTGTACCTGCCCGTGTCTCACACTGACAGCTTCCCCTTCCTCCCTCTTGAAATCCAGCTGCCATATGAGAAATCTGCCACTCCTGAGACCACCATGCTGTGAGGAAGCCCTAGCTAGCCTGGTGGAGAAGCCACTTGAAAAGAGATGCCCAAGAACCCCCAACTGTTCTAGCCATCTCAGGTTAGGTGCCAGAAATGTAAGAGGAGATGCCCACTCGGTTGGTGTAGCACCAGCAGGCTCCACATGGAGCAGAAGAACCACTCAGCTGAGCCCAGCCCAGATGACAGAATTTCAAAAAATAATAAATTGGTGTTGTTTTAAATGATTACATTTGGGTTTTGTTATGTGGCAATTGATAACTGAAACCTCCCTTCAACCTGACTCACCAGATCTCCCTTAGTCTGCTTTATTTTTCTTCTGAACTAACTTCCAACTAACAAGCTGTTTAGTTCCTTATTTCTTGTGTTGCCTGGCTCCCCCTGTTAGAATGTGTGCTCCCTAAGGACAGGGTCTTTGCCACTTTGTTCCCCCATAACTGTTCAATGGCTCTGCACAGTTATACACAATACATACCAAAAACAGTTTATGCCACATTTTATCAAAACACACTTGGCTAAATCCTGGAGCAGCACTGGTGTTGTGAAAGGTCCCACACCATGTGAGCACTTGGAAACTTAGGGAACAGGCTCTTGTCTCCTTTTCACACCCACTGGGGGCACACTCTCATGGAGGGAAGGAAGAGCAAGCAAAACCACCCACATAATTCAAGTGGCAAGTGTGGATTATTTTCTCTCCTTTTCTTCTATAGAGCAGGTGTTGTTTAGGTTATTTTAATGCGTGTACACTGTGTCTTCACTCTACATATGCAGATGAAAATATAGATAAAAACTTTATATGCCCAGACATTGTACCCATCCAGCCTTCTTCCTTGGAGATTTCCTTTGCTCCCAGCTTCCCTGGGTTCTTCAGTGGTAATTGTCTCCCAGGCCTGCTGGGAGGGCCAAGCTTGATGTTGATGATAGAACTGGAGCTCCCCAATCACATGCATCACCTGGCAGCTTGTTAAAAATGCAGCTGCCCAGGGCCTACCCCCTAAACATTCCGGTTTTGTATTTCTGGGGTGGAGCCTGGGAATCTGAATTTTGGACACACATTCTAGGTGCTATTTCAGAGCAGTAGACTTTGGGAGGCTGGGTGTTCTCTCATGAACTCTAAATGTGCTAGGCGATGCTTGCATTCATTTTCTAGAGCTGCTGTAAGAAACTACTACAAACTGTGTGGCTTAAAACTGCAGAAATGTATTCTCTCACAGTTCTGGAGGCTAGAAGTTTAGAAATCAATTTCACTGTGCCAAAATCAAGATGGCTTCAGGGCTGTGCTCCCTGCAGAGGGTCTAGGGCAGAATCTGTTCCTGGCCTCTTGCAGCTTCTTGTGGCTGCTGGCACTTTATGGCATGTGGCCGCATCACTCTGATCCCCATATCTGTGGTCACATTGCCTTTTCTTCTCTGCCAAATCCCCTTTGCATTATAAGGACACTTATGATGACAATTAGGGCTCACTTGAATAATCCAGAATGATCTCTCCATCACAAAATTCTTAGCTTGGCCACATCTGCAAAATCCCTTTTGCCATATAAAGTATCATTCACATGTTTAAGGGCTTAAGACCCAGATGATCTTGCGGGCCATTACTTGGCCTAACACAACCCTTTTCCCCATTCCTCAGGAAGAACAATGGCTCAGAGAAGCTAAGTGACTTTCCCAAGGCCACACAGCTATTCAGAGACCCAGTTTGAATTCACCTTCATCTACACCACAATCAATTCAAATGTGACTGAATTTATAACCCCAAGGTATTTTTGTGCAAGATTTCAAAGATTATGCAAGCTGTGTATAGCAATGGAATAATTCACAATAAAGGCTGATAAAGTTAAGGCATTATCAGAAAATAAAATATATTTTCATTTTCAATAAAAGAATATGAACACCAAAAGTAATTACCCACCCACCCTCAAACAAAAATAATCATCATTACAAAGGGACTAATGCTTCCTACCCTTGGACAAAGTGAAGGATCACATTCAGACCAGTGTGCATGTAGCTGACTCTTGAGAAAGAGATGACTATCTCCAGGGTTCACGCTTCACCCAATTCTTGCAGAGCCATGTGAAGTTAGAGCTAATTTCAGTAATCACCCCATCTTAATAATAAGATGTCCTACAATCTTTGGCAGTGACTCAGAGAAGCAGCCAAAAAAATAATAATAATAGTAATAAAAATAAAAAGAGAAAGAAAAAAAGCAGAAAGCTTATATACTAGCACCACTGACTGCCCACCCCAATCAGCTCTACCTTCAAGAAAGTAAAAAAAGGTTAGATAGCCCCCTCCATAATACTGAAGAAGGCTAAGGATTTCTGTGCCCACTTAAGACCATCCATGGTATTCATTTTAACTTGATTTTGTCTATATAAAAATGCTGAGGGACAGATGTGTTGGTGGCATGCATGGTTTTCTGACCCTGGCAGTCTCTAGGGCATATGGTAGCTAACTTGAGCATGTATCTTCTATGTTCCAGAACCTACTATAATATCTCACAAAAGCTACAATGGTTTTAGCTATAAGAAACAGCATATACATACAACAACCAGACTAAATGATGAAGGGAATTTGTTCGTGTAAGATCTGAAAATCTTGGCAGTTAGAAAGGGCTTCAGGAAAGGCTTGATTCAGCATCTCCATGGCTATCAACAAGGCCCAGTTTCTTCCATGTCTCCATCCTTCCCTCCACTGTGTTGGCTTCATCCACAGGCTCATTCCCCTCTGATCACAAAGTGGCTGCCAGCTGCAATCTGGGCTGCATTCTTCATCTTTCACAACCAGTGGGGGTGAAGAATCGTCGTCATCTGGGGTAATACCCAAGGTTCGTTCCCTCGTGCCAAGGAAATCAAGGATGTGGACACACAAGGAGTGAGGTTAAGAGCAGAGGTTTAATAAGTGAAAGAAAGAGAAAAGTTCTCTCTCCTGCAGAGAGAGAGGGGCTCCTGAGTGGGTCTTCCAGTCTGTGGCAAAGTGCAAGAGGTTTTACAGATGAGCTTGAGGAGATGGTGTCTGATTTACATAGGATACAAAGGATTGGTTGGAGCAGGTATGCCATTTGCATAGTGAGGGAAGAACTGGTTTGGACTAGGTGTGCCGTTTGCATAGCTTGCGAGGAAGCTGGCTGCCTCACCCTAATCTTTTATTATGCAGTTGGGTTCTCTACCTGGCTGACGCCATGTTGCCTGCTTCTTCACTGTGCATGTGGAGCCTGAGGGGAATGTTTCAAGGAAGAGGGGACAAGCAAGTCAGCATCTGGAGGAATGGGTATGTGAACAGGGATGCAGGGAATCAAAGAATGATTCTGTCTTATCCCAATAAAGGGTCATTTGGGGTATTAACCTATAAACACAGACTATTAAATGGATGCATATACATACATAAATAAATACAGAAAACCCACTATAATTAAGGGCATACAGCCTTTGTAGAGGGAAGTTAAATTACAGCTCCAGATAACCACCAAAGAATATCTTTTGTTTCCCCCCTTCTTTTTGACATTGCTGTTTAAACCTATCTTCCTTCCCCTCCCACTACAGAGAAACTTGCTGTGGATTGCATCTTCACAGTACACTTGGTGATCAATTATCAAAGAGTTGACACCTGAGGGCCAGTAGGACGGAGGCTCCATTTCGGAGGCAGTGTGGCAAGCACTTGTGGATGCTGAGTGTTTATGTCAGGCCCAGTTTTTGTGCACCCAATACTCAACATTTCAATGCATACCTTTGCACACCTCCTGTTCACTATGGCTCAACTTTCAGCTCACTGGCCAATAGCCGAAACCTAATACTTTAAGGGAAAAGAACTAAACCTGGGCAATGAGTGGGGGCTTTACAAAATTCCTGATGCTTCAACCCTACCACAAACAAATTAAATTGGTTTTTCCGGCAAAAAGCCTGGAACATCAGTATTAAGAGCCTCCCCTATCTTCATCCTCACCCCTCCAGTGATTCTGCTGAAAAGTTAGAATTGAGAATAATGGATATAATTCTAGAAGGTTTGCAGAGAATTTTGATGGGGTAAAATAATTGTCCACAAGGAAATATCTGTATCTCTTCAATAAAAAAAGGAGGGAGGCAAGGCGATGGAGTAGGACATCTTAGAGAGAATGGCTACACAAAACTTACTCTAAAAGAATGAAGTAAAAGAGGATAGATTGCATTCATTAAGTGGCTGGGGTTCAGCTGAATACAAGACTGCCAAGAATAAAGATGACACATCCCAACCTCTATTGCAGCCAGCTGAGGCCACAGGATGGTTTTAGTCTGTGGTTTGTGAGCAGAAGTGAGGTGCACAGCTTCCAGGGTGAGCCCTAAAAGGGAAGGGATGTCCTCTTCACACTCCTTTCCTGTTTCTCTCCTCACAGAGGCAGCACTGTGTTGCATGGCTCCAGAGAACACCACTCTCTTTGTGTTCTATGCAACATGCCCACGAGTTATGCATTGCAGCACCTGGCCATAAATCATCACCAACCCTATGGATGAAGCAACACCCCAGGGAGGGTGGAGAAGTACAGGGGAAGGAGCCAGGGCCCCCATGAAACAAACATTTCTTCCAGGAATTTCCCAAGCCCAGACCATTGCATGAAAAGAGAAATAAAATACTCTTTTGTTTCCATCACATTGTTTTTGGTCTCAGTTGGAGCAGCAGACCCTATATTGCAACAAACAGACTCAATCACCCTCATTATTAGGAAAGTCAGCTCTGCAGCAATTCTTCCCTTAAACACCACAGGGTGTTTTGGGCGTTAAAGGAAAAACCTTAGAAAAACTAAATGTAACAGAATTTAATTGAGTGAAAAATGGTTCTTGAATTGGGCAATCCCCAAAACAGAATAGGTTCAGAGATGCTTCCAGGCTACCGCGTGGTCGAGGATGATTTATGGGCAGAAAAAAGAGAGTGACATATGGAAAACAGAAGTAAGGAACAGAAACAGCTGGATGGGTTCTAGCTTGGCGTTTGCCTTCTTTGAACATGGTTTGAAGAGTTGGCTGTCTGTGATTGGCTGAAACCCAGAGATTGGTACTAGAGTTGGTTATAGCCTGTTTACACATCCAGTTAGGTGATAGTTCACTATGTATGAAGAAACATTTAAACCAAACTGAATTTAACATGGATAAGACAAGGTCTTTCGTTAAAGGGCCATGAGAGTGAAGGCAACTTTCACCTCCAGAGCCCCTGCCTTCTGTGCCTGGATGCCCAGAGGGTCATCAGCCTGTGTCATCACGTGGAATGTCATCCATCCTCCTCTGAGAGCCTCAGCAGGGTAAAGATATGGCAAAACCCAGACTGTTGTATTCATCGCTGTATACCTAGAGTCCATCACTGTACTAGCACACAGTAGGGCTCAGAGGTGCTGCTTGCTCAGTAAAGGACTGAATGAACACATTGATGGCTATAGCCAGTGAGTGATGCACCAGATGGGTGCTCACATTCCTCCATGCTTTGGCTCCATCCAACCTATCTGCTTCCTCTACAATGTCTTCTTCCCATGTGGACCAACAGCAGCAACAGCACCTGGGGACTTGTTAGAATGCAAACTCATAGGCTGCTCTCCAGACTGCCCAAGTTGGGAACTCTGGTGCTGGCGCGGGGTGCAGTAGTCTGTGTTTTAATGCACCCACCAGGCGATTCCAATGCTGACTCGAGTTTGAGAGCCGCTGCTCGCCATGAGTGTTTCACAAATTGCATAGCACAGCCATTCCTTTGTTGTTCCCTCTACCTGGGATGCCTTTCTCCCTATCTCTGTCAGTAGCAGACTCACTCATGTTTGGGGGACTCTGAACACGCCACCTCCTCCAGAAAGTATCCCCAGATCCCCACAGTCTGGAGGAATAACTCCCTGGGGATACTCACAGGCTGTGCTTGTCTCTTCAATCCCTGGTTTATTCAGGCCAGAGCTTCCTGCCTCCCCAACTGGGATGTGAGCTCCTTTCTGCAGTACCAGGTTTTCTTCAACTCCCCAGCCCCTGGCTCCATCGAGCCAAACTTACATTGGTATTCAATAAATGCTGTTGGTTTGGTTTTTTTGTTTTTTTTTTTTTTTTTTTGAGACGGAGTCTCGCTCTGTTGCCCAGCCTGGAGTGCAGTGGTGCAATCTCCGCTCACTGCAAGCTCTGCCTCCCGTGTTCATGCCATTCTCCTGCCTCAGCCTCCCGAGTAGCTGGGACCACAGGCACCTGCCACCACCCAGCTAATTTTTTGTATTTTTAGTAGAGACAGGATTTCACTGTGTTAGCCAGGATGGTCTCGATCTCCTGACCTCGTGATCCACCCGCCTCAGCCTCCCAAAGTGCTGGGATTACAGGCATGAGCCAACATGCCTGGCCTGCTGTTGGTTAGAATAATACCACAGAGCATCAGTCTAGTCCACTCCTAGATATAGACTCACAAAGAAGAAAGCCAGGTGGCACAGTGATTTCTGTCACATTCTCAGGAGCGACCTCTTACGAACGCATGTCTCTTCAAAGTGCATTTCTGAAAAAGAAACAGATAAAATTGCTCCTAACAGTGAGGAAAGGAAAAAGATTAACATAAATCAAGCATTGCCCATCTGTCAGCACTGTCTTTGCTTTTTTCTATCTTATTATTCCTCACCACTCAGGTGGATATGTGTAATTATTCCTCTTGAAGACAGTAATACTGAGTGATGATAAGTGACTTGCCTGATGTCACACAGCCCAAACCCAGGCACCTGTCACTGCAATGTTCTTCCAACATGCCAGTCCACATAAAAGGGATGGATACAGTAAGATGAGGAAAAAAAGAGCTTTTGGGAGGCTGAGGCGGGTGGATCACGAGGTCAGGAGATCGAGACCATCCTGGCAAACACGGTGAAACCCTGTCTCTATTAAAAATACAAAAAATTAGCCAGGCATGGTGGCGGGCACCTGTATTCCCAGCTACTCGGGAGGCTGAGGCAAGAGAATGGCGTGAACCCAGGAGGCGGAGCTTGCAGTGAGCCAAGATCGCGCCACTGCACTCCAGCCTGGGAGATAGCAAGACTACATCTCAGGAAAAAAAAAAAAAAAAGCTTTGCAGGAATTGACTTTTTCTACCCTTGTTTATGTCATCCCCAAACTACCATCTCTTTTACAAAGGGGCAGTTTCAGCCAATGGGAGGCATCATATGCAGCCATTGCTGGCTAACAGAAATGTTTGTCATTCCATAGGCTGTTTACTGGGTCGGGCCTCATCGGGTTAGACTCCAACTCGGTTTAAAAGTGAGAGTCACAAAACAAGTGCTGGTGAACAGTCTGTTACTCATTTGGCATTAAGTAAACTCTAGCAACATTATAAACAGTCCAGGGGCAGACAGCCCAGGGGGAAAGGACATGGACCCAGGCAATGCCTGCCCTGAGTCTGCATTTCTGAATTCTTATGTAAACACTCCAAGTTCATGGGCTGTGCTGTGTCATGAACTAAATGGTCAAATCTAGCATTTACACATGTCTGCCGACTCACCTGGGTTGAAAATCCACTCGCAATGCAGTTCTTGTGTTTGGAACTTCAGTTTTCTGATCAGGTAGCTGTGATGACAGTAACAGGATCTACCTCTGGGTGGCTGTGAGGATTTGGGATATGCATTAATGTACCCGTTCCACTGCCTGCCCTGGGGCAAACTCAGTGAATCTTCACTGCTGATGTCTATCTAGTACCCAATCTGAGCTAGGGTTTTTACACGTGCTGCTTCCAAATTCTCATAGCAAAACCATTACTGAAGTGCGATTCCTGAGGCTCAGGGAGAGAACACAGACAGAGGCAAAGCTGGCAGGTAAACGCACCTCTTCTGACTTCATGCCACTGCTCTTTCTCTTTCAGGCAAGGTCTTCAGGCCAGTGAGGGTTGGTGTCATTTGTGGGACAGAAGAGCCCAAATCAAGCTGAGTTGAGGCAATAAATATGCTCTCCTGCTTCCAGATCAAAGTCCTTATTTAAAATGCATATGCCATGTGTAGTAAGGCAAAGCCTGCCACCTCCAATGCTTCTCCTGTTCCCCCAGCAGTGCTGTGAGAGAGGTGGCAGATGTGGCATGGTGGCCCGCATACACATTTGCAAGCTTGAGTTCTGATGTCAGCTCTGCTCCTTATCTTCTGTATATCCTTAGGCAAATGTCTGCACCTCTGAGTTTCCACTGTTTCCTCCCCTACAAAATGGGCAGAAGAAGAACTAAGCTTCCTTGTTCGGAGGATCCACAGGTGCAGAGCAAGGCAAAGTAGACACTCAGTAATGGTGGCCAATTATCCCCCAATTCATGCTAGGGAGGGAAAAGAAAAGCAGAGATGTTAAGTGCCTTACCCAAGGATATTGGCTTAGTGAGAGGTGGGACTAGAACTAAACCCTGGAACTGGTCCATGATAAAGCCTCAACTCCAATGTCCCCAATCTCACCATCTGCCAATGCTCCCACCCCCATTACACCAACCTCTGCCTTTAGGGAGTTGCCAGTCTCCTAAAGAGAATAGAAGTAGCTCACAGATGGTTGAAGTACAAGTGGAATCAAAGCACCTGCAAAAAAGGCACAAGCTAAAAGATGTGAGAGGTCTTAGGAGGGAATAATCCTAGTTTGGAGAAAGGTTCTAAGCTTCCAGGAGGAGGTGGTGCAAGTGTTGGCTCTTGAATGAGCAAGGTTGGAAGTGCAGGAATGCTGGCCTGGCATGTGGGAGCCTGCCAGGGGCTGGGCATTGGGACGGCCCTGGGGCAGGCCTTGGAGAGTTTGGCAAGGCTGCACTGGGAACAAAATGTGTGCTTCTCTCTGGATTCTTCCACCTCCCACCTCCCTCCTGGGGAGTGACCCAAACCCTCACCTTCCATCCTGTGCTGAGTCCTAGTGCCCTGAGTTGGGAGAGAAACCAGTATCCACTGTGCAGTTCCTTGCCAGGGACACTGCTAGGTCTCCAACATAGAAACAAACCTCTGCACAGTAAAGATCAGATCGGCAAAGGGAGTTGCTTGAAGTCACAAGGATGGAAGGGAAAGAAGCCGGGATTCCAGCTCCATTATCTCTGGTTCCCAAACCCAGCATCTTTCCATTAAAATGTGCTACCTTGAAAGCCCAAGGAAGTCTTTGTATTTGGAGAAAAATAAAGCCTTGGGGCGGAATAGTAGGGCCTCCTTAAATAATGGCACAGTAGGATTATTAATTGCTTAGTAGCAAACATCTATGGAGTGTTTATTATATGCCAGGTACTCTTCTAAGGGCTTTTGATATTTTAACTTAATTCCTCACTGCTGCTGCTGTGCCCTATAAGGGAGGCACTATTATTATAATCAGCTTCTATTTCACACTAGGAAATTGACACACACAGTTTAAGTAGCTTGTCTAAGGGCATATGGTTAATAGGCTTTAAAGATTGGATTTGAGTCCAGGCAGCTGGGATCCAGCTTACAGCTCTAACTAGAATAATGTGCGAGGTTGGTCAGGCTGTGCACTGCACAAGGGCACCTGGCCATGGGGGCACAGAGAAGCTGAAATCCAGCTGGGATTCTGCTCCCTGGGGCTGCTTGGAGGAAGAGGCACCACTGTGTAACTTACACACAAGAACTGCCAAGCCACGACTAGCCTCCTGGAAATGCCAGCTGCTGACTGCACCGTGGCTTTTGCTGATAGCATGATTGATTTTTTTTTTCCTTTTTAGATCATGACCTTCCCAAAGCCATCTAAGAGTACAGATAAAAATGCACAGTGCATGAAAACTGTGAAATGGGATCCCGCCACCAGCCATGGTGGGGAGGAGCCTTTAAACACCACCCGGCTCTGACATTCTTTCTTTAGGTGATGAAAATGAGCCCTGGAAGTCTTTGCATGGGGCGCTGGGCAGGTATGCCAGGGCATGCAGGTGCACACCACTGACCCAGCCATCCCTTTTCTAGGAATCAGTCTTCATGCAACTCTCAGCAACCTCTACTGAGATCTCTGTTGAAGCATTGTTTGCAAGAGCAGATAATCAGAAACCACCCAAAAAATCATAAAGAAGACATTGGGCAAATCAACAATGGTATGCTGAGATTTGGATTGCCAAATTGACCTTGAAGTGAAGGAGGCAGATTTGCTTGTAATAACAATGAAAGCGATACAAGATCTTCTATTTGAAGTGCAGAATGTCCCATTCACCATGAGACGCTGGTAAATAATGTTTTCATGTAAGTATATATATTTAATCATTAGGTTGAAGGCAGCAAAGAGTGTGGTTAAGTCCAAGTGTTATGGAATAAGACTGCTTGGGTGCATACCTTGGCTCCTACACTAGCCAGGTGAGGATGGGGGAGTGACTGGACTAATTTTTTTTTTTTTTTGAGACAGGGTCTTGCTCTGTTGTCCAGGCTGGAGTGAAGTGGCACAATCACGGCTCACAACAGCCTCAAACTGCTGGGGTCAAGCAATCCTCCCACTTTAGCCTCCTGAGCAGCTGGGACTACAGTCATGCACCACCATACCTGGCTAATTTTTATTTTTTTCTGTAGAGATGGTGTCTCTCACTATGTTACCCAGGCTGGTCTTGAACTCTTGGTCTCAAGTAATCCTTCCGCCTCAGCCTCCCAAAATGCTGGGATTACAAGCCTGAGCCACCATGCCCAGCCATGTTTGACTTCTTCCCTCTCAGGATTAAGGGCTTGGAGGGAGCCTGATATCCCGGGTTTGAGTCTTGGTTTGCTATTTCCTTCCTACGTGATCTGGACCAAGTGACTCATTCTGAGTGTGTCTCAATTTCTCTGCGTGTAAGCTGGACACGCAGATGGTACTTACCTTAGTGAGCAGTTGCATGCTGCCTTCTTAGGAGGTCTGGGGCACGGTAAGCCCCCAGGAGTGTTAGTTATGCTGAAGCCTGCAAGAAAATGCTGAAGAAATGCACACAGCCAACATTGGTTATCTCTGAGGAATGTTTACTGTTGGACTCACACATTTCATAGCATTTAAGATTTCTGAAAGTAGGAATAAGTGAGTCTTGCAATTAGGAAAAATAATCACGAATTACAAAAGAATACCTTTGCAAAAGGCCCTCTTGGAGAGGTAACTATGTCCTTCTAGCACATTCCCTAGAATAAAGGGCCAGTGCACTCAAGCAGCCCGGAGGCCACCCCTCTGCGTCACCATCTCTACCCTACAGTGCGCTGGGCTTTCCGCTGTCACTGTTCTTACCCCTGGGGGCTGTCCCTTGATAGGTCAGCCTCTCCCACAGTCCTGGGAGCTGTCCAAGGACAGGGATTATAGCTAATTGATCCTCTCTGCATCTCTTGGGCCTGGTGCAGTGATTGGTATACAGTAGTAGGTGCCTAATGAAGGTTTGCTGAGTACTTGAGGGATTACTGAAGGAAGTTACTTGTGTAGCCTGACAATAAACACCCTCCCTTCTGACTCCTCAGGAATGCTCTTGGCACCCGTTCCCAAGTCAGGCCCTAAAAATGAACACTGTGTTAATGACACAACAAAACAAGACATTCCAGACTCAGCCTCGGGCGGCTGACTCTTGGGGCTGCCATGCCTTTGGCCAGCAGCTGCAGAGGCTGTCCTCAGGGAGGGGACCTCCAGCCCTTCCAGTCCAGAGCCACAGCCTCCCGGGACAGGCAGCAGACCATGAAAATGAGGAGTGCAGCCGTGGCCACAGATTCACTTTGTATATTAACAGGAAGAGTTTTCCTTTCCATACATGCATCAGTGTGCCCTCCCCCAAAACAAACAAACAAACAAACAAACAAGCAAAGATAAAAGAAAGAAAAGAGGAGGGACAGAGGGTGGGACATTAGAGGGAGGGAGGAATGGAGGGAGAGAAAGGAAGAGAAAGGAATAAAGAGAGAGAAAAAAAGAAAGGAGAAGGAAAGAACAAGGGAGGGAGAGAGGGATCAAGGAAGGAAGGAAGGAAGGAATGGAGGGAGGGAGGGAGGGACATGTACCTTTTGTAGACAGACCCTCTATCTGACTCCCCCTGACATTACTTTAGAGAGATTAAATAATGAGAATTATTCCTCTTTTGTAAAAAACACCAGGACAAGCTTGTGGGCCATATGATGCCTGCGAGTTCAAAATTCCTGAAGCTCTTTTCCATTTTACAGATGAGTAAACCGAGGGGCTACAGTTTGCCCAAGGTCATTGGGAGTGAGTAAGTGTCCAGCAGAGAGATTTCTGATTTCCCAGTCCAGACCCTTCCCTCTGCTCTGGCCCCTTGAGGCCAAGGGTATGAACATCCCAGAGGCAGGATCTCTCATGGGAGGAGCCCGGCCTACCTGCCTCCTTCAGATCCCCAATCCCACCTCTTCCCAGGAGCCCACTGTCATCATGGGAGTCCACATGGCCTTTTTAACAGATGCTGCTAAATACAGTGCTTCCAGCCCCAGGAGGGAGATTAGGGGTGAGAAACTCAGGTTACTGCAGAGATAGTGGGGTCAGGGAAGACTGGGGCTTCTCTGAAATTGTAGGTCAAGGGCAGGGATACTGATGCTGATGTCAGCATCGGAGCCAGACCAATGCGAGTGGGAATTTCAGTTCTTTTTCTTCTCAGCTGGGTGAGTTTTGACAAGTTATAGAACCAGTCTGGGCCTCAGTATACTGAGGTCTAAAATGGGCTAACACACAAGGCTGTATGCAAAGTCAACTTAATATAAATGAGGCCCTAGCTCCAAGTAGGTACTCCTTGGCACGTGGCTTTTGTAGGAGAAAATTGAGTTCTGTGGGTTTAGGAGGTGAGTCAGCATTTGGTTGTGGGTCAGTACAAGGAGAAGTTCCACCCTTCATGTCAAGACAAAGGTCAGCTCAGGCCTTATATACTCAGCTACCCAGATGAGCAGGGGAAGGAGAGGGGGGTTTGGGGTGAGGGGTTTAGGCTACAGTTCTTTCTAAGAACATATGCCCAGGAAACAAGGCCTCTGGTCTTGCCTGTACCTCAATTAGCTGTGTGACTTTGGAAAAGTCACCCAACCTCTTTGAAACCCAGTTTGCAGAACCATAGCAGGGAAAATAGCATCTCACAGGCTGCTTGTGTAGAGTAACTGGTTGTGTACAACGCTAGTGCGTAGGGAGCCCATAACAAATGTGACTCCCTCCATCGGCCCAGTTCCACTGAGTATTAGCTGAGAGGAAGCCCCTTCCAGGGCCTCACTTTCTCCCTGCCTGGATTCCTGTTTGTGTCCAAGTAATGTTTCCCAAATGGTAGTTTTTTGTGTACCACAATTATGATTTTTGACATAATCCAAGTGCACTTTGTAAAACTCATTCCTCTATATTTTTGAAAATTTAATGGATCCCTTTGTATAAATTGAAATATAAAAATTAAAGGATAACCAGTGTATAGCTGTTCTGAGTGGAGAAGCAGTTTGGCTGGTCATAAATCAAAGGCCTGGGTAAAAATAAACACAATCAAAAGCAAACAAGATATTAACTTCCAGCTAGGTCTAGCTGCTGCGGGAGGTGCCCAGCCCAGAGGCTGCTCTTTCCTGGTTAAAAGGAGAGCAGAGGAGGTGTTAGCATCTGCCCTGGTGCGAAACTGAGGCCTGCTCCTCGATGTAACTAGAAGGATGCAAGGAACTAGGATGAAATTTTGTCTGCTGTGGCTTGATTTTATTTAACACCTTATGCATGTGCCTCAAAAATGATGTTGGGGAACCCCAACTGCATCCTCCTAAGGCCCCTCTCTGGGATATGCAGGCCTTGGTGGTCTTGTTGGTCATTTCCTGTGTAAAAGGTGAGTGGGTCTGGAAGGGCCTCTTATGGGGTGGGGGGAAGGGAAGGCAGAGTGGAATGGAAGACATAAGGGGTGTGTGGTTGGTAAGGTGGGGTAGGGACCACCTAGAGTTCAGCCCCTTCCCTAGTATGTCCCAGTTGGCAGAGAGTTTCCTCTCAGCAGAAGCCCGTGGGCCAAGCAGAGCCTGATCCCCATCCAGTCTGTTCTGGGCGGCCATGATGCTTGGCTGAGGGCGGCAGGAAGTGAGTGGGCGTCAGGCGGAAGTGGTTCTGAAGGGCTGTAGGGTGGTGTCGATGACAGCCATAACTCACGGTAACAAGAGTGGGACAGAAGCACTGAGATGCTGGTCACATGAAGAGTGTGCTCAGGGAGGAGATGACTAGGACCCCAGCAAAGATAATAACCACAACCAATGATCCAGCCAATGCCTTCAGTGGTGGCATAGGCATGGTCCAGGAAATAAAACTGTGAGATCCACCATATCTGTTTTTCCCCATCCTAAAGCTTGCAAGAAGCCTCCCACACAAAGTTTAAGTAACTTTTATTTTCTCACAAATAGATTTTGATGTTAAAATTGTTGCCCTTTATTGGGTCCTGACCGTTGTATGAGCTCATCTTGTTTATTCTTCACGGCAGCCTGTGATTCGATTATGATTATGCTTACCTTATGTCTGAGGAAAGCAGGACCCCAAGAGGTGATGTGACCAGCCAGGATCACACAGTGTCTAAG
Source organism: Homo sapiens (assembly GCF_000001405.40). Lineage (NCBI taxonomy): Eukaryota > Metazoa > Chordata > Mammalia > Primates > Hominidae > Homo > Homo sapiens. The sequence goes on along the minus strand of NC_000008.11, from coordinate 133,353,388 downwards.
AGCCAGGGCTGGGATTCAAACCTCCAGGCCAGGCATGGTGGCTCACGCCTAGAATCCCAGCACTTTGGGAAGCTGAGGTGGGAGGATTGCTTGAACCCAGGGGCTCAAGACCAGCCTTGGCAGCATGGAGAAAACCCGACTCTACATAAAATAGAAAAATTAGCTGGGTTCAGTGGTGCACACCTGTAGTCCCAGCTATTCGAGAGGCTGAGTTGGGAGGATAGCTTGACTTCCGGAGGTTGAGGCTGTAGCCTGGACAACACAGCAAGACCCTGTCTCAAAAAAAAAAAAAAAAAAAAAAGCAAATACAAATCTCCAAATCTCTGACTCCATGGTATCCTGCCACAGGACAGGAATACAACAGGGGGCTCCCATACCCGAAGGGACAGGTGTGATGTGGACTTGCTTTGGTGACTCAGAGAGATAAAACTGAGAAATAAGGGTGGACATTGCTGAAAATCTAACAGAGCATCAAGGTGTTGGAATGGACTCCCTGGGAGGCACGGGAGATACCCCTACAGGGAGTGGATCACCCCCAACGTGGATGTCGGGCCCAGTGTCTGGCCTGGGGGGCATATATCAGATGCTCAGCATCACTACCCATGAATGCGCCTCCACGGAACACCTTCCACACATTACTTCCCCGTCTGCCAGTGAGCTGTGCCTCCTGATTCAGATTTTACAGACATCTCAGCAGGACCCCAGAGACATGAAATCACCTCCCCAAAGTCACCTCACCACCATGAGGCTGAGCAAGATTTGAATCCAGTTTTCCTTTATGTCTTCTGTCTCTCAAATCCTCCATCCATCCACTTGTCAGCAGGACTGTCATTTCTATCTCTAAACTTACCCCGCTCCAGCCACTTCTCCCCACCTTCCCCAACCTGCCCTGGTCTGGCTACCATCATCTGTCCACTGGGCCACTCCAAGGGCCTCTTCTTTGTTTCAACCCTTAACCCCCTGGAAGCTGAATCACCACACAACAGCCATGGGGATCTTTTTCAAAAGCAAATCTGGTACTTTATCTTTTGGCTGAAAGGCTTCTGCTGGTCTCGCAGCAACTTGGAATAAGGTCCAAACTCCCTGGGGCTCTGCAAAGCCTTCCAAGGCCCTGCCTGTTATGGGATAAACTGTGTCTCCCAGAAACTCCTATGTTGAAGTCCTAAACCCCAGGACCTCAGAATGTGACTGCATTTAGAGAGAGAGTCTTTAAAGAGGTAATTAAGATAAAATAAGGCTGCTAGTGTGGGACCTAATTCAATATGACTGTTGTCCTTATAAGAAGAGACTGGGACACACACAAACAGAGGGAAGACCCCATCAAGGCACAGGGAGAAGATGGCAAGCCAAAGAGACAGGTCTCAGAAGAAACCAGTCCTGCTGACACCTTGGACTCAGACTTCCAGCCTCCAGGACTGTGAGAAAGTAAGTGTCTGTTGCTTAAGCCCCCAGTCTGTGGTACTTTGTTACAGCAACCTGAGTGGACTAACACACTGCCCTGAGACTTTCCCTTTGGTCTCTGCTCCAGCTACACACTGGCCTCCTCCAAGTTCCTAGTACTGACTATGAACACTCCTGCCATGAGGCCTTTGCATGGGCTGAACCCTCTACCTACCTTACCCTCCTGTACACAAACAGAAAGATAACTCTGGAAGCAGGATGTGGAATGCATTAAGAGAGAAAGTTAAATAGATTTAATAAATATTCCCTTAGCACCCGCCTTAGGCCAGGCACTGAACCAGCTCCAGAGTTGCAGAGAGAGATGAAGAGGTTCCTGAGCCCCTGAGGAGTGTGCTCAGGACCCAGGGAGGAGACAGACTGATATTGACAATAGAGTGGGAGGGGTGGGATGGAGATTTTGCAGTTGGGTGAAGAACCAAAGACGCACAAGGTATAACCCAGTCTTGGGGAGTGCAATGGACTGAATGTGCCTCCTCCAGATTTGTAGGTTAAAGCCTGAATCTCAATGTGACGGTGTTTGGAGGCGAGGCGTTTGAGAGGCAATTAGGATTAGAGGAGGCCATGAGGCTGGGACCCTTGTGATGTAACTGTCCTTTTAAGAAGAGGAAGAGACACAAAATCTCTGTCTCCTTCATGTGAGGACACAGCAAGAAAGTGGCCACATGCAAACTGAGACGCGAGCCCTCATCAGACACCAGATCTGCCAGTGCCTTGATCTTGGACTTCCCAGCCCCCAAACTTGTGAGAAATGAGTGCCTGTTCTTTAAGCCACCCAGTCTGTGGTATTTGTTTATGGCAGCCCGGGCAGACTAAGCTGGGGAGGATAAAGCCCACAACTGGCTGTCAGGAGACTGAGTTTACATCCCTATTCTGCTATGGTGACACTAGGCAAGGGTTTCCCTTCTCTGGGCCTCAGTTTCCCCATCTGTAAAGAAGAGACAATAAACCTTCCCTCTAAGCGTTTATGCCCTGATTGTAGAAGATTTCTTCACCTCAGCTGTTCAGTGCTGAGGGTCTGGAGAAGTTTTCTTTCCAGCAAAAGATGGATCCTGCACTTTTCAGGCTTGCAGCTGCTTGGAGACACCCCCAGACCACAGTGGTAGGGGACAGGGAGGCAGATTCAGGCAGAAATCTCACACAGCACTTTTTCCAAGTACCTGGGGTCATCGCTAGGGCTGAGTCGTGCAGGTCTGGGGAAGCATGGGACCTACCCGTCCCCTCCCTGGTTAAATATTTGCCAGCTTTGGCCCCGTCTCCAGAGGAGTTCGACCAACCAGCCTAGCGAATCCATCTGGATATGGCCTTGTGCGCACGAGGGCTTAGGGCTTAGGTAGCACCTTTGTTATTTGAGCTTTTATTTAACTAGAAGAGAAAAAAAGCAGATACTGGTTCTTTCCCTCCCATATCCCCCACCTCACTGCCCAGCTGACCTTGGCTCCTCTCAGGCCCAAGGTTGACCAGGGCTGGCCAGGCAGCCCCTGCAGAGGAAAGAGCAGCAGTTTTTTGCTTGTTTGTTTGTTTTGTTTTTGAGACAGAGTCTTGCTTTGTAACCCAGGCTGGGGTGCAGTGGCGCAACCTTGGCTCACTGCAACCTCCGCCTCCCAGGTTCAAATGATTCTCATGCCTCAGCCTTCCATGTGTCAGGTGTGTGCCACCACACCACACCCGACTAATTTTTTGCATTTTTAGTAGATACAGGGTTTCACCATGTTGGTCAGGCTGGCCTCAGACTCCTGGCCTTAAGTTATCCACCTGCCTCAGCCTCCCAAAGTGCTGGGATTTCAGGCATGAGCCAGCACACCCAGCCAAGAACAGCAGGTTCTCATGCAGAGAATGCTGGGTCAAAATTCTTGCTCTGCCCCTGGGTTCATGCATCTTTGACAATTCCCTTCACTTCTCTGGGCATTGCCCCACCCTGAGCTAATGGAGGCTCCAGGCGAGAGCCCTTAGGTCTCAATCCTCCCCCTCTGCCCTACCATATCTCACCCTTTCCCCTGCTCTGCCATGCTAACTGCAGCTCTGATGGGCTGCTCTTCCCCTTCTCAGCTTTTGAGTTTCTGTCTTAGTTGCATCTGCCCCTTCCTGATTGTCTGATGGTAGTGGCTGGACTCAGCATCAGGCATCTGGGTGCAGATCCCATCTGCATCATTTTCTTGTTAGGAAAAATTACCCCACCTCTGTCAACCTTGATACTCTGTCTGTAAAATGAGGGCTGAGAATTAAATCTTGTTGGAGTTCTTAGGAGAATAAAGATGATGGTGTATATGCTGTATTTTCATGAGCAGGAACCTAAAGACCAGCACTTCTATTAATTAGACCATCCTGTCCCCCTGCCCCCTTCCTTCCCTTCCCTCACACTAGGTTGGTTAAGATGCTGACCCCTTATTCCCCCAGTGCCATACCTGGCTCTGCAAAGCACACACCACTGTGGGCATTTAGCGTCATGCTTGTTTGTGTTTGGCCAGAAGTGTCTAGAGGGCAGAGACCAGGTCTCACTTATTTTCCAACCCCCAGGTCAGCAAGCACTTGATCAGAGCATTTCTTGAGTGAGTGAATGCATGGGTGAATGAATAAATGAATTGCCAATGACCTTTTCTGCCCTGTGAGGAAATGCTCTTGGTCTTCACCAATCAATAGTGATCTATGTCCCAGTTTCTAAGTCGTGCCCTAGAAAACGATTGCCGGGCTTCAAATGCACGATATAGTGTTGAGTAGACTGGATGTTGGCAGGGTAGGGAAGGGAGGTCACAGAGGTGGTGTGGGCCAGCCTTGGCACCCTGGATGCTTCCCGTGGTGGGAGAGGAACATCACACACACATGTCTTTTCACACCCACATGTCTTTTCTTTCTGCCCACCCTACTAGTGGACTTATGGCACTTCCAGCCAGAGTTGGCCCTGTCCCTTGGAGAGGTTCCTTAAATTACATCTGAGGGCCACCCCGCATATGTTTGTGTGAATCACAAGACCTAGAGTTCAGATCCCATGAGAGAGAATACTATACCTAGGCCACCGACCCACTTTGAAGCTCAGCTCTGGAATGGGCCAGCACCCTGTAGTACCACAAGGTCGACTGGCATCTTCTTAAGGAGCTTAATAAAATTCTAAATTACTAAAATAATAAGAGGATTCCAGGAGATTATATCTAAAAGCACAAACAGCATCACAGAAGTTTCCAATCAGATTTGTTTTTCTATTTACTCTTTCCACTTGAATTTGTACAACCCATATTTCCCAAGGGTCTACTAGGAGCCAGGCACTGAGCTGTGCTCTGAAGATACACAGCCCAGTGAGACTCAGCCCCTTGGTGGCCAAGATACCTCTTAGGGGAGAGGGGGATGCTGCTGAGGCCAGCCCAGAGAGAAGAGCTGCCCTGGGGCTCCTGCCCTGAGTCTTCTGAGTTACTGGGTCCCCCTTGGGGCCAAGCTCTGGGCCATGAGCTACAGCTTTTGTCTCCTGAGTTCCCACAGTTACTTCACAAGGTTGAGAGCAAATGAATCTTCTCCATGAGGAAAATGAGGCTCAGAGAGGTTAAATAACACACCCAGCTTCACACAGCAAACCCATGGCTAAGTCACCAGGAGCTCAGATCCTGGCCAGTTTAACTCCAAATTCCATGTTCTTAACCCCAATATATGTGGCCCAGAGAGGACAGAAGTGTTGAGTGAGGGAGGGGTCATTTATTGGTCCTCTCAGGTCTGGAGAAAATTTCACAAGAAAGTGGGGCAGAGGGCAGGAATCTTATACCATTCCCAGTCCATACAACATTCTGAGTATGTTGGTGTTTCTGTTGACATTTTTTGGAGGACAGTTTGGTGTGGGAGTTTGACATAAGACAGTTTTTGGTCTGAGCGTCTGCTCTGCCATTTTCTAATAGGATGACCTTGGACAGGTGACTTAATCTGTTCTAACCTCACCTTCTTCACCTGTAATGTTTAATGATAAGGATTCCTAAACGCTGGGAATGTGTCACAGATTAACTGCTATATTAGTTTGCTTGTGCTGCCGTAAGACATAACACAGACCTAAACAACAGAAATTTGTTTATTTTCTCACAATTCTGGAGGCTGGAAGTCCAAAATGAAGGCTTTGGCAGGGTGACCTTCTTCTGAGGCCTCTCATCGTGGCTTGCAGATGGGCTGCTGATAAAGACATACCTGAGACTGGGCAATTTACAAAAGAAAGAGGTTTAATGGACTTATAGTTCCACATGGCTGGGGAGGCCTCACAATCATGGCGGAAGGCAAGGAGGAGCAAGTCACATTTTACATGGATGGTGACAGGCAAAGAGAGCTTGTGCAGGCAAACTCCCCTTTTTAAAACCATGAGATCTCATGAGATTTATTCACTGTCACAAGAACAGCGCAGGAAAAACTCGCCTCCATGATTCAATTACCTCCCACCAGGTCCCTGCCCCAACACATGGGAATTCAAGATGAGGTTTGGGTGAGGACACAGCCAAACCATATCAGATGGCCTTGGACAGGTGACTTAATCTGTTCTAACCTCACCTCCTTCACCTGTAATATTTAATGATAAGGATTCCTACATACTGGGTGTACATTAAGGATTATCAGCTATATTAGTTTGCTTGTGCTGCCGTGAGAAAGTACCACAGAACTAAACAACAGAAATTTATTTATTTTCTCACAATTCTGGGGGCTGGACTTTGAAATGAAGGCTTTGGCAGGGTGACTTTCTTCTGAGGCCTCTCATCGTGGCTTGCAGATGGGCTGCTGATAAAGACATACCACAGGCCAGAGCTGGCTCTGAAAATGACCATGTCCGAGCCCAGCTGGAAACCAACTGCAAGTGGTTGAGGAGGCGGCAGACGATTCTAGAGGAGACATGCTTCAAGACTTCTGGCTTCTCTCCACCAGGACAAAAATACAAAACAATCAAGCTGCAGGCTGGAGACATGCCTCCAGGTTAAAAGAGACTTACAGTGCATCACGCACAGAATGTACTGTATGAATCTTTCTTGGATCTCACCTTGATATCTAACCATGATAGTTAACTTCTGACAGTTAACACAAATCTTAATCTGTAGAATTCTTACACAATGTAAGTGTTTTGGTTTTTTAATGGTAGTTTGGTGTGTAACAAACTACCCCGAACTAGTGGCTTGAAATGACAGTTGTTTTACTTATTTGCTCTTGATTCTACAATTTGGACAGGGAGTGGCACCTCAGGTGGCTAAGGGAGGCTGGGGGACCCTCCTCTGAGATGGCTCACACACGTGGCTGGCTGGGAGTTCAGGCAAGGCTATTGACTGGGACGTCAGCATTCTCCCTCGTGGTTTCTCCATGTGGCTGCTTGGGACTTCTCACAGTCTGGGGGTGTGAAGGTAGCTGGGCTTGGTATATGGCTGCTGGCTTCCAACAGAGCAAAGGCAGATGCTACCAGGCTTTCTGAAGGCTTAGCCCTGAAACTGTCCCAATGTTACATCTGCCACTTTCTGTCAGTTAGAGTGGGTCACCCAAGCAGCCTGGCCAGATTCAAGGGGGAATGGAACAAGGGCACACACACCAGGGGACGTGGTTCATTGGAAACCCCACAGTGACATTCTGCCAGGAAAGAACTAAGGCAAAATCCCAGTGGAAAAATGGGCCATGGAAATGAACAAATAATTCACATAAGAAATACAAATGGCAACACGCATGTAAAAGTATGCTCGACAGAACTAATAATTGGGGAAACACATGTCTACATTTCACATTTTTCCCTGCTCAAGGATGGAACAAGGTATGGCAAAGATTCAGAGGTCCCTGTTGGAGTGAAAATATCTGCAAATCTTCTAGAGGAAAAAATCAATCATATATATATCAAAAACTTCTAAAAACAGTGAATGTTTTGATTCAGCAATTTGTCATTTAGGACTTTCTAGAGCTATTTCATAGGAAAATACTCGGAAAAGTACACAGCATTGTTTATAATAGTAAAGGATTGAAAGGAAGTTAACCAGCCATTAATAGAAAGTGGATTAAATGAATTGTTTCATTGATTTGGTGGAATATAATGCAGGAAATATCTTAATCAATTGGGCTTTTAAGCCACTGACCTTGCTTCAGAAAATATTTGCCAACCCTTCCCAACTCTTATCATCCAGGTTTGAGCACCCAGATATTCATTTACCCATTCATTTCAGACATGTATTTAGTGCCACGTGAGAGCAGTAATTGTGTATGATATTGTCCCTGTCTCTGAAGTATTTTCACCGTGGTTGGCAAAAGTATTTAAAAACATTAATTATTAAGTAAACACAAAGCAAATAGAACAGTTGAATGCACATTGACTGACAACACCATCTCTTTCATCCAGAAGTCACCAGCAAGGTCCAAAATGAATAAAAGAGTACCTAATGCTAGGGAGGATGAAGGCTAAGAAGCCCTGGAGTTGAGAATATTAATTGGCATGTCATCCTTGTCTTCCAATAGAAGCTTGGCCAAATAAACTATTATACATACGTAAAAAGGAACTCCATAACTCTGAACAGAAAATGGTGTGGAACGATCTCCATGATATTGTTAAAAGAAACGAAAAGATTTCTTTTTATTTTATTTCTTTTATTTGAACAGTTTGTGCAGCATGCCTCCAGTTGTGTAAAGAATGTAAAAGGGAAATGTCTCAAAACAGAAGAAGACGCCTGTGGGCAGCACCTTCTGCAGAGTGATCCTGGGAGCTGGAAAGAAGACTCACTTTTCATTTTACAACCTTGGGCACTGTAAGGATATTTTGGGCTTGGTATGTGTGTTTTGTTGTTGTTGTTTTTTGTTTGTTTTATTATACTTTAAGTTTTAGGGTACATGTACACAACGTGCTGGTTAGTTACATATGTATACATGTGCCATGTTGGTGTGCTGCACCCATTAACTCATCATTTAACATTAGGTATATCTCCTAATGCTATCCCTCCCCCTCCCCCCACCCCACAACAGGCCCCGGTGTGTGATGTTCCCCTTCCTGTGTCCATGTGTTCTCATTGTTCAATTCCCACCTATGAGTGAGAACATGCGGTGTTTGGTTTTTTGTCCTTGAGATAGTTTGCTGAGAATGATGGTTTCCAGCTTCATCCATGTCCCTACAAAGGACATGAACTCATCATTTTTTATGGCTGCATAGTATTCCATGGTGTATGGTATGTGTGTTTTATAAAAATAACTTAATGAAACATTTTTAATGTCTCAGAGATAGTGTGTTCATGACAGTTCACCTCACTAGCATCTTCTGAATCCACTCATTTATTCATCCATTTGTCCATTGATTCAGCATTTTGGTGGCAGTCATTTTAGGAAGGAAGATATGAAAGCAGAGAAGACAAGGCCCCCACTTCCAGGACAGGATCCTCAGAGTCTAAGGGGGAAGGCCATGGGAGCAGGTGCTGAGAGGAGGAGGGTCTCCCCAGAGCTGAGGAGGGCTCAAGAGGCAGTGACTGACCTCACCTAGCTGCATGTGTGCAGTGGGGGCATGGCTGGGCAGCAGGGAGGGTCCAAGAAAAGGGGCTATCTAAGCTGGGCTTTGAAAGGCACATGAAGTTGGGTCAGATGAGGAAGGCCAGGCAGGAACCTTGGCATCCACTAGAGCAAACAATTAATGTTTCCAACTCAACCGACCTATTTGGCAGGAATGAGAAATTCATGAGCCAAAGGGGAGAGAGAAGGAAGGAGGCATTCAGACTGGGAGACTATGAGAGAGATTTTATGGTTTTTCATGGAAGAAATCACACCTCGTTTTATTATTTTTGATTTTTATTACGTTTACAAAAAAAAATCTGTACCCATCTTCAGTCACATGGCAACCAAAGACCCTGCTGCTCAGAGCAGTGAACTTTGTCTCTCCTCTTCCAGAGTAGCTCATGATATTACAGGGTCCAGTCCAGGGCTGCCGGGAGGACAATGCAGTTTCTCTTAGACACTGAAATACATTTCAATGACACAGCAGCAGGCCACTGAGAGCTTCTGGTAGGGCTTCTCAAACTTCTGTCATTCAAGGTCCCAGTTAATATAGGGCACTTGTAATCATAGCTGGATTCCTGGAGGTGTGAACTTGGGCAAGTCACTTTCTCTCTCTGAAAATCCAACATCCCCAACTTTCAGGATTGACACAAAGACTAATGTGACATTGTCCTACATCAATTGCCCATCATCATCTTATATCTCAAATGCCTTACATTTATCCTCTACGTGTCTGGGCAATATTCCCTGCCCAAGGACTTGTTGATAGCAGCCACCCAGGCTGCCCTCTGATCTCCCTTTTCTCTTCTTCCTCCTATAGTATCTTTCAGATCAGTCTTGCATTGACTCCCATAGACACAGTCGTGGTTCAGTTTTCATTCTGCCTCGCATTTTCTCCCTGACTTGGTGTTTCCACACATAGTGGAAGACATCAAGGTCTTTTGAAAATACAGATCTGATTATGTCAACCTCCTGTTTCTAATTCCTCAATGGCTCCCAATTGCCTAAAGGCAAATCACGACTACTCATGAGAGTATACAAGGGCCTTCCTGGCCAGCCTCTATCTACTCAATCAGCCTCAATTCTAGATTTTCCAAATCCCCTGTTTTATGCCCAACAGATATGATTATTAATCATTCCTAAAACCCACCGCATTTTCTCATGCTTCCATGCTTTTGCACAGGCTGTTCCCACTGCCTGGAACTACCATGCTTTCCAAACTTTCTCTTTATCTAGAAGTATTGTGCCTCCTTGGCATTTCCCCAGACACCTACGTTCCCTGGCTAGGTTAGGTGACTCTGCTCTGTACTCCTTCCTATAGTTGTCTGAGCTACCTCAGTCATCACAGTTAGCACAGAGCCTGGGCTCAGCTTTTCTCTGTACCCGCTTCTTTTGTTGACCTAGAGTGGCCTAAGTGGTGCATCCAGCACGGAGCATGGTTAGAGAGAACAGATGTGAGTCAAATGAGAGAATGTATGTCTCTGGTGCTAACCCAGGGTATGAGTGACAGCCCTTTGCCTGTGTTTCAGATACAATGTCCCTTGTCTGAGAGCTTCCACGGTATGTGGAAATGACCACCGTCACCTTCCACTAGGAGACTGTTTCTTCCAATGCAATTACCAGACATGTGGAACAACTGGGGCTTAACATCTTTCCATCATTAGAATAGAAGGTATTATGGCTCTCCAAAAAAACAGAACCAATAGGAAAGACATATAGATATATAGATATAGATATAAATTAATGAAAAGATTGTGAGGAATTGACTCATGTGGTTGTGGAGGCTGAGAATTCTCACCATCTTCTATCCACCAGCTGGAGACCCAGGAAAGTGAGTGCTGTAATTCCAGCCTGAATCCAAAGGCCTGACAACCAGGGAATTTGACGCTATAAGTCCCGGTCCAAGGGCAAGAGAAGATGAGATGCCCCAGCTCAACCAGGCATGCAGGAAGCAAAAGGGATGAATCTTTCCCTCCTTCCTCTGCCTTTTTGTTCTATTCAGCCCCTCGATGGATTGGATGGTTTCCACCCACACTGGGAAGGGCCATCTGCTTTACTAAGTTCCCCCACTTGAATGCTAGTCTCATCCAGAAACATCTGCACAGATACACCTGGAAAAAATTGGTGAATCAGAGCATTAACCCGTTGGCCCAGTCAAGTTGACACAAAATTAAACCATCACAGAAACTATCTCTTCTGAATAAATATATTTCTCCTTTCCATGGACAAATCTACCTTTAATTAATTTTACAGGGCTTCTGTGGGCAAAGGAATCTTAGAGTTCATCTAGTTAGTTCTGCCCCTGTGCCTGCTTTGCAGATGGGGAAACTGAGGCTCAGAGAGCAGACCTGAGTCCCAGGGCCTGCTGTGGGGCAGAGCTAGTCTGAGCTCCTTCCAGCACGCCTTGCTCTGCAGTGAGCCTGATTTATTTCCAGGGGCTGTGGTCTTGGCCCTCCTGGGCCTGCTGCCTTGTTTTCCCGTGGCCCCTTACAGAGCTCAAAACACTCCCCGCTCAGAAATGAGGTGATTACTCTCACTTTTGCAGATGAGGAAACAGAGGCCCAGACAAGTGCAGTGTCCCGAGGTCACCAGCAGAAGACTCAAACTGAGGTCCTCTGTCTCCTAACCCAGTGCTGTTTCTTCTAAAAAAAAACAAAAAAACCCAAACCCATTGGGATACAAGGACCAAGAAACGTAATTGTTTCTAGATAATTTAAAAGGCAAAGATGCATAGATACTGCCTGTGTCTTAGAAGCTGGAAGAAAATACAGTTCAGAAGGCTAGGGAAGAATGATAGAGGAGCATAGGGTAACTTCTCTAAATGCTGTTTACATACCTGGAATTCCACCACACCCTCTGCCAGTGCAAGCTTCCTCTTTCTGACCCATTTATTTCCTAGAAAAGAACTAAAACTCATGACTCCATTCCCCTTTGTAAAGTAGATATTCTTTACTATCTGAATCCAAATTATAGATCCTATGATCTCCTTACATATGTAATTTTAAGACAATAGATATGATGTGCTTTTACATATAAAGGAGAAATGGAATAAAAATGATTTGTAGTATATTTCTAAATATGCAAGTGCTTGGGCATGACCACACTGGAAGACATGATGAAACAATCAGATTCCCAACACCTATAAATAAGGAACCACTGTGAATGCACACTTACAAACACAGACCAACTTGGGTGTGTTTTGCTGGTGATTCAGAGACTATGAGTAGAATTGCTGAGAGTGTTGTAATTTTCCCAAACAGCAAGTGACTCTTGAAAGAACTCCAGACCAAACAAAGCACAAGCTTCTCTCACTTTACACTGTAGTTGCTTCCTAGAACATTTAGGAAATATTAACAGTGTGCACAAAAGCCCGTCTGAGTGTCTATGTAACATGTAGCTAGGTTCTGAGCTTAGATCATCATAAACGACTGTTTTACTTGCATGAATGTCCACCGGCACATTTTTTTCATACCCTTAGCTTGACTTCAGTAGCACATTTTTAAGTAGGGTGGGATATGAAGTAATTTTTGTACAGTAAACAAATGATGGATGCAGGGTAGGGTAGTACACCTATGTAACTCACACTAGCCAGACCGTGGTTAATACAGGGTTTGGCGGGAGATAGGTAGATAATAGTAAATAATGATAATAAAAATAATAGCTAGCACTTGTATAATTTGTGCCAGGAACTTTTTTTTTTTTTTTTTTTAGACGGAGTCTCACTCTGTCACCCAGGCTGGAGTGCAGTGGTGCGATCTTGGCTCACTGCAACCTCTGCCTCCCGGGTTCAAGCAATTATCTGCCTCATCTGCCTCAGCCTCCTGAGTAGCTGGGATTACAGGTCCCTGACACCATTCCTGGCTAATTTTTGTATTTTTAGTAGAGGCGAGGTTTCACCACCTTGGCCAGGCTGGTCTTGAACTCCTGACCTCATGATCCATGTGACTTGGCCTTCCAAAGTGCTGGGATTATAGGCGTGAGCCACCGCGCCAGGCCATGTCAGGGACTTCTAAATGCTTCCTATATATTAATGTATTGATTCCTCATAACAATCCTGTCAGATTGATGGCAGTATTATTCTCATTTTACAGATATAGGAACAGAGACATAGAGAGGTTATAGGACTTTCTGGAGGTTACACAGGTAAAAGGCATTTAGTTCAGCATGACAAATGCCCAAGAATACCTCCTACCTGCTGTCTGCAGGGGCAGTATGGAAACTGATCATGCTCTGGGTCCACAGGAGAGGGACCTAATACACACACACACACACACACACACGCACACACACACACGCATATATATGGAGAGAGAGAGAAGAAAGGTTTATTATGAGAAATTGGCTCATGTGATTACGGAGGCTGAGAAGTCCCATGATCTGCCATGTGAAAGCTGAAGACTCAGTGGATCCCATGGTATAATCCAGTTTCAGTCCAAAGGCCTGGAACCAGGGGAGCCAATGATGTCAATCCCATTCTGAGGGCAGGAGAAGGTGAGATGTGATGTTGCAGCTCAAGCAGTAATGCTGTAAAAATGGGGGGAAGTTCCCCATTCCTCTACCTTGCTCTATGCAGGCTGTCGATGGACTGGATGGTGACCACCCACACTGGGGAGGGCCATCTACTTCACTGAGTCTGCTGATTCAAATGCTAATCTCATCCTAAAACACCCTCACAGACAAACCCCGAACAAATGTTTAATCTGGGCATCTCGTGGCTCATTCAAGTTGACACTAAGACTGACCATCCCAGATCCAGTATGGGGCCATGTGTTTACTTCTGGCCAATGGACTGTGAGCAGAGTGGCTTTTGTCAGTTACAAGTCAATCTGCTGCCTCCCTTTTCTCCTGTTACAGCAGCCTTGCAGGCTATGTGTCCTGATGGCAGAGGTACAATATAGAGCACAGCCACATGACTCAAATCTGACTCTGATCTGAGCACCAAATAAATCCATCTTAGCTTAGGGAATTTTTGTTGTTGACTAAACTAGCTACACCTGACTAATACAATAAAATGTATCCATCTTTACCCTGAAAAAAGAAATTTCTAGGGGTTAAATTGTAGACTTTGTGAGTTAGGTCATTTGGGGTTGGGTGGTATCAGTCAGGGCACACTAGATTATGCTTCAAGGAAAACCCAAATCTCAGTGACTGTAACCAATAAAAGTTTATTTCTTTCTTTCCCTATGTAACTGTCATGGAGCAGGTGAGGGCTCACACACTTGTCCTACCTTTAGGGCCCAAGCTGGTGGGGCCGCCACCATTAGGAGCATTATTGCTCAGCGTTGCAGCAGGAAGTGGGGAGCGTGCAGAGTGGACACTGGAGATGCCAACTGCAGGTGCCACCAGTCACTTCTGCTTGCACCTTATTGACCCATTGGCCACGCCTAGTCATGTGACATGGCTTCAGGGGGCCTGTGTACCTGGAGCCTTGGAGGAGAAGGGAAAATTCTACCTGGGGCCTTGGAGGAGAAGGGAAAACTATGGGTGGCATTAAGAGAGAGTCTCAAGTCACCTAAGAGGGCACTCTGTGTTTTCTCAGCTTTCTCATTTTGACTTGAGCATTCCAGACAAGCTTCTTTAGACCAACTGCCTCCGTTTCTCTAACTCTATAAAGATTTCTTTGGTTGTTAGAAACCCCACAAATGTCTTTCCACCTATTGCCATCAGGGTGAAGCTGTCCCCCATGTTTGCCTCCATTGCTGGACTGTGAACTCCTCAAGATCATGGACAGCATCTTATTCCTCTGTGTCTGCATCCTTCAGACAGGAGGGATGCTCAGGAAATTACTTTTGAACGAATGAGTTCTTGTTGAGGGTTGGGCAGAGGAGAATGCTTCCTGATAGCCAACACTGGAGCAACCTGGGTAGTCCCAGAGACAGCTTTGAGCCACCATACAGTAAAGGATGCTGCAGCATTCAAGGGGCTGTTTTGAAAGACAATGCTGCAATTTTAGTAACAGGGGTGTGAACGAAAAGGCCAGTAAGAATGACCTTCTGACAAATAAATGTGATTCTAAACTTTCTCTGCAGTCCTGGTACCTCCCTCTCCTTACCTCTCCTTGTGGCTTGGGCAGGTCTTGCTCCTCTGCAGATCTGGGTATTTTCCTGAGCAGCAAGGAAATGGACTTACTTATCTGTGGATGCTCTTTTAGTTTCCACCAAGCAGGAGCTGAGCTCCAAATTCTTCTACACTAAGAAGGTCAGGCAGACAGCACCTTCTGAGGTATCTGAAGCTATGTGCATCTTCCCTCCCACAGTTTATTCTCAGCTCCCTCCAGAGCTCTGAGCTCCAGGAGCTTGGCCTTATATCTAGACCTGCTCCAAGTGTGTGCTCCCCAAGCAGGGTCTTTGTGGCCAATAGGCCACCTCCCCCTCCTCCGTCTCTGTCTTTGAAGACACTCAGCCCTAAGTCACAGAGGGCTGTGACTATAGCTTTGCTCTGACGGGTTTTTGTTTGTTTGTTTTGTTCTTAAACTGGGGCAGAATTATTTGTGTATTTATTCATTTCATGTGCAAAATATGTATCGAGTGCCCATGATGTTCTAGGCAGTGTTTTATGCACAAAGAATTCTAAGACAAACAGGGCCCCTTTCCTCCTGGTCTTACACTTTGCGGGAAAGCAAGCAACAGGTCAGCTAGCAAAGACAGAAACGCCATCATTCTGAGTGCCATGGTGAGCATGAGACAGATTCATGCGATAGAGGGAGAATGGGAGGTAGACATCTTTGAATAGAGGTGATGGAGAGCCCTGCGGTACAGCCAAGAGTTGACATGAGGTCTGAAGACCACTGTGTCTGCCACCACCTGCCACCTAGCTCCTGATTGAGGAGGATTGGAATGCCCAAGCTCCCCATGGAAATTAGATTTCTAAGGTAGGAGATTTGTAGGGTAAGAGAAAAAAAAACTAACATTGGCTGAGTACTTATTATATACACATTTTAATGTGTAATTAAGTATCCTACAAAATTAATGATGTAAGGATGAGTTATACCTTTTTAAAAAAAAATTTATGAGACAAAGTTTTGCTCTTGTCGCCCAGGCTGGAGTGCAGTGGCGCAATCTCGTCTCACTGCAACGTCTGCCTCCCAGGTTCAAGCGATTCTCCTGCCTCAGCCTCCCGAGTAGTTGGGACTATAGGTGCCCGCCACCACACCTGGCTAATTTTTGTGTTTTTGGTAGAGACGGGGTTTCACCATTTTGACCAGGCTGGTCTCAAACTCCTGACCTCAAGTGATCCACCTGCCTCAGCCTCCAAAAGTGCTGGGTTTACAGCTGTGAACCACCACACCTGGCCTGATTTATGCCTGTTTTTAAAGACAAGAAAACTGGAGGCCTGGGTGAGCAAGTAAATTTCTCAGCTGGTCACCCAGGTGGGAAATGGGATTTGAGATATGATCTCACTTGCTGAGGTAACACACTGAGTCCTTAATCATTAAGATCTCACTGTTGCTTTATGGATCAGATCACTTTATTGACAATGTGAACATAGTTCTTTGTTAAGGGGGTTGCCCTATGCATTGTAAAATATGTGGCAGCATCTTTGGTCCCTACCCAACAGATGCCAATAGCCCCTCTCATCAATTATGTTAGCCAAAAATGTCTCCAGATATTGCCAAGTATCCCCTAGGGGCAAAATCATCTTGGTTAAGAACCACTGGTCCAGAACTTTTATGACCATATCTTAGGAAATACATTTCTAATCTACGGAAGGTAAAATATGTGCCCTGCTTTCAGATGCCACCTACAATATACTGATCACTCCAGATCAGATATTTTCCTGCTCCAGAAATATGTTACCAATCATCTATTGGACATTTCCAAGGTGTTTCCTTTGCCATGTCCCCAAGGCATCTGAACTCATCTGACACCAGGCCCACATCTTCCCTTGTGTTTCTGGTCTCTGTGAATGGCTTCTCCAGGCTCATCCTTGCTCAAACCAGAAACCTAGGGAGTCATCTTAACTTCTTCCTCTTCCTCATCTGTCTCAGTCAACCAACTGAGTCATGCCATCCTTTGTCTTAGAGCTGTTCACTCTTCACTCCACTGGGACCAAGGGTTCAGTTAAGTACACGGTAGCCAGCAAAGGGCACTTAGCTTAGGGGCAGTGGGGCTGGCAGGAGCCCTGATCCACATAGATGCCGATATGGTTTAGATCTGTGTCCCTGCACAAATCACAAGTTGAATTGTAATCCCCAGTGTTGGAGGTGGGGCCTGGCGTTAGGTGATTGGAACATGGGGGTGGATATCCCGCTTGGTACTGTCCTTGTGATGGTGAGTTCTCATGAGTTCTGGTTGTCTAAAAGTATGTGGCACGACCAGGAGCAGTGGCTCACATCTGTAATCCCAGCACTTTGGGAGGCCGAGGTGGGTGGATCACCAGAGGTCAAGAGTTTGAGACCAGCCGGACCAACATGGAGAAACCCCGTCTCTACTAAAAATACAAAATTAGCCAGGTGTGGTGGTGCATGCCTGTAATACCAGCTACTCGGGAGGCTGATGCAGGAGAATCACTTGAACCTGGGAGGCGGAGGTTGCAGTGAACCGAGATCACGCCATTGCACTCCAGCCTGGGGAACAAGAGTGAAACTTCGTCTCAAAAACAAAAGCAAATAAACAAACAAAAAAAGTAGGTAGCACCTCCCCCTCTCTCTCTTGCTAGGGCTCTGGCCATGTAAGATGCACCTCCTTCCCTTTAACCTCCCACAACCGTGACTGTAAGTTGTCTGAAGCCCCCCAAGAAGCAGAAGCCACTATGCTTCCTATACAGCCTGCAAAACCATGAGCCAATTAAACCTTTTCTTTATAAATTACCTAGTCTCAGGTATTTCTTTATAGCCGTGCAAGAACTGACTAACAGAGAAAATTGGTACCAAGGAGTAAGGCATTACTAAAAAGATACCTGAAAATGTGGAAGTGGCTTGAAACTCAGTAATGGACAGAGGTTGGAAGAGTTTAGAAGGCTCAGAAGAAGACAGGAAGATGAGGGAACATCCTAGAAACTTGTTGAATGGTTGAGACCTGAATGCTCATAGTAATATGGACAGAGATGGCCAGACTGATAAGGTCTCAGATGGAGATGAGGAACTTACTGGGAAGTAGAGTAAAGGGCACTTTTGCTGTACCTTAGCAAAGAGTCTGGCTGCATGGTGCCCCTGCTCTAGGTATCTGTGGAATGTTGAACTTGAGATTGATGATTTAGGGTGTTTCTCCACCTCCCAGCAAAATACCCTAAATCATCATGTGGTGTGTGTTTACACGATGAAAGCACACACCACATGATGACCACACATGGGTATTTAAGGATAAGGTGTGTGACTTACCTATTTTTGGCATTACTTTGTGCTTAACTGAGAGAAGGCACTCATTCAATACTTTTAAAATAGTAATAATAATAATGGTAATTTTATTTCTGAAGATGAAATTAGACACTGAAACATGTGGTTCCCATGCATTAGCACAGGAATCTTCACAACCACCCTATGTGGTAGAAACTATTAAACACAATTTGTGAATATTGAGATTAACTTATTTATTTTCCTCAAATAAGAGAAGACTTGAATCTATATATTCAAAGGGTACTGTATATCAGAGAACACTGATCCAAAGTAGTCAATACTGATAATATATGCCGATAAAGTTATTGAACTAAAGGTAAAGAAATAATTATTTGGCCAGCCAGGCAAAAAGCTCAAGTCACATATAATAAAGGGTTAAAAATCAGTCTGATTTTCTACAGGCCACAGCAACTCAATATCAGAAGATTCAGTATCAGAATATGAAGTGGAATGACACAACACCACGATACCTTCAAGAAAAGAATGTGTGAGACAAAGATTTATACCCAGCAAGGCTGGTCTTAAAGACAAACAGGTTTAACAATACAAGAACTCAGGAAATGTTCTCATGAGTCCTTTTTGAGGGAAAGAAGTACTGAAAGATGAACCTCATTTCAGCTCACCAAAATGTCATGGAGAACTTTGACAAAAGTTGATTGTGAGCATGGATATATTTAAATATATTTAACTGGTAAGTTGAGGCTTAAACAAAGACGGAGTTTAGGTGACAGAGCTGAATGCAAATATAGCTAACAAAAAGTGGGATGGGAAGATTGTAATTTTGCTGATCTGCAATAGTTGCAAGTGTAAGAATTGTTGTTAACAGTTGACACATCAAATAGTAGAGTTCTAAGCATAGTTAATAATTAAAAGGTACTGCTAAGAAAAATAATAGTCTTAACTGAAATCTGATCAGGGACTGTGAATTTTATTATTACTTATGGGAGTGAAATATAAAAGAAACTAAAGAAATAGACCAAGATATAATTATGCAGATAGGTATTATAATAAAAATATTAACTTTCCAAATTTTATAAGAATCACTCACACACACACACACACACACACACGCACACAGAGACCACCTGTTAAATTTTTAAACTCTTAAAATAGAAAAGAATACATAAAATCATATGACAAAAAAAGACTAAATGTTATTTGTCTTATCAGTCACTATAAATGAGTTTAGCTTGCCTACTGAAGGAAGAAGTTCCCAGACTGAACTACAGAGAAAAACTCGATGTGTAACGTATCACATTTAGACATATTTAAAATAAAGTGGTTCATACAAATTGAAAATGCAAAGATGTGCAACATTTGCAGGCAAAAGCCACCAAGAGAAAGTGGTGGTCACAATCTTAATATCAGACAAAGTGGAATTCTTGCAAAAAAACCATTAAATAAGACAAAATTGGAAACCTATAATACTAAAGGGTATAATTCATGACAAAAATTAAAGTTATAAATATTGATAACTAAATATAATAGTAATAATAGCCATAAAGTACAAATTATAGAAGCTAAAAGGAGGAAGAAACAAAAACACACTGGTTATTAGGAGAATTTAATTCATTTTTGTTTAAGTCCGTGACAGATCCAAACATTCAAAGAGAGAATTTAAAATATAATGTATAAGCTATATTTGGCATATATTTCAAATGCCATACCGTGAAAATAGAATATATTCCTTTTTTATTTTTTAGATTTTTTTTTTTTTTTTGAGACAGAATTTTGCTCTTGTTACCCAGAATGGAGTGCAGTGGCGCGATCTCGGCTCACTTTCACTGCAACCTTCGCCTCCCAGGTTCAAGCAATTCTCCTGCCTCAGCCTCCCTTCTTAGATGTTTTTAAAACATCTACAACTGAACATACTAGGCCAAAAGGAAACCTTAATAAATTCCAAAATGTCAAAACAATACAAACCATTTTCTGACCATAATTCAATAAGACTAGAAATTAATAATAAAACTATAGGCTCTTTTACTTGGAAACTCTATAAAGTGTTATCTTCTAAATAACTCTTTGGTCAAAAAGGAAATACAAACCCAAACTGCAGAATGTCTAACAGCCGAACATATGGATAGAGATAAAAAGTGCTCGTAGAAAAATTCATAGACTTAAATAATTATGTAAAATTAAATAACGTATGCATTAGACACAAAAGTTAGAAAAAGAACATTGAAATATATGACTAGAGAGAAGTAACTTTAAAGACAAAAGCAGAAAGCAAACTAATAAGTGAAACTAACATGTATTGATTTGAAAAACAGTAAGATAAAATAGATGAACTATAATCCAACCTGCTTAAGAAGAAAAGGAAAAAAAGTCAATAAATAAGAAATGATAAGTAGGAAATAATCATGAAAAGAGAGAAAATTCATGAGACCACGTTGCTCAACTTTCAAATAAATTTGACACACTTCTATTTATAACGTACTCTTAGCCAAAAACAAACAAACAAACAAACAAAACCTGAATTTGATCTAGCCTCCAGATGAACCAATACAGGGGAAATAAGAACATTCTAAATGATACCTAAGGAGAAAATCAGCACATTTCAGAGTATAAAAAGTCCACCAGGAAGTCCAGGTACGGTGGCTCATGCCTATGATCCCAGCACTTTGGGAGGCCGAGGCGCGTGGATCACTTGAAGTCAGGAGTTCAAGACCAGCCTGGCACACATGGTGAAACCCACATCTCTATTAAAAATACAAAAATTAGCTAGGCGTGGTGGCATGCGCTTGTAGTCCCAGCTACTCAAAAGGCTGAGGCAGAAGAATCGCTTGAACCTGGGAGGTGGAGGCTGCAGTGAGCCGAGATCATGCCACTGCACTCCAGCCTGGGTGACAGAGTGAGACTTCATCTCAAAAAAAAAAAAAAAGTCTGCCAGGAAGATGACCTTGTTTATTCAACAAATAAATTTTGAGGAAAGATATCTGGGAGAGGAGGAGGTGAGATTTATAGAAAAACCTATAAATGAAGAGATTTAAGACACATATCCAGCAGGTGTAATTGTCTAGAGCTTATTTGGACCCTGATTTCAACAAATAACTGAATGACTTCCTGTTTAAAAAATAATACTTATGGGCCGGGCGCGGTGGCTCACGCCTGTAATCCCAGCACTTTGGGAGGACGAAGCGGGCGGATCAGGAGGTCAGGTGATCGAGACCATCCTGGCTAACACGGAGAAACCCCATCTCTACTAAAAATACAAAAAATTAGCCAGGCGTGGTGGCGGGTGCCTGTAGTCCCAGCTACTGGGGAGGCTGAGGCAGGAGAATGGCGTGAACCCGGGAGGCGGAGCTTGCAGTGAGCCGAGATTGCGCCACTGCACTCCAGCCTGGGTGACAGAGCGAGAATCCGTCTCAGAAAAAAAAAAAAAAAAAAGAATACTTATGTTTTAGTGACACAGCCTGAAAGTTCTGCAAGCAAAAGAATACAATATCCCAGGATTGCTACAAAACACTCCAGACTCAGGAGGAGGGTGGGGGGAAGTAGGGTGGGATTCCACATTCAATAGGAGTGATTGTGAACCGATAGTTGCTGGGTCCTGGGTAGCTGGAGCTCAGTATACTATTCTTTCGTAACTTTATATATGTCTAAAATTTTTCATAATACAAATAAATTTGTAAAAATGTTTGGAACCCAGTTGAAATATAAACCTTTCCGGAAAAAAAAATTTATGAAATTTGACCCCAGAAAATAATGAAAATTCAAACTTTGTAATTACCAGAGAATAAATATAAAAAGTTGCCAGAAAGTTAACCTTCTCTTTTTCCCCACCTCCCAGCAAAAGGAAAAAGATGTTTTCACAGAGGACGTCTTCCAAATCCTTAGAAGGTAAACAGTTCCAACGCGATTTATATTATTCCAGTACATAGAGAAAATGGAAATTCTATGATTCTTTCATGAAGTGAAAAACACATCAGCACCAAATATCGAGAAAGATTTCACAAAAAAAGGAAAAAACAATGTCTCCCTAATAGATGTTAAAGCAAAAATTTTAAATAATATATTAACAAATAAAATCTAGCATGACACTAAGAAAATTAAACATCATGACCTGGTAGAATTTATGCAAGAATTCAAGAATGTGTTCAATATTATAAAATCTGTTAACATAATTTATTACAATAATTATATAAAACACAAAGGTACACTTGAACAAAGGAAATTATGTAATCTGTTCTCGGTTAGGGAAATTCAATCGTGTAACAATGCCAAATCTCTCTAGGTTGGTTTCTAAATTTAGTGTAATCCTAACAAAAATATCAAGTTTTGGTTTTGGTTTTAGAAGTAGACTAGATGGACCAGGCACGGTGGCTCACCCCTGAAATCCCAGCACTTTGAGAGGCCGGCAGAGGCTGGGGGATCACCTAAGGTCAGGAGTTTGAGACCAGCCTGACCAACATAGTAAAACCCTGTCTCTACTAAAAAGACAAAAAATTAGCTGGACGTGGTTGTGGGCACCTGTAATCCCAGCTACTTGGGAGGCTGAGGCAGGAGAATTGCTTGAACCTGGGAGGCAGAGGTTGCAGTGAGCCGAGATCGCACCATTGCACTCCAGCCTGGGCAACAGAGTGAGACACTGTCTCAAAAAAAAAAAAAAAAAAAAGTAAACTAGATGATTCTAAAGTTTATATTGAAAACAAACAAGGACAAATCTGAACAAAAATAACAATGACTAGGGGTCCAGTCATATCAGATATTAAAATATGTCATGGAGCTCAATAATTAATGAATTTAATTAACCATTAATTAAATTAGTATTGCACTATTACATAAATAGTCTAATGGAACAGGAGAGAAAGTTGATTAATACAATGAGATACATTCTGTAATGTAGTATAAAATAAGATAAAAGTGGTATCTTAAGTCAGCAGAGAAAAGATATTCAATAAAGGATAGCAGGTCAACTGAATATCGGTCTAAACATAGCTCACTTCATACACTAGAATAAACTCCAAATAGATAAAATAGTTAAGTACAAAATTTCAAACTATAAAAATATTAGAAGAAAATATGGAGTAAGAAGGCTTATTTAGTTACAGTTCAGAATCCAATATTTATAAAAGAATTGATTGATAAATTATATGATAAGCAATTTTTAAAAATTTCTACCTAGCATAATAAAACCATTAGCAAAATCAAAAGACAAAATCAAGCTAGGCAAAATATTTGCAAGTCATATTACAGATCAAGCTTTTAATCTTCATAATATGTAAAGAGCTCTTAGAAATGATAAAAAGAGTAATAACTAAAAAGAAAAATGGGCAGAAGATATGAATAGAAAGTTCACAGTAAAAAACATAAATGGTTTTTAAAATACAGAAAGACACAACATAAGAGATAATCAAATTGAAACAACACTGAGATGCCATTTTTCATCTATCAGGTTGGTAAAAAAATTAAATATTGACCACACATTGTGTGTGTGAGGTTGGGTAGAAACTGGTAAATTGCAGGAGAGAGTGTAAATTGGTACAAACTCTATGGAGGGCAATTTTGGAATACTAGCAAAGCCATAAAAGCATATATACCCTTTGAGCCATCGATCTCATTTCTGGGAATTTACCCAACTGATAAGCTTGCTCAGTTACTAAGTGACAAATTATTGCAGTATTGCTTGTAGTAAAACCTTGGAAACATACATAATGTCCCTCAAGAGGAGACTAATTAAATAATCCTAGTATATCCATTCCGTGGAATATATGCAGATGCCAAAAAGAATACAAATATTTTTATATATTATAAGAGATTCGGGATGTATTGGTACTTGAAATAGGACGCAAGAGGTGTTTAGGTATGCTACTTTGTGTGATGGAAGTGCGTGGTGATAAGCATATACCTTTATACATGTTTGTTTTCTGTAGGAATCTCAGGAAGATAATAAAGGTGGTTATTATGGCGGGGGTGGGGAACTCAGTGGATA
Organism: Homo sapiens; assembly: GCF_000001405.40. Lineage (NCBI taxonomy): Eukaryota > Metazoa > Chordata > Mammalia > Primates > Hominidae > Homo > Homo sapiens. Next base: position 133,329,209 of record NC_000008.11, on the reverse strand, counting down.
GCAGGCAAAAATGGGAATAAGAACTTTTCCTGTGTGCCTTTTGAAACTGCTTATTTTGTAAGCTATTGAAATGTATTTCCTATTCAAAGTTACTTGATAAGCATTGAAACCTTTGCAAAGTTAGCACAAAGTCACTGTGGAGATGGAGGGGTGCAAGGCAGAGGGGAGAAGTGGCTCCGGTTCTCCAAGGAGGAGCCTGGATAGGCCCCTCAGAGTCTCTGCTCACAGGTGAGGGGCTGGCCAACAGACCACAGGTCATAATACTCCCAGTTGTGTGAGAATGAGCAACCCCAGACCATCCAGGCAGCCCTGAGTCAGCATCCAGGCCTGCCTCTGCATGCAGAGAAGTGGTTTTCTCAAGGTGAGTCCATGAAGAACGTGCTTCTGGCCTGAGTTATCTGTCTGGGGCAAAACGCAGGCTTTACCAAACTTTCCCAACTGGAGGACACACCCAGCTGTCTGTGGCGAAAGCCAAGGTTGTGTCCCACAGTCGAAGCCAAATAGAGGCCCGAGGAGGCTGTCCAGAAAACCCAGCAATGGCAGAGGAAAAAGAGAGCTTCCATCAGCCATCACCTAGTCAGACGGTTCACTCCCTTTCCTTCCTGAAAACACAGCGTAGCCCAAGGAAAGACAGTGTGGGTTTCTGTGTTAGATAGGGGAGCAGCTTCCAGCTCTGATGCTCAACAGTTAAGGGTAACTCCGGACAAGTCACTGAAGCTCATGAGAACTCAGTTTCCTATCTATGGAATGGGTACGCTTGTGCCCAACTCACAGAATTCTTGGGAGGATTAGAAATAATGCATGTAAAGTGCTTGGCATTTTGTGCTCAGTTCAGGGTAACCACGTGGGATCCATGTGTTAACATATCTTTCACTTCCAGCTCTGCCTAGTGGAGACTTTCACCGGGGAGAGATCTCTGAGCAACTACCTAGCTATTATCTAGCCTCATTAGATAATTGGTTATGTTTACATAGTCTAGGTTTAGCCAGATGGGGCAAAGGGACTAGTTCAGGAATGGCAAATACCCTGACCATGTGTACATGTCATATTTCTACTCTATGCCTAGGGTAGACATTGCTAGTCTACCCTAGACATTTCTAGTCTACCCTAGACATCACTAGTCTACCCTAGACATCGCTAGTCTGCCCTAGACATCACTAGTCTACCCTATGGCATGGAGAATTCTTCTCAATGCCGTGTTCCAGACAGCCATTGTCCATTGACTGCCGTGCAGAAGAGGTGAAATCCACTTAGCAATTCTGGATAGATATCTAAAGCCCCATCACAATCTTGCTTCCTCTGATTTCTCAGTTTCTATCAAAAATGACAATAAAAAACACTTTTAATATTTAATTTTAAAGAACATTAAAATAGATGACCACTTTCACATTATTTAATTAACATCAAAACATTTGATGTGATGTGGACCAGGTCACAGGCAGAGCTTTCCCGCAAGGTTCTACTATACCTGGAGGGACTGTCACCTGGCATGAACTCAACCCCTGCCTGGCTCACCTTTCGTCAGGAGATTCTGTAGGACCAACACATGTTCTTCTGCATTCGCACTTTTTATTTTGTTTCTTTATTTTGGAGACAAGATCTTGCTGCGTCACCTAGGCTGGAGTGCACTGGCACAATCACAGCTTACTGCAGCCTCAAACTCACAGGTTCAAGCGATCCTCCCTCCTCAGCCTCCTGAGTAGCTGGGACTACAGGCATGCACCACCCCATCCAGCTAATTTTTTTGTATTTTTTGTGGAGACGGGGTCTCACAGGCTGGTCTCAAACTCCTGGCCTCAAGCTATCCTCCCACCTTGGCTTCTCAAAGTGCTGGGGTTGTAGATATGAGCCACCGCACCCAGCCTACATTTACACGCTTGAAATAAATTCTGTGTATCCAGTTCACTCGGCACTAGTTCTCTAGGCTTTGTTGTGGTGGACCTGCGGGAAAGGGAAGGGACAGAAGATATTTATTTAGTACTGACTGTTTGCTAAACAATCTATTTAATCTTTTCTTTTTAGTCATCTTTTGAGGTAGATGTTACTACCCCCATTGTACAGTGGTAAAATTAAGGCTCAGAGAGTTTAAATGGCTTCTTCCCAAGGTCTCAGAGCCAGTAAGCTGACTGAGTAAATTTCTTGCATGTTTAAACAACAGTTATGAGGCAGAACAAATCCTCCCAAATAAAACTTGTCTGGATCTGATTTCTGTTTGTTCCTTAACTTGAAGTGTTGGAACATATCTGGGGCCATAGAGTGGTAGAACTGTTTAATTTGGATGCACAGTGTACATGGTTTCACGATTATAGCTCGTTTTGTTTTGTTCTGATTTCTGCAGCACTGTGGAATAGTCAGCCCACATCCCTATGGAACCACCCACCTTTCCAAAAAATCCTCCAAGCTGGTAAAGGCTGGATTGTCAAGGAAGTCCCCCACTGTGCCTTTTTCTTTCTGGCAGCCCTCTGCTCCATTGATGAAGGTTCAGCCAGGAGTCCTGGGCTGCCCCTCCATCAAGACCAAGCTGGCTCACGGTCACTTGTGACAATAAGTAAAGCATCCCCATCATCATCATCAACTGACAAAAACTGATCCCACCCCAGTCCCCATGCTGGGGCCTGGGTGCTAAAGACAAGATCTCGGCTGAGCACGCCACTGCCTGGGCCTCAGAGTGAGCTATGCGCTTGTACTTTATAAGATGTACCTCCGTTTATCCACACCATGGATTATACCAACTCATGGGATAAATGCTAATTCTTTTGGCAGTTTTTACAGTTTTATTTAAACACAAACGTGCACATGAGCTGTCTACTCATTTTCTTTGCCACGCTGCCTGGCATTAGGGTTGGTGACTCTGATGGCTAGCTGGGCGGCTCTTTCCATGTTGGCTTTGTGGTTCTTGGAGGCAACATTGTGAGCGATGTCAGCACAGTAAGATTTATTGCACATCAGCAGCACTTCCAGCTCCTTGACATTGTGGACCAGGAACTTCCAGAAGCCACTGGGCAGCATGTGCTTTGTTTTTTGGTTGCTCCCATAACCAATGTTGGGCATCAAGATCTGGCCTTTGAACCTTCTGTGAACCCTGCTGTCAATACCTCTGGGTTCCCATCAGTTACACTTAATTCTGACATATCAGTCTGACTGGTGACGGATGAACTTCTTGGTTCTCTTTTTGACGATCTTGGACTTCACAAGGGGTCTAAGGGCGGCCATGATGCTGAGGAGATGGCTGCCACCTCATAGGCAGCGCTGAGGAAGAGGATAAATGCTATTATTAAACCCATTGTACGGATGAGGAAACTGAGACTCCAGAGGGTGAAGTAGCTTGTATAAGGTCATGTCCTTAGCAAGTGCATCTGGATTTACATTCTGAGCTCTTGACTAATCTATATTGCCTCCAATGGGCTCCTTCATTAGAGACTTGTAGTAGTTAGATTATGTCTAATTATGAGTAATAGAAAAAAAACCCAAATAACAGCAGTTTAAGCAACATAGACGTTTACTTCTCTGTTGTGTCCAAGGCATTCCAAGGAGCTGTCTGGGCTGGTATGGAGCCCCAGAGTGTCAATGAATCAGGTTCCTTCTCTCCGTTGTTCTGTGCTGCATTGGTTTCATGCCTAAGGTCACCTTCTGGTCCACAGTAACTGCTGGAGCTCCAGCCATTGCATTTCACTCTTGCCAGCATAAAGGAAGAAACAAATTAACTTGTGCATGCTTTTTCTTGAAGCATATTTTCTAGAAGTTTTCAAACCCTTCTAATTAGATCGCTTTGGCCAAAACATTGTCACATACCAGGGAAACTGGGAAATATCTATTTAGGCTGGTTATCTGTTAAAATTTGGTGTTCTGTTATGAAAGATGAAGAGGAGATTGAATACAACCCATTATTTCTTTATTTGAGGCCAAAACAAGGGCCTGGGCTGGGAATTAATGTATTCATTGTTGAATAATTTATTTATTCTTAAAACTAATATGTAGGAAGGGTTTCCTTTGTGCTCATCTGATTCTCCATCCTGGGGACCCAGGGTAACTAAGACAGACACAGTCTCTGCTGCCATAGTCTTGCAGTTCATAGTCACACAGTTAAAGTCATGCCTCTGACTTTAACACGCTTTGTGACTCCAATACACCACGTCCTTCTTTGAGCGTTGGTTTTGTTATCTACAGAATTGTTGGATCCTGTAACTGATAAGCACTTTCTAGCTAGCATATTCCCTGATGAGGTGTCTCTGAGATTTAGGAGAAAGGTCAGATGATAAAGAACCTGGCTTCCATTTTCTCCTTTGGGATAACAATCACTAACTTGCTGGGTTATTATTTAAATTGGGTGGGTCCGATGGGGAAGTGCCCAGAAAGGTGCCTGGCAGAGAAGGGGGTCTTTTGTTTATATGTCTCCCTGTCTCTTAAAGAAGAAGGAAATTCCCTGGCCATGTAAGGAGAATGCAATTGGAACTTCAGGACATCCAGGGAGTATGGGGTGCCCAGGGTTTGGAAGCTGTCGGGGGAGGTTGGAGGGCACCAACAGTCTCCCACTCACTCCCCACAGTAGCCTGGCTCTGGAAAATTTTCTCTAACCCTAGGGTAGAGGATCACTGCAGCCTTTTTACCCAGGATGGGGAGTCTCTCTGAGAGGCAGCACGTGGATTCTGGAGCCTGTCAGCCTGAATTTAAATCCTGACTCTGTCACCTACTAGCTTATAGTATGGGCTAAATTGTGTCCCACAAATTCATAGGATGATACCCTAACCTCTAGTACCTCAGGATGTGACTGTATTGGAAGACAGGTCTTTACAGAGGTCCTCAAGTTAAAATCAGATTACTAGGGTGGCCTAATCCAATGTGACTGGTGTCCTTAGGAGAGGAGAAAACATGGGCACAGGTACAGAGGGAAGACCATGTGAAGACACACAGAGGAGACAGCCACCTACAAGCCAGAGAGACCTCAGAAGAAACCAACCCTGCCAACATCTTGATCTCAGACTTCTGGCTTCCAGACCTGTGAGACAATCAATTTCTGTTGTTTGAGCCCCATAGCCTGCAGTTGTTTATTATGGCAGCCCTAGCAAACTGCTACGAGCTCTGTGATGTGACACCTTTTTCACTTAAACTTTCTGTGTTCACTTTCCTCATTTACAAAACTGGTAGTACAGTAACATCTCCCTCATAAGAATGTTCTGAGGCTATCAACATGGAGAGTACTTAGAACAGGGCCTGGCACAGGATTTGCTCTCAGTAAGCATAAGCTACAATTATGATGGTGAGTACCCGCCCACCTCCTCTCCAGACCTCAAAGGCCGAGGTTCCTGTCTATGCCCCTCCCTCTAGCATTCAGTGGAATTGGGGGCTGTGCTCCTAGTAGGGAACACTCCTGGACAAACCAGGCCTGAGCTGACTCAATGCATGATGAATGAATGAATGCAGCCTTGAACGTTTACTGGAAACAAGTGTTTCAATCAACACCGGTGGATATCTTAATTGTAAATGCTTAAAGGCAGAGATGAAACTGTTGGTAGTGGGTACGGTATGTGAGTGCCCAAGGGTGAAAATAGGGGATTTCTTTTAGGGGAGAGGCAGTGATGCTAACAGTCACCTACCCGGCAGGTGAGCCAGGCCAGAGACACCGGCCCCAGGCCAGAGGCTTGCCTGTATTTTGGGAGGCTGACACAGCTGCCTGGGGAACGCGGCCGACGAGGAGGACGTGACTGAGCACGCGGGCAAGTGGGTGCAAGGTGGCAAAGCTGTCGGAGAAGCTAGGGAGACACCCGTCGGGCTGGGCCACCTGGCAGAACAGCGCTCTGCACCAGCATCCTGCAGAGAAGCCCCCAGATGCTGCCAGCAGAGCCGACAGGGGCTGAACAAGGCCCTTGGATAGGGGGTCACCCGGCTGCCTGGCGGGTCGCCCAGGGCAGGGCCTACCCTCCAGACTTGGGACTGACTCCTGGGCCTGGCTCCTCCTCCTGCCCTGCCCCAGGAAACTTTATAAAAGGCTTCTCCAGCACCTATCTGCAATGGAATTTCTGTTGTTTGGATATAAGACACATGTGAAATATTCCATTGTATTCTCCCTGCACAAATTTTAAAAGATTCTGAGCAACACAAATAGGTGTTACCTGGTACTTACTTCCCCCCACTGCTGGGGAAACCCCTGGACAGAAGGGCCTGTCCACCCCCAATGTCCCCCATGAGGCTTTCTTCTTCTGCCTTGTCTACTGAGTTTCTATCTGAGCCCTCCCCTTCCCAACCTTCCCCATTTTCTGGTTATGGATCGTCAGTTTTTCCACCTGTTATACCACAACCCATTCTGGGAATCTAGGAAAGCAATCACGGAATCTAGGAATACCATGGCGCCCAGAGTTGGGGATTGGAGTCCACAGAGATGTTCTGGAGAAGATGAAGTTTACACCCAGTTTTGTTGGAGGTCAAAGGCAGCCGCCCCAAGTCAGCCTGCCATCTGCCAACGTGCCCATTCATCTCATCAACACTTATTAAGCCTCTACTGTGTGTAGCCAGGCTCTGGATGCTGGGGATACACTGGAGATGTTTCTCAAAGAACTAACCCCCACAGAGGAGAGATAGGCCTGCAAACAGAAAATGGGGCTTACACGTGACATTGCTTTTCCAAAATACCTTTTTTCAGAGTCATCACCATGAGGGGCTGGGACACGTGGGCAATGGAGACTTGGCTGGAGAGGCCAGCCTGGAAGGTCTCCAAAGGAGGGCCCTACAGATGTGTTTCGAGGAACAAAGTGTCCACAAACTTCCTGTGCCTGCCAGGTAGAAGTTATTTGCACACACATCCTTCCTCCGCACAAATTGTATCCACCCCCATGCATAATTGTAGGCCTCCTCCTCCACATTGACTGTTAGGAATCATTAAAACTGTCCCTGAAAACAGAGGTAATCTTCACCTGTTGTGCAGAGGGTAAAGAAAGTTTTTTTCCAGTGCTTTTTGGGGAATTGTTCCGTGTTCCTTACTCTAGATGGAATTGTCTAGACAAATAAACCGGTAGACCAATAGAACATTCTGCAGTGATAGAACTGTGTGCTGGCCAGTCTCCGTAGCCACTGGTCACAAGGGTTATTGAGCACTTGAAACATGGCTAATTTTTAATTTCATTTCCTTTGAATGAATTTAAACACAGACCTGTGTGGCTACCGGTTGTTGTATTAAACGGCACAGGTCTAGCCTTCTCCTTCGCAGAACTGCAGCCACTGTATTATCATGGACATTTCTTCTCAAGACCTGTTTTCTACATGGGAGCTTCATGCACTGTTGCTCTGGCCCTTGCAGTGAGGCAGAGGTCCCAACACAGGGGTGGTGGGCAAAAATCTGAGGTCACAAGTTCAGGTGTGCAAGAAATATCCATTTTTCTTACTTTTTTTCAGTCCGTGGGGACTTGCAGTCCTCATTCCGCTGGCTCAGTGGGGAAATTCAGTCTCTGTCATGAGCGGACACCCAGTTCCCCTGCACCAATGTCAAGCAAAGTTTCACGGGTTGTGTTACAGAGCAGGCAGGCATTGGGGAACTCAGGGTTTCTTCAGAGCAGGGGTTGCTGCCTGGGCACCAGGCTCTCCAGAGAGGGTGGGCTGAGGACATAGCAGCCTGTCTACCTCCCTAGGGCAGGAGCAAGGGTCCCTGCTGCTAACAGAACCCCAGACCCTGCCCCCAGCTCAGGCAAAGTGTTCTTCCTTCTCCAACTTTAAGTTTCTCTCCTTCCCTTCTGGAATTCTTGATCAAATATTTTCATGCCTTAAGTTTTATCAAAACAAAAGCCAGCAATGACTGTGTCTTGCTTTAGGCCCAGTCACCCTGACCCCCAGGTAAAGTGGGCTCAAATGGCCAGGTTTCTTCCCAAGAGCCCTGCTGAAAAAAACAAAAAGAAGAACCTCACTCTCTAATATTGCAACACATTATTCTTCCCCATAGGACCGTCACTCCCAATGTGAAGAAAAGGGGGAAAGACCTGGAAAAGACATTTGCAGCAAAGGAACAGTTTTGTTAGGGCCTGTGGCCCGCAGGTTCCAGCGTGGCAGCCTCCGAATGGTACTAGTCACAATGGTGGCAGCTTCCTGAATGTCTGCTGTGCAATCATCTCCATAAGTCCTCATGAGAAGTTGGATGTTGGCATGCCCATTTCAAAGATGAGGAAACTGACGTCCCAAGAGGTTAGACAATATAGCTAAGGTCTGCAAGGATTAAACCCAGGTCTCTTTGTCTAGAAGCTTCAGTTCCTGCAGGCAGCCTGGAAACAGATGATGTAAATGAGTGTAAGGAGAGAGGCAAGGCAGCAATTTGCCTTGGGAATGGGGTGTCTCAGAAGTAAGAAGCCAAGCCCTCAGCCAGGAGATGAGTCAAATCATTCAGATGACTCCAGAAACCAAGAGACCAAGCCAGCCTGGCATCCCAAACTGCTGGCCTGTTGCTAAACACGCACACCTTCTCCAGCTTCTATTAATAATCAGCCAGGAAGCCTCCCATGGTTACTCACCTAGTGATTAAACCATGATCACTGTTTCAGAGAGAGTCCTGGCCCACCACCACCGAGGGGGCAGGGAGGAGGTGAGATCAGCAGCAATGCCCTTTCTCCCTTTGAGTAGAGGCAGTGTGGGCTGGATTGTGGTAAGACTGGATCTGCAGTCATAAGACCTGGGACCTAGAGCCAGGAACACTCTCTCTGGGTGTCAGGTTCCTCAGACTACACAGGAAGAATGTTGACTTCAAGCATTTCCCCACCAACCTTTGCATTCAGAAGACACTTGGTTGCTTAGGAAAAAGAAACCATGGAGGTTTGGGGTCATCCAGATAATGGTGGTTAGGGACACACTTGACTGACTGCCTGGGTTCCAATCCCAGCTCTACTGGACGTCTTCGGCAAATTATTTTTTTTCTGCCTCGGTATTTCCATTTATACAGTGGGGATGTTAAAAACAGTACCTTACCTTTTGGAGATGTGTTGAAGACTATGGTTATTACATACAAGTGGTTTATAACCATCCCTGGTACTTATATGCTAAATAAGTATTAGTTCTTCTCATTCGCCATGAACACTTGGTCCAGAAATTTACCTGCCTGAAGCTTAGCTTCCCCATTGGCAAAATGTGGATATAATAACTCCTACAGTTGGAGTGCTAATTGCATGAAATGATGTAGGTGAAGTCCCTGTGTAGGGTTGACATTTAGTCATGGCAAGCCCTCTCTTCTTGTTCTTTTCTTCTGAAAGGTCTTCAGGTTAACTCTGAGTTTTCATCATGGAGGGCTTCCTGGACAGGTGAGACTCAGAGAAGCCAAGAGGTGAGGAAAGTGGTGGTAACAGGAGGTGAAGACAAAGAACAGAGCCAAAGGAGGGATGAGCCTCCTCTCATTCTTGCAGAGCTTAACTAAAGTGGGCCCTGAGCCGCGGAGAGGTGTTCCAGCAAGGAAGAGTCCCCACCACATTCTGGAGGGGTGCATGGAAAAAACAGCAATAGGACCAGCATAGGGGAAAAAAGGGATTCCCCAAGAACATTTCTGATAAGACATGCTCCAGACACCATTTAATGATAGTCATTCCATATGCCTGTCCAGAGATGTTGATGGCACTGGGTCCTCCCAGAAAGAGCAGATTCTTGGGAATCAGCCAGGCCTGTTAGTCTTCCCAGCGGTGGGACCATGGGCAAGTCACTTCACCTCTCTTAGCCTCAGTTTCCTCATGTGTAAAATGGAGATTATAATACTTGCTTCACAGGGTTGTTACAAAATTCAGAAATGAAGAACGCAAAGTATCTATCACAGTACCTGGAATATAATAGATGTTCAACATATATTAGTTTATTAAAGTTAGAGTTCATAATTCTATTCCACTTCCACGTTTCTCTCATTTGCTAAGCCTTTGTCAGCTGAGGCTCAGAGAGGGGAGTGACTTAGCCCAGTTCCCGGTAGCTGCTTATTAGCACAACCAAGGACTTTGCAATGAGGTCAGGTTTGGCTTCAAGTCTGGGAGCTGATAAATGGTTCCAGACGTGGAGTGGGGAAGAGAAAGGGTGGGGTGGGATTTTTATTACTTATGGGTGGACATAGAGACAGGACAAGCTCTTGAGATTATATATTTTAATAATAGGATCTCTCACTGGTAATTCCTGGAGGACAAATATAATTACATGACATAAATGATGTCATCTCATCAACAGAAAAGATATGCAAATGCATCAAGACAATGAGATACTTTCACCTATCAGATGAGCAAACATCCACCAAGCTGAAGGCCTGGTGAGACCCAACCCTCCTACTGCTTGTAAAAAGGCGGCCAGGCGCGGTGGCTCACGCCTGTAATCCCAGCACTTTGGGAGGCTGAGGCGGGCGGATCACGAGGTCAGGAGATCGAGACCATTCTGGCTAGCACGGTGAAACCCGTCTCTACTAAAAAAACACAAAAAATTAGCCGGGCATGGTGGTGGGCGCCTGTAGTCCCAGCTACTCAGGAGGCTGAGCCAGGAGAATGGCGTGAACCCGGGAGGCGGAGCTTGCAGTGAGCCGAGATCTCGCCACTGCACTCCCGCCTGGGTGACAGAGCGAGACTCTGTCTCAAAAAAAAAAGGCAACTCGCAACAATGTATCAAAAGCCTTAAAAAATGTGTACACCCTTTGAACCAGAGATTTCCCTTCTATGACTTTACCCCCAAAAAATCATTGAGAGACACAAGTAAGTATGCGGAAGTACCTATGGAACATTCATTCCAGCAGAAACCAGAAACACTCAAAATGCCCAACAATTTGACACATTACATTAAATGAACTGTGGTTCATCCATGTGGCAGAGCAAATATTATGGGTTCTTAGAAAAGATCATGTAGCCTTATGGGTGGTGGTGGTGGTCCTGGAGGGAGTCGGGAGCCCCTGTGGAGTGGCCGTGTTCTCCATCTTATCCCAGGTAGCTGCTGTATCCTTCAGCGTTCATTTTATATTTATTCTGTTATACTGTATACTTCAGTTTTACGCATGTTGTATTTTATAAGAAAGTTTTTAAAAAATGTGGTCAGATTTTTAAAAATGCAAAGATGTTCATCATGTACGGTTATGGGAAAAAAGAAGCAGGTTATTAAAAAGTCGATATAGTATGAGAGCATTTTTAAATGCTGTCATCAAAATACCTATTTATGGCCGGGTGTGGTGGCTCATGCCAGTAATCCCAGCACTCCGGGAGGCTGGGGCGAGCAGATCATGAGGTCAAGGGATCGAGACCATTCTGGCTAACATGGTGAAACCCCATCTCTACTAAAAATACAAAAATCAGCTGAGCGTGATGGCGTGTGCTTGTAGTCCCAGCTACTCAGGAGGCTGAGGCAGGAAAATCGCTTGAACCTGGGGGGCAGAGGTTGCAGTGAGCCAAGATCTTGCCATTGCACTCCAGCTTGGTGACAGAGCGAGACTCCATCTCAAAAAAAAAAAAATTCTATTTATACTTGAATACTATCAATATATTTTAAATATATATTTACACACACACTCGTAGAATAACATCTGGAGGGATAAGCATAAAAATATTAACAGTGATTATTTCTGAGTGGTAGTTTATTTTAATTTTTGTGATTTCCTTTTTTGATGCATGTACATATATATGTATATGTGTATGTATTTTGTGAGTATCTGAATTTTCTAATAGTTGTACATGAAGCATTTCTTTCTAAAAGCTTAAAAATAGTTATTATGGGCCGGGCGCGGTGGCTCACGCCTGTAATCCCAGCACTTTGGGAGGCTGAGGCGGGTGGATCATGAGGTCAGGAGATCGAGACCATCCTGGCTAACAAGGTGAAACCCCGTCTCTACTAAAAATACAAAAAATTAGCCGGGCGCGGTGGCGGGCGCCTGTAGTCCCAGCTACTCGGGAGGCTGAGGCAGGAGAATGGCGTGAACCCGGGAAGCGGAGCTTGCAGTGAGCCGAGATTGCGCCACTGCAGTCCGCAGTCCGGCCTGGGCGACAGAGCGAGACTCCGTCTCAAAAAAAAAAAAAAAAAAAAAAATAGTTATTATGACAGTAACAATCATTTCTATAGCTTTTCTTAGTTTACTATCAGCTCAAGAAAAAAACTAAGTCTAATAGCTGGGTGTGGTGGTGGGTGCCTGCAGTCAGTTCCAGTTATCCAGGAGGCTGAGGCAGGAGGATCACTTGAGCCCAGGAGTTTGAGGCTGTAGTACGATATGGTCGTGCCAGTGAACAGCAACTGCACTCCAGCCTGGGCAACATAGTGAGATCCCATCCTGTCTCTTAAAAAAAAAAAACTTGGTCTACTTACACTAGATGCTCATGTGCTGAAGATAAAGTCTCTGTCTACCTGGCCAAATATAAGTATTGACCTGCTATAAAACTACGGATGGCCCATTTGTTTTAGGCAGATGTGCAATTCAGAATCCACCCTGTCCTCAGCTTCGTCCAGCTGGCTGCTTGGGCAGCTGTAGCCACGTTTTCTCTTCTCCTGGTGCTCGCTGGCTTTGCTTCCTCCTCCATGGTCACAGCCACTGGTTGCATGTTTCCTTAGGGTCCAATAGACTGCCCATGTCACCAGATCCTGTCCAGCAACTATGCAGCCCCTGGGTCATTGGGACCCCTTTCCCAAGCCTAGGCCAGGAGTTGGATTTCTTTTTGGTGCTAGTCAAGTGTGGCTTCAGCTTCCTCATCTGTGAAATAACAGGACAGATGGGAATTCCCTCTGAAAACTCCCTGTGCTCTACACTTGTAAGGAAAATTATTAGGTGCAACCTCCCCACCTACTCAGGTGAACTCTTTGAACCTGCTTAGGTTTAAGTTAAGGGCATCATCCTTAGGTTTAGGTTTAAGGTAAGGGCAGAGTTTGCAGTGAGCCAAGATCACGCCACTGCACTCCAGCCTGGGCAACAGAGCAAGACTGTGTCTCAGAAAAAAAAAAAAGGCTTAAAGGCAACCAACTGAATAAATCAAATGGCCATGGGGAATTAGGTGAGAATAACAGAGAATAACAGAGAGGGAGACTTTCTAAAATAAAATATCATTTATTTGCGACCGAGCATTGTGATGGAGACGCATGTGTCACGGTAAACTATGTGTGGATTCACGGAGGCAAAGAAAGATGAAAGTTTTTAAAGGAATAATGAGGAAGACTATATAATTGTTTTAAGATCATTGTTCTTGACTACAAGGATCAATAAGAAGGATGGAATCAGTCCAGGGTTGGACAGGCAGTTGCTAGACAGATGTCCTAGCAGAAGCATTCTTTTGTGTAAAGTTGCAATGGCTTTGGATAAGTTGTGTTTTTTTGTAGAGACTTTTGTGATAGTTTTTGTTATCAGGCATTTGTGCATGAGAACCCTTCCTTTATGGTTTTCCTCAGCTCTACTTTTTAAGAGTTTGTTTAACACAAGTGACTCCATTTTGATTCTGACAACTTTCGTATTTCTCCCTTTTGATTAAAATCTTTTTCCAAAGCTGGGTGCAGTGACTCACACCTGTAACACCAGCACTTTGGGAGGCTGAAGTAGGAAGATTGCTTGAGCCCAGGAGTTCAAGACCAGCCTGGGCAACAAGATGAGACTGTCTCTACAAACAATACACCTGCCTGTGGTCCCAGCTACTCAGGAGGCTGAGGAGGGAGGATCACTTGAGCCAGGGAGGTCAACGCTGCAGTAAGCTGTGATTGCACCACTGCACTCCAGCCTGGGCAACAGAGAGAAAGACCCTGTCTCAAAAAATATTTTTTTTTCAAAGGTGTCACTGATGAATCATCCTGCAGTTGTGATCTGATTGCTCCTCAATGCTGTGATGGACTTGTCCTGGGTTGTTGGTCTTAGCCACATTTGAGCAACAAGGCATCTAAGGTTTGGAGGAAGTGACATTTAGGCTAAGTCTACCTGAAGTCCACTGTTAAGTTTAATTTTGTCTGTTCTGTAGTCTTTGGGCCATTATCTCAAAGTGCAGGGACAACATCATTTTGATAGGAATCATACTTTTGCAGAAATTAGACAAGTAACACGTACAAAGTTTCAAAGAAAAATACAAAGTAACATTTAGTATGTCATAGTAATATGACAACTCCAGTTCGTTTAATAGTTTTGAGCTATAATAATAGACTTAAAGGCGGCTGGGCACAGTGGCTCACGCCTATAATCCCAGCACTTTGTGAGGCTGAGGTGGGTGGGTCACGAGGTCAGGAGTTTGAAACCAGCCTGACCAACATGGTGAAACCCTGTCTCTACTAACAATACAAAAATTAGCTGGGCGTGGTGGCACGCACCTGTAATCCCAGCTACTTGGGAGGCTGAGGTAGAAGAATTGCTTGAACCCGGGAGGCAGAGGTTGCAGTGAGCTGAGATCATGCCACTGCACTCCAGCCTGGGCAACAGTGCAAGACTCTGTCTCAGAAAAAAAAAAAAAAAGGCTTAAAGGCAACCAATTGAATAAATCAAATGGCCATGGGGAATTAGGTGAGACCTATCATAACCATGTGGCCTGCTTTTAAAACAAATTTTGTGTATTGGGTCTCAGCTTTCATGGAGGAATGTATCCGGGTAAAGCACGAGAAAGGTAGGCATAAGAAAGAAAAAAATAAGAAGGACAAGACTGTCATATGAGGGGTGTTGTTCTGTTGTCTTGGGAAAGTCATCCACAGCATGAAGTCATCAACTACTTGTGTCTGGTTATGACATCAGGTTTGGTGAGCTTCTTGTGTGGCCCATATATTAGGCATGAGACTTGTCCCTTGAAATTTATATTAAGTTAACTAGCTTTAGCATTCAGGACTTTAAGAACAGAGCAATTTTTGTTCTTATTGGAGAGTTGTGGCTGAATATTGGAGGCAATCAAGAAAATTCAGGATCTACGTCCACTCTACAGGTAAATGAGAATGTGGAAACCATGTACAGGGTTGCAATCTACGATATGTGTATTATAGCTTTTTCTTTCTTTCTTTTTTTTTTTTTTTGAGACAAAGTTTCACTCTTGTTGCCCAGGCTAGAGTGCAATGGCATGATCTCGGCTCACCACAACCTCCACCTCCAGGGTTCGAGAGATTCTCCTGCCTCAGCCTCCCGAGTAGCTGGGACTACAGGAATGCACCACCACACCCGGCTAATTTTGTATTTTTAGTAGAGACAGAGTTCCTCCATGTTGGTCAGGCTGGTCTCGAACTTCTGACCTCAGGTGATCCGCCCGCCTCAGCCTCCCAAAGTGCTGGGATTACAGGTGTGAGCCACGGTGCCTGGCTTAGTTTTTTCTTTAGAGTCAAACTTTTTTTCTCTATAGACATCCTGATTTTTATCAATCAGAGTAAGACATTTGTTTTTTAGATAACCTTAGTTTTAGCAAATGTTGTCTGTGAGAATAGTGATTTGACCACATATTATTCTCAGATTTAAAAACCTTTTGAGGGCTGGGCACGGTGGGTCATGCCCGTAATCCCAGAAGTTTGGGAGGCTGAGGCGGTCGGATCACCTGAGTTCAGGAATTTGAGACCAGCCTGGCCAACATGACGAAACCCCTTCTCTACTAAAAAAATACAAAAATTAGCTGGGTGTGGTGGCACACACCTGTAGTCCCAGTTACTCAGGAGGCTGAGGCAGGAGAATCACTGGAACCCGGGAGGCAGAGGTTGCAGTGAGCTGAGATTTCGCCACTGCACTCCAGCCTGGGCAACAGTGCAAGACTCTGTCTCAGAAAAAAAAAAAAAAAGGCTTAAAGGCAACCAATTGAATAAATCAAATGGCCATGGGGAATTAGGTGAGACCTATCATAACCATGTGGCCTGCTTTTAAAACAAATTTTGTGTATTGGGTCTCAGCTTTCATGGAGGAATGTATCCGGGTAAAGCACGAGAAAGGTAGGCATAAGAAAGAAAAAAATAAGAAGGACAAGACTGTCATATGAGGGGTGTTGTTCTGTTGTCTTGGGAAAGTCATCCACAGCATGAAGTCATCAACTACTTGTGTCTGGTTATGACATCAGGTTTGGTGAGCTTCTTGTGTGGCCCATATATTAGGCATGAGACTTGTCCCTTGAAATTTATATTAAGTTAACTAGCTTTAGCATTCAGGACTTTAAGAACAGAGCAATTTTTGTTCTTATTGGAGAGTTGTGGCTGAATATTGGAGGCAATCAAGAAAATTCAGGATCTACGTCCACTCTACAGGTAAATGAGAATGTGGAAACCATGTACAGGGTTGCAATCTACGATATGTGTATTATAGCTTTTTCTTTCTTTCTTTTTTTTTTTTTTTGAGACAAAGTTTCACTCTTGTTGCCCAGGCTAGAGTGCAGTGGTATGATCACTGTTTGAGGCTCACTGAAGCCTCAAACCCCCAGGCTCAAGGGATCGTCTTGCCTCAGTCCCAGAGTAGCTAGTATTACAGGCAATTGTCAGTATGCTCGGCTAATTTTTGTATTTTCTGTAGAGATGGGGCTTCCGCATGTTTCCTGGGCTGGTCTCCAACAAACTCCTGGTCTCAAGCAATTGGCCTACCTTGGCCTCCCAAAGTTCTGGGATTACAGGCATGAGCCACTGTGCCCAGCCTGCTATAAATTATAGGTAGTTTAAGACAGAAAGTTTTCTTAAATCTGGAAGGCAAAACATTTAAATAAAGAATCAGCATTGTGGTCGGGTGTGGTGGCTCACTCCTGTAATCCCAGAACTTTGGGAGGCCAAGGCATGCGGATCACTTAAGGCCAGGAGTTTGAGACCAGCCTGGCCAACATGGTGAAATCCCAACTCTACTAAAAATACAAAAATTAGCCAGGCATGGTGGTGGGTGCCTTTAATCCCAACTACTCTGGAGGCTGAGGAAGGAGAGAATCGCTTGAACCTGGGAGGCAGAGGTTGCAGTGAGATCACGCCACTGCAGTCCAGCCTGGTCAACAGAGGCCATAAAAACCATACTTTTTTCATTAGTTCAGTTAGTTTCATGTAATTAATTTTGTTGTACTTGAACTTAGTTAGCAGTTTCATGAATTTATCAGGTCTTTTAAAAACCAGAATTTAAAAAATTTTTATTTAATCCATTGATCTTTAAGTTTTTAGAAGCCTGTATTTAAATGTACTCATTAGAGGTTTTTTTTCATGAATCTGATTGCAGATGCCTTTAGAGAACTATTTTAAATAATAACTGTAGATACAAAAACTTAGAATAACCATGGTTAAAAACCTGATGAAAATTTATCAGAACCAGAAATTGACAAGGAAATTTGGTTATTTTGTGGCATACAGCATAATAACCAGAATCAAGTCTGATAAAATATTTTTAAGAGTTTTCTATAATTTTAGAACATTTATATCAATAACATACCCATATATGTAATTAAAAGAAAATCTAGCATCACTTATCATTTGGCAATGTTTCTTCCAATGCAATCTACAAAATAAACCTAATTATTTAATATCTCTACAAACTGAGAGATATATCCTTTCAGATTCTCCAGGGCCCCAACTGGAAAATCTCAAAGTTAATTTTAGGTCAAAATGACTTAATTTAGAACTTGGTCCTGGAAAACCCTGTCAGAGAAGTCAAAAGTTTCAAAACATTTGATCAAACAAGTTAACAGGTCACGGCAATAGTAGTCATTTATTTAACCAGAGTGACAATCAAAGACTTCAAAAGCAATACAGAAAGTTACATGGATATTAAAAAGAAACCATAACCCTTATAAAGCTTAGTTTTTTAAAGTAATCAGAAAAACTAATAAAAGCAACATGAAGCAAAGGAAATTATAAATTCTTTATTTTATAGGCCAGTTACCAAAAGGTAAAGAAAAAATGTACAGTGTGATCGTTTTGCATTAGGGAAAGTCTGCTTAGATAATCTGGAAGTTAAACCTGGTGAAAAGGTACTTAACTTTAATCAGGCACAAGAAAAGTTTGTGTCTAAGGTTAACGTTTACACTATATCATAGAAGAAGTAAACAAGAAAACTACTGCTTTAAGCAGAGGAGTACATGGCTCTTAAAAAAAGTAAAAGTGTGTAAAATTTCCTGCTAAATGGAACAATCAAAACATACCAAGAAAAGTCAACAGTACAGAACCAAGTTATACTGGAAGAAAGTATTGCTTTTTTAGGCCTTTAAGACAAACATTTTCACACTGGGCCATGCCAACAGTTAGGACCAGAGGAAAAAGTTACTGCAGCAGACAAAAAAAGTTGAAAGAGAGTGTTATCACCCCAGCCAAGCAAAGAGAATCTGTTTAAGGGGAGAAAAAGGAAGAACAAAAGGCAATGATGTATGACCTGTAAATTCTGTGTTGCGAGATACAGCAAAATTGAATTGAAAAGTTTATAGAAAAACACTCTACCTCTAGAAATGAAATTGCCTTTTTAAGTGAAGAAGACAGTATTGTTAGCCTGAAACCAGGGACATTAAATGGAGACTATAAAACAAATAAAAGCTGTGGTTCAGATGATGGCTGAAAATTTTCAGAATTAAAAGTCAAAACTTGTAACTTCTTGTAAATATTACTATAGAAGATCAATATTGTAAGAAAACTTTGTAGTTATAACATAGAAAACTTGTATCTGTGTGTGTGTGTATGTCTTAATCTTTAGAAAGACTTATAAATAATTTTCTTTTACTCAACTTGATTAAACACAAGTTTTTTTATTTATTTATTTTTAGTTTACTTTAAGTTCTGGGATACATGTGCAGAACGTACAGGTTTGTTACATAGGTATACATGTGCCATGGTGGTTTGCTGCACCTATCAACCTGTCATCTAGGTTTTAAGCCCCAGATACATTAGGTATTTGTCCTAATGCTCTCCTTCCCCTTGCCCTCATCCAGGAACAGGCCCCAGAGTGTGATGTTCCCCTCCCTGTGTCCATGTGTTCTCATTGTTCAACTCCCACTTATAAGTGAGAACATGAGGATTACACACACATTTTTAAAAATAAATTTATCCTTTAGGAATCTTCATGACCTGTGCAGATCTTTGACAATAGGCTTAAGTCTTTAGTTTTGTTTCACTTTTCTTTTATAAATAGCCACTCATTTTACCATAGAACAAATTTTTAAATTATTGTTTTGAAAATTCCTTTTTTCTTTTTAATTTTTCTTACCAAAAATACATTTTTGTATCTGTAACAGTTTTTTTTTTTTTTTAACCTCTCTCTCTGTGTTACTTATTAGCTTCCTTATGTCTTGGTTTGATTTTCTTTTTAAATTCATACTTTGAAATAATCTTTAAATAATTTATGAATTAGAAAAAAAGGTTTTTTTTCAATAAAGAACATGTTTTATGTCCTTCTTATTACTTTTCTCATTTAAAAGATATTTTACTTTTTTGGTATACTTTGTATACAGTAATATATATAAATTAATAGAATTTTAACTCGGCCGGGCGCGGTGGCTCACGCCTGTAATCCCAGCACTTTGGGAGGCCGAGGCAGGTGGATCACGAGGTCAGGAGATCGAGACCATCCTGGCTAACACGGTGAAACCCCGTCTCTACTGAAAAATACAAAAAAATTAGCCGGGTGCAGCGGCGGGTGCCTGTAGTCCCACCTACTGGCGGCCGGGGGCGGGCAGGAGAATGGCAGGAACCCAGGAGGCGGAGTTTGCAGTGAGCAGAGATCGCGCCACTGCACTCCGGCCTGGGAGACAGAGCAAGACTCCGTCTCAAAAAAAAAAAAGAATTTTAACTCTTAGTAACCTTAAATTTTAGTGAAACATAGGAAGTAAGAAAGTTTGAACTTTCTGTCACATATCAATATTTTATAGATGAGAATCATTTTATAACATTAGAAACATATTTCTCCATAACATAATTTTCAAGGAGTATTAATAGACATAAATTTATTTGGTCTCTTTATAAAATTTAAAAAGCCAGGAACAAATATATTTATGTTTAGCAATGTATGTTTTAGTATTTGATCTTATTTGAAAATGACCCAGATGCTTAATGAGTATTTATTTCTTAATTTAATATAATTTTGAGATTTAAAGTTACCAAAAAGATTTTTTGAAACTATGAAGAGTTTATAAACATTTGTGCCATTTACGTTTACCTAATTTATTTATTTTTCACAATTATACTTAGATTATTTATGAAACCTGAGATATTAGACAAGGCTAGTCATTATCGTAAGCTATTATTTTGTTAACCATTTTTATAGCCTGTGAATAAATCAGGCGTTTATCACCCAAGTAAGGACCTTAAAGTTAAATATTTGAGCATTTTGTGGATAACTTCAAAACTATAGCTGTTTTCATTAAATCAATAATATTAAATTAGTTTTAATTACCAAAGACTTACATAAACAAAGATCATTCTCTTTTTAGGCTGGGTTTATCGTTTTATGACCTTAGTGTTAAACCTTGCCTGACATGTTAAAGCATCTAGCAAAGACAAATATAAAATGATCTGATCACTAAACCCAGGGAAAAACATATGTTGGCAATTCTGAAGACATTTCTATTTTTATTTTACCAACAATTTTAAAATTATTTTATTTACCAAAGATTTATCTAAGTTTTATGAACTTAAAACCGAGTTAGTATATTTTTGATGAAATACTTGATTTAAGTACTTAAGGTTTCAAGTCAATTAATTAATTAAGGCTTTGTAATATATTTTGGTAGAAAAATATACAAACAAAATGAAAACAGACAGACAACACAAATACACAAAAGCAGATTCTCTACCAGTAAAACACAGCAATATAAATTCACTGATTTATGCAAGGACAGTTGGATCCAAATGATATTTCTGATAAACTGGAACCTGTTTTTCTGGCTACATTTTACTTTACTCCGTAGGTAATCTCACGAAGGCTGTGTACCAAAGCTTCAAGTAAAGAGGTTTTCATTGCAGTTTGCTTTTTAAAAACCTCTTTTTATCATTTTTTTTAGCTTAAATGAGTTCAGGGTTTAAATATTTAAATGTTTATATTTCAGTTATGACTGGCTAAATTGTACAAGGGAAAAATATCCAGGTGGCCTTGAATTTTAGCAACACATTTATCTTTTTGTTTATAGGTCTGGTTTGCTTGATTAGTTGATGTGGGCAGGGAACATTTTAGAGAAAGATGTTTATAGTTTCGGGGTTTTTTCCTTGGCTTTTGCTGGTGTATGTGTGGCAGACAAAGCAAAATTTTTACGCTGGATAGGGAAACCTTATATTATTGTTCTGATCTCAAGACTTTGACCTGTTTGATCTGAGAACATAACTTTTATAAACATGCTGTCTTGTTGTTTCTCTTTTAGATTATCAATCTTTTAATTAACTGTTCCATCACACTAAGTGATTATAGCTCAGTAAACCTAAATTTGCATTTCCAAAAGGGATGGCTCTTAGGTGTGCAAGGTTAGGTTGTTGGTTATCATGGAGCTGTTGTAATTTCAAAGCACTCTCTCGCTTTTAAAGTCTTGGCTGAAGTGCCCTAAGAAAAACCTTTTAGTGTTTTTGAAATTAACAACAGTAGATTATCTTAATAACAGTGAAAAAGAGAGCAGATTTAAAGCAATGGGAGAGGAGGTTAAAAAAAGGGAAATAAAGAGAGATAGATCAATTAAGAGCTTTTACGTGCTGGCATTTTATTTTAACCTTATAGTTGCAGTTTTAAAATTTGGTACCAAGGAAAACAAGCTTGGGGAGTTCTGATGATTCCTATGAGGGCCACTGATTTAAAAATGTGCATGAGGAAAAGCCATGTAGCTGGATGGAGTCCCAGAAAACTGGCATGCCTTAATATTTGAGAATCCCATTTCATTTCTTATTCTCTTGAGAGCAGAGTAAATCCTATAAATCCTGTCAGGGAATGTCAAGAGTTTAGACCAGTGTTTTAGATGATGGCAACCTCCCCAGTGGCTTTTAATTGGTCATCTCACATCCACCATTTAGAATGTTTATTTTTGTTCTCAGAAAACGCTCAGAAACAAGCATGGGGGAAAATAATCCAAATTATATATAGACATGCATAGCCAAACTAAAATAAACCAAAATCAAAGTGTTTACAAAAATCTTAAGCCAGGCACGCAGATCAAGCAAAATATTAAACCAGGTATGCAGAAGGAATCAATAGTGAATGCACCAGTAAAGGCATGCCTCACTAACAGAACATAAGTTCCATAGAAACCAGAAAAGTATACCCATCAGAAAGACAAGATCACTTTGTACTAGAAGGGACTTGTCAGAAAAAAACAAAAAAAATCTTATTTTTCCCAGGAGGAATGCAAGGTCTTTTATTTGAGTTGGGCTTGCCCAAATCAGGTCTCAAATAAAGTCAAAGAGCTTTTACCAAAAAAATGGAGTCTTGGCCTAAGAGAATGCTCACCAGGGATGAAAAGGTGAGCTGTGGAAGAAAAGAGCTCAAAGGACTCAGATGTGCTGACTGCACACCACTTCCAAGAATCACACACTTTCTCCAAAGATTATCGGGCTTCAAATCCCACTTCTGACACCAGTTACGTTATCCTAAATAATAGAGAGGGAGAATCTCTTAAAGAAAATTATATTTCTTTGAGAATAAACATTGCAATGGGAATACATGTGTAATACTAAACTATATTCATATTTAGGGAGGTTAAAAAAAAGCCAAAGACTTTTAAAGGAAAAATGAGGAGGACCACATAATTGTTTTTGGTAATCATCCTTGGCTACAAGAATTAATAACAAGCATGGTATCTGTCCAAGGCTGGGCAGGGACTTGCTGGGAGGATATCCTTGCAGAGGTATTTTTGTGTGTGTGTAAGTTTGCAATGGCCTTTGTGTAAGGTTGTGGTTTTTGTGGTCTTTTGTGATACTTTTTATTATCCGGCATTTTTGCATGAGCACCTTGTCCTTATGGCCTTCCCTCACTCCATTTTCAAATTTTTTTTTTAACACAATTGACCCCATTTTGATTCTGACAATTTTCACAAAAGCCCATTGGTTTCTCCTCTCCTTTTTGCTTAACAACAGGGCAGCTGTGCTTTGGTCTGTCTTGTAATTTGAAGATAACATCAGCTCTTCTGTGCTGCAGCCTGTCATTCCCTGTGCATATGTCTGATTTTTTTGCAGCACACAGGGTGAATAGTCTTCCCTGTGTTGCCTAGAATTGGGGTGAATTTCCCCTCTCTTCTTGCATCTTGTCCTGGTGGGAGCCAAAATTACACATTGCTGGGATGCCTGGATGGGGTAGACGTTTCAGTCTCTTTCCAGAAAGCGGGAGCAACAGGCTCCTACAGAATCAGTGCTGTTGCTGAGCTGTGGGTTAGTAGGCTACATGTCAGGAATGAATCTAAGAGCCATTTAGACTTTAGCTTCAGAAAGCATTACAAGTGAACAAATAAAAGGCTTACACTTGCATTTCTAATTCTAATCACATTGAGCAGGATAATTTATTGACCAAGATGGAATGTACCTCCAGGTCCAGCAAAGGTATGTCCTACTTGAAATTTAATTATGTACAAAAAATGCAAAGTCAGGTGTCATTATCCCACAATCAGGTTAGGGAATAAGTTGAATGATTGCTACAAAATCCTTTTGCAATGCTTAAGCCAGATCCCAGGTGATGGCGGCAGGGAATCATCAGTCAAGAGCCAGGTGGGAGATCCAGTGAGGCTAAATCTAACTTTTCTCTCAGTAAAGACAATCATTCTCTCTACAATCATTCTCTCTCAGAAAGTCATTGAGCCCCTCTCTTAATAAGGTAAATGCAGCCTTGGAGGCAGGATAAAGCTTAGAAAATGCCAAAGAACCATCCTGTATTCTAATCCTGGATGAATGAGGGTAGTTTTAAGCCAATTGTCTGTATATTAGACTGAAATCTATCTCCCTTCCTTCCTTCCTTCCTCCCTCCCTTCCTTCCTTCCTTCTCACTTTCTCCTTCCCTCCCCTCCCCTTCTCTCCCTTCCTCTCTTCAACCCTCTCTTTTCCTTCTTTCTTCCTCTGCTCCCTTCCTTCTTTCTTCCCATCTCTCTCTCTCTTCTTCTTCCCTCCTCTCACTCCTTTCCTTCCCTTTAGTTAACAAAGATCACTTCAGTCTTATCCATCCTATGTAAGGTATTGTGTTTCCAAGATAGAGGAGCCTTTGCCCCCCAACAACGAGTTCCACCCTGCAGAGGCAACAGCAAAGGCACAAAGACATGAAGTTGGCTGGCCTGATGGAATGAGGCAGGCAGGCAGTTTGACTGGAAGGTGCAGTTGGTGGTGATGGTGGTGGAGGCAGATGATCAGGGGAGGCAAAAAACATGAGTAGAGTGTGAAGGGCCAGTAATTTCAGAACAAGTGGCTGCCAAGTATATAAGAAGGCATATCAAAGCTCCCCCAAACCTCTCCAAAAATGAGGAAAAATTTTCAGGGATCTACTTTCCTCAGAGATGAGGTCCCTAATTAATTGACCTAATACAACCTGACAGCCTTGTGATTTAATCTAGAAAGAACCTGTCAGAGAACAAAGCCAAAACCAAATAAGACTAACCTGGGTGATGCTGAGATCTAGAGACAGAGTCCTGGTGATATCAGCCCTGGATCCTCCACGCTGAACCCGCCTCTCCTCTGGACCTTACTGCTGCATGAGCCCATAACTACTCCCTGCCCCCCTTTATCGCTCAAGACATTCAAAATTATATCGATGCCAGGTATACATTAACGAGTTCTTTTTTTCTCTTTTCTTTTTTTTTTTGAGATGGAGTCTCACTCTGTCACCCAGGCTGGAGTGCAGTGGTGCAATCTTGGCTCACTGCAACCTCCGCCTCCTGGGTTCAAGCAATTCTCCTGCTTCACCCTCCCAAGTAGCTGGGATTACAGGCATGCACCACCAAGCCCAGCCAGTTTTGTACTTTTTGTAGAGATGGGGTTTTGCCACGTTGGCCAGGCTGGTCTCGAACTCCTGACCTCAAGTGACCTGCCTGCCTCGGCCTTCCAAAGTGCTGGAATTATAGATGTCAGCCACCACGCCCGGCTGCATTAAAGACTTCTAACTAATACAAATAAAAATACACAATACTCAGGAGATCTGAAGGTGTTAAGGTCATGCTCATCCATGAGGGCTTTTCCTGACTTTCCAGAGTAGGTGAGATTCTTGGGTTATATAGTCTTCACTTGCAACAATTGCAATTATATAATTATGCCATTTTTTTGGTCTGATGTGGCTGTCATGAGGGTAGGGAATATGCTTTTTTTGTTGCTTATCTGTTTATTCTTAGTATCTCACACAGTGCCTGCTGGGATATGAATTCTCAACAAATGTGTACTGAATTTTAAAAAAAGAATTTCATTGCAGGAGAATGAGAGGTTAGCTGGGGGAGCTGGCAGTTTGCATGGGCCCTGGAGGATGGGGATCAGTCAGGATGGGCCATGTTAAGCTGCAGTAACAACCTCCCTCATAATCTTAGCAGCAGATGGAAACAGGTTTTCTTTCTTTCCTGTCTACTGTTACAAAATATTATAACCAGAGTAGCTTATAAACAGCAGAAATTTATTTCTCATGGTTCTGAAGGCTGGAAAGTCCCAGATCAAGGCCCTGGTGCCTGGTGAGGGCCTGTTCCTCGTAGACAGTCATCTTTTGACTATAATCTCACAAGGCAGAAGGGTAAAAGCATCTCTCTGGGGTTTCTTTGATAAGAGCACTGGTCCCATCCAGGAGGGCTTCACGCTCATGACCTGATATCCTTCCAGAGGCCCCACCTGCTAACACCATCACATTGAGGGTTGGCTTTCAATATGTGAATCTGTGGGGCAGTGGGGACACACACATTCCTGCCTTAGCAACTGCCACATTACATGTCCATTTTAGGTCAGTTGCAGGCTCTGCATTGTGTTTCCTTCCTCCAAGCCCCAGGGAATGGAGCCTCCACCATTTGGTGTTTGGCTAGTTACAGCGGCAAGAGTCAGAAGAGCAGCTGAGTCACACAGTGGTTACAAAAGTTCCCACCCAACAGTGACACAGGTCACTTCCACTCATCATCCATCGACGGTGGAGGACATGCCCGACTTCAAGGAGGGAGGGGCAGGAAGAAGGGGAACGGAAATGGGTGGTGATCAACCCTGCTGTGTTTCCAGGAAGAGTGAATGAGTGAAGTCACCATAGGTGAAGGGGGTGGCAAGGCTCTCTAGGAGGAGAAAGCAGCTTAGTCAAAAGTTGAGAGATGTAGGTGAAGATGAGTATTTTCAGGAAAAGCAGTGAGTGACTGGCTAGAGGAGAATGTGGGGAGTCAGACACAAGCTTGGGCTCACCGAGGAATATCCCTATTGCCACACCACGGATGGCGTGGTGAACTTGGCAGGCAACAGGATCAATGAAAGCCCTAATAAGGCAGAACCTATGATTTAGATGGATCAAGATGACAATGGAACCGGCCATGTGATCAAGTGCATGGGAGGGACAGAGAACAAAAGGGGGCTGCTGTGGGATCCTACGACTGCAGTGTTGTCATGGCTGCTCTGAGCAGCCCCTTGAGTACATCTCTCAGCAAATATGGAACAAATACTTGCTAAATCCATATTAGCCATGTATGGGGTTGAACAGTTTCTCTCCAAAAATTCACGTCCATGCAAAACTTCAAAAGAGCCTGGTGTGGTGGTGCATGTCTGTAGTATCAGCTACTTGGGAGGCTGAGATTGCAAGATCTCTTGAGCCCAGGAGTTGGAGGCCAGCCTGGGTAAGATAGCAAGATTCCATCTCTAAAAAAACAAACAAACAAAAATTACCGTATTTGGAAACAGGGTGTTTGCAGAATATAATTAGGTAGGTTAAGATGAGAGGTCACAGAGAGATGAGAGAGGAAGGAATGTGCTGACAGAGGCCGAGATTGAAGTGATGCATGTATAAGCTAAGGAGCAGCAGGGACTGCCAGTAACTACCAGGAGCCAGGAAGGGGCAAGGAAGGATTTTTCCCTGAGACTTCAGAGGCAGCAGGTCCCTGTCCACATCTGGAGTTTTTATTTCTAGCCTCCAGAACGGTGGGAGAATACATGGCTGCTGTTGTAAGCCACCCAGTTTATGGTGATTTGTTATGACAGTCCTAGGAAACTCATGCAAGCCAGGAGTGAGGAGAAACTGATTTTCTAAGGGCCAAACATTGCACAACTCTTCATTTATGTTCAAAGTAAAGGATTTATTACACATCCTGAACATAGCCTACCCTTCACCCTCATTTGGAATTGTTTTCCTTTCATGGTTTTTTTTTTTTTTAATTTTCATTGCTCACAACATGATATTACAGGCCAGGCATGCTTGCAGATAACTGGGATAATTTACTTTTACTTAAGTAAAAATCCCAGATGGCAGTCCCTCCACCTGGGATCATGAAGCAGGTAGGATCCCCTTTTCCCTCCTAACAGAGTCCAAGCAGTAAGACCGAATAAGATGGGATGAATTCAAAGAGAAACATCTGCATTTGCTCAGTTCTTCAACCAATATTTACTGAACTTCTCTACGGTCAGGTGTGCAAGATGCCAGGAGGGATGAGACAAGATGATGATGATGATGATGATGATGATGATGATGGTGATGATGACAGTGAGGATGAGGGTGAACACTTTAATGAGAGCCTTCTATATGCCAGGGACTGTTCTAGGCACTTTACATATATTAACACATATATTTATCACAATGACCCTGTATTGTTATGTGTATCTTATACATGAGGAGGCAGAGGAAGGAAATGAAATAACTTGCCCAAGAGCATAGAGTCTGCAAGTGGCAAAGATAAGATAGAAATAATTCTCCAAGAGCAGAGAGTGGTGACTTCTGGGGATAGGGAAGTGGAAAAGTGGGGAGACAAAGGCTGTTGTTTTTCCTAACAAGTTTTGAAGACTTATTTGACCAGGTTCAAGAAAAACTTGATAATCACTACAAAGTAAAAGGAAGAGGAGATGAGGTGGGCCTTTGGGTACAGATGCTTGTTTTGGAAAGTTTAGGGAGGAAGGGGTGAGAGGAACTGGGCTGCAGTACAGGAATGGGGGACTTGGGAATCAGAGGGGATTGGTTAGGGTGGGTCATTGATTGCAGTGAATGTTTACTTGTTGATTGGGCTGCAGTACAGGAGTGGGGGGCTTGGAATTAAGAGGGGATTGGTTTAGGGTGGGTCATTGATTGCAGTGAATATTTACTTGTTGATTAGTTTGATCCAGAAGAAAGGGAGAGATGGATGCTGGAGGAGAGAGGGGGTCCCGAGGGAGCCCAGGACTGGAGGTGGGAAGACACTTTTACGGACACTTTTTCATTTTGACAGACAGAAAAGATGATGGTCTGCAGCAGTAGACCCATAAATTGTGATTGAAAGGTCTGATGGTTTCTCTCACTCGTTTCCTCCATGCACAGAGAGGTGGAGTAATTTGCCCCAGGTACTACAGCTCATAAGTGGTGAAGTTGGAGCTGGGGGCCACAGACCACCGGGTTCTTCTCCATGAATCCCTGCTGCATCTTGGTCTCTCCCAACCCCGAGTACCCATGAGTTTTAAGAAAGACAGTTGGGAACAGGTGATTCCTATGGTCATTTTTGGAACATTTGGTTAGAATATTCTAGTATAAAATCTAAGTTGTTGTTAAGTAGAAATTTCCAGTGGACATTAGTCCAGAAAATCCAATCTCATCCTGTGACGGATTTGCAGCGCGTGTGCATTTACTAAGCAAATCTGATTCTACTGCTGACCAGCGAGAAAGAGGAATAATGTAAACAGTCAGTGCAATTGCACCCACATTCAGCTCCGTGAGCTTCTGCCACCTCAGCTGGCTGCGGTGGGGGATGTGGAGGTGCATGCAGCTCCCAGGTCCCAGTGAGGGGCCTCTGTATAGGGTGGGCGTCCTCTATGCTTTATGTGCATCCAGGCCTGTACTAAAGACAGTCTTTCTCCTGCAGCGTGACACTTAGCTAAGAAAACTACTTCATCTGGTGCTCAGCGGAAGAAAACATCCTTTTCAACAGGGAAGGAAAATTGGCTGTGTTGGGCTGAGGGAGGGGAGTGTGGAATCCAAATGGTGTCTTCCTCAGGCCTTCTCCAAGGTGATGTGGACTCTGATTTTAGAATGCCATCACTTGGAAAATTGTGTTCCATTGCTCAAATTCTTGCCTCCCTTCTCTGCTCTTTTCTCTTCACTCCACTCTCCTTCCTCTGTCTTCTGACCTATTCAATGCTAATGGTCTTCCAGAAGGTTAGGCTTCCCACACAAGCCCAGCCTCCTGCCAGGCAACCTCCTCGGGGTTTCAAGCTGCAAATCTGGGCTGCTCTTCGCATTCTGTCCTGAGGACCTCCTCAAAGAGACAGGCAAGGGCCTCCCCTGGCAAAATGCCCTTCTAATTCCATGCACTAGTTCCATTTGTTACTGAAGAAGTGGGCCGCCTTCCCTGCGCCTTTGAACTTGACATTCCTTATCTTGACACTCCGCACTTTTGAACTTGACACTCTTGTATCTTTAGCAGGTAAAAAACCAAAGGTGCTCACTCAATAAATCGCCGCAATGGGGAGCCTATGGGAAAATGGGTATGTGTAAGCTGGCTAAAGGATAACAGGCACACAGGCTGCTTGATCTGGGAGGGTCTTTAGACAGCAGGATGGCTCCCAGAGATGCACTTTTGTTGTTGCTGTTGTTCATGATCATGTCCCCAGGGTCTAGAATGGTGCCTGGGCATAGTAGGTCCTTAATATAGTTAGGGAATGAATGAGTTCATCTCAACCACGCTGTATGGATGGAGAAACTGCGTCTTGGGGCTGTACCATGCTATGCACCTGTAGAAAATGTTTTTGCCTTTTCAGTCCTTTCCCAGTGGCGGAGTACAGGACCCAGCTCATAAGAGCAGCTCAATTCTGTCATTTGTGGAATGACAGAATAAATAAGTTTCAGGGCCTAGGGAGGCAAGGCTCCTGCCTTAGCCTCCCAAGTAGCTGGAACTACAGCTGCATGCCACTAAGCCCACCTGATTTTTTATTTTCTTGTAGAGATGATGTCTCATTATGTTGCTCAGACTTTTCTGGAACTCCTGGGCTCAAGCAATCCTCCCACCTCTGCCTCTGAAGTAGCTGGGACTACAGGTACTTGCCACCAGGCCTGGCTAGCTTTCATCTTTTTTGTAGAGATGGGACATCACTATGTTGTGAAGGCTGGTCTCAAACTCCTGGACTCAAGAGAGGCTTCTGCATTGGCCTCCCAAAGTGCTGGGATTACAGGTGTAAGCCACTCTACCTGGACACAACATTTTATTTGAAATAAGAAAAATTTTCCCTCACTGGGAATGCTGCAGTTGAACTAGTTCAAATCCATAAAGAATGGAAGACTGCCCAGTGGTCATTCATTCACTTATTAATTCTAGATGTTAAATTTTCTAGGGTGGGGGAATGTGCTCCTACATTCAAGGCATTCTTGAATGTAGCCAAACTTTGTAGTTTAGCCAAACTTCATAGCTAATAGCCAAACTTTGTAGTTTAGCCAAACTCTTCTAGCAGCAAAACCCATGACACTGGAACTCTGTTCTTCACACTGGTCATTTGTAATAGAATAACAGAGCTTTAGCACTAGATAGGTTCTGAAAGATCATTGAATCTAATCCTCTCCCTTTGCCAGTGAGAATTCTGAAGCCCAGATTTGTTGATTTGTGATCGATAGTGTCAAAGACAGGCCTGAAACACAGATGTCCTGGGTCCTAGAGGTGCTGTTTGCCCCTCTCCATATTTCTTTTGTTCCAGAAAACCCTTCTCCAAAACTGGCCCTAATAATCAGAGGGGAAAGCCATGGCCCCTGCCTTGGGGACAGCATGGGTTGGCACAGAAAAGAGGTTTACAATTCAGCAGGAAGTGTTGTGCGTGCGCGCGTGTGTGTCTGTGGAGGCGCAGGGAGGGTCACCTGAGCTTGCCCTGGGTCTGGTCCTGGGCTCAGTGGCAAATTCAACGCTGGGCAGGTGGCCTGAGGACAATGACGGTGCCAGCTGTGAGTCAGACTTCCTTTATTCATAAAATCATGTTCCTCCATGCAGTGCTTCTCAACCTGGCTGCACGTCAGGAGCCACCTGGGTAGCTTTGTAAAAACCCCAATGCCCAGTTGGTTTGCACCCCCTGAGATTCTGATTAAACTGTTCTGGAGTCCATCTCTCTCTTTTTATTATCTATCTATTTATTTATTTTTTAATTTGGCGGCTCCTCTGGGACTTCTCATATGCAGTAGGGGTTGAGAATTGCTGGTTTCTTTGGCCAGATGGGAACATGCAGGCCAATAGTTACGCACAAACAGAGCAGCAGAGCAGGACGGTGCTAAGGTTGGAAAGGGTGAGTCATGAAAGTTCAGGAAATCAGAATAGGAAGGGGTGAGAATCCTCTCATCTGGGCTTGTGGGGCAGGAGAGAAGAGCCCAGTGGGCAAGGTCCAGTGAGTGTGCTTAGAACTGGGAAGATGAGGGGAAGGGTAAGCGCTGGGCGGCGGTGGGCAAGATGGACGAGATTAAACGGGAGCGAGGATTTCAGCGAGAGCTTTGGCGACACGGAAGGCTGAGAATCGGAGGGAGCCTGTCGGGCGAAAGCGAAGGCGGCTGCTGGGCAGGCAGCCGAATCCGGCTGGAGAGCCGAGCTGGTGAGACCTACAGGAAGTGAAGGGAGTCGCTCAGGGCGTGGCGCAACGAGACTCTTAGAAGAAACTCTGAGGCAGAGATGGGGGGCCTCCGCCCATACGGAGACACAAGGAAGTCCACATGCACACGCACGAGCGCGCACATGAACACGCACAAGCACACAAACGCCTCCTCCGGGCAGGGCACACGCGCCCGCTGCACAGGCCGAGGCCCTGGACTCGGAGGGGACTGCAGAGCCGACCCACAACCCGGGCCCCGATGCCCCTCCCGGCCGCGCCCCTACGACTGCTTGCGCAACAGGCGGCGGCTCCAGTGGGCGCCCGCCGCGCGCTGCCGGAGCCCAGCCCAGCCCGGCGCGCCCGGGAGGAGGGAGCAGGGAGCGGGGAAGGGGTGTGTCCCGGCTGCGTGCTGGGACTGCGAGGGTCTGGGAGGGGCGAGGCGCGGGGGCGGGGCCGCGGCGCCTATAAAGTCGCCCTCCGCCCGGACGTAAACAAACCTCGCCTGGCTCCCAGCTGGTGCTGAAGCTCGTCAGTTCACCATCCGCCCTCGGCTTCCGCGGGGCGCTGGGCCGCCAGCCTCGGCACCGTCCTTTCCTTTCTCCCTCGCGTTAGGTAAGCCCGCGCCCTCTTCTCCCAGGCGCGACGCGGAGCAGAAAGGGGCCGCCCGTGCGGTGCCGCTGGAGCGCCAGGACCGCCCTTTGTAGCCCCGCGTACTCCAGGAGTAAGCGCCCCGGAGCTGCAAGTGCGCGGTCACCCCGGGGCGCGGGCGCGAGGGGGCTTTGGGTGCAGACACCGCTGAAGTGGGGGGTTCAATTACGGAAAGGGAGGAAAAAAAGACAGGGTCCCATTCATCTCCCCCCTAGCTGGGGATTGGGGTTCTGGAGGTCGGGAAGGGGGCGATGAGACGGTCCGAAAAAATACCAGGATAGCGTTTCCTGGCGTCGTCTCCGAATCCCAGCTGGCGCCGCTGGCAGGGGTGCGCGCTGGACGTGGGTGCAGAAGGGACTAGGTGAGTGTGTGTGTGTGTGTGTGTGTGTGTGTGTGTGTGTGTCTGTGTCTGGGAACGGAGAGATTGCGCGCGAGTGTGTAGATGAGGGGTTGGTAGAGGTGAGTGGCGCTGGCAAGGAGGCTGGAGAGGGGGGCGTGGGTGTGTCTGGCTTGCAGACTGGGTCGGGAACGGGTGTGGATCCGAGAGGCTGGTGGCGCTTCAGTCCCGTAGCACACACAGGGCGGTGTGCATGTGTGAGTGTAAGCGTGTGTGTGGGGGGAGGGTCCAGGGTGTGTCACAGTGCAACACGCGAGCCGGAGCAAGTGTCTGCGAGCGCCACTGGGCAGGGTGCGCCCCCGGAGGAACCCGGGATTGGCGCATCGGCGGCGTGGGAGAAGTGACCTGGGCGAGAGGGGTCTCGCGGACATTTGGCGGCCCCTTGAGCTGGCTGGAGCTAGGAGTGGCGTCATTTTCGCCTCCGCCCACCCTCCCCCGCTTTCCTCCCCTCCCCTGCCTCTGGTGCTGGCCGCTCCTGCCCTCCACGGGGGAAAACAGCTGGAATTACTTCGACGTTCCTGGGGGATCCGCCGCGGTCTCTGATTCAGCCTCGGGAGGAGATTTCGGGCTGGGCTTGGGGAATGCGGCTGGTTCTGGGGGAAACACGCTGTCACGCCTCTGTCAAATTAGTAGCTGGAGCTGGGATTTAGTGGGTCGGTTCCTTACCCACCCCTCCCCCATATCCCCCGCCTGTTGTCCCTGCTGTCCCTGGGGGTCCTGAACAGCACGCCTCTGTGGCTTGGAAGTGGGAGATGCCTGGCAGTGGGTGGGGGAGGCAGGGCCCTTGGTTATCTTATGCCCATCCAAGAACACCCCTTCCTCACGGACGCTGGGGGCACTTCAGTTTGTTTGGTTTCTTTAAGCTACTGGGAAATATCTAATATTCAGAAGTCAGCCAGTGGCCAGGCAGGAGGGCGGTAGACATCCTTATAATACCCATCAGCTGCACGGGACCTTCTCCTAAGCTGCCTCAAAAGAACATATCTAAATACAAACCCCCTGTTCTTGCTGCAGAAATGTAGTTTCAAGGCGAATTTTTCAGTCTAGACTCTTCCTGTTGAGAAATTCTGGCGTTCTTATTGAGTTTCACAAATGTGATTGAAATAAGCAAGGTACAGAGGGGGCAAACCCCAGCGCCTTTCTTGGAAGGGCTGCCTTCTGGTGGGGAAGACACACGGCTGGAGACGCAGACCGGTTCTGTGTGGTGTGTGTGGCGGCAGAGCCAGCCCCAGGCTGGGGTGGCACAGTGTCGGGGATGAAGGAAGGTGTAAGGGAGAGAGAGGGTTTTGGTGTGGATGGAAAACTGGGTGTTCCCCTGACCTGTGACTTCTTAGCTTTGTGGGACCGTGTCTCCCACTGCATCTGGGCAAGGAGGAGGATTTGCCTGCCCTGCCCTGTAACCTGGCCCCTGGCCCAGCGCCTGGCAGGTGGGAGGAGTTGAAATATGCACATGGGATGAAGTGGATGGCTCTGGGTCTTCTGCCCCATTCTCCTGTGAACCAGCAGGTTGAGTTTCGGGCGAGGTAATAGACTGTGCATGGGTGGAGGTGTTGGCTTTTGCTTTTGAGGGATCCTGGAGTGTCTGTTTGGGTCTCTTGTGAGGAAGTTCTTTTGGAGCAACAAAGTTTGATCATTTGGAATGGAATAAAAAACTCACACAGGACCTACCTAGTCCAACTTCTTTCCATTTTACAGATGGAAAATGAGGCACAGGGATGGGGAGGGATGTGCCCAGGCCGAACTGAGCTGGAGCTCAGCTTTGTGAGAGGCTCCTGGGTGGGACTGAAGGCAGTGGAAAGGGTTCCTGGCAGGATTTTGCCTGCCTGCTATGGAGGGGCGAAAGGAAATTGCATCTTCATTGAATTTCTGGTGAGGAAACTTTTGAGGCCAAAGGGGCAGAGCGGAATGATTTTTTTTAAGTGTAAATCAGGTGTTCTTGAGAGATTAGCAAAGCCAGCCTGAAGGGCAGGGGCTTAGAGGCTGCAGCCCCCTGAGTTGGCCTTTGACTGAATGGGGCTGCCCCCCCCCCATGACAGAAGACAGATCTCAACTGAGCTGAGGGCCCCCCTGGGTTACGTTGAAATCCGCTGGCCTGAACTTGCCTCCTCATGGACCTGAAAGAAAGATAGCATTGTGTTTTTCGGGTGGCCCAAAGCTGCAGTTCTTCCTTGGGACCCAACCCCAGAGAATCCCATTCCAGATGTGACTCAGAGGCCTTGTCCTGGGAGAGAAAGCGTGATGACTCAGCATCTGAGACTCAAGCAGGGTTCAGGTTTGACTCAGCCTGGAAGGAAGGCCAGGGAGGGACACGACATCTCTCTCCCTCCAGAGCAGCCACTGTCTCCCTCCATCTGCCTTCATCCTCGCAAGAACGTTGCCTGGATCGTATTGCTCCATTGAATGGATGAGGCAACTGAGGCCAGGAGAGTTTCAGGATTTGCCTGTTGCCATATGGCTCAGGTGGGAGAGCCAGACTTTGAACCCGGACAGTTGGACTTCAGAGCCTTTGTTTTTTTTCCATGACAACATGTTGGGGCGCCTGAAGAAATCAGGCTCAAATGAAAAGGCAGTCAGGAGCTCCATGCCTCAGTTTGCTTTTCTGTAAAATGAGAGTAACAGACATGATGCCATCAGAATGTGTAAATATTAATCTGTGTAACCTGAGAACAGCACTGAGCATGTGGAAAACAGCGTGTAGGTGTTTGCCGTCAGTAGCACCCGCAGAAGACATTCTCAAGGCATCTTCTTGGCAGGCAGAGTCTGGGACCCTTTGTCCTAAACCTACCCAAGGCTGTGAAAGTGCCTGCAAATGCTTGACCTAGGTATTGCTTTTTGCTAAGCTTATGTAGGTTGCATAATAGTGTCATGAAAATCTTGTCTGAAATGCACATTTCCAGGCCCGGTCTCCTGCGATTCTCTCTCCATCAGGGGATATGCTGTTGTTTCAAAGCTCCTTTGGCTGGGTTGGGAATGGGGTATCCTGCAGGCAGACAGAGTTGAGAACCTCTGCTCTGGAATGACAGGGGAGAGAAGAAGGAAGGTGTAGTCATACATGCCGCTGTACCTTCAGGCCACCCTGTGTCCACAGTGCCAGGGAATTAGTGAGTGCTCAGTAAATAGCTCTTGTTTGCTATAGTGCCTTGGAGGTTCAATGCATCACATCAGCTAACTGAGGTAGAAGACATTCTTTCCACCTCTCAGGTCAGAAAATTGAGGCTCAGGCTGGTGACTCTTCTGTCCAGAGTCCAGTGAGTGGGGTTCTGCCCAAGGTGAGCCTCCTGAGCCCTTTCCACCCTCCAACATTGCGCTTGGAGGCCACCCACACCCTCTGGGCCCACCTTTTGAGAAGGAGCTTGTTTCCTGGATCCACCCCAGGCTGTTGTTCCTGCCTCCCTTGATGGCTGTGTGATGGAAGTACCGCGTGTCCACTTGCTTTTTATCTTTCAACTTGGAGATAGAGGCAGGCTAGATAGCGGTCTTGGCTGAGAACTTAGCCCAGGCAGGTAGGCAGAAGGGCTGGGGACACTGAGGCCCCACAGGAAGGCGGCTGCAGAGGTAGAGGGCCATGAGTAGGTGCCAACCTGGAGCCGTGTTCTCGGGGTGGGGGCCATGTGAAAAGAAACCTGGGCTCCCTCGGGTGGGGCGTAAGCCCCAGCACTACAGAATGGGAATGGATTACACAATCGGGGCCATAAGCAGGTCTCTTTGACCCAGATCTTTGACTTTCCCACCTAACATTGTTTGCAGACCTGCCTATGCCCTACCTGCCTGGGCTCCATCTCTGACCTTTTGAGTCCAGCGGGTTTTCTTGCAACTGAGCTGGTAGAAAGTGAGGCTCCTTAACAGTCTGGGGGCCTTGAGTGCCCTCCCCAGCAGTTTAATCTTTCCTTTCTTTAAATCTGTGGGGAGACTTTCTGCAGCTATACATTTTAAATCTGCATAGAGTTCTGTTTGAAGAGAGGTGGGTGGGGGCCCAGGTCTCCACCTTGTTCTCCTGCCTTCACCCTCTGCCCCACCCCCACGGAACCTAAGAAGATTCCAAGTAACCCTCTTCAAATATGGATGTGAGAGGGCCATTTAAGAGGTGGGTCTATGGCCTCTCTCAGCTGGGAATGCTTACCATCTCTCCTTCCTCCTTTTTAATCATGGAACTCTCCTCCTTTCTCCAGAAAGGCCTCCTTGGCTGTCCTCTGCTGGAGGGGAGGCTGGGTTGGGTCCTTCCTGGGACCTGTCCATGTCTCCCATGAAACCTGAGAGCCTGTCCTTAGTAGGTGTTGTGTTAGTGGTGGTGGAAAGGACATCTCCACTGATTAAGGAAGTAACTTGGACCATCTTGCATAGACAAGATCGGAGGCCCATTCCGGAGGGTGGAAACTGCAAGACCATTCTGGGGAAGGATCCTGTTAGCGTGGCTAGCATCCCATCTCGGGACAAAGGGTTCTGTATGAGGAAGCCATTTCCTCGTCCTCTGCTAACACTGGCTCCGTTTGTGTGATTTCCACAAATTATCTCAGACCATCCAGCGCAGCTCATGCCTGTCTTGCAATTTCACAAAATAATCCTCTAAGGAGACCAGTGTCCTCCTTTGGACTTCCAGTTATTCACCTCGTCCCCTCAGACGGTCGTCTTCTGTCTGCCAAACAAATTACTCGTGCTGCCAAAACTCCACTGAGAATCTCCAGGAAGATCTCGGTTGTATTGCAGAAAAGAGGTGGGCCCTGACGAGATTCCTGACACCTCCCTCTTCCTGCTGTTGTGTTTGGGACACTCTTGCTGACCTCCCTGGTGCTGTGCTCAAGTTGAACACACAGCAGTTCAGTTTCAGCTCCAGCCCCTCTGGACCCACACCCAGGGAGTGAATGCGGCTTTGGCTTGTTTGAGAGGGAGACAGTGGGGTTCACCTTCTTAGTGATCCCTTTTTCATTCCTTGAATATCAAACATCACTGATGCCTCCTGGGTTTCAGGCTCCACTGCAAAGTACAGGGGCCCTCGAGGAGTTCCTACTGTGGTTTTGTTCTCTGACATTTGTACTGTTTCCTTGATTCTGATTGCTCTGATACAGTTCCCTAACCTCTAAACTAGGGAACTTTCTTGAAGGTCCAGTGAATCCACCCATATTGTTTGCTGAGTTGATTAGTTAAGAAAGACAGTTCGTGAAGACTGCCAACTTCCTCACCCTCCCCAGGGCCTTGAGTTTCAGAAGGGCCAGAAAACACCAAGAGAGCCCATGAACTGCTTTGTAGCTTGACTTCAAAATCTCTTTGGGCAAAGAAATGACAAAGGATTGTATCCACAGTAAGGCAGGGCTATCCAGGGCCTATCTCAAGGTGGTTTTCCTTGAGGTTCAGGCAGAAATGGTGCTGTTCTCGGCAATTTTCTGGGGAAGTTGCTACAGCAAACAGCCACAGCACATGTTGATTTTTTCCCTCCTTTTAAAAATCTGTTCTATAAAGAGCACAATGTGCTGGAGAGAACACTGGCTTTCATGTGGCCTTAAAACCAGGCATGTTACAGAGGGTGGAATCTGGGCCAGTTGCTGTTGGTGACAATCGATGCTACCCTTGTCAGCAATTCCCGCCTGCTCTCCCTTTATCTGCTTCACTGAAGGCCTCCAGGGGACTGTTGTCCGCCCTCCCCCGAGGGAATGAGTGCCACACCTGCACCCACAACAAACCAGTGAGTTTTTCACCTTTCCCTCAGTAGGGAGGAATCTAGACATGTGGCCTTTGGAAGTCAAGTGGGCCTTTGTGTTTGTTTTTGAGCCTCAGGTTACCCATTTGTGAACTGGGTATAATACCCAGCCTCTCCCGGGGCAACCTCCTTGAGGAGCAAGTGAAACAGTGTGCTGAGTGAATGCTTTTCCAAAGCATTGAGTTGGCCGTCTTAGGAAGGTACTATGGGGGAGCTGAAAACAGAGAACCTTCTGGGTGTTGTGAAGGGAGAAAAGTTCAAGATGCTGGTTTTGCCAAAAGCTCAAGCCTGCTCATGATGGCTCAGTGGTGACTGCAGGGTGGAGGAGAGGCATGTGACTGTCCCAGCTGACCTCCACACGCTGAAAGCCTCATGGTCACGTGCAGCCCACCTTACAACGTTGTATCTGGGCCACGGGTGGTGGTGAGGACTGTGGATATATTTAGGGCAATGTGAGATCATTGTCAACATTCCCTTTAAGGTTGCTTTAACCTTAAAGCAGCCAGCTTGATGCTTGCTGACTTGGGGCACACATCTTAACCTCTTGATGCCTCAGTTTCCCCGTCTGTTAAATGGTGACATGCTGGCACCTCCCTCCTAGGGTTTCTGTGAGGCTTAAAGGAAGTACCGGGTTTAGAGTCCAGTTAGTGCCACAGATACTGTTCCTGGTGCTGTTTTTGTGGTGTGTCTGTGTAGGGTTACATTGTTGCCTTCCTGTGGCTGCTCTTCCTGGTGGGCGGAACCTGGAACTTCTAGAACAGATCATGGATGTTTCTCTGCTGGATACCCCTTCAGCCTCACCCTGTGGGAGTTGTGGCGGGGCCCAGGAGAGTTTGCTCAAGAGGGTGTGCAGGTGGGTGGCAGAGCTGGAGCAAGGCACTAGTCTTAACAGACAGGAGTCTGAGGCTGGCAGAAGTGGGGGCCTTGGTCCAAGGTGCGGGGCTAATCTGGCCAGAGCTGAGCCTGGCAGGGCCTTGGTAAGACCCTGTGGCCCTTTTGTCTTGGTGAAGCACCTTCCTGCCTGGGTTTCCATTTGCCTGTAAGTTTGTTGTGGACAGCGTGATCT
The DNA here is from genome assembly GCF_000001405.40 of Homo sapiens. Taxonomy (NCBI): domain Eukaryota; kingdom Metazoa; phylum Chordata; class Mammalia; order Primates; family Hominidae; genus Homo; species Homo sapiens. The sequence continues at coordinate 133,289,942 of NC_000008.11, read as the reverse complement.
CCATAGACGTACACTGTGCCTACTTTACAGATGGAGAAACCAAGGCCCAGAGAGGAAGTGACTTGCTCAGAGTCATGGAATAGGAAAGTGGCAGGGTCCCCATGCCCTGATTCCTAGGCCAGCGTTCCTGCTGCCCCACTGAGGTTTTTGGGAATCACAGGCTCTGTGTGTCCCCCTCAGTCCCCCAGGGGCTGTTGAACAGTTCTCAAGTGGTGTCGGATTACTGAAGATGCCTCTGCCCACTGCCCTCCCAGGTCCCAGGGTCACGGGTCACGTTCTTTTCTTCCTCGGGCAGATCCTGGCCTTGGCTTTGCCTGGCACCTGTGATCCAGCTCTCCTCTGACTCTCCTGGGTCTGCTGGACTGGAAGGGTATTTGTGTAGCCCCTCTTGGGCCCTCATTACTCATTGACAGACAGTGCTGGTGGAGAGAAGGGCCCCAGTGGTGACGCACTGGGCCTGATAATCAGAAACCTTGGTGGCATTTGCTGAGCATTTTCCATGTGTCCCTCTCCTCGCTGGGACTCTAGGACTGAAACCCAGGCCACATCCTCACAGATGTCCTGGCATCTCCAAGGCAACCCTGAAAGGAAAGTATGTTGATGAATTAAGCAACTGTTTGCTTAATTCTCCATGCCATTCTTGAATTTAAGCCCCACTGCTGATCATTGGGAGCAGGAGTTAGCATGCCCATTGACAGACAAGCAAACTGAGGCAAAGAGGTTAGATAGCCAGGCATGGTGGCATATGCCTGTAATCTCAGCTACTCAGGAGGCCGGAGTAGGAGGATCACTTGAACCCAGGAGTTTGAGACCAGTCTGGGCAACATAGCAAGACCCTGTCTCTCTAAAAAACAAGATGAATAATACATTTTTAAAAAGAGATTCGATAAATTATGCAGGATCACAGAGCTAATAAATGGTGACACCATGGCCTGCAAGCCTTCCCCCAGCTCCTGGCTACCTTTCGCTTCTCTGGCATTGGTCTTCTCGGAATTCCTCCCAGGCAGGTGGATGGGAAAAGAAGTGAAGATACAGGCTGGCAGCTGGTGCTGTGACCTGGAGCCCTGTTTTTGGTGCTAAGCTGGGTTTTAGCTGAAGGAGACCTGCTGGAGGGGTTTCTTCTGTGCTTCTTGGGGAGCAAAGATGGCCTTGGAGATGGAGACACGGTTTGTCAGTCCCAAGCCACTCCAAAGGTGGGGCTGGTGGGCTAGGAGTCAGCCCTGGTTCCCCCGCCATGCTGTGTGTGGCCCTGCCTTGCCACCCCACCTGCTGGAGGACCTCTTTGATGCTTTCTAGTGGGTCCCAACATTCTGTGATTAGGACTTTGCATGAGGCAGAGGGAGGGCAGGAGCTGGAGTCCAGCAAGGACCTCAAGCCCAGGGACAGGCTCCACCTGCCACACTTGCTAAGCCGTGAGGGCCTCAGGTGCCCGGGAGGAGGGAGCAGGAGTGGAAGCACCAGCTCGAGCCGCCAAACCAGGTCACGTATCACCTGCCATTTCCTGCTGGCAGAAGGAGATCACAGACACCAGAAGACAGCAGCTTCTGCCAGAACTGGGTCCTTCCATGATTCTCAGGTGGTGACTTTGAATCCCAGAAAAAGTGTTTTGGGGAGAGTGGAGTGAAGGAAGAGTGTGAACATTGGATCTGACTCCACTCCAGCCCCTGTGCTGCAGCCAGCAGGGTGAGCTCAGGACAGCTGGCAGCCGCTTGGGCCCAGCCCCCTCCTCCGTGAATGAAGGTGGTGGGGAGTGCACGTGTGCGTGTGAGTGCGTGTGAGTATAAATGACTGTGGATGTGAGAGTCCATGAAAGTGAGAATGTATCAGTGTGTAAGAAAGTGTGAGTATGTGAGAATGAGTGTGTTTGTGAGAATGTATGTATGTGTGAGTATAAGTGTGTGAATGTGAGAATGTCTGAGTGTGAGAATGAAAGTTTGCAAGTGTGTCAGTGTGAGGGAATGTGTGAGTGCATTTGAGAGTGTGTGTGTGTGTGTGTGCGTGTGTGCACGCATGCACTAGATTAAATAAGAATGCATCCAACTGACATTTTCTGGATACTGTTACCTACTAGGAATTACTAAAATCAGCTATTCCAGAGGAGGGTGGATGTCGCACCAGGGGACATTTGGCAACGTTTGCAGATTCTTTTGCTGGTCGCAGCGTGGGGTGTATGCTGTGGGCATGTGGTGGGCAGAGGCCAGGGATGCTGCTGAGCCTCCTCCCGTGCTCAGGGCAGCCCCTAAGGCAGAGGCTGCTTGTGGGGCCCAAATGTCAGCAGTGCTGAGCTGAGGATCTCTGTCCAGGAGGCACAGACGCTGTCCTGGATGCTGTCCAGACAGCATCTGCTCTGCCCTCCAGGGGGACAGACAGACAGTGGACACAGCCCAGATGCAGCCTGATGAGTGAGCCCAAGGGAGTGCCTGTCCCCTCGGGACTGTGAGCTCCGTGGGGGCAGGAACTGGGTCTGTTTGCTCATGATCCCCAGATGAGTCCCATAGCCAGTCTCATCACCATAGCTGGTGTTATTTTTGTTCTGAGCTCTGTGTTGGGCACATAGAACCTAGTGGGTAGAAACCTCTGAATAAATCCTGAGTTTTCCATCCTGCTTCCGTGAACTCAGATGTTCTTTGAGGGCCAGCCTGGTGGCGTGGGGGCTGGGAGTGGGCAGATTGTAGGGAGCCAAGTCCTGGGGTGGAGTGGGGTTCAGGCCCCTTTCCCTGGCTTGAGCCGAAGCACCTTGGCTTTTTAAATTTTAAAATTTTTATTTTTTAACATTTTTATATGTTGAACTTCCTTACATGATTTCCTTTGGATAAAAGCTCCTGCAAAAAAAGTTTGAAAAGTTTTTTGGTTGAGGCATCAGGGACAAGGTAAGGGCTGCTTGATGGGCCCAACTCGGGAGAACTGAGGTGAGGGAGCCGCTCTCCTCCCACCCTACAGGCTGGCCAGATGGTGGACCGCCAGCAGCTGGCTGGGTCAACCTGCAGAGAGCACCTTCTGCAGTCCTTGGTTCATGCGGCCTTAGTATTGCAGGACGCGACCAACATGCAGGCTACCCCGAGGCCTGCAGCCCCCACAGTCCCCCCAGACTAGTGCAAAGCTTTATCCAGTCTCCCGGCAGACTTCAGAGTCTAGGACACTTCCTAAATGGTTCAAAATCAATGGAATCATTTGGGGGACAATAAATAATGTCACTAGACATTGCCAAATGTCCCCTGGGAGAGAAAATCCCCCCTAGTTTAGATATACCCCGTGATCATCCTCAGCAGTTTTATCTCTGGACTTCCCAAAGGCCTTTAGCAGTGAGGGGGCTGGGTCAGAGAAGGCCCCACCAGCTCCCAAAAGCAGATGCTCAAGAACTTGATATTTCTAGGACACACAGCGATTTTTTTAACCCATTGCCTCATGTGGTCTGGGAAGCTAAGCTGTAGGAATAAAAAAGGTGCCGGGTAGGGTAAAGAGGTTTCACCAGATAGAGGAAACGGGGAAGGTGGACATTTCTGTCTTTTCTGTTCTGGAGAACGAGAGAGCTGGTGGAGACTGACAGACACTATGTCCTAATGTGATCACGGTTTCTGGAAGCCAAAGAGAACTGACCAAACTGGGCTGAACCACAGCATTTCTCGAGTCCTTTTAAATGTAGAATTTGTTTTCCAGACATTGCACTCTTGGGGTTTAGCAATGATTTAAAAGTGAATTTTACTGAAAGCATGCTGTTGAGCTACATTGCTCATTTATTCAGAGAGGGAGTTGCAGCCTGACTTTCTGCCTAGGAGAGTCTCTCGTGCTGGGAGCTAGAGGTAGAGAAAAGAACAAGCTACCTGCTTGATGAAGCTCACAGATAGGACTGCTTGAACCCACCTGGTGGGACAGTGAGAGCCCCCTGACTTCACCCTGGCGCGCTTTGCTGAGCAGGGTATGCTAAGAAGCTCCTGTGAAATGAGAAGTCCTTTCACTCCCAGAATGAGGGGTGGCGTTGGCAGGGCCCTGGGTTTCTGGAAGGCTCCCTAGGCCATGTAGGCGAGGTGTCCCACAGGCCAGGGTCTTGGGACCACGAACCTGCTGAATTAGCAAGGCTAACAGACGCGGGCCTTTCATGCCTCCTGCCTCCAAGCTGGCAGCTGCCCAGGAATGCTCACAAATATAAAACCGACTTTGTTTTCAGAATGTTCTGGAGCATAGACTCCAAAGTCTGTATAAAGCCATTCTTGTGGGGCTGGTTATCTACTGGGGAAAATCATGCTGGGGCCCCAGACCAGAGCACCCCAGTGGAGAGCAGGATCTGCCCACGGAATGCCATGTGTTGGCACAAGGGATGGACCCGGGGTGGATTCGGGGTGGCCCGCACTTGCCGGCTGACCTCTAAGAGGTGTTTCACCAGGTTCTTGGGAGTTCCTGGGTCTTCAGAGGAGCCCTAGGCAGGAATTTCAGAGGCTTGCATTCTCTCGACCATTGCATCCGAGGGGCCTTGGGCAGTGCGGGGCCCAGGTTCCCACTCTGAAGCTGGCTGTGTGAGGGCTTTGGTCAGGCGTTTTCCATTCAGAAAGTCTGGATCTGTGAACTGGGTGGGTGGCCTGGGCTCTTCCCTCTTGTCACTTACTTCTTCTCCGCCGGTCCTCTGCTGCTGTCTGTAAGACTTGACCTTATTCTGCATTTTTTATGCTTCACCCCAGGGATTGATGGGCATTTAGTTTTTCTAACTTGACTACTGATCTAGAAGAATACATGCTTATACTTCTGGTTTCTAGATTCAGCTCTTGGAGGCATGCTTAATAGATAGCACCACCTGCCCAAGCCTTGCACCCCAGGGAGTCAGTGGCAGCATTCCAAGTCTTCCTGGGCTGTGCTTCAGTCTGGTTTTGCAGCCCACACTTCTGCACCTGCCCTGTGTTAGAGCACAGGTAACCCCTCTGGTCCATCCCCTGCTTTGATCCAGGAAGTGCTTTCTGCCTTGGAGGTCTTTTTTCTTACAAAATTGTACTGTGCGTTCAAATGCCTGCCAAACTCCTTGACTTAAGGTTTTCCTCTGCCCCTCTTCCCTTTTAGCAGGCAGCCGAGAGTCCTGCACCGTGGGGTGTGTATGTGTGTTCACGCGCATGCGTGTGCCTGTGTGTCTGTGCGTCTGCATCACCAACCTTCTGTTAGGGCTAACTGTGAGGCTGAAGCTTGCACTATGCCTATACGTGGTAAGCATCGTGTGAGCTTGTGTTCCCCTTTCATTGTCACACGGGGGCTGCCTGACTTTGGGATCAGCAATGCAGGTCCCCTTCTAGAATGCAGTGAGCTGCATCCTGGGTATGGTGGGTGGGCCTGAACTTGGTATGGGGACCTGTTTGTGAGGCTGATCTATCCATTTCATTGGGAGGGTGGTGTCTGTGAGCCTCAGTATCCTCTCCCAGGAAATCCACTGCGCTGGCCCCAATGGGAAGACTGGGTTGGGTCCATGGGCTGTGTGTACAAGGGACCTCCTCATCCCCTGCAGTGCATCACGAGGGAGGTGAAGCTGCTGGGCAGAGCGCAGGCCTGGCCTTCTTGCCATTGGTCTTGGATTTGCTTCCTTTAGGAAACCTCTCAGCAGGAAGTGTTGACCTTTTGGCCTTTGTCTCCTTGCAGGCAGGTGACAGCAGGGACATGTCTCGGGAGATGCAGGATGTAGACCTCGCTGAGGTGAAGCCTTTGGTGGAGAAAGGGGAGGTGAGTGGAGATCTTCCTGGCTACCCCATCACAGGCACATGTGCACATAGACACACACAGGCACACCGGAGCTCACACTTGTACTTATGGGCATGCAAACACTGCACAAATACACATGTATACAGCATACACACGGCATACAAACATGCTGCACACACATGTACATAGCATACAGACACACATGCGTACACACATAACACATTTGTCCACTGCTTCCTTGAAATGCAAAGTTGTGAGAGGCTCTGGTTCAAGTCCCATAGGATCGAGGGCTGGGCCCCTTGCCCACTTCTCTGGGCCTTTCTGCTCTCATTTGTAAAGTGAAGACATCGAACCAGAGGTTCTCTCAGCTTTCCCGTCTCTAACATTCTGTGGTTATAGAACATGCAACATGGGGCCCAGTTGCCCATAGGGACTGCCTGCCTCAGCTCTCATTAAAGCCACATACTCTGGGGCCGCACTGTCTGGGCTTAAATCCCAGCTGTGACACTTTGCAGCTTGGTGTCCACTTGCTAACCTCTCAGTATCTTCATATTCTAGTTCTTCATCTGTAAAATGGTGACATTAGGACTTACCTCATGGGGCCAAGTGAGGATGGAGTGACCTAATTCATAGGGAACAGTTAGAACTTTGCCATAGAGGAGATGGGCAATGCATAGTCACTTTTTCACTTGCTATTATTATCTTTTTGGGCAAACCTCTTCTGTCAACAGAGCTCTTCCTGTTGGAAACAGAAGCCCCTGTCTATAGGCTGGGCTGGCAGGGCCCAGCCTGGGCTGATTGTTCTGAAGATGAATGAACCTTTACATTTGCACAGTTGACACCGTAGCTTCAAAGCATGTTTACATCCCAATTCTCACTTAGCCTCATAACTGCCTCTGATATGTCTTTTTAAAAATGTGGAAGCTTTGGTCCAAAAGTGAAGTTAGTCTAAAGCCAACTAAATGCTTTTAAAAGTGATAATTACCATGCACTAACCACATCCTGCATGCCTGCTTCTCCGCCGACCGTATTTCAACTTTGGTTCATGCAGGTCCCAGGTTCTGTGATCGTACTCATTTTGTAGAGGAGGAAGTTGGGTCTTAGGGAGGTTAATTTGTCTTCTTTGCATAGTTACAAAGTGTGGGACATGGAATCAAACCCAGGCCAGCGGACGTTGGTGAATAGACTGTTCATTTAATTTCCTTATGACTCTACATGTGGCTGCTCTGTTTTAGGTTCATAATTTCATAGACTTTTCTTTACAAATGTGTGAGGCAACCATCTCTTTTCCCCTTTTGCAGATTTAAAAATAAAAACAAACTGGTCCTAGACAGGAAGGGGATTGGTCAAGTTCATCCAGATAGCTGGTACAACTAGAGTTAGAAACCAAGCCTGGGGAGGCTACAGATGCTTGCTTATCATTCCACACTAAGGTCTGCAAACCTTTTCTGCAAAGGGTCAAATAGTAAATATCTTAGGCATTGAAGGCCACATGACCTCTGTTGCAACTGCTCAACTTTGCCATTATAGCAAGAAAGCAACCATAGACAGTATACAAGTGAATGTACTTAATGTGTTCCAACAAAAATTTAAAATGTGGTGAGGCGGATTGCAGTGTGCCAACCCCTACTGTATACTATGCAATTTCTAAATCTGTGTCCTCTAAACTCTGGGTCTGTGACATAGTCTTCTGAAATAGTCAAACAGAAACTTCTAGATAGAACAAATACATATCACCATATTCTTATTTCTCCCTTTTAAAAAACCCTGTGAAAATAGTATCCCACACTTTGCTTTATTCACTTGACATTTCTGGGAGATCTTTTCAACATCAGTCCATAATCCACTTGCTTTTCTCTTTTTAGGTACATAGTATTCCACTACATGTATTTGCCCAGTGCCCAGTATATGAACACATGTGTCTTTCCAGCCTTTTGCTATTACAGACAGCACTGCAAGAAATTTGCACCCTTGTATCTTTCATGTGTGTCATTACATACATGTGCAGGTACAGCCCTAGAAAAAAGTTCTCAGAAGTGGCATCGCTGGGTCCAAGGGTAAATGCATTTAAAACAACATTTTTTATTTATTTCGGGCAGCCTACTGGAATCCTTAGAACATTTTATGTATGAAACACATGTCTAAGAGCTTGCCCATTCAGGGTTACATGCCAGTGCATCTCTCAGTGAATATTTACCCTTTCTTTCAAGGTTTAGACGGAAATAAATTTCTTTCAATTCCTTAGATTGACTCAGCAAAGTATTTAGAGTTAGGCTTGACTATTGGGAAGTTCTTCCTTGTGTCTGTCCTCAATCTAGATTGCCACTATACTCTGATGACGTTTTGAAGGTTGGTGTTTGCTGTACAGAATGGCTTTCCCCATTCTTTCCCACCAGTACACACTCACATGCACATATACACACACAGGGCAATGGTATAGGTGCCAGCCACGTTTGTTTCCACTTGAATTTACCCAAAGTCCCTGATGTTCTTGCCCACAGCTCAGGGGATGTGGGGCTATTTGAATCCCCAGCACGAGGGCCTGTGTTGTCATCTAGTCTTCCAATCCCTGCCATCTAATGGGAGCTCCATTCCATCATCCTGTTCCCCTCATCGCTTTTGCATTTCGCTCTGCTGAGCCGTCTTGTTTTCTGGGGGTTTGTGGTGGGTGAGGCTGGGGCTCAGTTTTCACAGTGTTGGGACTCCATCTCTGGGTCAGTAGGAAAACATGCCAGCAACATCTCTTAGAAATGTTGGCCAGCCAAGACTCCAGTTGGTCCTCCGAGTCACACTTTCACCAGGCCAGAGGGGACACAAGACTTTTCTCTGTCTTCCTGGGCCTGTCCTGCCATGGACAGCTCTGGTAAAAGATAGAATTTGGGCTGAAACTCAGATTTTTTTTTTTTTTTTTTGAGACGGAGTTTCACTCTTGTTGCCCAGGCTGGAGTGCCATGGTGTGATCTAGGCTCACTGCAACCTCTGTCTCCTGGGTTCAAGGAATTCTCCTGCCTTAGCCTCCCGAGTAGCTGGGATTACAGGCATGCGCCATCATGCCTGGCTAATTTTGTATTTTTAGTAGAGACGGGGTTTCTCCATGCTGGTCAAGCTGGTCTTGAACTCCTGACCTCAGGTGATCCCGCCTGCCTCAGCCTCCCAAAGTGCTGAGATTACAGGCGTGAGCCACAGCACCCAGCCTGAAACTCAGAATTTTTAGATTGAGGGAAATGCTTAGAGGTCTCCACTGCCTCTTCTACTCACAAGAGACTGAAATTTAATCCAGGTCCAGATGACAGCAGCCATGGAAAAAATGTAAGGAGGACCATGATGTGGTCAGGTTTGAGTTTTAAAAGTATAGCACATGGGTGGAGCCGGGGAGACCAGTTAATAGTCAGATATCACATTTCTGTATCTCTCAAGCTTGTGATCAGCTTAGACCTTCAGCTTTTTATCTATCAAGGCTATTGTCAGAAAGGAGTCCAGTTAATGTGTCTGCTTTTCTGCTGGACTTCTATTTTGAGATGAAAAGGAAAGTCTCGGCTGGGCACAGTGGCTCACACCTGTAATCCCCAGCACTTTGGGAGGCCGAGGCAGGTGGATCATGAGGTCAGGAAATCGAGACCATCCTGGCTAACATGGTGAAATCCCGTCTCTACTAAAAATACAAAAAATAAAAATAAAAATAACTGGGCGTGGTGGCGGGCACCTGTAGTCCCAGCTACTCAGGAGGCTGAGGCAGGAGAATGGCGTGACCCTGGGAGGCGGAGCTTGCAGTGAGCTGCGATCACACCACTGTACTCTAACCTGGGCGACAGAGCAAGACTCCGTCTCAAAAAAAAAAAAAAAAGAGAAAAGGAAAGCCTGCCTTTGTGAGGAATTAAGGAGACCCCACAAAGGAGGAAGTGTAGGTACAGATTCAGGTCATAGAAAGGCCCATATGTCCCAATATTATTTCTCTTACAGAGAAAACAGATGAAATTGACAATTTTTTTTGTCTTTTCACAGACCATCACCGGCCTCCTGCAAGAGTTTGATGTCCAGGCAAGTAGAGGATGTGGCTTTCCTTCCCCTTCCTCATCCCGTCTTCTCTTTTTCCTTTTTCTTTCCATTGGTTTAAGTAGATCATTGTGCAAACATTGCGGGCAAGGGGAGAGAAGGCAGTGGTCTCAGCTAGGTCCTCACCCTCAGCTGCTGCTCCCAGACAGAAGCTGACTTGAGTGCTGGCCAAAGAATCAGGAACCAGTCACTTCCCACGAAAGCAGGACAGAGACACCGCCTGTTTCAGTCCCAAAGAGCTGGCCAGAACGGTGGGGCGTGTGTGGGGAAAATGGTGTGATGCTGGGCTGGCTTGGGACCCTGTGAGGGGAGGGAACGGAAGCAAAAGCTTGATGTTCTTGGCTCCACTTGGGAAACTGAAACCAGCCTTCTCTGTGGTTTACTGGCCCAGAACTGAAGTATCTCCATTCCCACTCAGGATTGCAGGGTGGGCCAGGGGGTGCACCTCAGCTGTGTCCAAGAATAGGCTCTCAGGAGAACGGGCTGGGCTCTCTCAGCCGAGGGCTGGGTCAGAACTTCAGGAAATCTAAGTCCTGGACTCGTTAGCCCCAAGCTGGGGTGGGTCCCATGCTGTGCTGGCCTCTGGAGGGTGGGGCAGAAAGCCTGAGCATATGGCGAGCTTGTGGTCTCCTTGAAGGAGGAGAGGCGCACTCCTGGACCAGCCAGAGAGCCAGAGGTGGCTGAGGTGTTCTCACCTGAACCGCTACCCATGTGTTGCACAGGTGTCCCCAGTTTGGGACCCATTCTGCACTCTGCATCTCACTCCTCTATTCTACCTCCTTACCTCAAAACAACTCCGCTTTTCCTCTTGAATCTCTGATTTCATGAATGCTCCCCCATCCATCCCGAGGCGAGGAATCTTGCACTGTCTTTGGAAGGAAAGGAAAGGATGGGAGAGGGGCTGGAAGCATTGGCTAGTAGATGATCGAGGCTTTCTATACCACCACCAAGGTGTGTATTTTCTCATCATCCTGGTTGTGTCAGGCTGTCCCTAGAGATCACCCTGACCTCAGTGTTTAAGAAGAAGGGCCAGATGCAGTGGCTCATGCCTGTAATCCTAGCACTTTGGAAGGCCGAGGCAGGCAGATCACCTGAGGTCAGGAGCTCGAGGCCAGCCTGGCCAACAAGGAGAAACCCTGTCTCTACTAAAAATACAAAAATTAGCCAGGCATGGTGGTAAGCACCTATAACCCCAGCTACTTGGGGGCTGAGACAGGAGAATTGCTTGAACCTGGGAGGCAGAGGTTGCAGTGAGCTGAGACCACGTCGTTGCACTCCAGCCTGGGCAACAAGAGTGAAACTCTGTCTCAAAAAAAAAAAAAAAAAAAAGAAGAAGAGAGACAGCACTGGGAAGTGACTTGCCTGGGGTCACTCAGCAGTGATTGGGGAAGTGGTGCCAGACTCTGGGCCTCACCTCTTCCAGCCCTGAGTGCTCCCCTTGCTGCTTGTGTAGGTTTTAATGATGTTGGTGAGGGCTTCTTACCTGCCAGGTGCTGTGCTGAGAGCTTGCCAGCCAATATCTCATGTAATGCCTCAATATCTCATGATAACAGGAGAGGCACCATTAGCTTTATTTTTCAGATGGGTATACTGAGGCCAGAGTGGAGGGACTGGGAGCCACACCTAGCTCTGCCTGACCAGGAAGGAAGCCCATGTTCTTCCCGCACCACTCATGTGCTGAGGTCCAGGCTTCTCCCATGCCCTGGCCAGAGCTCCATCCCGTTCCTCTCTATGTTGCAGGACGCTGGGCATGCGAAGGTGCTCCAGGAGGGTGGGAGGTGAATGTACTATCTTGAGGTTTATCAAGTCCAAGCCTTCATTTTACAGCTGGGGAACCTGAGGGACAGAGAAAGGGGGAAGTCACTCATTGAGGGTGGCATGGTGGGGCAGCTAAGAGTTATGGTAGCAATCCTCTTTTTCACCCTCCTGAGAATGGGAAAAAATGCACCCAGGGAAGTCAGAGCTGCAATAGATGCAGTGGCTGTGGCACCAGCACCATGGCCTTGGTTATTTGACTGGTTCTCTGAGCTGAGAACAGCTGGAAGTTAGCCCCAGGGGTCATCTGCTCATTCAGGGATGGGCCGGGCCACCCCAGCCTCCCTCAGCCTGATCGAAGCTGCCCTTGCCAACCTTCCCTGTGGCTGAAATGTCAGCTCCTTGTGTTCCCCAGGGGAGCGGCTTGCTGGCACTGAGGTTGTATCTTCCTGCAGTGGGGATGTGATTGTCCATCCTCCTCAGGTGAAGGCCCCATTCCAGAGCCAGGAAGAGTGAAGCGCAAGCCCCATGGGTGCCCTTTCCTGGTGATTGACCCTTAGCACAAGATGCTTCACCTCTGTTTCCCCACCTGTGAAATGGAGACAGTGCTCCAGGCTTGTTAAGTGGTGGTGGAGAGAGGACACTGACAAGGGCCAATGATGTGGTGCTTCCCGCATCAGTGCCGGGCCAAACATCACACACCCTATCCACTAACTATCATGGAGTGTTTTCCCGAATTATTTTTGCTGTTGTGGAAACATACACGTAACATCCAATTTACCAACTTAACTACTTTTAAATGTACAGTTCCGTCATATTAAGTACATTCATATTCCTGTGCAACCATCACTATCGTCCATTTTCAGAACTGTATTTATTTATTTTTATTTCTGTTTAGACAGAGTCTTGCTCTGTCATCCAGGCTGGAGTGTAGTGGTGCGATCTTGGCTCACTGCAACCTTTCTTTACCTCCTGGGTTCAAGCAATTCTCATGCCCCAGCCTCCTGAGTGGCTGGGATTACAGGTGCCCGCCACCACACCGGGCTAATTTTTGTATTTTTAGTAGAGATGGGTTTTTCCATGTTGGCCAGTCTGGTCTCGAACTCCTGACTTCAAGTGATCTACCTGCCTCAGCCTCCCAAAGTGCTGGAATTACAGGCTTGAGCCACTGTACCCCTGGAACTTTAAAACCTGCAGAACTGAAACTCTGTCCCATTAAACAACTCCTCATTCTAGCTTTAGGCAGTCATCCTTCTATTTTCTGTCTCTGTGATTTTGATTACTCTAGATTTTGATTCCTCTAAGTACCTCATACAAGTGCAGTCATACACTATATTATTATTATAAAACTGTATTAATTTGCATTGATTTGTTCTTTGCCAGTGTCTGGCTGGTATAAGTTAGCATCGTGTCCTCAGGGTTCATCCCTGTTGTAGCAGGTGTCAGCATTTCCTTCCTTTTTAAGGCTGAATCATATTCTGTTGTATGTATGCCCCACATTTTGCTTATCCATTTGTCCGTTGGTGGACACTTTGGGCACTTTGGGCTATTGTGAATACTGCTGCTGTGAACATGTGTACAGATATCTCTTTGAGATCCTGCTTTCAGTTTTGGGGGACATATACCCAGAAGTGGAATTGCTAGAGGTATCAGTCCATTCTCAAGCTGCTATAAGGACATATCAGAAACTGGGTAATTTATAAAGAAAAAGAGGTTTAATGGACTCACAGTTTCACATGGCTGGGGAGGCCTCACATTCATGGCAGAAGGTGAAGGAGGAACCAAGGCACGCCTTACATGGCGGCAGGCAAGAGTGTGTGTGTGCAGGGGAACTGCCGTTTATAAAACCATGAGATCTCTTGCTCTTTATAAAACCATGAGATCTCTTGAGACTCATTCACTATCACGAGAACAGCACAGGCAAAACCTGACCCCATGATTCAATTACCTCCCACTGGTTCCCTCCCACGACACGTGGGGATTATGGGAGCTACAATTCAAGATGAGATTTGGGTGGGGACACAGCCAAACCCTATCACTGGATCATATGGTTATTTTGGATTTTAAAATCTTGGTTACCAATTCTGAGAAACCTAGAAAGCATAGTTTATCTGCTCCCTGCGAAGATAATTCCTCACATTTTTGTTTCTCTGGAAAGTCTGCAAAACACTTTTACATTCTCCCATCTCAGGACACAGGCAACTGACCTACTCCCAGGGAAGGTCAACCTATGTGGCTCAGGCTGGGGTCGGCTAAGGCGCTGCCCCTTAGGACATCATTAAAGTGGGGGCCACACAGAGAAGCCTTTGGAAGGATAGAGCAGAGGTCAGGATAAGATTTCCCAGCATTGTGCACCAGCCTGGGCTGAGCCGTCTGAGTTAATTCCCCAAGCTGTCCTATGAGGTCGGAGCATTTTCCCTATTGTGCCTTCCTTTATTTCTTTAACAAATGCCCACTTTGTGCCTGGCATTAGTTTAGGTGCTGGGGATGCAGTGATGAGCATGACAGGCAGTGACCTGTGTTTTCAGGAACCTAAATTCTGGAATAATAGCTCAGCACTGCCGAGCACAGAATGTGTCTGGCAGCATGCCAAATGTGCCCCACGTGTGCTTACGGCGATCCTGTCCCCATCCTACGGAGAGAGAGGACCTGAAGCACAGAGAGGTTAGGGAACTTGCCTGAGATCGCAGAGCTGGAAAGGGGACCTCAAGCCATTTGCTTCCAGGGCACATATTTGAAACCAATCCCGATTCCTCAGAAGAAAGAGTCAAACAAACATACAAACAAGCAAATGTGAGCATTCCAGCTTCTGTAGGTGCTTTGAAGATAACAGTGAAGGGTGATATGGAGCCAGGTGATGGGATAGGGCATGGCTGGGGTGCTGTCTTAGGTTGAGGCTTTTTTTTAAGTGGTGACATTGCACTGAAGTCTAAAAGATAGATAGAGCCAGTCACGTGACAAAGAGACTGGGGATAGATCATTCCAGGCAGAGGTAACAGCACAAGCAAAGGCCTTTCTGATCTGAATTCTGAAATTTCCAAGGGCAAAAATGTGTTATTCCTGTAAGCTGTTAACAGGCTCAGTGTTCCCAGTAAGTCACAATATTTGAGCTGAAATCTGAGTGTTGAATGACACTTTTCAAGGTTGTTACCAAAAGAAAATCTTTGTCTAAAACTGTATTCATTTAGATTTGGCTTCTTAGATTGGAAGGTGTTAGGGACTCAAGAGATTGATGAAAGCGTCCCCCAGATTTTCAGCAGTCTCCAAAATCTTGGGTGTAGGGTTGCTGTAGAATTTCCTTCAGAAGATGCAGTGCAGTGTGACGACGGAAGCTCTCTGGGGCCTGATGGGTTCCAGGGCCAGGAACTGAGAAGGACAGAGCTTTGGTCAAGGGGGCCTACAGGGCGTATCAGCCCGGGGACTGGTCAGCATAATCTGACCTCAGATTCACATGGGAGTTGCAGCAAAGCGACAGGACAGCACCTGTCTGCCATGCACTTCAGTGTCCTCTGATGAGCCAGGCCAGCACTGAGGGCCTCCCACGCCCTCTTGCTGAATCTTTGGGGACCTGTACCATCATCCTTCCTTTACAGATAAGGAAACTGAGGCTTTCCCAGGGGCGGCAGCTGTGAAGTGAGCCACATTGAGCCCAGGGCTGTCTGACGTAGACAGTTCTCTCAACCGTGATGCTTGAGTATAGCCCTGTTCCTGGAAAGGCTGATCAAGCCCTTATGGACTAGATTGTGGTTCACCTTTGACACGTCTGCTTGTCAAAAAATCTAGCCAAGCAGATAATCTAAGCAACACTTCATTGGGCTTATGTTCAGCCTACTGACAATGAGTTGTTGTAGGACTCAAGAGTTGCTGTGCCTTAATGGCAAATGAATTTTATCTATTCATTTAGTTGGTTTCTTACCTGCTTGTTAAAATAGGGCTCCCTCCTGGGCAGTTCTTGCCCTGGGCATAGCTTCCCTCCTGGTCCAGTCTAAGGAGTCTGAGTCGCTTTATTTTGTGTATCTGAAAGCAGCCGATGTCATTCCTTGAAAAATAATTACTGCTTCAGCACTTTGACTAACTCAGGCAGATTCCTACTTCCTTTACCAATGTAGTCAATAATTTAGGCTTTTATTGTTTTTGTTTTTTAAATGAATCAAAACACACACACTGAGCCCAGAGCTCGGCACTGAGGAGCTGCTGGCGGAGTCTGCATTGAGCTGCTGGGTGGCCTGTCTCTGGAGACAGCTCGCCTGCCAGAGCAGATGGCATCAGGCCTTATCTCTCCATCACTGGCATCGCCTTTAGGCGGTCTCTTTGTTTTGTCCTGGGTGATGTTCGGGCAAAGTGATTGGTGATTTGCATATGAGGTTCTGCCAGCGCTGTCAGGCCCCCACCTGGCTCTGGTTCCTGAAAAGATTCCAGAACCCTCAGGGCACGGGGTGGGCGGGCTGCTGGCCTAGGTGTCCGGGTTGCAGGAAGGACACGGTCTGATCTGGCTCGGCTGAGAGGCCTCCAGCATCAGGTTTTAGGCAATTGTGTTTGCAGATTTGATGAGTAGGGAGGGGGGGAGTATTTTGGGTTCCAGCTTATTTTCTTTGGCTAGAATTCTAGAGTCCAAGACTTCTGCTCCAGTTGGAGAGCTTTGTGGAAGGCCACCTGGGGGAGGGAAGAGGAGGAAGAATGAATATTTGCATACTCATTGTCTCAGGGCTTCCCTGCTAAGGTGAGGGGTGTTGGCCTCTTTTGCAGATGAGAGACCCATTTGAAGATGTTAGGGAACTTGCCAAAGGGTACTGTAGAGATAGTCCTAGACTTAGATCCATCTGCTTCCGAAAAATGTTATAGTCATGGAAGTCGTAATGGCTGGCCTCTCTTGAGCTCTGCTGTACGTCAGAAACCGTGCTGGGCTATTTTCCTGCATCCGCTCATGTGATCCTCATGAAACCTTGTTGAGGGAGGTATCCTTGCCATCTATCCTTGCCATCCTTGTTTTATGTTGAAGATACGAGGCCCAGAAAATCTGGAGGGATTTGCCCAGTGTCACGCCATGGTGAGATAGATGGTGAAAGCTGATTCAATCCACACGTCTGGAGCCAAAGTTCATTTAACGAGTTTTGGGGAAGGGACAGCAGAGTTGACTTCATCACCGATAAATTGTACCTCGTGGGCCGAGTGACTTTCTGTGGCTTCAAATTGCTTTTTCTGTTGGATTTGCTGCTTCTAATTCCCTCCACCTGGATCTTGAGTTATTCAGATGGTTAGATTTGATTTGGTTTCCATGGGAATCTGTGTTTGTGTGCTCACCAGGGCTCTGTGGGAAATGAGCTGATGTGACCCACAGGGCCTCCGTGTGGAGTGGTGGAGGGGGCTGGGGCAGCACCAGGGCCGGGCAGGGCTCTGGAGGTCTGGCTCCCGTTCTGCTGCAAGGCCTCTTGTTCAGCAGAGCTGAGCTGGTCTTAGGGATGTACAATCCCATTCGGTGGGGGGGCTGTTTTCCCTCCTTTTCTTGGAAGCGGACCAGCTCACAGGGAAAATGGAAATGGTGACCTTTTGCTAATTTCTCTCTTTCCACACAGTTGCTTCTTGTTTTCATGCCCCATGACTGAAGGTGGGCAGAACTCAGACAGAAGCCTGGAAATCCTAAACTCACCATTTCCCATTCTCGCCCTCCCCCAGCCCTACTTCCTAGCAAAGCCATTGGGACTTAGAGCAAACCCTTAGAGTGACAGATGGCAGGAACGCTCATCTGGATCAGCACAAAATGAGACTTTGGAAAATAAACACAGCATACTTCTGCAATTCTGCTGTGGGTTTCCTAGGAGCACCCTCCAATGGAACAGGAGAGGTGGGGCTCATACCCAGGCCTCCGAGGTGTGTCCAGGCCAGGCTCTGCCAGGCTGACCTCACTCATCTCCTGGTGTCCCAGAAAGGGTGCAGTGAGCGGCAGCGAGTGCAGACCCAGCCCTGTCATTTGCTACTCGCGTGTCCTTGGCCACTCGCTTGACCTCCCTGGGGCTTAGTTTCCTAATCTGTGAAACAGTGGGGAGCATCGCTGTCCCTGAGCACATTGCAAACACTGAATGCACACAGCAGCGGGCTCAGCTCACAGGTCTTTGTCGCCCTCCCCTGCTCCATGGATGATGGGGTCTGCTCCATCTCTTCACCCTAATCCAAACAAAGATGTTCTTCCTAATTCTTGTTTCCTTGGAGAACTGAGGTCTTCAGCGTGGGTTCCAGTTGCATGCTGTATTCCCAGGCTGACACCTTCTGCCCACTGCAGCCTGTTCCCTGACCCTCTGTAACTTTGTTTAATTCTCTTGACCTGATGTCAACATAAAAGAAGACTGGGGAATGAAGCGAGAAGTGACAGGCCCAGCTTGACCTCTTGAAGGTCTTCCATTGTGTGAGGCTTGCAGGGGAGTCTTGGCTTTGGAAGCCCAAGGACCTATCTATCTTGAATCTTAATTCTGTTATCTCATTGGGCACCTATACTTCAGCCCCAAAGGCTGTTCAATGGCTGTCATGATATAGCACAGGAGACAAAGCTGGCTTTATCAGACTTGCTCAGTAAGTGGGTGGCTGTCTTTTTATCGTGTTCCTCCTGGCTACACACACACCTCCCCTGGTTATCTCTGGTACTTTATGTGTTCTTTACTCCTTTTTTTTTTTTTTTTTTTTTTTTTTTTAGACAGGGTCTCCCTTTGTTGCCCATGCTGGAGTGTAGTAGTGTGATCTCGGCTCACTGCAACTGTGACCTCCTGGGCTCAAGTGATCCTCCTACCTCAGCCTCCCTAGTAGTTGGGACTATAGGCGTGAGCCACCATGCCTGGCTAATTTTATTTTTTGTAGAAAGGAGGTCTCATTATGTTGCAGATGCTGGTCTCAAACTCAAAGTTACAGGTGTGAGCCATCACACCTAGCCTATGTTTGTTACTTAATGGAATGGATCATTAAGATGAATGGCACTGCTGTGTCTCCACCTCCTCCTCCATGGGCATAGGCGATGAACCAGGAAAATATAGGGGGAGGAGTGTATCATTTTATGAAAAGATGGTGGGGAGGGGGCAGGCCCCTGACATTCTCTCTTGAGCCTCTGTTCCCATGATTTGCCTTTCTTGCTGCCATGGGCCTTGACTTTATGCTGATGAGCCATAGTCAGCTTCCTGGACAGCTGTTCCAGAGGGCACCGTAACTGCTCTGGCCATGCTTGGACCCCACTTGCTAGACTGAGGGAGGGTCACCAAGCCCACCAACTGACTTAGATCCTGGGTATGCGGTGATCCTCTTAGAGCCTAGAACGGTCGGCATCTGCCCAGGGCCTGCTGGGAAGGAGGGGATTACCAGGGGCAGCGGGGAGACAGTCACAGCTGGCCTCCAGAGCCCCTCCGGATCATCCAGAGAGTTGACTTAAGCCAGTGGGGCTGGCCCTGGGAGCTTCACACTAATCATCTCTGGAGCGGTTGTCCATAACAACTGACATGGAGGGAAATGCTGCAGCTTGCAAAACACATTCAGGTCTGTACCATGGTTTTAGTCTTGGGAGCATCTTAATGGAGCAGGAGGCCTTGTCATTGACCTCAGCTTACAACTGATGGCAGGGATTGTCAGAGAAGGCTGATAACTTGGCCAAGGGCACGTGGTGGTTATATCATTAGGATAAGTATTGCTCAAAAAACAGTGCTGTGCCAAGGAAATGTTTGCTATTCTCACCAACCTAGAAAGCTAACACCCCAGCTATGAATGTCACCCAGCCCAGCTGGAGTTAGTCCTTACAGCTTCCTACTGTCACCTGAGCATGCGGCTTTGGTCCTCAGATTGGTAGGATAGCCACCGAACCCCCAAGCATCTCATCCATGTTCCAAGTAGGATGCAGGCAGGAGGGTGAAAGGACAAGAATCAAAAGGTCAAGTTTGACCCTTTTTAAAAAACTCTCCTTGAAGCTACAGGAATTTTCTGCTGGCATTTCATTGGCCAGAACTGAACCTCCTGACCATCTTTGGTTACAAGGGAGGTGAGTAAGGAAGGGGACCACTTTATCAGGCACTTTGCTGCTTAGTACATCAGTTGGAATTCTATCCTCAAAAAGAAGGGAACAACAGATGTTTGGGATGCCAACCAACAGAGTCTGCCATAGTTTTAAAGCTCCCAAGCCAGGGTTGACAGCCAAAGAGATGAAATCTTTAAGGCATGCTTGGTGTTAGGTCCTGTTTCCCCACTTGACAGCTTCCAGGCGGTGTAGACCATAGTGGTACGTGCCATGGTTGCTACTTGCCAGCATATAGGCAGTGTAGACTGTAAATCTCTAAGTGTACCCTCCGGGCCAGACTCTGTCAATTGGAGAGCCAGCCTTTCCCTCTGGGAATTGGCGGCCTGGCTGGGGAGGCAGCTGTTACACATATATTTGTAATTGTGGTCGTGCTGCAAAGAAGAGAACAGGGTTTGCATGGCATGTGTATGGTGGGTAGCAGGAAGGAGGAGGTGACGTCTCATGTCTGTGCTGAGGTGTTTCCAGTGTTGGCACACTTCCTCACAAAGACACACATGCGTGCAGTTTGGGGGCAGGTGCCTGTTTTAGGAGGATGGGAGCAGCAGATATTATTTCTCGATTCTGTTTGGTAGTGGAACAGCCTGTGCTGCATGGATGGCCAGTCCTTGGAGACGCTGGGGAGGTACGAGTGTTTTGCAGTCAAATAAGTGTGGGAAATCTGACTTGCTGCATCCCCTTTAGGGAGTCACAGTGCACGTTGCAGAGAAAGGTTTCCTTCCCCTCTTCTGCCCGGCACAGAATGTGAAACAGGATGTTAAAGAGAACAGGCTTTGGATGCAGACATTCGAATCCAAGCTTGGTTCAGATCCTGCCCCATTATTCCAGCTGTGTGGCCTTGGATGAAGTCCTTAATCTCTCTCAGCCTCAGCTTTCTCATCTCTGCAATGGTTGTTCCGTGTATTTAATGAGAAAACACGTGTGAGAAACTCAAAGCAGGCATGGGGTAAGATGCAGTGGCTGTTTATTACTGCCCCCATCCCTGCCATCACCTCTAGACTTGAAAGAGCAGCTTTCTAGACTCTTCCAGAGCAGGTGAGAGGAAAGTGTGTGCAGCCAGGTTTTTGTCTTTTCATCCTCTTGTCTGGATCAGGCCCTGTGAGCAGGGTCTTCTGTGGCCTGGTCCTGAACTGTGGAAGAGCTGGGTGTGGGGCTCTGGATGGTGGAGGAGTTGTGTTTGTGTTGCCAGCCTTGTCCCAGCCAGAAGTTGGGGGGTCCCTCATGAGCTTCGAGACAGGCAATTTGCTCTCTCAGGCAAGAGGACGAACAGTGCACCTTGCAGTTCTGATGTTCTGGGTTCCTTGTGCTTTCTCTTTGGGAAAACATAGAAGACACGGGATGGGTTCCTCTCTCCAGAACACTGAGTGATTGATCCCCGCAGGGACAGAAGGACAGAACATTCCTTTGGGACTGAATAGGACAAAGGCCTGTGTTTGTGAGTGTTGTAATTCTCCCATTCAATCTCAGACAGTCTTCTTGACTGGCTTAGAACCGCGTGCGTGCACGTGTGTTTGTTGGTGGGTGTGTTTGTTGTGTGTGTGTGTGTGTGTGTGTGTGACTTAGGGGATGGGACTTGGGTACAGGGAAGATGACAACACTTGCTTTTTTCCTCCTCCTCCTGTGTGTGCTGGGGGGCCAGGAACTGAGTGGAGGACCGATGGGGGCCAGCAGACCCTGGCACAAAGGAGCAAGGGCCCAGCGGAGAGAGTTCGAATCCTAGTTCTACCACCACAAACCTATGACCTTGGGAGAGTCCCTTCAACTTCTTTACCTATAAAATGGGATTGATGGGCCTCCCGGTGGCATGGAGGTCTGATACCCTGCCTTACTCTTCGTAGGCGCTTAGCAAATGTTCTCCCTCACCTCTGCTCACCTATGCCTGGGAAGCAGCCCTGCCCCTGTGTGACCTTCACCACTTCACTTCCATGTTCTCAGACGGGGTCTTTGTCCTTCCCACCAAGGCTAGCAATGTCGAAAGCCTCTTTTTTGAGTCCTGCTCAGGCTGAGGTTTGGGGCAGTGATGAGGCAGCAGCCAGGGTCCTGACACTCATGAGCTGGGGTGAAGTGTTAGTGCTCTGTGAGGCTCTCACCAACCCTGGGGGTCTTATCAGGAGGGAGCTGAGCATCTCATGGCCAATCCAAGAGCAGAGTGGGGAAGATCCCAACATGGATCGATGCCCTTAGGAGAGAAAGTTCCTTTCTAGGGTGTAATGCTCACCATCATCTGTCGGGATCAGATCTCTTATCCAGCAGATACCGGGTGCCCACTGAGAGCAGGCAGCTATGCAGAGGCCTGTGGACAGAAAGTGAGTGAGACCTAGGCAGCCTTTCCTTCTTGGACTGAGGAATAGATCCTCCAGTTTAGTTCTGGTTCCATGGCTGTATAATTTTAAGACCTTCAAAGAGATGAGTCAAAAATCTGCTACCCACTCGCAACTCCGGGGGCTGCCAGGGACATTCTTGATGCCAGCTGGGGTGGCGTGTCCCATACCTGCTGCCACATTAGTACCCTCTGCTGCCTGCACCGGGAGTCCCCATCCTGCCTGGTGCTGTGCTCTGGGCTCCGTGCAGGTGACTCCTCTCCTGCTATGGAGTCTGGGGTGCAGGCGGCCCTCCCAGCTCAGGGGTGAGGACCTGGAGGCTCGGAGGTTGGGGAGTGGTAGGACTTGGATTTGAACTCCGATGTCCGTGGCGGTGGGGACACCGCCTGCCCTGGCCTGTCTTTTAGAGGGAGCCATGTGGGTCAGCTGGGGAGACAATGAAGAATGTGCCCCCACAAACAAATGGACCTTTGTTCCCACAGTGGCTTCAGGGCTGGGCTGGGCCCAGCAGATGATCTCCGGCCCCCTGGAAGCTGGGCCACTGCTCCCTCATCTATGGATTTTTCCAGTGCCTGTTATGGGCAGGAAAGAAGTGTTGGGCCCTGAGGGGCAGAGAGGGGAGAAGGGAGATGGGGCTGAGCTCTGTGTGCCAGGGGACTTAACGGTGTTGGGGGCTAATGCAGGTGCCAGGATGACCCCGTGCTGGGCGGGCCCGGGTGCTCCCAGGGGGCTGGGCCTGGCCCTGTACAGTGCCTCTTTATGTGTCACCACCCTCACCTGGTAACCACTGCTGCGTCCCTGTGCCATTCAGGAACAGGGAACTTTTAGGTAACCTTGAGGAGGGCGGAAACCCAGGGCAGGCGAGTGAAGTGGCAATTGAGAAAGAGTCACGACCACCCTCTGCAGGAGTTTAGATGAACATGGCAGGTGAGAGATTGGTCCATGAGTGAGCTGGGGTGCTTGTCTCCTTTCTGCAGAAGCACGATGGTGGCCTGGGGCTGGCTGGCTTCGGGGTTCTCCAAGTGAGTGTCGGGAACCCCTGCACTCCTCCGCTGGGGAGGGGGAGGTGGTGAGTTCTTGTTGGAAACTCAGTACGGAGCTTTCATACGCTGCGGGGGAACCTGGGAATTGGATGCCATTTTTCTTTATTTTTGAACTTGTTCCTCAGGTTGAGAATCGTTGGTCTTAAGGGATTCAGGAGGCTTTCCTGGTCCCATTCCCAGCAACCCCCCAGTGGGTTAAATCCTCTTTCTCCTTTCTCAGAGGACCCAGAGGAACTGCAGCCCCCCGGGGCCATTTCCACTGCCCCCACTAGCTTGTGAGTTGTCACCCACTCGTCCCTGCGGGGACAAAGGGGACCTGGCATACAATAGGTGCCTAATGAATGTTTCTCAGATGAAATTGAACTGCCTTAAGTATCAGGGGTAAGAAGTAGCAGAGGTGGAATCCGATCACCAGCGGGTGTGGATGGCGTGGGGGTGGCTGCCTCGTACCACTTCACGGGGGGTCACTCACAGATGGAGCAGCCTACATTCTCTGGGCCTTCAGCACCTCTAGGAGGTAGGAAGGGCCAGGCTGTTCCTGTTTTAAAGATTCAAGCTGGGGAGGAGGTGACTTGCCCCCACAGGGTGCCTAAGTGGTGATCTGTCCCATCCCTTCTTCTCAAGCGTGAGTTTGTGAACGCTGACCTTCCTCTCTGCTGCCACACGGCAGTGATCTGTATGGGTCGCATTTCTGCCAGCTTCTAGAAGCAGGTTCAACAGCATTTAGAGTGTTCTGTGTTCCACTTCACTGCCTCATTTAATCTTTGGAAAATCAATGCAGCGTGCTGAGCTGAGGTGGCCTCGTGAGGCCTGAGTGTGCGCCGCTTGCGGGCGGGTCAAGTGCTGAGAAGCCTGGGGCCCCGCGGAGGCTGATTGTCTGGGGGACCTGCCTCTGTGCTGCCTGCCCGTGTGACTCTGGGATACTGACTTCACTTCCTCAGCCAGCTGGGTCACATGGCTCTGGCAGGGCTCCTGTGAGGGTGAGGACATGGAGGGACATGGTTCAGCACTGCCTTGACACCTGGCAGGTCTCAGCAGCCTGATGGCCTTGCCTCCTGCTCCCCAACTGCCCTGTGGGAGCAGAGCCCAGAGTGGGGCACTTCAAAGGGGAGGTCACTGCTCTCAGATGTGGAAATTGCTCAAGGGAGATGAGTGACTGGGGTCCTCGGGAACTTCTGGTTGACCTTGAGGAGGGCGGAAGCCCAGGGTAGGCATGGGGTGAAGGGTGAGTGGAAGTGACAATTGAGAAAGAGTCACGACCACCCTCTGCAGGAGTTTAGATGAACATGGCAGGTGACAGATTGGTCCATGAGTGAGCTGGGGTGCTTGGAACCAAGGCAGGGTGCCTTTTTTTTTTGTTTTCCAGAGGAAGAAAGGTGAGCAGGTCTTCAGCTGTTAGGAAGGTTTGGTGCGGAGAGGTGCAGGGATGACTGGGAGTAAGCTGGCTGGGGGTCACTGGCCGAGCTGGAGAGTTGGCCTTGACCCAGAGAACCATCTGGCTCAACAAGAAGGAAGGGCAGGAGGGAGGATGGGCATGGTATCATTCAGAATCTTTTGGTCAACTCAACATGGCTTACATGGGATTGGAAGTTGGTGGGCCGTGTAACTGAAAATCCCAGGTGGTGGATGCCATCCCCAAACCGTCTTTCACTCTTTTCCATCCCTGGGCTGGCCATACTTTCAGGCAGGCCCTTGCCTCACGGTGACAATGTGGCTGCTACAGATCCAGCCCTCCCAACCTTGCTCCATCAAGTCCGATCCAGTTCCCCAATTACTAGAAATAAGTGCAGCTGGCTTTAGTTGGCCTGAGCCAACCCATGTGTTCTTTCCTGATCCAGTCCTTGCAACTGGGAGGTGGAGTGCATGAATTGGCCTTGACTTGTGAAACGTGGGGAGGGGGGTCACTGTCAACAGAACACTTAGGACTGAGGGTGAGGGTTGGGTGGGTTCCTGAAGGAAACTGAGGGCTGTTCTTGGAAGTGGGGAGTGAATTCTGTGTAGCCCCAAGCCAGCAGATGTTAGTCACAGGTACAGTAACCTGTGGGGCCAGTGGGGCCTGAGGGCAAGGAAGCAAGGAAGCGCAGGCTTGATGGCCTGTTTTCCAGATGGAGCAAACAGTCCGGGGCAGAGATGGTGGCGGGCAAGCCCTTTCCCCAGCATTTGGTGCATTTAACAGCGCAGTCTGAGCCAGGCCTCTGTCCCCTGCCTCCTGGGAGTCCCCTCCTAGCCCTGGTCCTTGGAGTGGCTTCTGGCCAGAGAGAGCTGCTGCCCGAAGCCGGGGCTCTTATGGCCAGATGAGAAGAGAGCTTCCTCAAAACACAGTTGGAAACAGGCTGGCTGTCTTCAGCCACGCGGATGCCATGAACCCCACATGACCAGCCCACTGTCTGCTGTGTCTCCTCAGGAGCAGGACATCGAGACTTTACATGGCTCTGTTCACGTCACGCTGTGTGGGACTCCCAAGGGAAACCGGCCTGTCATCCTCACCTACCATGACATCGGCATGAACCGTAAGTTCTGAGGAGCTCTGATTCCCTGTCAGCCGGTTCCCAAGAGAGTGGCGGAAAAAGGCAGCCGAGAAGGGCTGATGGCCGGGAGCTGGTGGTTTCTTTTTGCCTGGGACTTCCTGGGGCTGTTCTGGGAAGAACTCTTGCCACAGCCTGGAAAAGCCAGAAATGCGCTGCATGTGGGCACGGAGTTGTCTGTGTGCCCGGAGGCGCTGGGAACACAGGAAGCTGTTTGCTATCTGTGGCAGTGACTTCTATATTAATGCACGCATATGGTTTTCAGTCTTTTCACAGAATTGTGCAACGATCAGCACAATTTTGGAACATTTTCATCCTTCCAAAAAATCCTGTACCTTTTATCTGTCACCCCACCCTCAGATGACTGACCCTTCATTGACTTTCCTTTTCTGTGAATTTGCCTGTTCTGGAATTTTGTATACATTGAATCAAATAATATGTGATTTTTTTTTGGTAACTGGCTTCTTTCTTAGTGCTTTCAAGGTTTATCCAGGCCATGCATTAATATTTGTATTTCCTTTATTCCTTTATTGAATAATAATATTCCATTGTATGGATTTACCACACTTTATTCGTTCTTTTTTCTTTTTCTTTCTTTCTTTTTTTTTTTTTTTCTGAGACAGAATCTCGCTCTGTTGCCCAGGCTGGAGTGCAGTGGTGCGATCGTGGCTCACTGCAATCTCCACCTACTGGGTTCAAGCAATTCTTTTGCCTCAGCCTCCCAAGTACCTGGGATTACGGGCACCCACCACCACGCCTGACTAATTTTTGTATTTTTAGTAGAGACGGGGTTTCACTGTGTTGGCCAGGCTGACCTCGAACTCCTGACCTCAGGTGATCCACCCACCTCCACCTCCCAAAGTGCTGGGATTACAGGCATGAGCCATTGGGCCCGGCCATCTATTCTTCAGTTGATGGGCATTTGGGGCATTTTCACTTTTTGGCTGTGTGAGTAACTCTGCTACGAATGTTTAGACTGTGAATTCCAAGATTACCAGGAGGGTTTTCTTAGGTGGGTTCCCCATTTTTCATAGATGAGAATGGAATGGAAGCTACTGAATGTTGAAATTTCATGGAATAGAGGTGAATTCTTCTGTGAGGAATCAGAAGACACAGGTTTCACTGGTCCCGTAATTTTTATGAACTTGAGTATTGCAAGCTTGCTTGATTTTTGACGATGGACTGCCTGATTTTCATTTGTTTCTATAAAGCTTATTAATACCTTATTAATACCTTGAGGCTGGGGATGGTGTCACTGAAATCCACTGAAAACACTTTTTCACTTCATTCTCACCTTCTTTTATCTCACTTCTTCCCCTGTCTGTTTCCCTTATATCCATTTTGTACCAGGTCCATGCTAGGTATTTTGATTTACACTATCTCATTTTATTGACTCTGACAAGGAACTGGAATTGCATATGGCAGCGTCTCTCCCCATTCGGAGAGGCTCATTGTTGGTTTATAATAGGCTTACCACTGTAACAAAAGATGCCAAGCCCTCTGTGGCTTAACACAGTATATGTTTTATTTCTCGCTCATGTAACAGTTTAGTGGGTGTTTAGTGGGACATGTTCTATTTGGCAATTCAAGGACCCAGGCTCCTTCTAGCTTGTGGGTTTGCCATCCCCTGGGGCTGCAGAGCCTTCTGCTGGAAACTGTGCTTCTGGCAGGTAGATGAGAGAAGAGAGAAACTTAGAGGATCTTAGAGAATCTGGGTGGCAGGTATGGTGAGGAAATGGTGACGGTCACAGGCTATCGGCCAGAAACAGATCACATGGCTGCCTCTCATTGCAAGGGAGCTTGGGATATACCGTCTAGCTGAGTGCCCAGGAGGAAAAGGGACAGGAGGTAGGGTGAGCAGCCCGACTTCCTTAGGCTTCAGCAGTGAGGAGACTCATCCAGGCCACATGAAAGGAGGAGGCACGCCTCACCTCCCATGCTCCTCCTCGTTTGAAAATTATGTGTGTCCTGGACCAGTACCCCAGATGGGAGGGTATAGTGGACCCAGATGGAAAGAGAGGATCAGGAGGGCAAAGCCATCTCATGCCAGGGCCATCCTGACCCTGGCTGACTGGAGGAGCTACAGGAGCCAGCCTGGGAACCCCTTCCAGCACCAACTGCAAGACTCATCTGCCAGCTACCACTCCCTTGCCCCATGAAACTTACTCTTGCTTTTTATCAGCAGAGGAAAGTGGGCATGGGGACAAAACCAAAAAACAAAAAACGCCAACATCTGTGTTCTTCTAAGTTCACTTCCTACTTCTGAATAGGAATGAAACAAAATGAATGTGCTTTGCCACCGAGACACCTAATTTTTTTCTCATCTTACTTTTTTCTCTTCTCTCCCTCACTGCTGTTCTTCAGACAAAACCTGCTACAACCCCCTCTTCAACTACGAGGACATGCAGGAGATCACCCAGCACTTTGCCGTCTGCCACGTGGACGCCCCTGGCCAGCAGGACGGCGCAGCCTCCTTCCCCGCAGGGTGAGAGGCCTCTTGCCCTATGAGCTCTACAGGGTGGAAACTGGGTGTCGGGGAGGGGTTCAGGTGCTTTGCTCTTTTAAATACTTTTTAACTGTGGTAAAATATAAAACGTATCATCTTAAGCACTTTTTAAATTGTGGGAAAAGATACATAACATAAAAGTTAGCACTTTCACTATTTTTAAGTATATAGTTCAGTGGCATTAAGGACATGCAGACATTGTTGTGCAGCCGTCACCACCATCCATCTCCAGGACTTTTTCATCTTCCCAAACTGAAACAACATACTTATCAGATACTATCTCCCCATTCCCCCAGCCTTCCTGCAAGGCTGGCGTTACGATAGGTGTGCTCAGCCTGGACAGGACTTCAGTGGAGGAGGACTTGACACCACCAAATAGTGTGAAGAAAAACCTAGAAGTCTGGGGAGAAACAGAGAGGGAGAGAAGTAACATTGATGGAGCCCTTCCTGTGGGCTAGGCTTCATCATTTGTGTCTAACACTGGGCTTAATCCTTACAGCTAGCTCTGTGTGGCTGCTGTTGTTAGCTCCATTTTCCAGACAAACATATTGAGGCATGGAGGCATTAACTACCTTGCTGAAGGTTGCACAGCTGAGGCCGGGCATGGTGGTTCATGCCTGTAATCTCAGCACTTTGGGAGGCCAAGGTGGGCGGACCACCGAGGTTGGGAGTTTGAGACCAGCCTGGCCAACATGGTGAAACCCTGTCTCCGGCCAACGTGATGAAACCCTGTCTCCACTAAAAATACAAAAATGAGCTGGGCGTGGTGGCGGGTGGCTATAATCCCTGCTACTCGGGAGGCTTAGGCCAGATAATCCCTTGAACCTGGGAGGCAGAGGTTACAGTGAGCCAAGATCGCACCACTGCACTCCAGCCTGGGTGACAGAGCAAGACTCTGTCTCCAAAAAAGAAAAAAAGGTTGCACAGCTGATGACTGGGGAGTTGGCTTTGATCCTATCTACTGAGACGTGTATCCTCTTTGGAACATCAGGCTGCCTTAGTTGAGAGTATTTGCACTGCCTGGCCCTTGTCAGCTCGTGATCTGTATGGGCATGGCCTTTCAATTTCCCCTTGTGCAATTATGGTCAAGCTTGTTGGATCCCCCAATCAGCATCATGTGGGGGTGGCAGACCTCAGAGATAACCCCTCTTGTCCCTGCACCTGACCTGTGTTTAAACTAGGGCAGGAGCAGGTTCTTGGGCTTAAAGTCTTCCAGAAGGGGCCTTCTTGGCATTTATAAATAGATATCCTTTTTTATTAGTGTTCAGAATTATCCTTAATAATTAACCTTTATCAGAGAGGAAGGGAAGGGACAGCCAACCGTATGGGGCCAGGACCAAAAATTAAAAGTGTATTAAAACAGTGGGACGTGGTTAATTGTTAACCAGCAGATAAAGCCAGAGGTGTGTCCGTAAATCTTTGGTTGGACCAGTTGTGTGAAAGACTTGGGGGAAAGCAGAGACTCTTAGTTCCCCCTGGTGAAGTTTTACAAATATTCTGAGGCCTGAGCCCCACCCCCAGGAATTTTTATTCCGTTGGTCTGGGTATTACAGCGCATTTTCCCCCTAGTTTACTATGTGGTTTTCGTGTGCATCTGGTGGGACCCACTGTCAGAGTGGGACCTGACTTGTTTCTTCCTCCTGGAGTAGGGCAGAGGAGAGTGTGGGGCTTGGGAGGGGTGAGGGAGCATCTCCCAGGCCCTTTAAGGGTGAGCCCCCTGTATTCTGAAGCCGAGACAGCAGAGCAGGGTAGGGGATCCCTGGCTGGGCTCCTCCTGGCCCCGGTGTCCACCACCTACACAGGAGGGACCTTGGAAGTAGAATTCTGCTGCTTCCTCGCCTCACACCAGCCCTGGGGAACAGGGAAGAAACAGAGGGCCCTGCAATTAAGTGGCTTCTCCAGTGTCACACCTTAGGAGCTGCTGGCTCCAAATTGAGCCATGGCCATTTCAGAGGAGCTTCATGTCTTTGCCGCACTTCTGCCCTGCGGCTTCTCAGCTCAGTGGCTCTGTTGATGTGGAGCCACACCATACGGGCTCTTTCTGGCTCTTCCCAGGGCGTCCGCATACACTGCTTCCCTGCCCACACGCTTTACTCATCAGGTTCCCATGACCCCTTCAGCGTCACTTCTTCCAAGAAGCCCTCCCTGATCATCTGAGCACGGCAGGTCTCTGTTTCGATAGGCTTTGTTATGAGTAACACCCCCTGTTTCTGTTGACTCGAGGGCTGGCTCCTGTCCTGGTTTGCATCTGCTTTGCTCACAGACCCCTGCCATTGCCTCACCAAGAGCCCGGCATGTGTGAGGATCAATCACTGCTTTGCGGATGGAACTCATTCATGCCTGTTTTAATTCCTTCTCCCTGACATTGGAATTGTGAAATGCCTTCTAGTCAGTTTCTGCAACACCCTAGACCCAAAACCAGACAAACACAGTGAGGACATGTTTCTGGCTAACCATCTACTGCTCTTGTGAGGCCAAGTGTCTCATCTCTCAGCCTCAGTGATGTTTATAATCTTGCTATGAGGGGAAATCCTAGCAGCCTCCTAGAGTTATTGTGAAAATTGAATGAGCTAATTCCCAGAATGTGTCCATGGGACCTGGAGCGTAGGAAGCAATTGATAGAGTGTGCTGCAGGGGTCTTGGAAGGAGGATGCGAAGGGACTAGACTTGGGGGTGGGGGGGTCTGGGTGCATGGGGCAGGCTGCTGCATGGTCCCCACCCTTCAAGCGTGTCCCTGTTTGGATTACCCGTTTCTGTCCGGGCGCTCACTAATGGCTTCTCTGTGTCATCCCCAGGTACATGTACCCCTCCATGGATCAGCTGGCTGAAATGCTTCCTGGAGTCCTTCAACAGTTTGGGTAAGAGCGAAGGATCAGCTCCTTCTCTGTCTGCAGAGAAGCCTGGTTTCTAGCATCTTCCTGCCCCTTGGCTTTGATCTGGACTGACCACTAAAATTAAGGTTGCAATTTAGAGATGAGGCAAGAAATTAGCTCGTCACTCTGTGAACACTGTTCTTCACACAGTCTCTGAGCTCTAGTCTGTCTCCTCTAACTTCAGTTTTCCTCTTGCGTGAATGTTATATTGCATGATGGCAGCTGCCCCACCCATTTGCTCTTGCCTCCTGTTCTTCCATTCCCTTCTCTTTCCCATGGAATGTTCTGGAATGGAGTTGCCTGAGTCCTTAGCTTTTCTCTCCACACCCTCATTTTTCCAGTGTTCCTCTCTGTCTTGAGCTCTTCAAAGAATGATAACTTCATGGTTCTTGCTCAATTTGTTTTCATTCCAAGTTTTAGAATCCAAAATAAAGCTTAAGAGTGGGAAGAAATGATGCCGTAACGGGCCTTCCCGTAAATGTCAGACGGTCTCTCAGAGCCTGGGTGGCGGCCAGGAGGGAAGTGAGGAGAAGGGGCGCGGCTCTCCAAGGTCGAGGTCTCTGTCCAGTCCTAAAGCATGGTGACCTCAGAGCTGTGCAGGCAGTTACGGCAGCATGCTCCCGCATTGCCTAGCCAGGCGGTCACCCTCAGGAAGTTCTAAGTGGGTCCTTGGAGGCTCCCGTCACTCTGTCCTTGTGTGACATGCATTTGTATTTTTGCTTCCAGGCTGAAAAGCATTATTGGCATGGGAACAGGAGCAGGCGCCTACATCCTAACTCGATTTGCTGTGAGTGCTTTGGCATTTTTTGAAAATCGCATTTTAAATAACATTTTAAGATGAAGGAAGACATTGGAAAAGCATCAAAAACCCAAAAGGGAAAAAGAAATGACCCGTATTCTCCACAGTTGTGTGTGTGTGTGTGTGTGGTGCATGGGTACTCGTATATATATATACTCACAGCCTTTTCTCTTCCTCCACTCAAGGATGATACTGGACACATTCCTTTGTCATGGGCTTTGTCCGCTTAGCCATCTAGTGAGGACGCTCCTCACTCACTGAGTACTCTGCTATGACACTGCTTTGTAACAGCTGTACAGGTTTTTGTAGTCAGGGCACTCCTGGGTCATAACTGATTCTAAACTAGAATCAGACACGGGAAGTTTTCATGACAGTTGTCATTGTTATTTCTCTGGGCTCAGGTCAAGAGCCACTGTTCCTTTGTATCCTCACCGAGCAATTGTGTAAGAATGCAACAATACTCATTTTGTACATCCATTGGTATTTTGACTACCTATTATTTGCTGGGCTTTGCTGGAGGTTGGGAATACTGACATGATTCTACAACATCCATCTTACAAAAAAAAGAAAGGAATGCTGACATGAATACAAAATGGTCTGGCCATATAGGCTCTCAGCAAATTAAAAATGGTCTCAACTGTACCCCAGGTGTACATATCTATATCTGTATGTATCTGCATCACATAATGACATTTTGGTCAATGACAGACTGCACATTTGACAGTGGTTCCATAAGATTATAATGGTTCATTTTTACTGTACCATTTTTATGTTTAGATTTGCTTAGATACATCAATACTTAGCATTGTGTTGCAATTCCCTGCAGTATTGGGTAGCGTCATATGCTGTACAGGTTTGTACAGCAAACCTAGGAGCAAAGGGCTGTTCTATACAGCCTTGGTGAGTTGTAGACTATACTGTCTAGGTGTGTGTAAGTATACTCTGAGATCTTCACACAATGACAAAATCTCCTAATGATGAATTTTCTCAGAAAGTATCCCTGTTATTCAGCGATGCATAACTCTGTCTCTCTCTCTGTGTGTGTGTGTGTGTGTGTGTGTGTGTGTGTGTATGCATGTGTTTATCCTGGAAGTAAGTAATACAGTTGTTACTGCCACAACTAGAGAGCATTTGTGCTGTGCGCCTTGTTTGATTGATGAGGTCGATGGTGTGTTACACCCATTTGATAGCTGGAGAAGCTGAGCCTCCGTGGGTTGAAGTGACTTGCCCAAGGCAGGCCTGCAAAGCAGCGGGCTTCCTACTTCTCCTGCACTTCCTCTTTCTCCTTCCCACTCTCTCTAGGACCCGATACCGTGTCTGCTGTGCTGGAACCTCAGTTTTGCATGGGGTGGGGCCGGGGAGCAGCAGCCTGCTCTGCTGCCCACACTGCCTTTTTCTGGGTACTTCTCTCAAGCTTTGGTTTGCCTTGGAAAGTTCCTAGTGTTTCAGATTGCTGGGATGTCTGTCTCACTTTGTGTCTTGAATTGCAGCTAAACAACCCTGAGATGGTGGAGGGCCTTGTCCTTATCAACGTGAACCCTTGTGCGGAAGGCTGGATGGACTGGGCCGCCTCCAAGGTGAGGTGGGGGCCTGTCAGGCCGGCGGGATCCCTGCAAGAAGAGGGACAGGTGCACACAGCCTCTGCCTGGGGGATCCCTGGAGCTACGAGCTCTCTCTTTACCCACTCCTCCACTACCCTCTACTGCCCACTCCAGTTCCCTCTGCTTTACTTAGAACAGTACACATGACCTCAGCCGTTTGCCATTCAGAAGACTTAAATACCACCAAGCTGTCTAAGCCAGGGAAAGCACTGGGACACAGGTCCCTGAGGCAGCTTGGAGAAGCATTGCTTGGATTAATGAGTATTAGCTGGGTACATAACTTGTGCCAGGCTTTGGTCAAGATGCTGAGCATCTTGAAGAACAAGACTTCTTGAGATGAACAAGACAAAAGCCTCTAGGAATGAATCTTAGGAATCCATTCACATATTATTAAAGAAAAATAAATATGTATTTAGTACGGACTGTGCCACAGAATTTTACGATAATAATTAGCTAACGTAGATTGAGAGTTTACCATGTGCTAGTTTCATTCTACGTTGCTGTGTGTGCATGATCTCAGTTAATCTTCATAGTAACTCTAGGAGGTGAGAATTTTTATCACCGTTTCAGAGGTAAGGACTCGGTGTGGCTAAGGGGATTGTCCAGGGTCACATAAAGCTAGGCAGTAGAACGGGGACTGGATGCAGCTTGCTTTGACTTTGTGGTTCGTGGACCTGACCACCCGTGCCCCTGGGGCTCCTGTCCAGGGTGGGAGACAGGCAGGCCTGGCAAGCAGGGTAGGCTGCCTGGAGGAGAAGGGACCTGTGCTGTCTTGGGAAGCTCTGTCCTGGCTGGTGTCCTAAGGTTCCTTGTTTATCTTTTAAAAATTATCATTGTGGTGTTTTTGTTTTTGTTTTTTTCCCTGTAAAGGCCTCAGTGTTGGCCAAGGAGAGGGGGAGGTCATTCCAGTTGAAATAGGACAGAGTCTTTCAAGCTGAGGTGATCGCAGCTTCTCATTCTGCAAGTGCATTTTTGCCCAATTTTGGGTGGCTGCCAGGGACCGATGGTTTGAAGGGGCCCTGCCTCTTGCCCCATCCCCTGCCCTGTACCAGCCACTGTGATTTTGCATTTGTTCTTTGAACATTCCTCCAGAATGCAGGAGCCCTTCCGTCCAGCCTGTATGACGTTCTGGAGTGGAACACACTCCCTGTTTTTTATTTGATTTTCCAGCAAAGGAAGTGACATTCCAGTCAACCCGCTGGGCTTCATGATAGCTGTCCTGAGTGAGACTCGAAGGTCTGGGGATGTCGACCACTGGCTAATGTGAAGCCTGAGGATTGTCTTTAATAGCTGTACTATTCCCTTCAGTACAGCTTTAATAGCTGTACTATTCCCTTCTTTTTCAACTCCAGCCTTTCGATTACCAGGCATTGGTATTAGATACTGTGATGTGTGCAGTTACTTCTTGCAGTCCTTCCCTTGACCTTGTGGCCTTGAAGTTCCTGGCACTCCCAGTTCCAGATTAGAAGTCTGAGACCCAGAGGTATGCAGACTGCCCAGTGCCACACAGCTAGGCTGTGGCAGGCAAGGGCCAGCCAAAGACCCTTAGGTCTAGAGCTTCTCTCCTACTCATTTTTGCCTAATGCTTAGGTCAGCACACATTTATGGAGCTTCTGCTGTATACTAGGACTTATAGAGCTCCTGCTGCAAACCTAGTCACTGGGGAGAGGTAGGAAAAGAAGATTGTCAGTGTCTTTGGTAATATCAGTATACTTAGAAAGGGGAAACTGGCTTGGAGATGAGAGAGGAGGGATAGTTGGGAGCCAAGCATATCTTGGGGTATAGACTGGGGAGCTCAGTGTGTTTTTAGAAGAGGTGAATGGATGGCCCTCTTTGCTGAGGACTTGGTGAATGTTTGGAGCAGGGTAAGCTAGCAGTAGCTGGGTCTTTATTCAGCACTTATTTGCTGTGCATCTTGTGCATGGGCCTCTGAAAATAAGGAACTGGATATAGTCCCAGGCCCTGCATTTGGGGGATCAGGTCCAGGAGGGAACTGGAGACAGGAACTGAGTTTCTATCAAGGGGGATGTCCTTGAGGCCTGCATGTAGGGGGGAGTCCAGCAATGCCACCCTGCACCCAGGGAAGTGGGGTTTTGCTGACCTTGTTAACTACTGTTAGCTCCTGGTTTCTCATCCACCCACTTTACTCCTTTCCAGATCTCAGGATGGACCCAAGCTCTGCCGGACATGGTGGTGTCCCACCTTTTTGGGAAGGTGAGTTGCGTGGTCTGGCAAATCTGTTGTTCCTGCTGAGCAAGGCATTGTGTGGTGCTCAGCACAGGGCCCCATGTGGGGGTGGAGAGAACAAGACACAATCAACTGGGGGCCACCGAGCTGGTGCTCATGAGATAATGTGACATTATTCATTCATAAGCAACAAGTCATTCATTCTCTCTCTTTTTTATGTGTCTTTTAAAAACAGCTGATTGAAGTACAATTAACTGCACATATTTAAAGTGTACAATTGACATGCATATACATTTGTAAAACCATCCCTGTAATCAGGAGAATAACGTCTCCATCACTCCAAGAGTTTCCTTGTGCCCCTTGATAGTCCTCCTCTCCCTCCTCCTCAGGCAACTTCTGATCAGCATTGGCCTCTATAGATTGCTTTGCAATTCCTAGAATTTTATATAAATGGCATTATATAGTAGGTACTCTTTTTTTTTTTTTTTTGGTCTGGCTTCTTTCCCTCAGCATAACCATTTTGAGATTTGTCCATGTTAATGAGTGGATCAATAGTTTATTCCTAGTCGGGGTGCAGTGCTCATTCCTATAATCCCAGCACTTTGGGAGGCCATGGCAGGAGGATTGCTTGAGCCCAGGAGTTCAAGACCAGCCTGGGCAACATAGTGACACCTTGTCTCTACAGAAAAATTAAAAATTGGCCAGGCATGGTGGTTCTGCATGCCTATAGTCCTAGCTACTTGGGAGGCTGAGGCAGGAGGATTGCTTGAGCCCAGGAGTTTGAGGCTACAGTGAGCAGTGAGCTGGGATAGCCCACTGTATTCCGCCTAGGTGACAGAGAGACCCTGTCTCTTAAAAAAAAGTTTATTCCTTTTTAGTGCTGAGAAGTATTCCATTTTATGTATGTGCAACAGTTTGTTTTTCCATTCACCTGTTGATAAGACCTTTGAGTTGTTCCCAGTTCTGGGCTGTTATAAATCTGGTCAGTAGCAAACATGTCCGTGGAGTTAGCTGTGTGCTGGGCTGGGCTCAGTCCTAAGAGCTTCACAAGTGTTAACTATAGGAATAGGATTCCACCCAGGTGCTCTGTGACCTGTGTGATAAATTCTGTTCTCATTCCCAGTTTATGGAAGAGGAAACAGACCAGAGAGGTTGAGTGACTTGCATAGGGTCTCAACCAGGGAGAGGTGGGGCCGGTATTAGAACCTATGAATCTGGCTTCATTCTGGTCACCACAGCAGGATGGCGGCTGCCTGTGCTGCTGCCTGGCTCTGAGATGAGCTGCTCTTCTGCAGAGTTACCCCACTAAAGGGGATTGAGCCAAGCCCCTCACAGCATGCTAGAAGTGAGCAGTCATCTTATCAGCCCAGCCTGCCTGGCCCCAGACACTGGTTTTGTGTCTCTAGCTGGGGCCAGCTACCCTCGGGAAGGGTATGCCATGGGCTTGGTTGCAAGCCCAGGGTCTGGAAAACCCCTTGGTTGCCTGAAATTGCAGTGACCTGCTTTGCTTACATACCACTGTCTGCTTCTGAGCTAACATGTGTGACCATCTGACACTCCCATGAGTCCTGGGGACACAGCCTCCACTCTGGAGCTGGCGAGTACACCAGGGGAACAGACGCCCCACTCTGGAGTTGACGAGTGTACCAGGGGAATAGAGGCCCCACTCTGGAGTTGACGAGTGTACGAGGGCAATAGAGGCCCCACTCTGGAGTTGGCGAGTGTACGAGGGGAATAGAGTCCCCACTCTGGAGTTGGCGAGTGTACGAGGGGAATAGAGCCTCCACTCTGGAGCTGGTGAGTGTACGAGGGAAACAGAGGCCCCACTCTGGAGCTGGCGAGTGTACGAGGGGAATAGAGGCCCCACTCTGGAGTTGGCAAGTGTACCAGGGGAACAGAGGCCCCACTCTGGAGTTGGCGAGTGTACGAGGGAAACAGAGGCCCCACTCCGGAGTTGGCGAGTGTACGAGGGAAACAGAGGCCCCACTCCGGAGTTGGCGAGTGTACCAGGGGAACAGAGACCCCACTCTGGAGTTGGCGAGTGTACCAGGGGAACAGAGGCTCCACTCTGGAGTTGGCGAGTACAACTGCTAGGTTTGCCTGTTGTGTTGGTTTCCTGTGGCTTCTGTAACAAATTACCACAAACAGGATGGCTTAGAACAGCGAAAGTGGGATGAGCAGGGTGGCTCACACCTATAATCCCAGCACTTTGGGAGGCTTAGGCGAGTGGATCACCTGAGGTCAGGAGTTCGAGACGAGCCTGGCCAACATGGTGAAACCCCGTCTCTACTGAAAATACAAAATTAACCGGATGTGGTGGCACGCGCCTGTAATCCCAGCTACTCGGGAGGCTGAGACAGGAGAATCACTTGAACCTGGGAGGCAGAGGCTGCAGTGAGCCGAGATCGCGCCATGCACTGCAGCCTGGGTGAGACAGAGGGAGACTCTGTCTCAAAAACAGAGAAAAAGGAAAACAAAAGTGTATTCTCTCACAGCTCTGAGTCTAGAACTCCGATGTCAAGCGCTGGCAGGGCCGCCCCTCCGCCACAGGCTCCAGGGGAAATTCGTCCTTGCTTCTTACTGCTCCAGGTCGCTGTCGGCATTCCTTGGCTAGTGGCTGCTCACACCACTCTCTGCCTCTGTCTTCACATGGTCTTCTCCTCTGTGTCTGTTTTATTTCTCCCTCTCCTTCCTCTTTTAAGGATACTTTCCATTGGATTTCATCCCGGCTCATGTAATCCAGGATTATCTCATCTCAAGATCCTTAATTAATTACACCTGCAAAAACCCTTTTTCCCAGCAAGTTTGCATTCCCAAGTTCAAGAGATTTGACATGGACATATCTTTTGAGGGCCACAGTTTAGCCCACTAGAGTCCTCTTTCCCCTTTTACGATTCATTCCACAGCGTGTGACACATTTTCCCTGTCCTGAGTGTGTAATCTGAAACTGATAGGAATTGGGAAAAATTCACAGCCACTGTCTCTGTTTCACTGGAGGAGGGATGTCAGACATAGCGTTGAGCATCTGATCTGATTATACCCCAAGTTATTTGGAGACTGGTTGGTCCGGCCATGGTGTCTGAGGGTACCCCCAGATCGCTATAGTTGGTTTTGATCTGAAATCCCAGCGTGATTCCTGACTATTTTTTCCAGAGTTTGCTCTTAGTAGCCAGTTGACCTCCTTGCTGCCTAAATGATCCTGGACTGTTTGATGCAGCTCAAGCTTGACACCGGCTTTCTTTGACCCCCAACTCCAACTTCTCATCTGGTTGCCACTGGTCATATCAGACCCTTGTGTGAAACCTACAGTGTCTGCCCTCGTACAAATGAGAAACAGAGCAAACAAGTTGTTTGTCGCAAATAACATTCAAAAAGCACCCAGAGACGGGGAGGCTGAGGCCGACTTCCCCAAGGCTCTGGTTGGCCGTGGTGGGAGTTGCAATTGCCCTTCTTTTCAGTAACTTCCTGTGGCATGAGTTGATTTTGCTTTTCAAGCATGAAAAACTTCTTTTCAGCTCTTCCCATTGGAAAACAATTACTAACATTTGCCTCCAATTTTTACTGTTAGTAGAGGTGAGAACACAACCTCCATTAAGTCCTACAACCTAGTGAAGTAGGCAACATTCTCTCTCTTCCCTTTTTTTTTTTTTTTTTTTTAAGAGATCTGAGGCTCAGAGAGGTTGAAAGATTTGCCTACGAAAGGGACAGTGATGAAGCTAAGCTCTAGATCCAGGATGTCTGACTTCAAATTGAAACTCCCAAAGTAATGAGTTTGGAAGGGTGGGGTGTGGCCTTTCCAGGATGGGGGTCTTTTCTGCTCCCAGCGGATAGTGAAACCCCTGTCTGCACCTGGTTGGGCGTGTTGCTTTCCCAAAGGTTTTTTTTTTAGGTCCGTCGCTGTCTTGTGGATTAGGCATTATTATCTTTACTTTGTCTCCAAATAACCTGGAGAATGGAGAGAGTAGTGACCAGCTCAGGGCCACAGTGCGATGAGGACCATCTTCTCACCTCTCTAAATGCAGGAAGAAATGCAGAGTAACGTGGAAGTGGTCCACACCTACCGCCAGCACATTGTGAATGACATGAACCCCGGCAACCTGCACCTGTTCATCAATGCCTACAACAGGTATTGGGATGTAGTTCAGCCACATCATTGCTATTTATGAGGTGTCTTCTGTAGATCCGAAATGTGGGACAGATGAGAGGGAGAGTATAAAATGAGCGGAAGAGGCAGGCTCTGAGTTTGAGCAAATAGATTAATAGGACAGGTGTCCCCAGGAAGGACACCTGGCCTGTAAGCTGGTTCCTGGCATTCAGCTCGCCTTGCAGGGATCTGAACAAACACTCCAGACCACTGGGGGTGCAGACGTGAGAGGGACGCAGTCGCACACTCAGAGGGTTGAGAGTAAATATGTGTGCCCGCTGCTGACCTTCACGAAAGGCCAAATGTAAGAAGAGCTAAGTGAGAGAGCAGCAAAGCACTCCTGGAGGCCGGGGATAATCCAGGCAGGCTTCTGGGAGTTTGTCATTCCAAGGATAAGGAGGACCTGAACATGGCCTTTGCCTAAGGCGTGGCCCTCTCAACCAGCACTAGGTGCTTATCTGGAGCTCAGCTAGGGGAGGAGACAGCTCAGGGCCATTGGTGTCAGCCAGAGACTCTGTAATCTTCCAGGGAGCTCGCTCAACCTGCTGAGCTCGCTCTGCCACGCTCGCAGAACAGGAGATAGAAATGAGCCTCATAGTGTTTATCTCTGCTCAAATGTTAATAAAGTGACTTCTTGAAATTAACATTTGTAACAGAGCTTAGTATCTGCCTCCTTTTACAATCCTGCCCTCATCTCAGTGGTAACATCCTCACTGTGGATGTGACTGAAGAAACCGAAACCTGGCAGTGCGGTTCACTTAGTAAACACTTTCTGAGAACTGGAGCGAGTCAGGCATTCGGCTGGGCGCTGGAGACACAGAGGAAACCAGCACAGCCCGCAGACTCCACACTGTTAACTTGCCCGTGTAGATAGCACCGTAATTAACTGACCCCTCTCCAAATCCCACTGTGAAGGTCCTGGAATTACTGTCATTTCCTGTTGAGGAAGCAAAGGCGCAAAGAGATCCTGTGTTCTCCCCAAGGCCACACAGCTAGAAAGTGGCAGAGCATGATTTGGATCCTGCTTGTCTAACTCCAGGCTGTGAGCTGGGAAAGAGCTTCTCATGTTGGGAGCTGCAAGATAGCAGAGAGGGTGGGTGGCTGCGTGCAGGAAAGGTGGTCGGCACTGGGCTGGACCCACACTGGGCCTCACACGAGTGCAGTGGGAAACCACCACAGGGTTTGAGACAGGGAATGGAAAGATGAGGCCTGAGTTTTAAAGAGATCATTTGGGTGCTTTATAGAGGACTCAGAGTTGGTGAGGCTGGGACTTAAACTAAGAGGCTGCGAGAGCATTTGGGAGGTGGCCCCTCTGTCAGGTGGGGGCTCTGACTAGGGGGACAGGGAAGGCGGGGACCCTCTATGGTGGAGAATCTGACTTCTACTCCTGGAAAAAAAAGCCCCACAAATATTTGTGACAAAATGAGGGGGCTCTGCTTGAAATGCATGTGTTGTGCTGTCCCTCTAACCAGGTCTGTGGACACCAAGAGGGTGTGGAGTCCTGAAAGCCACAGGGCCTCTCTCAAGTTGGGGATGTGGGTAGCTTACCAGAATGGCCACTGGCAGGACCTCCTGGGCTTGGCTGGATGGGAGTGGGAGATTTCTCCAGGGGAGGGGTCCTCATGCTAATGATGCATTTGTTTCCTGCAGCCGGCGCGACCTGGAGATTGAGCGACCAATGCCGGGAACCCACACAGTCACCCTGCAGTGAGTGGCTTTTCTCTCCCCCAGCACTTGCAGTCGGGGCTGCCCACTATAAAGGTGGCCTTGCTGGCAGGGCCTTCTTTCTGAGTGTGGCAGGACATTGTGTCAGTGAGACCTGGATATATTCCACCCAGAGACTGAGCATTACCCAGCCTGACTTGGACTTCTCCCTGTGCCGGTGGCATCCGTTTCTAGGGTGTCCCCATGACCTAGGCCTTTGATCTTGGAGAAGGATGGTTGATTGTACTTGGGACAGCATTTATTAAGCACCTACTACATCAATAACTGTGTGAGGCTTTGCTCCATGAAGCCTAGGGATGGATAGCACAGGACCCAGCCTTAAAGTGCTCCATACACCTAGGAGGAAAAGACAGTCATGGACAGAACTAACTGGGTTTCCACCAGTAATGATGGTGTCTTTTTGTGGCTGAGTGCACCGCGTTGTGTGACACTTGGGAACCTGGCACGTCATTGCCTTTGTCCTTCATGCTGTTCTTGTTTCGGTCTTGATTGCCAGCTAAGTCCTGCTTAACCATCCTTGAGGAGAAGATGCTTTAAAACAAAAGCACTGAGTCACAGAAATTCCCTGGCTGAAATTCATACTAAGTTGTGAATGACTAGTAACCAATGTTATCCTAAGATCAAAGGAGAATGAAGTAAAAGAGCAAAGGGTGTTGGGGAAACCAAAATGACATTGTTTGTAGAATGCAGGCCCCAGCCTGGCAGGCCTGGGAGTGGGACAATCTTTAAAGGAACCTTGTGCTAATTCTCTGCTCTATCCCTGACCCCAGGTGCCCTGCTCTGTTGGTGGTTGGGGACAGCTCGCCTGCAGTGGATGCCGTGGTATGTAGAAATCACAGCTGATTTCTGTGTTTAATTCAACAGGCAAAGTCTGGTTGACTTTGTTGAAGTGGCCCTGCCTGCCCCTCCTCTCCTCTGCCCCATCAGGGCAGGTGATGTTTTTTGAAATGCCATATTGGCCTTTGGGCAGAGGGCCCAGCCACTCAGTCTCTTTCCCTGGTGGCTGCCAGCCCTGGTTGCTTGGCAGTGTCTCCTCTCCCAGGTCCCCTCACCCGCCAGTCTGTGTCCCATCGGCTTGTTTATATGGGCATGTTTGCCACTTGGCTTCCTGGCCAAGAGACTCACCTCTTATTTGGGAAGCAGCTGGATCTTTCCAAACTGACTGGTGCCTGATGAGCTGGCAGGGGAGAGAGGCACTGGGAGGCAGGGCTTAGCAAAGCTTCCTGACTCCTTTCACCCCTTAACTCCCACCTGCAACTTTGTGGCAGCAAAGAGAGGAATCTGCCTTTCAAACAACCCCACAGCTGGGGAGATGGAAGACTTAGGGGCTATGGATCAGAGTCCTGCAGTACTGCCATGCTTTGTGCAGTGATCTGCAGAGTGACATTTGCAAATGTTCATGTAGTAAATACCTGGCATGCCTTAGTGAACCATGAGTTTCTTACGGGCTGACTGACTGGAGATAATCATGGGATACATCAATAGAGATACACTGTTCAAATCAAGGGAGGTGATAGTTTTACTTTAAGCATTTTGAACATCCTGGGTTACATATGGGTATTCTGCCCAATTCCAGATGCCCCTTTCAAGAGGTTCACTGACAAAATGAAGAGAGAAACCAGTGTGATTTTACATGAAGAATAGTTGTTAGATCTGGGAATATTAAACCTGTAGAATCTCTGGCAGCTGCTGGTTAAACAAGGATATTTATTTAGCAGGTATTTCTACAGTACTGTTTACATTTCGGCTAATCTTCATAATAACCTTTTGAAAAAAGATATTAGCTCCATTTTATTGATGAGGAAACTGAGGCCCAAAGAAGTTAAATCACTTATCCAAGTTGTCACAGCTGGTAATGGCAAGGCTGGGATTTCAAGCCACATCTGCTGAATCCCAATAACTCCACATACTTTCTTCTTTGCCAGCAGAAATACTGGAGTTTCTGGTGACGGTGGCAGAGTGGCGGAGAAGGGGGAGATGTTTTGGCTTTGGCTTCACGTAGAAAATTAACAGATTTCCTCCCTCTTGTGCAGGTGGAGTGCAACTCAAAATTGGACCCAACAAAGACCACTCTCCTCAAGGTACAGGGAAAACAGTGGGGGTTCGTGTTTGTTATTTCTTAGAAACTCTCAGACGTTTTCTGCAACATTGAGTTAGGCTTGAAAAAGGCAAGGCACACGATCAGAAACTATAGAATTAATGATTTAATCTATCTGTTTATGAACATATATTGGGTGCTGACTGGTGATCTGAGGCTGCAAAGATGAGGGATCCTTCTCTGGGACTGCAGGAATCAATAGGCTGCTGGTCTGGGGGCTTTGGGGATAGAGGGACCAGGGATGGCTTGGCAAGGGCCCTCCATAGGCTGGGGCCAGGACATTCCTCCAAGAGGGGCTCTCTGCTTGTCACAATAAGAAGAGACGTGTCCCACAGCCGGGGAAGGTCAGGACTTTGTCCAGCAAGTTCATCTGAGCACATGGTGAGCCAGCTCACTCGCAGCTGGATTTGAGTGTCTGTAGCAACCTCCGCCAGTCCTTTGCCAGTTATGACTGATTGCACAATGCAAACCACTGGCTGTTTGTGGCGGCCTCGTCCGGAGATGCAGCCCAAGAGTGGGAACCTTTCAGAGGGGCCTCTCAGCCGGGGTGCACCCCTGCAGGGGCAGATGACCAGGCGGGACCTGGGTGGAGATGAGGCGGCTCCCTCGCAC
The DNA here is from genome assembly GCF_000001405.40 of Homo sapiens. Classification (NCBI taxonomy): domain Eukaryota; kingdom Metazoa; phylum Chordata; class Mammalia; order Primates; family Hominidae; genus Homo; species Homo sapiens. The sequence continues at coordinate 133,245,986 of NC_000008.11, read as the reverse complement.
TGGGGGAAGGACAAAGAGGTGGCATCTGTAGGTCACCGTGCCCTCAACTTCCCCCATAGAAGTAGAATGCCTTTGAAAGGCATGTAGGGGGTGTCCGATACTTATTGAGTGGGAGGCTGTTTTCCTGTATTGGGCTCTTTACATAGATTTTCTTTCAAGATTCCCTCAAAAGGAAATTGCAAGATTAGAAGCTGCTGGGCGTCAAGCTTGCATAATGCCGTACTTTGAGGGCGGTTGTCACAAGTATCACAAAATGGGTGGCTTAAAGCAACAGATATTTATTCCCTTTTAGTTCTGGAAGCTAAAAGTCCGAAATCAAGGTGTGGGCAGGGCCGTGCTCCCTCTGAAGGTGCTAGGGGAGAATGCTGCCTGCCTCTTCCAGCTTCTGGTGGCTGCTGGCCACACTTGGTTCACCTTAGCTAGTAGACACATCACTCCAGTCTCTGCCTCCATCCTCACTCAGCACTCTCCCGATTGTATCTCTGCGTCTATGTCCAAATTTCCTTCTTCTTTTAATAACATCAGCCGTTAGCTTTAGGGCCCGCTCTAATCCAATATGACCTCATCTTAACTTGATTTTACCTGCAAAGACCCTATTTCCAAGTATAGCCACAGTGATAGGTACTGGGGTTAGGACTTCAGTATGTCTATTTTGGGGACACAATTCAACCACAACCTACAGCAAAGGGTAGGTGGCCTGACTGAGGTGGGGTGGCCGATTTGATGGTAGATCCAGAAACAGAACTCACTTAGGCCTGATTCTGGAGACTTCCACAGCGTCAGTCTAATGTGCTGAGTGCCCCGCCTGGAGGAAAAATTCGGGCATCCTGCTCCCTGCGTGCTGGTTGAGCTGAGGGCTGCCCCAGGTCAGTGTCGCTTTGTGGCTAGTGTTGGGGGTCCAGACTTGAGGCGCCCTGGGCTGTAGGATGCCCACAGCCTCACCACTCCCATGAACTCCTCCAGCCCCGTTTCACCCCAGGCCACCCTCCCCGCAGCCTCCCCCTGCTCCCTTGCCGTCAGCGCTGCCCATTTCCAGGCTGGCTGCACAGTCTCACAGCCTGCAATGGCCTCTTGCGGTTCGGTGATTTCACAGGGACTTTGAACGTCCACCATTTAGGAAGGGTACTGGTCAGCTGAATCCGGCCTGAAGACCCAAATTCAACCACTTCCTTTTGAGGGAAACTTTCAAGGGAATATATGAAGAGGGTCTTGTTTATCAAACCCTTTCGGGTCAGAGAGATCCTGGCCTGGAACCTTGCGAGTCCCTCAAGCTCTTCCTGGCCCAGTTTCTGCCTGTAAAATGGGACAGCTGTACCTTCCATGGTTCTTGGGGAATGGAGTGAAATTATCTGTAGGGCCTAGCATAGTGCCTGGCACGTAGCAAGCTGCAAGTGATGGTTGCCACGGAGACACCAGCAGCCTTGCCTGGTGGGGCTGGAGTGTTCCCTACCCACGGTCCACCCTGTTCCTCCTTTGTAAGGCAGGACAAGGCAGGGCAGGGCAGCGGGCGGATGGGCATCCTTTCGGAAAAAATTCATAGAGCGCAGAGGGCCTTGGCTGTGGTGTTTGGCACTAACGAGCTTCCCTCTCTCCTAGATGGCGGACTGTGGCGGCCTCCCGCAGATCTCCCAGGTGAGTGCCATGTTGGCTTTTGCATTATACAGCTGTCGCTTCCCCCTGGGTGGAGTGCATGTGCCTCTGTGACACCTGTTCCCTCATTACCTTGCTGTGACATCGGATGACAGTTTGTGGACTGTTGGGAAAAGGTGCTATATAGGAGGACTCTGATTCCCTAGGAACCAACCCCTGTGGAGTAGGTGATACTGCGGTTCACAGAGGTTGGGGGATTTGCCAAGTAGACACACCTTGGTCATCATGGGTCAGAATCTGGGTATGTCTGCCCCAAAGACCACGGGCTTCTGCTGGAGTGAAGGGCCGCAAGGAGCTCCAGCCCAGAGCAGAGGGACATGGAGGAGATTAAGCCAAATTGTGTGTGTGTGCATGCATGTTTCTGTGTGTGCATGTGTACACGTCTGTGTGTGTGCATGTGTACACATGTCTGTGTGCATGTGTAAATGTGTGTGCACATGTACAAATAAACACATTGATCAACGTAATGTGTTTGCTACGTAACTGATCCCTTCAATTTCCCCTCCTATAAAGAATCTCACCAACCTAACAAGTAAACTTTTAATTTGTTGTCTTATAATTTTATATCCTGACAGTTTTGTGTTCCATCTTAAAATGAAATAGAGTTTTTTGTCATCTTTTTTATCCAAAACCTGCCCTGCCTCCTTTCTTCCTCCTTTTTTTCTTTCTCTACTTAAAATGAGAACAGATGTAACCCTGGTCATAATTAAAAGAATTTTCAGAGCTTCAGAGGAGTGCAACGAGCACAGGCTTCGAGGACACCAGCACAGGGGGGAGCAATTCCTGTGTGACACTGTCGTCCTCATGCCGTTGCAGGTTGGGTGTATGTTTACACAGGGTTTTCCCATCCTTGATTAAATTAGGTCCTTGCAATAGTCCTCAGAGGTGGGAAGAGCAAGCATTTTATCCCAGTGTCACAGAAGAGGAAACTGAGGCCAAAAGTTGAGAGAGATTGCCCATGATTACTGGAGCTAAAATTGGGCCCAAGTGTTCTCATTCCCAAGCGTGTATTCTTGGTTCTCTCCACCATCTCGAACACAGGCGTCCCTGTTCCCTGCAGCCCTGACCTGCTTCTCTTGTCTCTTTCTTCCACTGTCACACAAATTCCAGAGGGCAATTTGAGCATAGCCGCTCTTTTAAATGTCATTTGGCTCTTTGTGGAATCCTGGCAGGAGTTAGTGGAGAGCAGGGAGGGGGGTCAGCCCAGCCTCTACCAGTGCCCTCTCACTGCCTCAGGAGAATAGGACCCAGGGCACTGGATAGAACAGTTGGGATTAACTGAAGAACAGATACGCCTTGCACGTATGCCCTTGATATTTGAGCATTCACCTCCAAGTTTACATTAAATGAACTGAGAGAACTGGTAGAACTGGATGTGGTCTCAGCATTCCATACGCATTTCACTTAAAGTAGCCCAGTTAGTTGTTAATTAATTGGTTTGTTTACCCATCCAACGAACCATCCAACCATCATCCATTCATTCTTCTTCATATCCTTTCTTCCTTTTATTTGTCCTTCTTTTGTTCATATTTCTCTTTTTTTCTTCCTTTTGTCCATCAATTCTTTTTTTAATCCATCTTTCCTTCCTTCCTTCCTTCTCTTCCTTTCTTTCTTTTTTCCTTCCTTCTTTCCATCCATCCTTTTCTTTCCACCCATCCATCTATCCATCATCCCTTCTTTCAGCCAGCCTGCTATTGAGGCTGACAGTGATTTGCCTCAAGAACAAGTGTTTTAGGTTTGGAGAGCCCTGGGTTAATGTACAGGACCCACCACTTACTTGTTGTGGGACCCTGAGTGGATTTACCTGTCCAAATCTGTTCAGCTATGAAATGTATCTAAGGTAGCACTGACCTCGTGAGGGGTTGTCAGGAGTAAATGAATGAACGCAGCAAAGCCCCTTGCATTGGGAGTGGCTCATGATGCCGATGCAGTTATGTTCCACTTGCTGGGTTAGACATGTCCCTTTGTGGATGGTAATCTCCTCAGAAACACACAGAAATAGCTGTGATACTCTGCCCTGTATTACAGGTGAGGAAACTGGCTCAGACAGGTCATGTAACTTGTCCAAGTTCCACAGCTGTGGGGTGAATTTCCCATCATTGTCCCATACTCTTACTTTTGTGTTTTGTCCTGTCAACACGTGATGGCTTTTGTCTTGAGCCAAACTCTCAAATGAAGGTGACCACAGGCACAGCCCCCCATGGCCTCGGGTGATCTGGCTCCCCAGCAACTGACTGCATTTTCTCTCCTTGTCTCTCGCAGCCGGCCAAGCTCGCTGAGGCCTTCAAGTACTTCGTGCAGGGCATGGGATACAGTGAGTATGGCATTCCCCGTGTGCAGTGGGTCGGGGCATGTGTCGGAATTGGAAGTGCTCTGTCCTGAGCCAGGTTTGGATGAGCAATTCTGTGTCCCCCTGGCCAGCTTCAGCTTTCTGGGAGGAAACAGTTAGGTGTGTGGAGGGCATGTGGCAGCCTGGAGGATCTAGCCTCTCATTTATCAGTGAGGCTCATTTTTCCTCCTTTGTTGAATAGAAGTTGTTTCACACCAGGGATTTTGGGGGGTTTAGATGAGGACTGTCCCTTTAAGCACCAAGACAATGACCAACAGTGAAACAATAACATTTTTAAAAATTTTGATCACAAGTTTTAAGAGACCACTAGCTACAGTGATGATGAAGATGGTGTCGATGATGATGAAAGATTACTAACACATTATTTTATCTCACTGAACCATCACAGTACTCCTTTGACATATTCTTAGCCCATCTTATCAGTGATGAAGCTGAGGCTTCGGGGTTGTAAGCAGGGAGCAGAGGGCGGATCTGTGGAAATTCTTTGAAGACTGTGAAGCTCTGTGGAAGTGGCTAACAAAGTTGCTTACATTCAAGGTGGAGCATGCCATAGTCAAGTCATGAGCTTTGGGAAGTGGAGGATACATTGGAAGCATCATTCAGGAACTCACTCGTTCTTATTTTGCAGTTATAGTTTGTTAGACACATACAGCCTTTTTTCCAGAAGTGCTGTCCCAGGACTAGGACAGACCCTGGCGAGTTGTAACTCGGCTGAACAGCAGCCACACTCAGTGCTGTGGGCCTGTCAGCCATGGTCCGGCCCTGACATGACTAGTGGCTCTTCTGACCCTACTGCTTGGAACTATAATTCGTGTGTCCTCCCTTACTAGGAAGTTATTGAACTTCTGATCCCTTTTATCATTTCCTTAAACTGTTTGCCCATGTATAGTAAGAGTATGCTTGGTAAGCTGACTGCAGTCCTAGCATTGGCCTTAGCCATGATTAGCTCTAGCAAGGCGAGGCTGGCAGGTTTGATTTCCATGCCTCAGGCTCAGGCAGGATCCACATCCCCAGGTGCCCTCTTCCAACAGAAGCTATCTGCTAGTGGGGCTCCTGCCTTTCTAGCCTGCTTTCCCCGACGGAAGTTGCAGGCAAAGGTTGTCATTGGAGACAGCCATGGAGACAGCCGCGGGGCAGTCCTGCTTTACCCTGCACGGTGTGAATTGTGGCTCCCATTTGTCTTGGTCCCGCCAGGGTTTGGATTTCTGCTTTGAGAGTGTGTTCTGGAGAGAAAGGAAGTGAATGCTAGACCTCATCTTTCTCCCCAAATCGGCTTCTATTACCAGAAAGCTGAAGCCTCCTGCAGGTCTTGGGGGGAAAATAACAGGAAGAGCTATGGTCTCAAAGGCATCAGCCAAAGAGAAGGAAAGGAACCGGTCACTGGCCTTCTGCACACCACGGGGTGCTGGCTTGATGAACCCTTTGCACACCTGGCATCAGTGCTCACTGTACGCTTCTCATCCTGCTCAGTAGACATCCCAGATTTGTGGGTGAGAAGTAGGGGCTCAGAGAAATATGTGAGCTGCGGATGTGGCATTGACCCCAATTCTTTCTGAATTCAAAACTAGCTCTTTAAGACAATTCAGCAAGGATTAATTCTGTTTGGGAGTGCCTGACATCAAAAGCCCCTCCCTGTGCCTATCAAGGAGATAACATAAGCCCTGCATGCTTGGTGTGGATCAACTGCCCCTGTTTCTGATGTCTGACTCAGTGTGGCCTCCTAGCCATGATGCTTCAGTTGGGTGGAGTACTAGTTTCCTAAAGCTGCCGTAACAAATCTCCACAAACTGGGTGGCTGAAAACAATAGAAATCCATTCTCTCAAAGTTCAGGAGGCCTAAAGTCCAAAATCAAGGTGTGGGCAGGGCCTTGCTCCCTCCAACGCTGCTGTGGAAGAACCTTCCATGCCTCTTCCTGGCTTCTGGTGGCCCCAGCAATCCTTGGCTTTATGTGGCTTGTGGCTGCATCACTCCAATCTCAGCCTCTGTCTTTGCGTGGACTTCTCCCCTGCATATCCCTGTGTGCTGTTTCTATAAGGACATCACAGTCATTGGGTTTAGGGTTCCCTCTCAACCCAGGATGATTTCATCTCAAGATCCTTAACTAATTACATATGCAAAGACCCTATTTCCAAATAAGGTTCCCTTCTGAAGTTTCAGGTAGGTGTGAATCTTCCGGGACACTGTCCCACCCGGTACAGGTGGGCAGGATTGTTCCTCCTCATTCCACCCCATCAGCACGTGCTACCCCATCAGCATGTGCCACTTGCACGTGCCATGTGCAAGAGCATTTGAGGTCTCAGAGAAGATCCCAAAGAATAGACAGCGCCCTTGTTAGCACCTGGGCTGACAGGCTTCTTTGGGAGAGATGACAACGAATAGCCATGCCGGGAACTTGCCGTGTGGCCCCTCTCCCTTTCCCCACCTGTGATGTGCAGGGCCACTGACCCCAGGTGTCCTCCCTGCTCCAGTGATCATGGACAGCATGGGGTCATGGGCGTACACACAGGTGCTGATACCAGGGGTCAGTATTTAACATACTTGCTTTACAGATGGGAACAGGGAGGCTCAGGGGGACACTCTCAAAATTACACAGCTTTTAACAGGTGGCAGAATTGGGGTTCAGACCCAGATCTGGGTTCAAGTCACTCATGGTGTGATTGCGGCAGTTCCTTCCCGCATCTGGGCCTTGCCATCTCTCTCTCCGAGTGGACATGGAGAGGACGGGGGCCCAGCAGCTGGATGGCTGCAGGGATCAAGTCTTCTCTGGGGCTGGCACGTAGAAGAGCATGTGGCTGGTGGACGGGCATGCCTGGCTCCTCACCTGGCAGTCTCCTGCCCTCTAACCGGCTGTCTCTTGTTCCCCTAGTGCCCTCGGCTAGCATGACCCGCCTGATGCGGTCCCGCACAGCCTCTGGTTCCAGCGTCACTTCTCTGGATGGCACCCGCAGCCGCTCCCACACCAGCGAGGGCACCCGAAGCCGCTCCCACACCAGCGAGGGCACCCGCAGCCGCTCGCACACCAGCGAGGGGGCCCACCTGGACATCACCCCCAACTCGGGTGCTGCTGGGAACAGCGCCGGGCCCAAGTCCATGGAGGTCTCCTGCTAGGCGGCCTGCCCAGCTGCCGCCCCCGGACTCTGATCTCTGTAGTGGCCCCCTCCTCCCCGGCCCCTTTTCGCCCCCTGCCTGCCATACTGCGCCTAACTCGGTATTAATCCAAAGCTTATTTTGTAAGAGTGAGCTCTGGTGGAGACAAATGAGGTCTATTACGTGGGTGCCCTCTCCAAAGGCGGGGTGGCGGTGGACCAAAGGAAGGAAGCAAGCATCTCCGCATCGCATCCTCTTCCATTAACCAGTGGCCGGTTGCCACTCTCCTCCCCTCCCTCAGAGACACCAAACTGCCAAAAACAAGACGCGTAGCAGCACACACTTCACAAAGCCAAGCCTAGGCCGCCCTGAGCATCCTGGTTCAAACGGGTGCCTGGTCAGAAGGCCAGCCGCCCACTTCCCGTTTCCTCTTTAACTGAGGAGAAGCTGATCCAGTTTCCGGAAACAAAATCCTTTTCTCATTTGGGGAGGGGGGTAATAGTGACATGCAGGCACCTCTTTTAAACAGGCAAAACAGGAAGGGGGAAAAGGTGGGATTCATGTCGAGGCTAGAGGCATTTGGAACAACAAATCTACGTAGTTAACTTGAAGAAACCGATTTTTAAAGTTGGTGCATCTAGAAAGCTTTGAATGCAGAAGCAAACAAGCTTGATTTTTCTAGCATCCTCTTAATGTGCAGCAAAAGCAGGCGACAAAATCTCCTGGCTTTACAGACAAAAATATTTCAGCAAACGTTGGGCATCATGGTTTTTGAAGGCTTTAGTTCTGCTTTCTGCCTCTCCTCCACAGCCCCAACCTCCCACCCCTGATACATGAGCCAGTGATTATTCTTGTTCAGGGAGAAGATCATTTAGATTTGTTTTGCATTCCTTAGAATGGAGGGCAACATTCCACAGCTGCCCTGGCTGTGATGAGTGTCCTTGCAGGGGCCGGAGTAGGAGCACTGGGGTGGGGGTGGAATTGGGGTTACTCGATGTAAGGGATTCCTTGTTGTTGTGTTGAGATCCAGTGCAGTTGTGATTTCTGTGGATCCCAGCTTGGTTCCAGGAATTTTGTGTGATTGGCTTAAATCCAGTTTTCAATCTTCGACAGCTGGGCTGGAACGTGAACTCAGTAGCTGAACCTGTCTGACCCGGTCACGTTCTTGGATCCTCAGAACTCTTTGCTCTTGTCGGGGTGGGGGTGGGAACTCACGTGGGGAGCGGTGGCTGAGAAAATGTAAGGATTCTGGAATACATATTCCATGGGACTTTCCTTCCCTCTCCTGCTTCCTCTTTTCCTGCTCCCTAACCTTTCGCCGAATGGGGCAGCACCACTGACGTTTCTGGGCGGCCAGTGCGGCTGCCAGGTTCCTGTACTACTGCCTTGTACTTTTCATTTTGGCTCACCGTGGATTTTCTCATAGGAAGTTTGGTCAGAGTGAATTGAATATTGTAAGTCAGCCACTGGGACCCGAGGATTTCTGGGACCCCGCAGTTGGGAGGAGGAAGTAGTCCAGCCTTCCAGGTGGCGTGAGAGGCAATGACTCGTTACCTGCCGCCCATCACCTTGGAGGCCTTCCCTGGCCTTGAGTAGAAAAGTCGGGGATCGGGGCAAGAGAGGCTGAGTACGGATGGGAAACTATTGTGCACAAGTCTTTCCAGAGGAGTTTCTTAATGAGATATTTGTATTTATTTCCAGACCAATAAATTTGTAACTTTGCAGCGGCTTGTGTCTTTTTTCTGTCCCTGAGAGATTGTGTGTGTGAAACATTGCAGTGCAGGGATGGCTGTTTCACTGGGGGGTTGCCCGTCCTTGACACCTAGGGGACCCCAGCCCCTCATCTCTGGAATTCTTTCCTCGGAGCATCACGTCCAGCAGAAATTTAAGTCAGCTCATATGTTAATTCTAATTTCCCAGTGGCCACATTTTCAAAAGTGGAAAGAAACAGATGAAATTAATTTTAATAATACATTTCATTTATCTCAAGACGTCTAAAATATTACCACTTCTATAAAAACTATTGACCAGGTATTTTGCATTCTTTTTTCATTCTAGGAACTCTAGTGTGTTTCACACTCGCAATGCATTCAGACCAGCTGCATTTCAATTGCCCAGTAGCTTGGGCAGCACAATGATGAGGATAAAAAACTTTCCAACCTATAATTCGAGGAAAACAGCTTTTTTATTTTTAATATTTATTTTTATTTTTTGAAACGTAGTCTCACTTTGTCACCCAGGCTCAAGTGCAGTGGCACAATCTTCGCTAATTGCAACCTCCGCCTCCCAGGTTCAAGCAGTTCTCGTGCCTTAGCCTGCTGAGTAGCTGGGATTACAGGCATGCGCCACCATGCCCAGATAATTTATTTTTATTTTTATTTTTAGTAGAGATGGGGTTTTTGCCATGGCCAGGCTGGTCTCGAACTCCTGACCTCAAGTGATCCGTCCACCTAGGCCTCCCAGAGTGCTGGGATTACAGGCATGAGTCACCGTACCCAGGCTACATTTTGTTTGGATTACAAACAAATGTATGTGGAAAGATCATTCCTTTTCTCATGCCCAGTGACAACCATTGTAATGCTTGTTTTCTACTCTACATTAAAAAAAAGAGATTTTAGTGTAACCTCTTATTTAAACTAAGATTAGTTTAAAATATACAGACAGTTGCAAACAATACAGAGAGTTGCCATATAGCCTGTACTTAGTGACCCCTGTCACTAATATCTGACGTTACTGCATACTTGTCACAACCGGGAGATCAGTTGGACGTTGCTGTTAACTAAGCCCTGGACCATATTGAGAATTCACTGGGGTTCCCCTAATGTCCTCTCTCTGTCCAGGATCCCATCTGGGACACCCCATTACATTTTGTCATCATGTCTCAGCTTCCTCTGGTTTGTAACAGTTTCTCAGATTTTATTTTATTTATTTATTTATTTATTTATTTTTACTTGAGATGGAGTCTTGCTCTGTCGCCCAGGCCGGAGTGCAGTGGTGTGATCTCGGCTCACTGCAACCTCTGCCTCCCAGGTTCAAGCAATTCTCCTACCTCACCCTCCCAAGTAACTGGGATTACAGGCGCAGGCTGCCACGCCCAGCTAATTTTTTTGTATTTTAGTAGAGACGGGTTTTCACTGTGTTGTCCAGGCTGGTCTCCAACTTCTGAGCTCAGGTAATCCACCCGCCTTGGCCTCCCAAAGTGCTTGGATTACAGGTGTGAGCCACCGCGACCGGCCAGATTTTCCCTTTTCTTCAACAGCGTTGAGAAGCACTAGTCAGACATTCTGTCACAAGTCTCCCCACTGAGGTTTGTAAGTAGTTTTTCTCACAGTACAACTTGGGGCTGTGGGTTTTTCGGGGAAACCCACAGAGGTGATTTGTCCTGCTTCTCACATCATATCCAGGCCACACGCTATCACTGTGGTTTATCACTGATGGGATTAATGGTGATGGCGTGGCTGGGGTAGTGTTTGCCAGATTTCTCTATCGTCAGGTTACCCTTTCCACTTTTCCATATTCATTCTTTGGAAGTGTGAACCCCCAAAATTTGAGACAGGTCTCTGTTAATTTAGAAAGTTTATTTTGCCAAGGCTGAGGACAGGCGCCTGTGACAGCCTCAGGAGGTCCTGACGACCTGTGCCCAAGGTGATCGGGGCACAGTTTGGTTGTATACATTTTAGGGAGACATGAGACCGCAATCCATACATGTAAGAACCATACAGCCGGGTGCGGTGGCTCACGCCTGTAATCCCAGCACTTTGGGAGGCCGAGGCAGGTGGATCACGAGGTCAGGAGGGAGGGAGGAGCATGTTGGCTTGTGATTATTCAACAAACATAAGAAGTGCCTTTCCTACTTTGTGTCCTGTGTGAGTCGGGAACTAAGATAAAGCGGGTGGTGAAGGAACTGGCGAGGAAGCATCACAGCAGGGGGGCTGTGCCAGCTTTGAGGAGTCAGTGTGGCACAGAGACTTGCTGTGGTCTGGCTTCCTCGAGGAAGGAACTGTTGCAGGTGTTCACATGTATCAGTGCTATTTAGAGCTACATGCCCAAAGGCTGTTTGGCCAGCTGGGGATCTGATTCTGGTCTCCTAGCTGCTTGTTTTGGTTTCAAATCTCCTGACTCTTGGGTTTCAGCAGCATCTGGGAGGCCAAATGCGTGCTGAGATTAGCATGTGCAGGGTCTGTCCTTGGCCCTTTCCATAGTTTCCCTAAGAGAGTCATTAGGTTGACCCCTAGATCTGGCCTAAATCCATCGGCTTACGTATTTATATTGGGCTTCACAGGCTGCATGGAAACCCTTCGCTAGCGTCCCACATGGAATCCAAGAGCAGAAGGTGAGGCTTGGCCTTATGGGGTGGGAGACAGGACTGGGGAGGAGTTAGCCTCCTCCTTTCTAAGATCTGATTTTTGTGTAACTCTGAAGCATAAAATGGTGGCCCTAACCCAAGGGCTACCTGACCTTTTGGTTCTTGAACCCCAAACTAATCAGGTGTTTCTGTCTCTTAAGGGGAAGAATCTCATCGGTCCAGCTCTACTCAGGTGCCACTCCCTGTCTAATCAACTGTGACTGGGCTCATGTTACTCCTGCCCCCTTCCCCCCACATACATGCTGCAGGTGTCTGAGTAATTGATGTAGTTGTGGTGGTGAATTGAGTGTATCTGTTGCATGATTGAGCCCATTGACAGCCAAGCTCACTGTGGCAGAACATGCCCTTTCTCATCCCTGCTTTGAGAAGTGTCTGCTGAATGCCCAGCCTGCCCCACGAGGCAGGCGCCACCCTGCAGAGATGGGACATCTAGCATTTGTAACACATGTCACTGTGGGTGTCCTTTCTCTCGCAAACTAGGGATTTTTTCTTCTTCTTCTTCTTTTTGTTTTTTTTTTTTTAGATGGAGTCTTGCTCTGTCACCCAGGCTGGAGTGTAGTGGCGTGATCTCGGCTCCCCACAACGTCTGCTTCCCGGATTCAAGCGATTCTCCTACCTTAGCCTCCCAAGTAGCTGGGACTACAGGCGTGCCACCATGCCTGGCTAACTTTTTGTATTTTTAGTAGAGACGGGGTTTTGCCATGTTGGCCAGGCGGGTGGGATTTCTTCTGTATTGACAGGGCCAGCATAGAGCAAGGCACATAACAGGAGACTTTTGTTAAATTAACAGATGCACACTTCCTTTAATAATATTTAGTGTGCTTTATAGATTCTTCCCCGTTTTTATTATTTATTTGTGAGGACTTGTCCTTGCTTCATAGATGAGAAAACCCAGGCTCGGAGAGATTAAATCGCTTGCCCAGCCATTTCTAAAATGGATTAAATCCCTTGTTGTCTTGTTGTCTTTTGAAGCAGTTCACTGAGCACGTGACTCATGCCACCACCTATTGATGTCTTGGGATTCTGGAGCATCAGTAAGTTCCTGGGACTAACTAAGACTGTGGATGCCCGTAAGGTTGTTATTGACTGCGGCGGGTGTTTGTCCCTCTGTTATTAGATAGTCCCACTCTGACTTGGGTGACCTGCTTTTATATCTTTCATCTGGTTTTTAATTTTTCCACCTCCTCCTCTGCTGCCAGGCTGGCCTCTGCTATCAATAAGCCTGCTTCGGGCAGCTTCCTCTCCCTTTTTATGGAATGGACTAAGAAATCTACATGGTTGGGGTTGTGCGAAAATCAAGAGCAGTGAGGTTTAGGCTGGAGATCTGGAGACATTCGTTACAGAATAAAACATATGAAACAGTGCACGGGCTTTGTGACAGCTTGTTTGTCTCCTCAGAAGCCATTTTTGCTCAGTCCTACATTTAGAAAGAACCCAGATTCAACTAGAAATTGGCTCTCTGAATACAGAGGATGCCTTTGAATTCCGATTTTGTCAGTAGGGGTGATGGAGAACACTGGCATCTCTGCAATATGCTTTTGAAAATAAAATGCTTCATAATAAAATGCTCTGGCCGTTTCCCCTAAATCCCATTTCCCCCCCCCAATTCAGCCGCCTGACGTCCTAAAACATTGCCCTAACATCTATACATTCATCTTAATCTGAGGCACCCACAGGACTCCACGATCTAAGTTCCAATTTTGAAACCAATATGCTTCAGGATAGAGGTGTTCCTAGAAAGAATTCGTGTGACAATTATATTTTTATTGGAATGGAGCCTCCCCTTGACTCTTTATACTCTCATCATGTGTTCTGGGGGCAAGTAGATGAGAGGGATTTGGCCAAGAGGTATCAAAAGAGGCATTCACTTAATGTGCCCCAGCCATCTGCACATCTGTTCATACAGCTCAGCATATGCTGTGTGCTGTGTTGGGCTTGGGAGACACAGAAAAGTATAACACACCCTTCCTGCTTTAGAGAAGCTGGGTTTCAAATCAAGTTACAGCATAAAATGAAAACATAAAAAGCAAAAATTTAAGGGGCTAAGCAGTCTATGGTTGAGGTAAAAGAGCATTCAACTGAGTATAGATAGTGACACTATAACTGAGTACAGATAGTTTTCTTTACATTTGCTATTTTAAATAAGGGCTACGTAAAGTAAATATACAAACACACACGTTGACATTAATTCTTACTGTTGCCTTGCTGATTACCTCCAGTTTATGAAGAAACTCAGCTAATAGTAGATGTATTTAGTAAGTGTTTAATGTTCTAAGTTTATTAAGTGCTTAGTATTCTAAGTTCTATTTTAAAATTTTGTATGCAATACGCATCCCACTGAGGGGTAGGTACTATCATTTTCTACATCTCACAGCTGGAGAAACTGAGGCTCAGATGGGCCTAGTCAGGAAAAAGGTATATCAAGATCCACTTGAGGCCCAAAGTCAGGATTGTTTCCATTGCATCTGTACCCTCCCTTAGGCTTCTTTTTCCTCCTCTTGTTTCCTGAGGCAGCTGGCAATAGATACTCTGTCCATCCATCCAGTCCTTGCTTACTCAGTTCTTGACATGCGCCTGCTTCTGAGCTAGGCTCAGAGGACGCAGTTACAGTCCCTGACCTCATGATACTCAGTCTCGCTGGGGATGTAGACAGACAGTGAATATGTGAGTAAGTGAATGAATGAATGCCAAAAATTTCATTTTATATTTACATGAGGTGTCTTCCAGCCTGGATACATTGGCAGCCCTTGTCTTCTCTGAGTTCTAAAATTTGTGTTTCTAAGCCCATTTCCAAACTTTTTTAGCCATTTTAATTTCAGTATATAAAGTATCTGGGACCTCGTTTCCACCATCTGCACATTTATTGAACATGCTCAATGCTCCATCATTGTCTCATAACAACTGCCTGTACAAGAAAAGCCACCAACTCCAGTATGTGACTTTGCTGATGGTTTATTACCTTAAGGAAAAGACTTACACAGAGAAATTGAGCAATGAAAACCCTTCACATTGAGCAAACACATTCCACGCTACACAAATCATGAGAAAAATGAGAACTGTTGTGAAACATGACAGATTGCCCAAGTGTTATTTTTCCTCTATTGGAAAATTCTAAGACGTTTCCTCATGTGTAGTTTTTCAGTCACAAAAATGGCAGTAGGAATATTTAAATATTAAATCACAGTTTGAAAATAGATACATACATACATATATATACACACACAGGGATACATAGTTGACTTATGATTCCCAGATATGCAGGGTTATCATTGTGACTGCTTTGGATCAAGACAAGTTTGTAAAAAGCAGCGACATAGTTCAACATAATAGTCAGGAGCTAGATTACTTCCCTGTAATTGCTATGCACACACAGTACAAGGCTAGCGAGATTATAGACAATCATGTCATTCGAATCTACTATCTTTGATAATTCTGAATCATTTTCAAAGTTAAAATTGCAGCTATTGTCAGTAAAGCGCCTCTTATAAAGGTCATGCCTTTTGATTTGGGGGACAGAATAACTAGGCGTAGCACAAGAAGAGATGGCTCAGGTATCAGACTATCCTGGGTTTCCAGTCTTGGTCTGCTGTTCACTAGCTGGTAAGACCTTGAGTACACGACTAAACTTCTGTGAGACTCAGATGATAATGCCATATTCTATAGGTTTGCTGTGAGGATTAAATGAGATATGGCAGGAAAGCACCTTCCACAAGGCTTGGTGTATGCTAAGCGCTCAAAAAATGCTTATGATAAGGTTTAGCAAGATTTAACTTGGTGAATTCAGGTCTCCTTCCCTTTTGCACACCTAAGCACACCTGAGTAATTCACTCTAAGTATGAATGTAAATTTCCTCAGCAAAGGTTAACTAACCCTTAGGGTAGCTTTCCTTTGTCTCAGAACATATAGTTAACAAGGGACCACAGAGGTGATGATCTATTTGGTCTGTTTGAAGCCCCTTGTAGATGTAATTCTCCAATAGGTGTCATTCAGGTCTTTTCCAGAGGCCTCCGCAAGAGCAGGGGCTGGTAGAATAAGCTGCTGTTTGAGCTCTAACTTTTTGGGGGCACTTCTCTTTTCCACTTATAAAATAGTGAAAGATGCATACTCAAAATTGCTGTAACAATTAAATAAAATAATGAACAACTTAGCATAGTGCTTGGCACCAAGTAAACACTCAATCAGTGGAGATTTTTTTCCATTATATTTATTATTCTTAATTTTTATTGAATCAGGCCACACCATTGCAGGGAAATTCTGACTTAGAAAGCGCTTCATTACATTGGATCCAAATTTCCTTCTCCATGGCTTCAACCCATGGGTCTGAGACTTGCCCTCCGGGCTCTGCATAAGATAGTTCCGTTTCTCAAAACCAATGGCGACTGGGTTATTCTGACCACCTTCCTGCACCCATTGCCAGAATAATCCCTAGTTTCTCCAACCAGACTTCCTATGATCTTTGAAAGCTAAGTTCAGTTTCCCAAATTGAGATGCAAATTCAGTAAGAACCTAGCTCTTGGGTTTCCACTGAATTTCAAATGGAGTGAGCTGTTATCCAGCCTTGTAATTTGTAGATGGCAGGTGTTTTCACTCTCAGAAAATCTAACATGATTCACACTGACTTACAGAAGAGATCATTCATGGAGTGAATTCTCTTTATACAAGAATTCTTGCATACGCATACACAAATATATGTATACATACATATGCATTTCTTTGAAATATTAAATGTCTCTTTTGCTAAGGCACTTAATATAAAATTTTGACTGTTAAAATTCTATTTTCATGTAGCTTTGGAAGAAGAGAGCTTCGAATAAAAGTAGGAACACATGCACAGCTTCCTGTATTCATCAAGTATTTAATGAGCACCACTGTATACCTTGCACTGGACTAGGTTTTGGGGAGGTCACAGTAAGGAGGATGTATTCCCAGTCCTTTTCCCGTTTAGGAATCTCTCTGCACACTGCACAGAATTCCCTGTGAATAACTACACAACATTCAATATGCAGCATTGGGTAAACAGAATCATCTTTTAAATGTGTGATGAGAGCTGGTTCCGATGGGAAAGAGGGAATAAGCTACAGGGGATTCCTGGATTTTTGTGTGTCCCATGTATTTTGGATGCTTAAGCACCTAAATTATCAGAAAATCAGATATTCTCGTCTTTTGAAAAGGAGCTAGAAAGACTATAAGAGGGAAAAATGACATTAAAAAATCAAGCCATTTATTGCAATGTTTTCCTATTCTGACACATTTGGAAGCTCTAAAAACAGGGGGAAAATATGGGTTATAAAGACAGTCCAATTTCGATCTGAATCCTAACTTTCCCAGTCACCAACTGGGTGACTCTGGTTGAGTTTTCTCACCTCTATGAGCTTCCGTTTCACATTTGTAAGAACAGAAATAATAATGGGAACTTCTCAACATTGTCGTGAAGATTCAGTGAGCTAATACATGCAAAGCACTGAGAGCAATGTCTGGCACAGAAAAGGCCCTAAATAAAAGAATTCTAACAGTAAATATTATATTTTCCTAATACAATAAATAATAGCCTGATATTCATTAACAACAACCTTTTCCTTTTAGCTTCAACCTCTTCAGCTTTAAACCTTTATTAAGTCTATTTCTGTTTCTAAACAACCGGTAAACCTCCATCTTCCTACCAGAAAACTGGCCATTTGGTCAGCAGAACGAAAGGCTGTGAAATGAGTCTCTGCAATAGATGTGTCCTGAACACGGGGGCCCCTGGAGTCCCACAGCCTCCAGCTCTAGAGGTCACCCCAGGCTGCTACCAAGGGCACCCACTTCTTGGTTTGACCCACACCCCTACCTGAACCTGTCTTGGTCATTTCAGTGGGTCTGGCATGGTCTGCAGCTGGGTCTCTCAAGGCTCTGTAAGAGTAGAGGAGTGTTCCAGGGCACCACTCTCAGGGGCCAGACAGGCCAGTCCAGAGGCCTTACCAATTCCTATGAACCCCAAGCAGGACAAGGGAGAAGATTCAAGGAAGAGCCTGGCCAACTGCCCAAAGCCCTGCCAGTCAGCAGCTGATTCAGTGTGAGAGTCAATTGGTCCTTCTGAAACGGGCTGACCTTTCCCTGTCTCTGGAGTATTAACTGGGGGCTTTTCCCATCAACAGGAATGTTTATCAAATTTTATTTCTGACTGGGACAAACCTAATCTGTACCCTTCACAGTGTAGGGGTGAAGAGAAACTTAACCTCAACAATGCCCAGGTTAATGGATACAACTTTCCATTAAAAATCAAAATTAAGCAACTATTCAACTCACTTGGCAAATGTTTGATGACCTTGAGGTGCATACATATTTGGAATCAGGATAGTTTTGGTGCGCTGACGTCAGAATTACCCATTACAGTACCTCTTGGCAGGCTCCAAATAATAGATTATTCTATTGTTCCAAATTCCATCTATTCATCTGAATGGACCCAAAGAGTCTTGTGGTTTGGCATCTAAAGAAGAAATTAGTGATATTAAAAGTCTACCTGATTCCATTTCTTGGGATTTAGGCAAGATCCAGCAGGACTTCTAGTGACTTGGAAAGGCTGGATCAGGCTTGGGTGTAGTCCAGAACAGCTAGAGACAGGCATTTTTCTTTAGAGTAGATGCTGAATGATATCAAGGAGAAAACTCATAGCATGGGCCTGAGCAGCACCATCAGGCGTCATTTGAATGGTTAGAGACAGAAATGGAGGCCAAGGGTCCAGATCAGGGTAACTAAGGCTCATTGGTGAAAAGTTATTGGCCATAAGGGCTGACTGCTTCACAGGCATTGGGTTAGTCCCCAAGACCCAAGATTTGTGCCTGCCTAGTTGGCAATTTCTGAGAAGTCAGGGTAGGATTCCAAGTCAGCAAAGATGTCATTGGGATTCCTACAGCTCAGGTTACAGAAGCAGGCATTAATCCATAGGACCTGGCGGGAGAAGCCAAGCCCATCAGGACACTGGAAGGACACGTCGATAGTCTTAGACTTGTAGGGGATGCAGCACCTATTGTCCATGCAAACTCCACAGTACTTGGGTTGATAGGAGCGTGTGCTGATGCAGCCCGCAAGTGTGAAGTTCATGGATGCCTCTGGCTGGTACACAGCCAGACACTTCTTCCCTGCCTGAAGGAAAGGAAAGGAGCTTTCAGTGGGAGTGCTCAGAGAATGGACAACCACCTTCTTCCCCTGAGCCCCCAGTTTTTCCCTTCTCACTATGTGGGAGCATTCCACCTTACTTTCAGCTTCACAGCATCCTCAAGCAAGGAGGGACAACAGCAAACACAGTGAGATCCAGCATACCGCACAGGGGTAAATGGAGGACCACAGAGAAAAATGTTTTGTTTGGGTTGTATCTCACAGCCTGCAGTTTCTCTTTTGTCCTGCATTTTTGTCTTGCCTATGGCCAGTCATTCATCATGGTTTCACCAACATGGGGAGCCTATGTAGCTCCTTCATCCAAGCAAGTTCCCCTGGCTAGCTAGTGGCAGAACTGGCATCGGGACTCCACACTCAGGGGACACGCTTTGCCCTAACCGCCCCTCCTGCCTTTGCCTCTCGTGGCCTTTCACACATACCTTTAGTATTCAACGTATTCAAATGGTTGACATTAAAGGTAACGCTACCTTCCACTGGGCTATGGGCCACTTGAGATTTACTGTTCTTTCTGTGTTTCTGTGGTATAATTCCATGCCTAGTACAGAGTAGGCACTTACTAAACCCATTGGATTGAGGGTTCTCAGGGTCTACTGTGTAAATAGTATGCTAGATCTAGGCTGTATGGCGGCATGAAGCTTGCCCAATTTGGGAAACCCTCTGAGGGCACATAATTCTGGAAAAAAATTGGTTGGAAATCAAAATTGGCTTGGACTTGCATTACGTGGTCCAGTAATGGTAGAGCCATCTCACTCAGCTAACGACCTTTGCTGTCATTCCTCTGCAGCTGGTACCTTTTCCATGTACGTTTTCAGTTAAGAGATGTCTATGGAATGCTTACTGTATACCAAGCGCAGAAAATACAAAAGCTAGTATTACAGGGAAAAATAATCAGAGAGGAAGAAGAAAGAAGAGAAGAAGGAGAAGGAAGAAGAAAAATGGATCCAGTTGATCAATATATAGATGACTGGAGAAGGTGTCTAGGGGATGAGGAGTGATGTTGGATGTCTGAAGAGGATCACAGGAAGCTGTGCTGTCTTTTCTACATGGGAGGCAACCCTGTCCTCAACATCCCTAAGAAACCATCAGCATTCCAAAAATGGAATAACTGTTGAATTTTTTGTTTTGCTTTGTTTTTCCTGTGACAAAAGGCTGACCACTCCTAAGGCATGAGTGAGGAGGACTTGAATTAGATAAATCAGATCCACTTTTAACTCTGAGACTGGGGCTCAAACTAATGTGGCCCAATTTTCTTTGATGCTTTATTTTAATTATCTTGGACTCTTAAAGCTGAAAGGGATTTCAGAGATCAACTCCAATATGTTAATGATGAGGGAATGGGGGCTCAGTGATGAGCAGAGATTGGCCACAGTCACATGCAATTAATGCAAGCAGACATTTGACTCTAG
The DNA here is from genome assembly GCF_000001405.40 of Homo sapiens. Classification (NCBI taxonomy): domain Eukaryota; kingdom Metazoa; phylum Chordata; class Mammalia; order Primates; family Hominidae; genus Homo; species Homo sapiens. The sequence continues at coordinate 133,225,971 of NC_000008.11, read as the reverse complement.
GGGTCCTGAGCCTCATTTAGTGCTCTCTATATCACCCAGTGTGGCTGCTGTGTGGGGGTGGGCTGGCACAGGAGTGAAGGGAGGATGGAAATTGGTAAGGATCCCTCAGAATCATTATAGAAGACCACTCCTGAGGGTCTCTGAGGTTTCTCTGGAGTGATCCTGATTCTAATAATATGATACCTACCAAAGCTTCCATTGACTGAAATTCACAATGCACCAATCTGGTGACCTGCATTATCCGAAATAGCTGTTACACCAGACCTACCAGGTGAGCTTAACTATTCCCACTTTACAAATGCTCCCCACGAGGAAGTTCAGGAGCCAGGCTCAAACCCATATTTGTCTGCTTGTGAAGTCTAGACATCCACACCTGCTCTGGACCCACCTTAATGAGTGTATGGATGTCCACATCGCATGGCCGCAAGTTGCAGAGGCGGCTCTCTTGCTCAGGCCAGCACTGGGCGTTAACATTGGAGATCCGAGTGGAGACCCCCAGGCCGCAGCTGGTGGAGCAAGGGCTCCAGGGGCTTGTGTAGGCTATGCAGTTCCTGTGCCATGCCTCCACCTCACCCACAGCATCTGTGTGTGGGGAACAGAATCTGCATGAATCTACAGCTCCCACCAGCCCCCAACCCTCACTTTCACCACACTAAGGTCTGCGGTCCCCAGAACTCAGAGGAACACAGAAATTGGCTGTACCTCCCCACAGGACAGCAAGTTGGCTTCTAACCAGCAAAGGTACCCAGGGAGTGGAGGACATGTTCTCAGCTCCTTGTATGTTTCTGATCAAGAGAGGCAGTGTGGAAGCATGGGAGGAAACCCATCTTTAGAGACAGGTGGATCCCAGTTCAAATTCTGCTCTACCACCTACAAGCTGTGTGATCTTAGATAACCCACCCTGGGCCTGTCTCCCTATTAGAACAATAACACCTGCCTGTGCGGCTGGCAACACAATAATAAGGCCTAGATTTTTACTGAGTATGCATCAATCATCTTGCTAGGTGCTGGGAATGGGACTTTTTTTTTTTTTTTTGAGACAGAGTTTCACTCTTGTTGCCTAGGCTGGAGTGCAATGGCACAATCTCAGCTCACTGCAACCTCCGCCTCCTGGGTTTTAAGTTATTCTCCTGCCTCAGCCTCCCAAGTAGCTGAGATTACAGGCATGGGCCACCATGCCCGGCTAATTTTGTATTTTTAGTAGAGATGAGGTTTCACCATGTTGGTCAGGCTGGTCTCAAACTCCTGACCTCAGGTGATCCACCCGCCTCAGCCTTCCAAAGTGTTGGGATTACAGGCATAAGCCACCACGCCTGACCAGGAATAAGAGTTTTAAAAGACATTCTCCTGCCTCTGCAGAGAGAAAGTTTATTTGGGGGAAGTTCAAAGGCAAGTAGCTACATGCCAGCACCTAACATTTTGTCGCAGTGATGCCGAGGGCATAGTGGGTAAGAGGGCACACAGGCTTCTTTGGGAGGCCAAAGCAGGTGGATCACTTGAGGTCAGGAGTTTGAGACTAGCCTAGCTAACATGTTGAAACCCCATCTCTACTAAAAAATACACAAATTAACCGGGCATGGTGGCATGTGCTGTAATCCCAGCTACTCAGGAGGTTTAGTCACAAGAATTGCTTGATCTGGGAGGTAGAGGTTGCAGTGAGCCAAGATCGTGCCCGTGCACTCCAGCCTGGTCTAAAAAGCAGGATTCTGTCTCAAAAAAAAAAAAAAAAAAAAAAAAAAAAAGGACTTACGGGCTTCAAATTCAAATCACCAGGGTTCAACTGGCAGCACTGCTACTTGCTGGCTATGTAACTTCCAATAAGCTAGCTCACACCTCCTTGCCTCAGGATCCCCACCTGCACATGGGGTTGGCTATAGCATCTCTTTCTAGTGCCATGATAGAAAAGATGACTTCACGCCTATGAAAGCACCCAGGCTGTCCCTGGCCTTTAGTAAGCTAAAGCCCTTAGTTAATGTGAGTCTGTGTGGTCATTTGACTGTCAGCCAACTCAACTACCCACTCTTGGATGTTCCTATTGATGCATGTATCTCCCGCATCTAGAAGATAGTAAGTGCTCTCTAACTATCTGAAAAACGGAAAATGGTGGTGAGCTCGAGACCAAAGCAGGTTAAAAGCTGTTAAGACAGAACTGCCCACAGAAAGATGGAACAAGATGCAGTGGAGAGGAGGCCTGTCCCATCCAAACACACATGTGCATGAGGAGAGGAGGGAACAGGCAGACAGGGAAGGGATGGAAAGACAGATGGAAGCTCAGAGAAAAGAGAGAGAAAGAAGGAGAGGAGGAGAGAGAAAAAGCGTGTGTGTGTGTGAGAGAGAGAAAGAAACAGGAGGAAGGTAATAAAAGTAATAAAAAGAATGAAGGGAGGGAAAGAGAGGCAAAAAGATAAACACAGAAAAGAAGAGAAATCTAACTAGGATTAGAAGGATAAAGAGGAAAGGTAAGTCAGTTCCTCTAAGCTTATAGGTGTGCTGGGAACATTGATGAATGAATGCAGGAATCACTGAGTGAGAGAGGGAAAGACCTGAAATGGGAGGCATCCAAGGACAGGAGGGGCAGGGCTGACAGGAGCTGGAGCTGCAAGCATCTTGGGAGGTGGTGGGGAGGGAATTGCCCAGGAGGATAAAGAGGCTTTGGTTTTTGGGTCACCTCGGCTAGGCAGGGGCTCCGCTTGTGCTCGGTCAGAACAGGGTCACTGGGCCAGACACAATGGCAGACAGCTTCTGCCTCCCTGCTCCCCCCGTGACCCTCGTGTGGCCCTCCTGGGGAGGTGGTGGTGGGAGAGCTGCCTTGCTGCCCTGGGGCTGCTGGGGACAAAGCTTTCCTCCACGCCTCCTCCTATCCTCACAGGACTGCTTCTCCACCGAGCAATTTTGTCTCCTAGGGTGTATTTGGAAAGGTCTGGAGATGATTTTGGTTGTCACATCTCTGAGGGAGCGGGCGCTTCTGGCATCTAGTGGGTAGAGGCCAGGGATTAGATTGCTGGGATTTAGTAGTCATGCATTAGATTGCTACTAAACATCCTCCAGTGCACATGACAACCCCACCACAAAGAATTCCTTCATCCAAGATGTTGACAGTGCCGAGCTTGAGAAACCTGCCCCACACCGTCCCTGAGCAATCTTTAGCATATATAATTTTTTTTAAAAAAACTACCAATACTCTTAGAACTCCCACTCTATTGCCATTTTTCTACTGCTCTCTACTGCTTGCCTCGTAAGCACTTTCCTCTAGAAATGTCCTCATCTGCTGCCTGCCATGGCATCAGATGCTCCTGGTTTTCTTCATACATCCCAACCCTCCTCTCTGTTTCCCCATGCCTCCTCTTATTCTGCTCACCCTTCACATGTCAGCATTCCCAGACCTCTGCCTCAGGCCCCCTCTGTCTCACTGTGGATGTTACCCTCAGGCCATCCCAGCCATCACCACCAGCAGCTCCAAGCAGATGACTTCAGAGCTCTCCTATTTCGTCTCCTTCCTCCCCATAAAGAGAAACTGGAAGCTTCTCTTAAGATCCCGTGGGCAGGGCACTCTGCCTTAAACTCAGTCTGTTTCAAACAGAGTAGATCTCCCTTGGCCCAAATGTGCTCCTTCTCTTGTATTTGATCCTAGGCAATGACAAGCCCTGGGAGTCAGCCTCTGTCCCTCTTTCTTCTTCACCCCATGCATTAGATTGACATTAAGACCTTCAGTCTTACTCAAGCAATGCCTCTTGTGTCTGTTCCTTCTTCACTGCCTCTACTCCCACTGCCCTAGTTCAGATCCTCATTAGCCCATCCATCTATCCACCTACCCACCCATTCATCCATCCATCCATCCTCCATCCATCCATCCATTAATTGATCCATCCATCATTCACCTATTTGTCCGTCATCTATCCATCCAATCATCCATTTATTTATACATCTATCTACCTATTCATCCACCCATCCATTCAGTTCATCCATTCATCCATCCATCCATCCATTCATCCATCCATCTGTCCCCTCGTCTACTTATTTATACATCTATCCATCCATCCATCCATCCATCCTCCATCCATCCATTAATTGACCCATCCATCATTCACCTATTTGTCCATCATCTATCCATCCAATCATCCAATTTTTTATAAATCCATCTATCTATTCATCCATCTGTCCATTTATCAATTCATCCATCCATCCATTCATCCATCCACCTGTCCACTCATCTAGTTATTTATACATATATCCATCCATCCATCCATTCATACATTCATCTGTCTATTCATCTATCCACCCATCTACTCACCCATCTATCTATTTATACACCTATCCATCAATTCATCTATCCACTCATCAATCCACCCATCTATTCATACATCCATTTATCCATCCATCTATTAATCCACCCATTCATTCATCATCCTTCCATCCATCCATCATCCACCTATTCATCCGTCATCTATCCATCCACTCATCTATTTATACATTCATCTATTTATCCATCCATCTCTTCACCAATCCATCCATCCATCCATCCACCCGCCCATCTATCTATTCTTCATCCATCCATCTGCCCACCCATCAGTATGACAAACATTAATTGGATACCTGCTAAGTGTATGGCACTGGGCTAGATTCCAGTAAGCAGCAGTGAAACAATTGGGCCTGTCCCCACTCTTCTTTTCCAGGGCTTCCTCTTATCTGGTTTACCTGGCTGAAATCTCACCTGCCCACCCATCTTCATAGCAAGGGGGAAGCCCCAAATCATCATGAAGCTTCTACTAGACCCATCTCCTCTTGCTCATACCTCCTCTCCTCAGGTACCCACATACCTACCCTTCTTCCACCACCCATCCCTAACTCTTTAGTAGGATAATAATGGATTGCACTTTTAGGGCTTTGTTCTTTACAAAGCACTCCTCATTTTATGCTGGGAGGATCCCACAGGACAGACTAGACAGATGGGATTATTTCTGTTTTACAGATGGGGAAATAGGGTCTCAGGGGAGGTATGACTTTCTCAAGGTCACAAAGCTAGTAGGTAGTGGACTGGGGAATGAGTCATTCTATGGTGGTCAGAGTTCCAGGAGGGTCCACAACCCATTTGTAGGGTCCCACCCCCAGCCCACTCGGGCCCACACCCACCGAAGGCTCCTGTGTCACGGGGTGCGGTCTTGCGTGGCCTCTTGGCGTCGTCCTCACATACCCACTGCTCACAGCAGTGGCCAGGTATGCTCACGCGCCGCGGGTGGGGGCACCAGAGACGCGGGGGGCGCACTCGGAGGCACAGTGGTGTGCAGCCCACCGCGCCGTCGATGCACGTGCAGTTGTACTTGCAGTTAGGCTGGAAGGACTGGCCGTTGTTGTAGCGCACCCCATCCAGGACGCAGCCCACACCGACCACCTCTGCAAACACAGGTGGCCGGTCAGGCCCAGTGGCCTTGGTGCCCCTGGCTGGCCCAGCTGCCTTTATAGGGGCTCCATGTGGACCATGCCCCAATCCCGGGGATGGCTCCCAGCATGGAGGAGGAACAGAGGCACAAAGGCAAAGGCAGGGAGGTGTGAGAGTGCACAGGGCAGGGCTGAGTGTTTGGTGGAACTTCAGCAAAGGGAGTGCAGGAGTTCCTTTATAGCTTCAGCCAGCACCCAGGGAGTGGAAGGACGCAGCCTCCCGAGGGACTTGGCTGGTTTGCTCCCTGCAGGGTCCCCAGCACCAGGCACAAAGCCTGGTACTGACAAAGACCTGCCATTAGGGCTCATGGTTCTGAAGGTGACCGACTTGTAAAAAAAAAGCCAGAACACTTCGAAACACGTGTTCCATTCATTCCATACACATTCATGGAGCCTTCTATGTGCTGGGGACTCAATAGTGGACAAAACAGACAAAAGACATGCCCTCAAAGAGCTTATGCTGTGGAAAGGTCATATGGAATGTTGGCAGTTACAAGTGTCTGGGAGAAAAGTGGAGCAGGGAGGGGGAGTTGGGCGGGGGGAGACAGTTGCAAATTTATTAATAACCCTTTCCCTGTTTAGAAAAAAATGTTCAGCTAGCTGCCAGAGCTCATTTAATTTTACATAAACACACTTTTTGAGGTTAAAGCAAATCTGACTGATTTTCCATGTAAAAATAAAATATAAAAACTGTTTCTTGGAGTTCTTTCTAAACAGAACTAACATCAGAATTGTCTGAATCATCAGAATAATCTATTTCAGAAAAATCAGATTCATCAAGTGAATCCCAGCCAACTGTTGAAGAACAATTATGCATAGGAATGCTGGGTTTTCTAGGATTTGACATTTTCAGTGATCGAGAATTACTATATTTTGTAAATGGAAATACCACTCCTAAAAAAACACAATGCTGTAAATAGAATGATATCTTTTGTTTTTCAAAGTTGGTATTCTAGAATGATGTGAATAGAGTAACAAAAGTGAGATATTTTGTGGCAAAATTATTTTGGGGTAAATGCTGCAGCCTCTAGTGCTGCTGGTGAGTATTCTCAGCGCAACTGGGAATAGGGTTAAATCAGGTGGATGGGGAAGGCCTCACTGGGTGATGACGCTCAGCAAAGCCTGAAGGAGGTGAGGAAGGAAGCCCGCCCAGGGGTTGGGGGAGGAGCTTTCCAGGTAGGGAGGGGCCCACTTAAGTAAAAAGACCACAGGTGGGAGCAAGCCTGGGCTGTGGGAGAGGTCTGAGGAGGGGAGACAAGAAGGAAAAGGGAAGGAGAGGAGGTCCGAGAAGGCTTCCTTGTAGGCTCAGAGGAAGTGCAAAGCTGTTAGAGCCTAGCACATAGTAGGTGCTCAGTAAGCAACTGCTGAATGAATGATGAAAAGTATGCTTTGCAAGAACACTCATGGTGCTGAGTTGAGGACATGAGAACACTCACGGTGCTGAGTCAGAGGGCAAAGGTAGCATGGGGGACCACCCTGAGACCCAGGTGGGAGAGAGCGGTCTGAAGCCAGAAAGAGAAGAGCTCGGCTTCCAGACAGATTTGGAAGGAGAGCTGCCAGGACTTACTGACAGAGGGGCTGTGCGGGGGAAAGGAGAGGAGTCGAGAAGGAGGAAGATGCTCTGTCCTCTTTGGACAAGCAGGGTTTGGGTTGGGTGGACTCAAGTGTTCTCCATTATGCGTGAGATGGCTGGTTGACAACCAAGTGGCCATGTGGAGTTAGTTAAGCCAGTTTGGAGTCAGGGAGAGTTGGGGACTTCTGGACCAGATATCACCCTTGATACCATGCTCTCTCTGGAGGACAGCTTCTGGAAATGCAGGTAAAGAGCCCCGGACATCATGAGTGGCCACCCAAGGAGAAGCAGTTTGGAATCTGCAGTGGGCCAACAGTTCTGTCCTTCAGGGTTTGCCCGAAGGTGGCTGTTAATAATAGCAGTAATCCTAATGTCTAGCAGGCATGAAGGTTTTCGAAGTACTGTCTCTGTTATTGGATACTGGGTCTCCTCTGTATTGTGCATTGCATTACTTATTTTATTCTGTACAGAAACACTATCACATTATCATCTTTGTCTTTATATATAGCAAAACAAAGTCTCAGCAAGGTGAAGACACATAGCGTCCAAGGTGACCACAGCGGGAAGCAGAATCCCGGTTTGTGTGAACCTTGCTGCGGCTATTGTTTTTTTTGGGGTGCGGTTATCCGTGCAGGAGGTGCAGAAAGGAAAGATGCTAACATCAACTGACCCTCTGATCTAGTGCCAGGTATCATCTGATACATTATCTCATTCAGTTCTCCCAATGACTTCATGAAGAGTTTTATTTTTCTCCTTTGATGGACAGGAAAGCTCTCAGAGAGGTTAAATGATTCGTTTGTTCAAGGTCACGAAACTGTTGAATGATACAGCTGGGACTCAAACCCAGGAGACCTGACTCCACAGCCCATTTCCTGCCACCAGACACCAGTGAAGGAGGGGACAGAGGAAGGCAAAAAAAGCAGAGGAAGCGCTGGGTGAATCACTCATCTTTGCATTCTGAGTCACCCTGCCTCTGCCTGCACGCTGTCTCTCCAGGAAGAGTGTGTGTGTGTGTGTGTGTGTGTGGAGAAGGGAGTGGGCTAAGCCCGGAACTCTGTCCCTGCATGTGGAGACTTTGGAGGGAGAGGTCAGTGCTAGATGCCCGGAGTCCCCAGCACAGTGGCTTTCCCTACCAGCTGCACAGGGGAACCCCAGGGGAACCTGGGGAGCTTTTAAAAATTGTGATGCTCATGCCAGGCCTCAGAATATGGGGGTGAACCTGGGTGTCAGTATTCTTCTTTTGTTGATCTCCGTATTTTAAAAGTTCCCCAGGTGAATCCTGTTTGCAGCTAAGGTTGAAAACCAGTGCAACTAGAAGGCGCGCCAGTCTCTCTCCTTGGGGCTTTGGGTGGGGAAGTGAGATGCTGCTACTGGCTCTGACCAGCCTGCCCACCACAGGCTAGTGGGATGCATGACGGCTGCAGATGGTCCCTTCAGCTGACTCATTAAGTTTCTAACTAATCAAAGGCGAGATGGTGAAGACAGTTGGGTTTCCTTCACTACCTCCTATCTAATCTCAGATCTGCAAGTGCAGGTGTGATCGAGTTAGCTTTCCTCTTACTGAAGCACTTTCAGGAATTCAAGTCAACTTGCTCTGCCATCGGGGCCTTCCCTCCCTTCACACCTCCCATGGACTGTCAGCTCACGCTGTCAGCAGGGACAGTGGGCCATGCCTTGTTGTAGCTCTGTTTGTTTTTGCTGCCTCACTTATGTTTATTGTGTGAAGAATCAATGGAGGGATGGATGGATGGGAACTGGGGTGAGCTGTACTCTTTATTCAGCTCCTGCCATGTAGCAGGCACTTGACATTCTAACCACCCAGAGATATAAACTTTCTTTGTCACATTTTCCTTGAAGAAGAAACTGAGACTTAAAAGGCTAAGTAGTTCGCCTAAAGTCATAGTAATAGTGAGTGATGATGCTGGGATTCCAGCTGGGTTGTCTAGGTCCAAAGAGCATGCATGAATTTACTACTCCCTCACTCTTCAGTATGGGGGATCTAGGCCAGGAGCTAGACCTGCTCCCTCCTCTAAAGGTGGCCGTGAATAAGACTGAGGTAACTTTCCTTGCAAGGCAAGCCAAGAGCAGCCAATTACTTTTATTTTTATTTTTTGACATTTCCTTATTTATTTTGCAACAAGCATGTGAGGTTGGTTTTATGACACTCCTTAAGTGATGTGCACATGGTCACGTAGCTAGCAAGTGGCAGAGCCAGGATCTAAAACTCAAGTCTGTCAGCTTGTAAATATCATAATCCTTCCACCAAACCACACTGACCTCAGGCCTGACCCAGCTTCATTTAAACGTAGAGTAGTGTTTGTGCAACTGAAATAGCCAAATGATGTAACTCAGAGGTCACCCTCTGCCCACAGATGTATTTAGTTTGGCCCACAGAGTGGTTTTAAAAATATTTTTGAATGTATTGCCAATGTTTACAAATCATACACAAATCTATGTACCTGGATTCTCTTGAAAACTAAGCATGCTGAACAAGACCTAGCTTTTTTCTGCTTGGCCAGAGTGGCTGGGCCCAGTAGGGTCATCTCTGAAAGCCAGGGCTTGCACACACCAGATTGCCATTGTCCCCATCATACTCTGTTTGAGTTATATAAGCCAGGGTTGCAATGGCTCATTTTTATTACCTGCCTTGTTCTGGTCTAATTACATGCAAATCTTTAAGGACAGATTTAGCCTGTCCTAGGAACTGTCCATTTGCTTAGCTGACCATTTGTGGAAAGATTGTTTCTTAGAGGAACCGTTTGTTCTGTTTACCCTCTGGCCCAGAGGTGTATTCTTTTGCAGACCCCACACTCTCTTCTTTCCTGCATTAGGGTCTCATGAATTCAGACACTATGGTAGCACTTCCGGGAACATGTTCAATAGAGCACTAGTGAGTTGTGTTTGTGCATGTGTGGGCACATATGTGTGTGATGTGTATATGTATAACTGTGTGTTTGTGTGTGTGTGTGTGTGTGTGTAGTGTAATGGGTGGGTAAGGAACTATCTGACTGAAAAAATTTAGTATTAAATACATCTAAAAAATTTATTATGAAGCTTATGATACCTCTCTTTTGGAATTTGGCAATGGACATGAAAATTTGAAGCCTCTGAGAATTTCTATAGCTCCTGGTTAGCTTTATTTATCTCAATGCTTGTAAAACTTCATGACCAGGGAACCACTGGTAGGCGTAAAATCTATTACAATCTCCTTTAGCCTACAGTTTTTGTTTTTTTCAAATAAAAGGAAAGGAAGTACACAGAAGCCCATGGTGTTGGGAAGTTAAGTGGCTGTACTGGGTCAAGGCAGGACCTAAGATGCAGAGATAGGGGGTGAGGAGGACAGGGAAGGGGGTTTTCCAGGCCACCGGTGGGGAAGGCAGGCAGGACAGGCAGTTTCTGGGTTCACACAATCTTTGGATCCATGACAGAACATCTATAAATGAGTGGTGCCTGGCAGATGACAAGATCTCAATACAGCTTTAGAGATTAATGCAATGGTAGTGAAAAGAAGTATCTTTTTAATGACCTTGAAGAACAGTTTTTACTGGAAGAATAAATTATGAGACAAGCTCATATAACTGGAGGTGGTTCTAGTGTAAGAAGTCCAGGCCAGGTTTCCCTACCTGGGTTATGGGGAGGGAACAGATGACTGAGTATATTAGCAGCAATTCTTGAACTTTAGCATGCATGAGAATCACCTGGGAGTCTTGTTAAAGGACTAGATCCTCATTCCCACTTCCAGAGACTCTGATTCAACAAGTCTGGGGTGGGGCTCAAGAATAACATTTATAATCAACATATCAGATGATTCTGTGCAGCGGATGCTGCAAGTTCTCTTTGAACATACCATTTATGTGGCTGCTAATGAGTTTCAGTAAAAGAAGAAAAATTAGAAAGATGGGAGAAGTGGGATGGTTATTCACAGAAAGCCAAAGACACAAGGATTCGTGTGAAAGTTGAAGCATGAACCAATGATAAAAGAGAAGAAACTGTCATAAATTAACCATGTGGTTCAGATAAAATAAAATTGTCTGACTGCAAATGATGTACATAACCCTCATGGACAATCCACCTCAAAAAATATAATGGTTAGCTGAGGATGAGAGACTACGTTGTGTGTGACTATGTGACGGGGTGTATATGGAGTCATAGTTAAGGGGAAGGCTTGATTCAGCACTAAGGGAAGAAGGGAGTTTTTGGGTTTATGAGACTTTGTGGAAGTTTTCAGAAGTTAGGCTGCTGCATCATAATACCTAGGTAGCTCTCTTAATCTGATGAGTCATATATTTTGGGTAATGCTTACACAATTCAAGGGAATACAAGTCCGGACAGAAGCAGGGGGTCAGAAAGTTTCATAAAGGAGGTGTCTTGGAACAAAAAAGGATAGAATACCCGTGATGGAGCACTTGAAGACCAAAGAAAACAACAACTAACAACAACAACAACAACAACAACCACCTCCAAACAGGAGGATATCAGAATACACCAAGAATAAAGAAAAAGCAAAGGCCATTAGAAAGTCCAGGAAAAACAAAAGCATCATAAGGAAGTGAATTAAAGCCAGTTCCTGATCTCATACTGCAGTGAACAATATTTACCTGGTCATAATATTATAAGTACTGATGATTGTATAATCAAAAATTATGGCAATGTCATTTGGAAGGTAGGGGTTATATCAGGTGGTTATTGAGGAGCTAAATCATCAGCTATCTTAGAATATTAATATATTATCCAAAAATT